>NC_000012.12:8334650-8959650 GCF_000001405.40 Homo sapiens
TACATTACTGAGCGAAATGTAGAACCTGGATTTGAGCTCTGATTTCAGAGGTGTGGTCTCAGTCTCCCCAGGGAGACCTGTCCTGGGAGACAGTTATGCCAGGCTGTGATGCTGTGATGATTGTTCTCTTCCTACCCAGAAGCTTTCAATAGGCATGTCAAGCATGTGACCCCAGCTGCATATACCAAATGTATTTCTGACAAATGCCAGGACATCGTGAGCTTTCTTGTTTTACTGAGAGCTCCATAAAGGAAGGACTATCTTTGTCTTTTTTTTTTTTTTTTTTTTTTTAAGACTCTCACTGTCACCCAGGCTGGAGTGCAATGGTGCGATCTCGGCTCACTGCAGTCTCTGCCTCCTGGGCTCAAGGGATTCTCCAGCCTCAGCCTCCTGAGTAGCTGGGATCAAAGGTGTACATCACCACACCCAGCTAATTTCATATTTTTGGTAGAGATGGGGTTTCGTCATGTTGGCCAGACAGATCTTGAACTCCTGGCCTCAAGTGATTTGCTTACCTCGGCATCCCAAAGTGCTGGGATTACAGGCATGAGCCACTGCACCTGGCTTGTCTTATTTATGTTATGTCTACGTGAAACAGCCCAGTGGTCAGCACACAAAGGGGTCCAAACGTGAAAGGAAAGAGCAAACACAGGGGAAACATAGGGGTGTTCAGAAACAGTTCCCAGGTTACTGTCTGTTTCAATATGTACAGTCCTCGAACCCACCTGCAAGATTCTGACTTGGCAGGTGAGAGTTGGAGATGGGGGAGCTACCTGGTTATGAGGGATCCCAGTTCATTTTGAGGCAGCTGGTTGTTAGACTGCATTGTAAAAATTACCCCCCAAAGATGTGAAAGGATAATTTATGTATTTCTAATAGAGTTTCACCATGTTGGCCAGGCAGGTCTCCAACTCCCAGCCTCAGGTGATCCACCTGCCTTGGCCTCCCAAAGTGCTGGGATTACAGGCATGAGCCATTGCTCCTAGCAGTATTTTTTTAATGAGGCAAAATTCACATAACACATAAGTCCCTGTATGAAACCATATACTTCGGTATCATTAAATACATTCACAATGTTAAGCAATCATCATCTCTGTCTAGTTCCAAAACATTTTCATTAACACCCCCAGCCCCCCCAAAAAATAACCCTGTATCCAATCAAGCACTCTCCATCCCCTCCCCTTTCCCCCAGTTCCTGGCAACCACTTACCTGTTTTCTGCCTCTACAGATTTGCCTATTCTGGACCTTTCACATAAATGGAATCATGTAATATATATAATAACCAAAAGGTAGCAACAACCAAGATGGCCATTTGGTTGATGAATGAATAAACAAAATGTGCTGTATCCATACAGTGAAAGTATTGGTGCCTACCACATGTGGATGGACCTTGGAAACATCACGCTAAGTGAGAGAGAGCCTTGGTATTGTCTCATCTCCCCAGGAGATTCCAAGGTGCAGCCAAGGTTGAGACCCAGTGACAAGCAATGGATATGGTTGGGTGCAGATGAAATAAGGCAGCCAGGGGCAGGAGGGATGTCTCATTGAAGTTGACTGTTTGTGGATGCCTAGCAGGGGTGGGGATGAGGGATGATAACAGCAACCCCAATCCCAACACAGCGTGACCGATTTTATCTTCAGCCAGCTGATACGCCTCATGGGATTTGGACACGACATCTCTGCCTCCCAGATTCAAGCAATAACTCCTGCCTCAGCCTCCTAAGTAGCTGGGATTACAGGCATGTACCACCACACCTAGGTAATTTTTGTATTTTTAGTAGAAACGAGGCCTCATAATGTTGCCCAGGTTGTTCTTGAACTTCTGGCCTCAAATGATCCACCCACCTCAGCCTCCCAAAGTACTGGGATTACAGGCATGAACCACAGTGGCAGCCTCCAAATTCTACTTGAAGTTTGACTTTCCACCTCCAGAAAATCCAAACCTTTGCCCTAGTCACAGTGGGACACCCCGGAGTTAATTTCAGAGAAATGTGGTTTTAAAAACAACTCCAGGCCAGGCGCAGTGGCTCACGCCTATAATCTTAGCACTTTGGGAGGCCGAGGCGGACGGATCACGAGGTCAGGAGATCAAGACCATCCTGGCTAACACGGTGAAACCCCGTCTATACTAATAATACAATAAATTAGCCGGGCGTGGTGGCACAAGCCTGTAAGCCCAGCTACTCGGGAGGCTGAGGCAGGAGAATCGCTTGAACCAGGGAGTCAGAGGTTGCAGTGAGCCGAGAGCGCACCACTGCACTCCAGCCTGGTGACAGAGGGAGATTCCGTCTCAAAATAAATAAATAAAACCCTCCGATATGAACACCAAACTAGGATCATTCCATTGACTTCCCTCCACCAATCAGGGGGAGTGATGGTGATGGTGCATGAGTGTCTATTTGCATTGAGTCTTAATGGAAAATAAGGTTGTGTCACTCAAAGGAAAAACAAATCACAGCCCAGACTGGAGCTGTGGATTAATAACATGGCTGAGTGTTGGTACAGGCTTTCCACAGCAATATTAAAACTGAAAAAATCAGCAATGAAGCTCCCAGCCACATTTCTGCCTAATGATTTGGGGGAAAACAACAGAGGCACTCCTCAACTTTTCCTTCACTGCACAAAGTGGATTTGGCTGGAAATGCCAAATGTGCTTGTAGCTGGGATCTTTCAAATGAAAGCAAGCTGGGAGTCAACCTCCTGCAGCCGCAGGCCAGAAATGGGTTGAGACCAAACTATTATAGTAACACTGGTGCACATCTAAACAGATTTAACTCCCTCCCAGCAATCCAGATTAATTTAATATGCTTTCTTAATGGCATTCCGCATTTCTCATTAAAGCAAATGAACGTCCATCCCTCTGTGATAAATTAGGTCAAAAAACATTCATATATTTAGGGCACAGGGAAGGAGGAGTTGTTGGCTGTTAAAAAAAAAAAAAAAGTCCTGCAAATGGCCTTTCAAAGTCTAGACATCTTCATCATCAACACAAACATTCCTCTTCACAAAGGGACCTCAAGTAACCTTAGGCTGGAGGGCCCACCTGCGTATGTCTTTCTTCTCATTCTTTCTTACCTTTCCTCCAGCCCACACAACTCACATTCAGTGACCAAGTCACGTAGGTTTTACCTCCTAAATCTCTCATATCCTTCACTGCTCAGCCACTCTCCTGACACCACCATAAACCAAGCCACCATCACCTCCAGCTGTTTGACTGCAAATGCCTCCAGACTGGCCTCTGCTTTTCCCTGGCCCTGTGACAATCTGCACTCCTCACAGGGACCAAAGCAATCACTTCAGAAGGTGCATCCAAACAGATCACTCAACTTTCAATGGCTCCCTCTGCTGTGTGGGTTAACAATGATAAAAGCTCGGCCGGGCGCGGGGGCTCACGCCTGTAATCCCAGCACTTTGGGAGGCCGAGGCGGTCGGATCACGACGTTAGGAGATCCAGACCATTCTCCCTAACACGGTGAAACCCCGTCTCTACTAAAAACACAAAAAAATTAGCCGGGTGTGGTGGCGGGCGCCTGTGGTCCCAGCTACTCCGGAGGCTGAGACAGGAGAATGGCGTGAACCCGGGAGGTGGAGCTTGCAGTGAGCCGAGATCGCGCCACTGCACTCCAGCCTGGGTGACAGAATGAGATTCCATCTCGGAAAAAAAAAAACAACAACGATAAAAGGTCACCTTTTCTGAGCACACACTATCTCAGTCCATCCCTACATCAGCCCTTTATTTCACCAGTGGGGAAGCTGGGACAGAGAGTAGTTACGTGGGATGCCCAAGGTGGGACCACTCGTGTGAAGTTTCCACACCCTAATGTGAGACCCTCTATGACCTAGCCCCTGTCTTTCTCCAGCCTCATTTCCTGATTCTCTCGCTTGCCCTGCAGGCTTCAGCCACAGAAACTTCTTGAAAGTCCCTTAAATCTGGCTGAGCGCAGTGGCTCACGCCTGTAATCCCAGCACTTTGGGAAGCTGAGGCGGGTGGATCACCTGAGATCAGGAGTTCGAGACCAGCCTGGTCAACATGGTGGAACCCCATCTCTACTAAATATCCCAAAATTAGACACGTGTGGTGGACGGCACCTGTAATCCTAGCTACTCGGGAGACTGAGGCAGGAAAATCACTTGAACTCGGGAGGCAGAGATTGCAGTGAGCCAGGATCGCACCACTCCACCCAAGCCTGGGCGTCAAGAGTGAAAGTCCGTCTCAAAAAAAAAAAAGTCCCTTAAATCTGCTGTATGCCTATCAACCTCAGGGACTTCACTATGCTGTTCCTCACCCTGAAATGCTGTTCCTCATTTCTCCACATAGTGAACTCATCCCACCCCCTAGGCCTCTCCTTAAGTGTCATCTCTTCCAGGAAGATTTTACTTTTTAAATATAACTATTAAAATATAATTCAGGTACCTTATGATTTGCCAATTTAAAGTAAACAAATCAATGGTTTCAGTGCATTCACAGAGCTCGGCAACCACCATCATGATCAATTTTAAAACATTGTCATCACCCCAAAAGAAACCCTGTATCTATGAGCAGGTACCTGCCATTTCCTCCTCCCACTAAGCCCTGACAATTTACTTTTTTGAGATAGAGTCTCTGTCACAGGCTGGAGTGCAGTGGCACAATCTCGGCTCACTGCAACCTCCACCTCCCGGGTTAAAGCAATTCTCCTGCCTCCCGAGTAGCTGGAATTACAGGGCTATGCCACCACGCCCATCTAATTTTGTATTTTTAGTAGAGACAGGGTTCCTGTCTTCATAGATTTGCGTGTTCTGGACTTTTCATATAAATGAAATCTTATAATATGTGACCTTTTCTGACTAGTTTCTTCTACTTAGCATAATATTTTCATAGTTCATCCGTGTTGTAGCACGTGTTAGTACTTCATTCCTTTTGATGACTGAATAATATTCCATTGCATGGTCAAACCATGTTCTATTTCTCCACTCATCAGTAGACAAGCATTTGTGTTGTTTTCACTTTGGCGCTATTATGAATAATGCTGCTATGAGCATTTGTGTACAAGTTTCTGCACGGACATATATTTTCATTTGTTTCATAAACTGGAGTGGAAGTGGTGGGTCATAGAACTCTGTGTTTAAGCTTTTGAAGAAGTGCCAGACTGTGTAAGAAAGAAAGCCTTTCCTCACCCTGTGAGACTGAGCTCCCTCTCTCCATTTATACATTCTCTTTATGCCCTTTGCTTCTCTTTCAGAGCAATTCACTTTGACCTGGGTCACCCTCAACTTAAGGCTCATAACTCCCCTAGATCCTCAGGGTCCACACTAAATGTGATGAAATATGATGCAAGCCACATATTTACTTTTGCATTTTGTAGTAACCACATTTTAAAAAGTAAAACAAAAGAAGTGAAGGTAATTGGAATAATATCAGAGATTTAAACAAATCTATCCGAAATACCAGGTCTACAAGTATAAAATATTTTAACATTAACAAAATACTTTGCTTTCTTTTTATATTAAGTCTTCACAATCTAATGTGTATTTGACACTTCTCGCACATCTCAGAATGATGGCAGCACCCCATATGGGGGGCCCTCCCATGATGCCAATGATGGGCCCTCCTCCTCCTGGGATGATGCCAGTGGGACCTGCTCCTGGAATGAGGCCGCCCATGGGAGGCCACATGCCCATGATGCCTGGGTGCCCAATGATGAGACCTCCTGCCCATCTCATGATGGTGCCCAGTCAGCCCAGAATGACTCGACCAGACAGATAAGGATAGAGGGGAGGCCTCATACATCAGTGTTGTTTTGTTGTTGTTATTGTTGTGTTTTCTTTGTTTGTAATGTTTTGTTTTGTTTTTGAGACACAATCTTCCTCTGTCGCCCAGGCTGGAGGGCAGTGGCACGATCTCAGCTCACTGAAACCTCCACCTCCCGGGTTCAAGCAATTCCCCTGCCTCAGCCTCCTGAGTAGCTGGGACTACAGGCGTGTGCACCATGCCCGACTAATTTTTTTTATTTTAGTAGAGACAGGGTTTCACCATGTTGGCCAGGATGGTCTCAATCTCCTGACCTCGTGACCCGCTCGCCTCAGCCTCCCAAAGTGCTGGGATTACAGGTGTGAGCCACTGCGCCCGGCCTATATGAGTTTTATATTTACCTGCTCCCTTCACCAGGAGATCATGCTGCTGTGATGCCGGCTTTTCTTAACAGCATAAGGAAGACTTGTCCCCTTGCCCTATCAAAGAGAATAGTTTTGGAGGGGAGAAGTGGGACAAAAAGATGCAGTATTCATTTCTATTGGGAAATATGAAAATAAAATTGTCAACTCTTTTAGTTAAAAACAACAACAAAAAAAAGGAAACGAGATGTGGGGCTGCCACATGCAATATCGTGCATTAAAAGGATCTTCTACTCTGGAGGAAAATATCTTTGCTGATGCCAGACCAACCTAACACAAAGACCTTTTGGTTTTTTAATGTGACTGTGTTTTATTTTACAATGTGTAATTCACTTTAGAAGGGAAAAGTACCTGTCTGGGGAAAACTATTTAATTTCCTGCATTTATTTAGAATATTGGTTAATGTTATTCTGAAGGGAAATATCTCTAACAAGTGAGTGGCCCCCACATAGACACAGCTCATGAGCTCACGGGGCAAAGGAATTGAACAGCAGCCTCCTAATAGCTAGCCTTCTTTGTGGTATGGAAATAATTATCAGCATGTAAAAGACTATATATATATTCAACAATTCTGACCCCCTGCAAAATTCAAATCTACAACTGATTTGCTTCCCCTGGGCTCCTGAAAACAACTTTGTCAAAATTGTTCAGAAATAAAATCGGCCAATCGTTGCCCCTTGGGGACGCAGGACAAAGCAAATCAGCCATGACCAATATGGAGTCCGCCGTACACAATTACATGCAGACCTGCAGGACATCGAGTCCCTGCTATGGTCCCTCCCCAGTCAGGCCCGCACTGCCTGGGCTGCAGCTAGAAGCATTCAGGCACAAGTGCATTCAACAAATACTTATTTAATTGCATTGGTGGCTAGAGGGCTGTTGTTGATTAAGGTACATTAATGGATCCATTTCCTCCCTGTATCCAAGACTCTGCCATTTGTCTCTGCAGTGCCTCCCGCTGAAGAATCGGAGTATATTTCTCCAGCCCCTAATGTTGGGTTTAGTCATGTGTCTAGCTTTGGCCACTGGAATATTAATCTGCATGACCAAAAACTTGGAAAGTATGCATTCATTTGTGCTCACTCACTCCTGCTGTCACCATGAGAACAAGCCCAGGCCAGCCTGCTGCTTCCAGCAGAAGATAAGAGACACCAAGAGCAAAGTCGAGCTTCCCAGACATGCTCATGCTAGATTAACCAATCCTCAGCTGACCCATAGCTCCATGAAAATAAATGACTGTTGTATTAAGCCACTGAGATTTGGAGTGACATGTTATACAGCATTTTGTGACAATAACTAACTGATACAAGGGTCACCATCCTTTATCTCTGTAGATTTTTGCCAATTTTTAATAGCTAGATGGAGATCTTCTAGTTGCCTTTATTTATAATGAATAAGACTGTAGAGCTACTTTGGCCTGACACTACCAGTTACCTACCCAGAAATTCAGAAATACTTTCTTCTCCAACCCACCCCAACCAACCATTACCATTTTCTTTTTTTTGAAACGGAGTCTTACTCTTTGCCTAGGCTAGAGTACAAGTGGCACAGTCAGAGCTCACAGTAACCTCAAAATCCTGGTCTCCCCTGATCTTCCCCTTCAACCTCCTACGTAGCTAAGACTACAGACATGTGCCACCATGCCTGGCTAATTTTTTTATTCTTTGCAGAGACAGGGTCTCACTATATTGCCCAAGTTGGTTTCAAACTCCTGGCCTCAAGCAGTCCTCCTGCTTCACCCTCCCAAAGTGCTAGGATTATAGGCATGAGCCACCACACCCAGCCTCTTCTTCTTTTTAAATAGAAACCCTATTTTATTCTGACAGCGGGTTGCTTACTTTTTTTTTTTTTTAAGAAAAAATTGGCCCAGCCCCAGGGAATAAATTGTGACCAGTCTAAACAGGGTTGGCAAACTATAGACCAAGGGCCAAATCTGGCCCTCTGACTGTTTGTATAAATTAAGTTTTACTGGAATAAAAGCAGGTCCATTCATTTATGCCTTGTCTACATATGCTTTTAGACTACGATGGCACCACTGCGTCACTGCAACAGAGGTTATCTAGACCAAAAGCCTAAAATATTACCGTTTGCTTCTTTATGGAAAACATTTGCCATTCCCTAGTCTAAGGTTGAGATTCTGAGCTTAACATTTTAGCCTACCCCCACTTACCAGTGACTGGCTCAAAACAAGTCTGTGATTCCATTCTGACTGTTCTACTGAGGGAAATCCCCCTTCTTCTCATGCAGAGCTGATGAGGGTAAGTGGTATTAATAGGACATATGCTCAGGTTTTCTGAAAAATACTTTTATCTAGAAATGCATAGGAATATGCTGGTGCCTGAATGTACCATCTGGGGGCCTGGAGATTGACTCACACTGCCTCCAGAGCTAGCGCTCACACTTACTACTGAGAGGCCTGAGGAAACACCTGCCTACCCACCACCGGAACCTGCGCATGTCACCTGGAGAACTAGAGATCAGCCTGCCACACACACCACCCAGGAGCCCAGTGGCGCACCTGCCCACCTGGCCCAGTGCTGCCACTGCCAGCAACCAAAGAAGCCACCTGGAGGCCCAGGGATTGGCCCATGCAGACAGGCTATCATCAGTGCCCACATACACTGCCCATGGTCCCTAGTATTGACACACCTGGTCTACCACCACTACCACTGATGCTGAAGGACAAGACTTCCAGGCATCTCCATCCTCAGCAAAGCCTCACCACAGCCTCCAATAACAACTGCAGTCTGGCTGGGCATGGTGGCTCACACCTGTAATCCCAACACTTTGAGAGGCTGAGGCAGGAAATCATGAGGTCAGGAGTTCGAGACCAGCCTGGCCAACATGGTGAAACCCTGTCTCTACTAAAAATACAAAAATTAGCTGGGCGTGGTGGCACGTGCCTGTAGTCCCAGCTACTCAGGAGGCTGAGGCAGGAGAATCGCTTGAACCTGGAGGCAGAGGTTGCAGTGAGCTTAGATTGTGTCACTGCACTCCAGCCTGGTGAGAGAGCTAGACTCCATCTCAACCACAAACACACAAACAAAAAAAACTGCAGTCTAAGCCACTGAATAACTCACAGACACCACTCATGCCAATTACAGCTGAAGAAATCATATGCAGACTATACCACTGTGCCCACCCAGAATCAAAGCCAAAGTGTGATATCCAATGAACACTGTAGATACAGCTATAAGAAAAGCTCTTTCCCATATAAAAGCCAACCCAGAAAATTGGAAGAAGTGACTGCTATGTCAGAGTCACAGATAGTCACATAAGAATGCAAGAAATATTAAAAAGGAAACATAACATCGCCAAAGAAGCACAATAATTCTCCAGCAACAGATTCCAATGAAAAGAAAATCTATGAAATACCTGAAAAAAATTCAGAATAATGATATTAAAGAAACTCAGGGAGATATAAGAGAGCACAGATAATGAATACAAAAAAATCAGGAAAATAATTCATGATCTGAATGAGAAATTCAACAGGGATAGACAGCATAACAAAGAACCAAACACAAATCCTGGAGGAGATGAAATCATTGAAAGAAATACAAAAGATAATTGACAGCTTTAACAATAGGCTAGATCAAGCAAAACAAAAGAATTTCTGAACCTGAAGACTAGTCTTTTAAAATAATTCAGTCAGACAAAAAGAAAGAAAAAAGAATGAAGCAAGGCTACATGACATATGGGACACATATGTGACCAAAAACTGAAATTCTGGGAGTTCTGGATGGAGATGAGATGGGTAAAGGCATAGAAAACCTATTTAATAAAATAATAACTGAAAACTTCCTGAAAGCTTCCAAATACAGGAAGCTCAAAGATTACCAAATAAATACAACTCAAAAAGGTCTTCTCCAAGGCACATTATGGTAAAATTGTCAAAAGACAAAGAGAAAATGCTAAAAACAGCAAGAGAAAAGCATCAAGTCACTTATAAGAGAATCTCCATCAGGCTAACAGGGGATTTCTCAGCAGAAACCTTTCAGGCTAGGAGAAAAGGGGATGTATACTACAAGTTAAAAAAAAAAAAAAAAAAGTAAGGCAAAAATGCTATACCCAGCAAAGCTATCCTTCACAAATGAAGAAGACTGGCACTGTTTCTCACATCTGCAATTCCAGAGACTCAGAAGGCTGAGGCAGGAGGATCCTTTGAGCCCAGGAGTTCAAGGCTGCAGTGAGCTATGATCATGCCACTGTACTCCAGCCTGGGTGACAGAGTGAGACTCCATTGCTTAAAAAAGAGAAAAAATATTTCCGAGATAAGCAAAAGACTGTTTGTTTGTGTCTTGTTTGTTGTGGTCCTACAAAAAATGCTTAAGGGAGTCCTACACTGGGAAGAAAAAGAACAATTTCTACCATCATGAAAATACATGAAAGTATAAAACTCATGGTAGCGCAGACACACAAAGGAGAAAGGATTCAATCATCACCATTAAAGAAAACCACCAAACTGCAACAATAAATAATGAGAGAAAAAAGGAACAAAGGTGTATTAGTCTGTTTTCACACTGCTGATAAAGACATAACTGACTGAGACTTGGCAATTTACAAAAGAAAGAGGTTTAATGGACTTACATTTCCACGTAGCTGAGGAAGCCTCACAATCATGTTGGAAGGCAAGAAAAAGCAAGTCATGTCTCACATGGATGGCAGCAGGCAAAGAGAGAGCTTCTGCAGGGAAACTACCCTTTTTAAAACCATCAGACCTTGTGAGACATATTCACTATCACGAGAACAACATGGGAAAGACCTGCCCCCATGACTCAATTACTTCCCACCAGGTCCCTCCCACAACATGTGGGAATTCAAGATGAGATTTGGGTGGGAACAAAACCAAAGCATATCATTCTGCCCCTGGCCCTTGCCAAATATCATTTCAAAACAAATTATGCCTTCCCAACAGTCCCCCAAAGTCTTAACTAAGTTCAGCATTCACTCAAAAGTCCACAGTCCAAAGTCTCATGTGAGACAAGGCAAATCCCTTCCACCTATGAGCATGTAAAATCAAAAACTAGTTAGTTACTTCCTAGATACAATGGGGGTATAGGCATTGGGTAAACACAGTCATTCCAAATGGGAAAAAAATGCCAAAACAAAGGGGCTACAGGCCCCATGCAAGCCCAAAATCCAGTGGGGCAGTCAAATCTCAAAGCTCCAAAATGATCTCCTTTGACTCCATGTCTCACATGCAGGTCATGCTGATGTAAGAGGTGGGCTCCCATGGCCTTGGGAGAAAAAAGGCCACAGCTCCACTCCTGTGGCTTTGTGGGTATAAACCCCCTCCTGTCTCTTTCACAGGTTGGCATTGAGTGTCTGCAGCTTTTCCAGGCACACAGTGCAAGCTGTCAGTGAATCCAACATTCTGGGGTCTGGAGGATGGTGGCCCTCTTCTCACAGCTCCACTAGGTGGTGCTGCAGTAGGGACTCTATGTGGGGGCTCCGACCCCACATTTCCCTTCTGCACTGCCCTAGTAGAGGTTCTCCATGAATGTCCTGCCCCTGCAGCAAACTCCTGCCTGGACAACTAGGCATTTCCATACACCTTCTGAAGTCTAGGCAGCAGTTCTGAAACCTCGATTTTTGACTTCTGTGCACCCATAGGCTCAACACTATGTGGAAGCTGCTAAGGTTTGGGGCTTGCACCCTCTGAAGCCACAGCCCACATTGTACCTTGGCTCCTTTTAGCTGCAGCTGGAGTGACTAAGACTCAGGCACCCGAGGCTGCTCACAGCAGGGGGGACCTGGGTCCAGTCCACAAAACCATCTTTTCTTCCTAGGCCTCTGGGCCTTTGATGGGAGGGGCTGCCATGAAGCTCTGTGACATGCCCTGGAGACATTTTCCCCATTGTCTTGGAGATTCACATTTGACTCCTCGTTACTTAAACAAACTTCTGCAGCCAGATCGAATTTTTCTTGAGAAAATGGGATTTTCTTTTCTATTGCATTGTCAGGCTGCAAATCTTCCAAACTTTTATGCTCTGCTTCCCTTATAAAACTGAGGGCCTTTAACAGCACCCAAGTCATCTCTTGAATGCTGTGCTGCTTAGAAACTTCTTCTACCAGATAACCTAAATCATCTCTCTCAAGTTCAAAATTCCACAAATCTCTACAGCAGGGGCAAAATGCCACCAGTCTCTTTGCTAAAACATAACAGGAGTCACTTTTGTGCCAGTTCCTGACAAGTTCCTCATTTCCATCTGAGACCACCTCAGCCTAGACTTTATTGTCCATATAACCATCAGCATTTTGGGCAAGTCTCTAGGAAATCTCTTCCAAATTTTCCCACATTTTCCTGTCTCCTTCTGAGCCCTCCAACCTCTGCCTGTTTCCCAGTTCCAAAGTTATTCCACATATTCAGGTATCTTTTAGGAACACCCCACTTCTGGTACCAATTTACTGTATTAGTCCATTCTCACACAGCTGATAAAGACACATACAAGACTGGGAAATTTACAAAAGAAAGAGGTTTAATGGACTTACAGTTCTACGTTGCTGGGGAGGCTTCAAAATCATTGCGGAAGTCAAGGAGAGACAAGTCACATCTTACAGGGATGGCAGCAGGCAAAGAGAGAGCTTGAGCAGGGAAACTCCTCCTTTTAAAACCATCAGATCTCATGAGACTTACTCACTATCAAAAGAATAGCATGGAAGATACCTGCCCCCATGATTCAACTACTTCCCACTGGGTCCCTCCCACAACACATGGGAATTCAAGACGAGATCTGAGTGGGGACACAGCCAAACCAAATCAAAAGAATATACAAAATAACCAGAAAACAATGAACAAAATGACAGGAATAAGTCCTCACCTATCAATAATAACTTTGAATATGTGTTAAATTACCTACTTAAAAGATAGAGACAGGCTTGATGGATAAAAAATGACCCAACAACATCTCCAAGAAACTCACTTCACTTGTAAAGACACACACACACTGAAAGTGAAGGGACTGAAAAAGATATGCCACACAAACAGAAATCAAAAGTAATCAGGAGTAGCTAAACTTTCATCAGATAAAACAGACTTTAGGTCAAAAACTGTAAAAAGGACAAAGAAGGTCATTATATGGTAATAAAGGGATAAATTCAGCAACAAAATATAACAATTCTAAATATGCATGCAACCAACACAAGTGCATCCAGACACACATAGCAAATATTATTAAATCTACAGGGAGAGATAGAGTCCAATACAATGATAGTTGAGAACTTCAACATCCTACTGTCAGCATTGGACAGTTCATCTAGACATAAAATCAACAAAGAAACATTAGACTTAAGCTGCACTTTAGACCAAATGGACCTAACAGATATTTTCAGAATATTTCATCCAGCAGCAGCAGAATACACAATCATCTCATCAACACATGGAACATTCTCCAGGATAGACCATATGTTAGGACACAAAACAAGGCTCAACAAAATTTTAAACATTAAAATCATATCAAGTATCTTCTCAGACCACAATGGAATAAAACTTGAAATCAATAACAAGAAGAAATTTGGAAACTGTACAAATACATGGACATTAAATGTGCTATTGAATGATCATTGGGTCAATGAAGAAATTAAGATGGAAATCAAAAAATTTTTTTAAACAGAAAATGGAAACACATCATGCAAAACCAATGGGATACAGCAAAAGCAGTACTAGGAGGAAGGTTTATAGCAATAAATGCTTACACCAAAAAAGTAGAAAGATCTCAAATAAACAACCTAATGATGCACCTCAAGGAACTCAAAAAGCAAGAACAAACCAAACACACAATTAGTAGAAAGAAAAAAAAAATAACAGCAGAACCAAATGCAACAGAGACAAACAAGAAATGCAAAGAATCAACAAGATAAAAGTTGTTTTTTTGAAAAGTTAAACAAAATTGATAAACCACTAGTGAGGCTAACCAAAAAAAAAAAAAAGAAAAGAAAAAAGGAGACCCAAATAAATACAATCAGAAATGAAAAAGGAGACATTACAACTGTTACCAAAGAGATAAAAAGGATGATTAGAGGTTATTATGAACAACCATATCCTAACAAATTGGAAAACTTAGAAGAAAGGGATAAATTCCCAGACATACACAGCCTACCAAGATTGAACTAGGAAGAAACAGAAAACCTGAACTGACTCAAAATGAATAGCAGGTTTGAATCAGTAACAAAAAGTCTCCCCAAAGAGAAAAGCCCTAGACTAGGCTTTTATGCTGATTTCTACCCAGTTTATAAAGAAAAACAAACACCAATTCTTCTCAAACTATTCCCAAAAATTGAAGAGGAGGGAATTCTTCCTAACTCATTGTATAAGGCCAGCATTACCCTGATATCCAATCAAGACAAGGAAACAACAGAAAGAGAAAACTACAGGCCAATATTCCTAATGAACACAGATGGAAACATTCTCAGCATAATACTACCAAGCCAAATCTAATGATGAATGAAAAAGATAATATACCATGATCAAGTGGCATTTATCCCAGGAATGCAAAGATGGCTTAACAAACACAAAATCAATGCATGTGATACATCACATCAACAAGATGAAAGGCAAAAACTATCTGATCATCTCAGCAGATGCAGAAAAATCACTCGGTAAAACTTACCATTCCTTCATGATGAAAACTCTCAACAAATTAGGCATAGAAGGAACACTTCAACATAAGAAAAGGCATATATGACTAATCTACAGCTAACATCCTACTCACTGGGAAAAATTGAAAAGCTTTCCCTCTAAGAACTGGAACAAGACAAGGATGCCCACTTTCACCACTCTTATTCAACACAGTATGGGACATCCAAGCCAGAGTGATCAGACAAGATAAAGAAATAAAAGGCATCCAAACTAGACAAGAGGAAGTCAAATTGTCTCACTTTGCAGATGACATAATCTTATACTTGTAAACAGAAAAACCTAAAGACTCCACCAAAAAACTCTTAAAATGGATAAATTAGGCTGGGCATGGTAGCTCATGCCTGTTATCCCAGCACTTTGGGAGGCCAAGGTGGGTGAATCACCTGAGGTTGGGAGTTTGAGACCAGCCTGGCCAACATGGTGAAATCCTGTCTCTATTAAAAATACAATTAGCCAGGCATGGTGGTAGGTGCCTGTAATCCCAGCTACTTGGGAGGCTGAAGCAGGAGAATCTCTTGAAATCCAGAGGCGGAGGTTGCAGTGAGCCAAGATTGCATCACTGCACTCCAGCCTGGGCAACAGAGCGAGACTCTATCTCAAAAAATAAAAAATAAAAAAAATTTAAAAAAACAGATGTATAATTCAGTAAAGCTTCAGGACACAAAATCAACATACAAAAATCAGTAATGTTTCTATATATCAGTAACAAACTAGCTAAAAAAGAAACCAAGGAAGAAATTCTATTTACAATAGCTACAAAAATAAAATACCTAGGAATAAACTTAACCAAGGATGGGGAAAAACAAAACAAAAAAAAAAAACAAACAAAAAAAAACCTCTGCAATGAAAACCACAAAACACTGATAAAATAAATTGAGAAGACACAAACAAATGGAAAAGCATCTCATGCCCATGGGTTGGAATTACTAATACTGTTAAAATGACCATACTACCCGAAGCAATCTAGAGATTCAGTATAATCCCTATCAATTATATTCTTCACAGAAACAGGAAAAAAAAACCCTGAAATTCATATGGAACCACAGAAGACCCCAAATAGCCAAAGCAATACTGAGCAAAAAGAACAAAGCTAGAAGCCTCACACTACCTGATTTAAAGGTATACTGCAAAGCAGCTGGGCGTGGTGGCTCACGCCTGTAATCCCAGCACTTGGGGAGGCCAAGGCAGGTGGATCATGAGGTCAGGAGATCGAGACCATCCTGGCTAACACGGTGAAACCCCGTCTCTATTAAAAAAAAAACAAAAAAATTAGCCGAGGCTGAGGCAGGAGAATGGCGTGAACCCGGGAGGCAGAGCTTGCAATGAGCCTAGATTGCATCACTGCACTCCAGCCTGACTGACAAGGCAAGACTCTGTCTCAAAAAAAAAAAAAAAAAAAAAAAAAAAAAAAAAATATATATATATATATATATATACACACACACACACACACACACACACACACACACACACACACACACACACACACACACATACTGCAAAGCTATAGTAACCAAAACAGCGTGTATTGGTATTAAAACAGACACAAAAACAAAGGAAACAGACTAAAGAACCCAGAAATGAATCCACGTATTTTCAGCTGATTTTCAAGAAAGGTGTCAAGAACATATATTGAATAAAGGACACCCTCTTCATTAAATGGTGCCAGGAAAACTAGATATCCAAACACAGAAGAATAAAACTAGACCCTTATCTCTCATCACTTACACAAATAAACTCAAAATCGATTAAAGACTTAAATGTAACAGCCACAACTATAAAACTACTAGAAGTAAACACAGGAGAAATGCTTCAGAACAAAGGTTGTATGGCTAACACTTAAAAAGTACGAGCAACAAAAACAGACAAATGGGATTATATTAAACTAAAAACCTTCTGCATATCAAAGAAAACAATCAACAGAGTGAAAAGACAACACCCCTCCCTAACGCCATATACAAAAATTAACTCAAGATAGCCTACAGACTTAAATGTAAAACCCATAACTATAAAAACCCTGGAAGACAACCTAGGCAATACCATCCGGTACATAGTGATGGGCTAAGAGTTCATGGTGAAGATGCCAAACGCAATTGCCACAAAAGCAAAAACTGACAAATGGGATCAAATTAAATGAAAGAGCTTCTGCACAGCAAAAGAAACTATCAAAAAATAAACAGACATTTCTCAAAAGAGGATATACAAATCACCAAGTTTGTGAAAAAATATTCAACATCACTAATAATCACGGAAATGCAAATCAAAACCACAGTGAGATATCATCTCGCACTTGTTAGAATGGCTATTATTAAAAAGACAAAGCACAACAAATGCTGGCAAGCATGTGAAGAGAAGAAAATTATCGTATATTGTTGGTGGGAATGTAAATTAGTACAGCCATTATGAAAAAAAGTACAGAGATTTCTCAAAATCTAAGAACAGATCTACCATATGATCCAGCAATCCCACTTCTGGGTATATATCCAAAAAAAAGGATATCAGTGTATCAACGGGATATCTGTACCCCCATATTTACTGCAGCACTATTTACAATAGCCAAGATATGGAATCAATCTAAGTGTCAATCAATGGATGAATGGATAAAGAAAATGGGAATATACGCACAATAGAATAGTATTCAGCCATAAAGAAGAATGAAATCCTGTCATTTTCAGCTAAATGGATGGAACTAAAGGTCATAAAGTTAGGTGAACTAGGCCATGCACAGAAAGAAAACTATTGCATGTTCTCACTTATATGAGCAGTTTATGCTCCTGGAAATCAAAGCGGGGGCCATGTTTCAGGTCAGTAGGGTCAGGGATAGAGACCGCAGTTATGGACTTGTGTGCCCTGTAGCTATAGAAAATTGATATCATGGAGATAAAGAGTAGAATGATAGTTACCAGAGGCTGGGAATAGGAAGGGTTTGGAAAGAGGTTGATTAATGGGTATAAAAATATATAATAGAAGGAATAAGATCTAGTGTTCCATATCACAGAAAGTGACTACAATTGTATATTTCTTTTTTTTTATTTCAATAGTTTTCAGGGAACAAGTGGTATTTGGTTACATGGATAAGTTTTTTAGCGGTCATCTCTGAAATTTTGGCATACCCATCACCAAAGCAGTTTACCCAACGTATAGTCTTTTTTCTCTCACCCCCTCCCCCTTCCCCCTGAACCCCCAAAGTCCACTGTTTCATTCTTGTGCATTTGCATCATCATAGCTTAGCTCCCACTTATAAGTGAGAACATGCGATGTTTGGTTTTCCATTCCTGAGTTACTTCGTTTAGAATAATGGTCTCCAACTCCATCCAGGTTGCTATGAATGCCATTATTTCATTCCTTTTTAAGGCTAAGTAGTATTCTATGGTATATATATAAAAAACACATTTTCTTTATCCACTAATTGATTGATGGGCATTTGGGCTGATTCTATAGTTTTGCAGCTGTGAATTTTGCTGCTGTAAACATGTGTGCAAAAGTGTCTTTTTCATATAATGACTTCCTTTCCTCTGGGTAGATACCTAGTAGTGGTATTGCTGGATCAAATGGTAGATGTACTTTTAGTTCTTTAAGGAATCTCCATACTGCTTTCCATAGTGGTGGTACTAGCTTAAATTCCCACCATCAGTGAAAAAGCGTTCTCTTTCACCACGTCCATGCCAACATCAATTTTTGCTTTTTTTTACTTTTTTTGTTGTTGATTTTTTCTTTTTTTCTTTTTTTTTTTGAGATGGAGTCTCACTCTGTCGCCCAGGCTGGAGTATAGTGGTGCGATATCAGCTCACTGCAACCTCTGCCTCCCGGTTTCAAGAAATTCTCCTGCCTCAGCCTCCTGAGTAGCTGGGATTACAAGCAACCACCACCATGCCCGGCTAATTTTTGTATTTTCAGTAGAGATGGGGTTTCACCATGTTGGTCAGGCTGGTCTCAAACTTCTGACCTTGTGATCCACCCGCCTCAGCCTCCCAAAGTGCTGGGATTACAGGCGTGAGCCACCTCACCCGGCCCTATCTTTGTTTACTTTACACGTGGTATTGCATTGTGGTTTTGATTTGCATTTCTCTGATAATTAGTAATATTGAGCATTTTTTCATATGTTTGTTTGCCATTTGTATATCTTCTTTTGAGAATTGTCTATTCATGTCCTCGGCACACTTTTTGATGGGATTATTTATTTCTTGCTGATTAGAGTTCCCTGCAGATTCTGGACATTAGTCCTTTGTCAGATGCAGTTTGTGAAAATTTTCTCCCACTCCGTGGGTGATCTGTTTACTCTGCTGATTATTTCCTTTGCTGTGCAGGAGGCTTTTAGTTTAATTAAGTCCCATCTATTTATCTTTGTTTTTGTTGCATTTGCTTTTGGGTTCTTGGTCATGAACTGTTTTCCTAAGCCAATGTGTAGAAGGGTTTTCCAATGTTATCTTCTAGAATGTTTATGCTTTCAGACCTTAGATTTAAGTCTTTGATCCATATTGTCTTGATTTTTTTATAAGGTTGAGAGATGAGGATCCCGTTTTATTCTTTTACATGTGGCTTGCCAATTATCCCAGCACTATTTGTTGTATAGGGCGTACTTTCCCTACTTTGTTTTTGTTTACTTTGTCAAAGATCAGTTGGCTGTTAAGTATTTCGCTTTATTTCTAGGTTCTCTACTCTGTCCCATTGGTCATGTGCCTATTTTTATACCAGCACCATTGCTGTTTTGGTAACTATAACCTTGTAATATAGTTTGAAGTTGGGTAATGTGATGCCTCTAGATTGTTTCTTTTTGCTTAGTTTTGCTTTGGCTTTGTAGATTCTTTTTTAGTTCCAAATCAATTTTGGCATTGTTTTTTATAGTTCTATAAAGAATGATGGTATATTGATAGGAATTGCATTGAATTTGTAGACTGCTTTTGGCAGTATGGTCATTTTCACAATATTGAGTCTACCCATCCATGAGCATGAAATGTGTTTCCATTTGTTTGTGTCATCTATGATTTCTTTCAACAGTGTTTTGTAGTTTTCCTTGTAGGGGTCTTTCACCTCCTTGGTTAGGTATATTCCTAAGTATTTTATTTTTACAGCTAACATAAAAGGGTTTGATTCTCAGCCTGGTTGCTGTTGGTGTATAGCACTGCTACTGATTTGTACACATAGATTTTGTATCCTGATAAATGAATTTATTGTATATTTCTAAATAGCAATAAGATTTGAAATAACTCCAACACAAAGAAATGATCAATGTTTGAGGTGATTAATATCCTAAAGACCCTGATTTGATCATTACACATTGCATGCATGTACCAGAATCTCACATGGACCCCATAAATGTGTACAATTATTCTCTGTCAAAAACAATTTTTTAAGAAACATGCAGGAATACACTGTACCTCTTCCTTGCTGTCTCTGGATATTGTCACATGAGGACTTGACATGCAAATTGTGGCAGCCCCTGGGACCAAGAGCAGAAGGCTATAGCAGCATAGAAAGCTCAAATGAAAAACCTAACATCTCAAGCTACTAATTTAGCCAACCTTGGCATCAGCTATCTCCGGTCTTAGTACATGAGGTGATAAGCCCCCACTGTCAAGTTGGGTGGCCATCAATTGCTGCAGAATAGAAGTTAATGAGGCTTCCTCCTCCTGGATCCCCTACTAGACCCTGACATACCCATTCAGTCATAGGCAGAAAGGGAAGCAGAGCATAAGGAGACCTGGCTGGCTCTGCCATAGGCAGATCTTACCTGTCCTGCTTGCCCTAAAAAAGCCTGGTGACTATGCAAGGGACTGAGAGGTGGCTCCCATGGCCATAGTCTAGGCAAAATAACCCATCCACTAATAAGTGAACATGGCAGAAATACAGTCAGCATTTCCTCAGTCTTGCCAATAAAGTCAACTCCTCCACTCACCAGGGAGGAGCTGTATGAAAGGGGCAGAGAGACTTGGAAGTTTTCATCCTAACTCACTCTTCTTTGTTTTTGCTTTGTTTTGTTTTGAGACCGAGTCTCGCTCTATCACCCAGGCTAGAGTGCAGTGGTGCAATCTTGGCTCACTGCAACCTCTGCCCCCTGGGTTCAAGCGATTCTCATGCCCCAGCCTCCAGAGTAGCTGTGACTACAGGTGCCCACCACCACGCCTGGCTAATTTTTTATTTTTAGTAGAGACACGGTTTCACCATGTTGGCCACGCTGGTCTCAAATTCCTGGCCTCAAGTGATCTGCCCACCTCAGCCTCCCAAAGGGCTGAGATTACAGGCATGAGCAACCCCACCTGGCCACCTAACTCACTCTTGAGAGGCCAGAAGTGATGCTGGAACTTTCTTCCTCTGTGGGTTAAAAAGAGAAAATTAGGCAGAACACAAGGCATGAGAGATGCAGCGATGCATATATCTATATGCAGCTTTTGTCTGCATCCAGTAGAAAATGCATTTCTAGGCACCAGGTTTAAGAGTGAAAACCTGGAGTCTTGTCTATTAGCATTCTCATTCCCCACAAACCAGAGAGGGAATACATTTGCTCCAGCACACCCGAATGTAGGAAATGTCACATTCCTATTTCTGTAACTTCAGTTAAATCTGCTCTGAGTCCCTGGATGCCTGGCAGGTGGAGAATTCAATCTTGTCGTTACCAGCATTCCTTTCCCTTCTCCATGGGCTTATGTAAGAATTCTGGACTTACATACTGTTGGAAAGCCAGGTAGGAACTACATCCCCCAAACTCTCCATTCTTCCAGCTGCTCATGATCCATCAACCTTCTTTGGGCCATCTGCTATAACAAGACCCTCCTCACAGCATCATTCCACTGACCCACAGGCTCAGCCCCAGGGACCCTCACTATAGCAGGTCT
Organism: Homo sapiens; assembly: GCF_000001405.40. Classification (NCBI taxonomy): domain Eukaryota; kingdom Metazoa; phylum Chordata; class Mammalia; order Primates; family Hominidae; genus Homo; species Homo sapiens. The sequence goes on from NC_000012.12 coordinate 8,356,276, forward strand.
CCACTATGCATAGGAACTCACAAAAACCTTCTCTTCATCTTGGCTTCCTCTGATATCCAGCCACTCCCCCACTTCTCACCTTAAACACAGATGGCAGCTCCTTCCCATTGTTCCAAACCTGGGGGATTGTCCAGCCAAATTCTCTTCAGACACCAAAGCTTCACCCACCCTCTTCAGGGAGGTGATGCAAGGGCATCTGAGATCTTTGGAAGCTGAATTCTGGCTTCTCTTTGGGGTGGGCTGAGAGTGGGAACTAGACTCTCTTTTCCAAGTGCCATGTTTATCTTGTTCATCATTATATTATCTCCAATGCCTGGCACATAGCAGGCACTACAGATTGACACTTAGTAGATGCTATTAGTGTCTGTATAATGGAACTTTTGAGGTTGGAGCTATTAACAGAAAACTGCCAAGCAAAAGGATGGAAAAAAGACCACCAAAAAAAAAAAAAAGAAAGAAAGAAAGAAAGCAATCATGGCTATGAGCTCTAAACACACAAGGCACCAGCCCAAGTTTGGGCAATTTTAATACAACAGCCATTTTGCCTCCAAACAAACTGGCACTGGAAACCTCCCTCTGCCTCTTAAAGAGAGCCACTTTCTCTTTCTCTAAGTGGGCAGCATTTCTCCCCAATGGCAGTACCCAGCCCACTGCCACCAGCAAAGGACTGCATCCAGGAGCCAAGAGTTTGATAGTTTAAATAATATATTTTATAGGGAAAAACAAAGTAACATCCACATAAATCTGGAACTACCACCACTTTCCAGAGGCTGAATCCCATTTGTGGAGTCTCTTGCGTGTCAAGTACCTTGCAGTCAGCTCAATTATATACTTTTGGGATTCGTTGCAGAGAAGAGTGAAGTTATCTGCAAAATAAAGGAACCAGGGCTCAGAATTCCCATAGCAATCCATGACAGAGGATGTGAGTAGAAAAGGGAAGGGTGAAGTCAAAGGAGAAAAGTCAATGAGTTGGTCAACACCAAGCAAGGATCATGGAACACTCTCCATGGCCCCACAACTCAAATGAAGTCAATAAAACCCATCAATGCTTGGTGTAAGTGTTGTATGCTCCCAGAAATGAAAGCAAGGGCCAAATTTCAGGTCAGTAGGGTTGGGGGTAGAGGCAGCAGTCATGGACTTGTGGGCCCTGGAGGATGGGATGATTCTGAGATATTGAATCCCCACACTGATCTCAGTAGAAATCTCAGGTAGGGCTTCAACATTCGTGGACCAAGGACCCTGCGGGCCTGAGAGCAACAGACTTGGTGCATGTTCCAGCTCCAGCAATCCCAACTGGGGCTTTGAACAAGTTACTTATTTTTTTAACTAATGTTATTTTAATTGACAAATCATAATTGTACACATTTATGTGGTGTTTTGTTATGTGTATACAATGTGTGATGATTACATCAAACTAATTAACATGTCCATCCCCTAATTTACTGACAATTTTTATGATGAGAAATTTGAAATGTACCCTCTTAGTTATTTTGAAAGATACATTATTATTGACTATAGTCACGCTGCTGTGCTATAGATTTCAAAGCATGTAATCCAGCAACCCAACTTCTGGGTATAGACCAAAAAAAAATCGAAGTCAATACGTCGAAGGGATCTCTACATTCCTATGTTCACTGCAGCACTATTCACAATACCCAAGATATAGAATCAACCTAAGTGTCCATCAGTGGATGAAAGGATAAAGAAAATATACTATATACATACAACGGAATACTATTAACCCTTAAAAAAGAAAGAAATCCTGTCATTTTCAACAACATAGATGAACTTGAAAGACATTGTGTTAAGTGAAATAAGCCAGGCACAGAAAGACAGATACTGCATGATTTTACTTATATGTGGAATCTAAAGAAGTTGAACTCACAGAAATAGAGAGTAAGACAGTGGTTATCAGGGGCTGGGGTGGAGGAAAGGTAGGGGATAGGAGACACTGGTCAAAGGGTACAAAGTTTCCAATAGGAAGAATAAGTTTTGAACAAGCTAAACTCCTCTGAAAGCTCAGTTCCTCATCTGTAGAGCAGGGATGCATCATTAACCTTCTAAGGATGTTGCTGTGAGAGTAAGAGATGATGTTCAGCACAATACCTAACGCACAGTCAGGTCTCCTTAAGCTTGAACCTGCATCGCCATGACCTACATCTCAGGACAGAAAGGCTCACAGCCAGTGTCTCAGTTCCCAGTGAAAAGTGGATCCCAGACCAGGCTGAACAGCAGGATCCCTAGGGGATACCCAGCCCTACTGAGTCAGAATCACCAGAGGTAGAGCCTGGGTATGTATGTATGTGCGTGTGTGTGTGTGTATGTATGTATGCATGTATGTATATGTGTGTGTGTGTATGTATGTATGTATGTATAAGAGATAGGGTCTTGCTCTGCAGTCCAGGCTGGAGTGCAGTGTCACAATCATAGTTCACTGCAGCCTCAAATTACTCCTGGCCTCAAGCCATCCTCCCACCTCAGCCTTCAGAGTAGCTGAGGCTACAGGTGAATGCCACCAAGCCCAGATACTTTTCTTTTTCTTTTTTCTTTTTGGAGAGAGTCTCACTCTGTTGCCCAGGCTGGAGTGAAATGGTGCAGTCTTGGCTCACTGCAACTTCTGTCTCCAGGTTCAAGTGATTCTCATGCCTCAGCCTCCTGAGTAGCTAGGATTACAGGCATGCACCACCACACCAGGCTAATTTTGCTTTTTTCAATGTTGTTTATTGTTTGTTTTTCACAAATAGAACTTTTTATTTGCCACTATTATAAGTCTGAACTTTAAACAGATTCTTGGACTGGTGGTTCATATCCATCAGCTCATTCAACTTTAGCATGTGTCTCATCCCTAGTGGGTTTTCCAGAACTACTACCATCACCACGAAGCTCCATGCCTTTCAAACCCAGGGTTCTCCAGCATTTTTTCTTTTCTAATGAAGACATCATGGAGAGGATAAATTGGCAAGCCTTTTCTACATCTTTTCCAATGTTGTCTGGAATCAGTTTATTGACCACTTCTTTCAAGTCATTTGTCTGCACCTCTCAGGTCATGATTTCCATCATTTTCTTCTGGATTTGGCAGACTGTTGGTCCTGAGCATAAGAGGTCTTCCGTATCTGATTGTTGCGTTTTTTAGTAAAACCAACACAAAACAAGATGAAAGAAGTAACCATCGTAGTCTTGACATCAACATGAGCGTCAATCATTGTTGAACATTTTTCAGCCATGGAACATATTTTGTCACAGGTAAGACCCATGCCATAGAAGTTAGTCAGGCAGTTTTTGCCCTGAACATCTTCAGTAATCAGCTTGAATTTTCTAAATGCAACTTCATCATTCTGCAAATCAGCAAGACTCACTTCAAACACAAGACCCTTGGGACCATCAGATGCAATTTGGGTTCCTTGGGTCCTGGTGACCAAGTCTTTCCAATATTTCTTATATTGGACATAGGAGGTGCTTTCACATCATACTTATCTTTCTTAGAAAATGGATCAACTACTTTCTTCTTAACTCCCTTTTTGCCACCTTTCATAAGGCACTTGTTCTTAACAAACACCATGGTGCTGCTCAGAGTACGAAAAGGCTAAATTTTATATTTTTGGTAGAGACGGGGTCTCACCATATTGTCCAGGCTGGCCTTGAACTCCTGATGTCAGATGATCTGCCCGCCTCAGCCTCCCAAAGTGCTGGGATTACAGGTGTGAGCCACTGCACACAGCTGATATTTATTTTTTCTTTTTTGTAGACACAGAGTCTTGCCATGTTGCCAAGGCTGGCCTGGAACTCCTGGCCTCAAGCAATCCTCCCACCACAGCCTCCCAAAGCACTGGGATTTCAGATGTGAGCCACCGTGCCCAGCCTGGAATCTAGTTTTAAAGCCAATCAAGTGTTGAATAAAATTGCAACTTGGGCTGTTTTTTCTTTGCATTTTTTACATTTCAATGGTTTTTAATATATTCAGAGATATACAAAAACATTACCAGTCAATTTTAGAACATTTCATGACCTCAAAAAGAAACCTCATACCCTTTAGCTAACACCTCCTATCCTCTCATGCTCCTACCAGCCCTAAGCAACCACTAATCGACTTCCTATTTCTATAGATTTCCATCTGAATGAAATCATGTAGAATGTGATCTTTCATCTGCTTTGAAGGTTCATCCACGCTGTAGCATATGTACTTTGCTCCTTTTTGTGATCGAATAATATTCCACCATGTGGGTAGACAACATTCGTTGTACCTCTTCATCTGGTGATGGGCGTTTGGATTAATTCCCTCTCTGGGTTATTAGGAGTGATGCTACTGCAATTATTCATGTACAAATTTTTGTGTGGACCTGTGCTTTCATTTTTGAATATGAAAATATGGCACATCTCCAAGGAAGACATACAAGTGGCCAATAAGCACATGAAAAGATGCTCAATGAAATTCATCATCAGGGAAACAGAAATCAAAACCACAGTGAGATATCACTTCATACCCATAAGGATGGCTACAATCGAAGATCCAGAAAATTGGCCTGGTGCAGTAGCTCATGCCTGTAATCCCAGCACTTTGGGAGACCGAGGCAGGTGGATCACCTGAGGCCAGAAGTTTGAGACCAGCCTGGCCAACATGGTGAAATCCTGTCTCTACTAAAAAAATACAAAAATTAGCCAGGCATGGTGGTGGGTGCCTATAATCCCAGCTACTCGGGAGGCTGAGGCAGGAGAGTAACTTGAATCTGGGAGGCAGAGGTTGCAGTGAGCCAAGATTGTGCCACTGCACTCCAGCTTGGGTGACAGAGCAAGGCTTCGTCTCAAAAAAATAAATAAATAAAATACAGAAAATAACAAGTGTTGGTGAGGATGCAGAGAAACTAGAAACTTCATACACTGCTGGTAGGAAATAAAATGGTGTAGCCACTGTGAGAAACAGTTTGACAACTTCCCAAACAATTCTACACAGAGTTACCAAATGACCCAGCAATTGTACTCCTAGGTATAGGCCCAGCTTGGGCTCTTTTAATCTATGGAAAATGAACTATGGGTACTTGGCAAGAACAAAGAGGGAGAGAGGCAGAAATGGAGCCATGAGGGCACATTGATTGGTCTCTAGTACACAGGGCTCCTACTGCAAATGGTCTCTAAATGACTTCATCAGTTGCTCATAAAAAAAAATTACCCTCTGCTCTAATCGTGGAGGAAGAAGTGTGGATTGGACCTGGTGAGCCACGGTAAGACTGACTGCTAAACTTTATGAATGAGGGGATTTACACATATAATCTTGACTGTACTATTTTTTATTTTATCCACTGTCTGTGAAAACCTAACTCTTGACTAAGAACTGACTTTCCTGTACTTGTTATTGACTCCAAGTAAATTTCCAATTCCACATAGTCCAAAGATGATGTGCTGAGAAATCTCTCAAAGGAAAAATGCTAAGAATACAGGCAGAGTTATGCGGCAAATTTTGCAGAATTAACACAAATTGCACTTGCAATTTGTGAAAACACAAAACATTTCATGAGTAAAGAAAAAAGTGTTCATTCTAATAGAGGCTGCAGGATGAGGCTGATCAAGCTGCTTGCCCAGCCAGACCTTGGGCTCTTACCTAATTTGTGTTAGAGTCAACTCTGATGGAGTCTGTATCTCAGTCATCTTTTTTTTTTGACATGGAATCTCGCTCTGTCTCCCAGGCTGGAATGCAGCGGGGTGATCTCAGCTCACTGCAACATCTGCCTCCTGGGTTCAAGCGATTCTCCTGCCTCAGCTTCCCAAGGAGCTAGGACTACATGTGCATGACACCATGCCTGGCTAATTTTTGTATTTTTAGTAGAGATGTTTCATCATGTTGGCCAGGCTGTCCTCAAACTCCTGACCTCAAGTGATCTGCCTGCCTTGCGCTCCCAAAGTGCTGGGATTACAGGCATGAGCTACCATGCCTGACCTCAATCATCTTTTTATTCTCCACACCTGGCAAGTTCTAGACACACTGTGGTTCCATACAAGTTTGTTGAATAAACAGGAGACAGATAGAAAGTGGGAACTCTGGAAGTAGAGAAGATTCCAGAAATTGTGCATATTTCCCAGAGACTGTGGCCCAATTCCTCAGTCTTGCCAGAGTTTCTCTATCTCAACTCAAACCTTATGTGTGGGCCCAGGCGCAGTGGCTCACACCTGTAATCCCAACACTTTAGGAGGCTGAGGTGGGCAGATCACTTGAGGCCAGGAGTTTGAGACCAGCCTGGCCAACGTGGTGAAACCCCGTCTCTACTAAAAATACAAAAATTAGCCAGGCATGGTGTTGTGCACCTGTAGTCCCAGCTACTCGGGGGGCTGAGGCACAAGCATTGCTTCAACCCAGGAGGCGGAGGTTGCAATGAGTCAAGATTATGCCACTGTACTCTAGCCTGGGCAATAAAGCAAGACTGTCTCAAAAGAAAAAAAAAAAAACCCTTATGTGTGGGCCTTGTTACAGAATTAATGTTTATATGGACAATATGTACATGGGTGTATGTTAAGAGCATGAGTCATCCACAAGATTTTAGCAAAGTCCATTTAGAAAGCTCAATGCTTTGGGCTTCCACTTGCTTTGCTGCCTCTGTCCTCAGAAGGAGGCTTCATCCTTCCATGTAACCAGCAAATCCTTTATGCAGAGATGTACACAACACACTCCTATCCTTGGCTGTGACACCTTGAAAGGCGCTTCTTGGTGGTCCCTGGTGCTCATTTCAGAGTAGTTAAAATTAAGATGATCAGCTTTCATGCCAATCACTCTACAGATCACTCCTATTATGACCAATTTTTCTAAATGCTTTATTGAATTATTACTTAAAGAAATGTGCACATAGAAGAGGTCAACACAGTACTTTTCTTACAAACTGAACATACTGGCCAGGCACAGTGGCTCATGCCTGTCATCCCAGCACTTTGGGAGGCCGAGGTGAGCAGATTGCTTGAGCCCAGGAGCTTGAGACCAGCCTGGGCAACATAGTGAGACCCCCCTTTCTACAAAAAATAAATAAATAAAAAATTAGGCAACAGTGGTGGCACATGCCTGTAGTTCCAGCTGTTCGGGAGGGCTGAGGTGGGAGGCCTGCTTGAGCCCAGGAGGCAGAGGCTGCAGTGAGCCATGACGGTGCCACTGTGATCCAGCCTGGGTGACAGAGCAAGATTCTGCCCAAAAAAAAAAAAAATAACAAAAAAAAAAACAGAACATTTCCATATTAGCGACACCCAATTCAAGAAACAGAGCATTACAGCCCCTTCCAGGATATTCCTGGCATCTCTTCCATCTCTACTAACCCCTGACTACAAACAGCCTCCACCTATTTCACCTGACATTGTACTTTATGAAAGCAGCAGTTCTCAGATGGGGGCTATTTTGCCCCCTGGGGACATTAGGCAATATCTGGAGACACTGGGGGTTGTCTCTACTTGGGGGGAGTTGTGTTCCTGCATCCAGTGACTCCAGGGATCCAGGGATGCCGTTCAACATCCTAAAATACACAGGGAACCCCCACATATACAACAGAGAAATTGCTGAGCCAAAATGTCAGCAGTGTCACAGCTGAAACCATGACATACACAGAATCACACAGTATCTGCTCTTTCGTGCTGAGGATCTCTTTCATTCTGATCATTGCATAGGAAATAGAAATGTTATTTGGAGGCAGGTAGAGTCCAAAACAAAGAAAATCCAGAGATTTTTTTTTTTTTTTGGTCAGCCTGGTGCCTTTAGAGCTAGGATTTAGTTTCCATCCTTTCTGTCTCATTTTCAAGTGATTTTTCTTCAACTGGCATCTGCTGGGCTCAAGACCCGGAGATCCCCGCAAAGCTGAGATTCACATGGGAATTTTGTACACACTCACACGGGTATACACTGCCATTTACATGCAGACATCCACCCACAGATACACACATCCAGAGACCAAGGCAGAAAGCAAACTCCACCATAAAAGCACGGTTCCCCGAACAGGAGAAACACACCATTCACTCAAGGGAGGTACCTATTTGTTTAATTCAGCCTCTGGCAGGCTGTTGCCAAGCCCAACTCTGAAAGTCTTCCCCTCTAGGAGAGAGAGATGGATTTTTTCTTTACTCAAGAATATAGATCTAAAAAAACCAAACACTTCTGCATCTCAAAGCAGGCTCTACCTCCTGAGCTACACATATTGATCAGCATTTTATTGTCAATTTTCTTTTATTTGAACTGGAGAAAAATATAATCTAATTGTGTTCTTACTGACAGTTTGGAATCAGTCACACTAAATCCAATTCTCTGGGTTCTCATGATTAAGGTGTTTAATTTGGGGGACAACAAAGCAAAAGCATTGGTCATGTTTTAATATAATTAGTACAGGATATATCTAAGGGGTTCAAGTATCACTGTAGCAAGAAGCTCATTCTGCAGTAAAAGGGGGATTCTGCCACTAGGATAGAGTGAGGGTGGTTCATGGCTGCACCGTTTCATCAATGTCTCTTCGAGAGTCCATGGAATGTGGAATGGGAAAGACTGAAATAGTCCAAGTCTTGGCTAAGCTTCTATTAAGGGGTGTTAGGAGCTGATAAAATAACCTGGTCTTTATAGACATCCCACACTGTAGTTCTCTAAGCTACAGATTCTCAGATTTTTCTATTTTATAAACCAGTAAAAATATTTTATTAATTTGAGAACCAACATAAGGTTGCTACTTTTTTTTCTCTTTGGTAAGAAGGAACTTTTTTAAACTACCAGTTTCACACACACACACACACACACACACACACACAGACACATACACACACACACAGAAATTCCACCATGATTGGTCAGAAGAGGTGAGGTTTTGCTGCAATAACAAGCAACTCCTAAATCTTGGTAAATTCAAACATCAGAAGTTGTTTTTCTCACTCGTGCTACATCTGCAGGGAAGTGTGGGGTGCTCTGTTTTCCATCAAACTTGCCCTAAGACTAAGGCTAATGGGGGTTGCATTACCTCGAGTATCACCAAGCAGGGAACAGAGGGAGAAGAATGCTAGAGAGTCTTGTACTAAGAATTAAATGCTCCAGGCTAGAAGTCTCACACTGCACCTCTGCCCCCAGCCTGTTGGCCAGTACTTGCCACATCCCCTCCCCCACCACACTGCAATGCATGGAGACAGGAGAATTGGATACATTACAAATTTCTACCCAATGGCATTTCATAAGAGAAAAAAATGTAAATACAAAAATGTTTTAATAGAATAGAATAGATACATTTTTAGAATAAAGAACAATCCTCCAAAAAGGACAGCTCGTGGTCTTTCAACAATGGGCACATTTCTGTGACATTGTCTCTGTTTTTCCATTTTATCCTTGACCTATGAACATTTCATACAGATGGTCCAAAGAACACCATTTGAGGACCACTGCTCTAATCAGGTGATGAAAACGGCCCTAAGAACAGAGCACAGTCTCCTTAGCAAAGACCCAGCAGGGCCAGGGTGACCACGTTCTCACCATCAATGCACAGACATCCACCTGCAGCATCCTCACATCCCAACATCAAACAGTGGCTCTTTATAGCTTGATTCTAATGCCCTTTGATCTTCATCATCACTGTAAAGCTCTCTGGCCCCAAGATATAACATCACCACTCTAGCTACATCCTGCAACTGTTCACCTCTCCTGCCGCCTCATCCCTCTAAACTTCTCTTCACAACCTCATGTTTCCTTCTTGCTTTACCTTCCTGCTCAGCCTGGACCTTACAGTCACCTTCTTGTAATGTGCTCCTAAAGGCGTTCTTCCCTGCTTTCAACCACACCCACCTGGAAAATCTCCATACCCCATTGATGACTTGCCTCGCAACTGCCCAAGGGCTGCTGAATGATACTGGAAAGAATCACAACATGGATCTGGTAGTTCCACTAAATAATCTCACCATCCAACTCTAGGGTAGACTTCATTTCTGTTCAGCAGTATTTTTAAGCATCACAAATAAATTCAAAACCATATTTGCTATAACAATTGACTTTAAACCTCTTCCATATCTCAAAGCCCCCAAACCCATCCCTAGGGGTTTCAGAGCCCAGAGTTGAGTTCTCTCAACTCACTTCCATCTCACCTCTAGATAACTGTATCTTGACCCTCTTCCTCTGCCTTTCCCATCTTATAAGGAGAAGCATCCTTATCCTTTCCCAAGCTACCTTCTCCACTTGTGCCTCATCTGAGACCTCCCTTTATCACCCGTTCCCTTGGAACTGCCATGACTCACCACCTTCACTCATCATTTCACTCATATTTTGTACCATGTATGTGACAGGTGTTTAACATATAATCATGCTTAAGTCTCCACATGCTAACAAGAAAAACCTTGATCATCCCTGTTATGCCCTCAAGTCATTACCCTCCCCGCTCCTTTCCTGTGTTCCCAAACTTTGTTGATCTTCATCAAACCCTCTGATGCAGATGGCTCCAGTTTGCATCCTATTAGGTTGGTGCAAAAGTAATTGTGGATTTTGCTGTTAAAAGTAATGGCAAAAACAGCAATTATTTTTGTACCAGCCTAGTATCTTTTCTCCTTCTACCAAACTTTGTCCCTGAGACATCTCATCACCTATAACTACCTCCTCCATGTAGTTGATTCCCAGATCTGTATTATTCTACTGAAAGTCCATTCCCCAACTTCCTCGGCTGGAATAACAGAAGCCCAATTAGAATTCATGCTACCAGCTTCCCACCACCACCACCACCACCACCACCACCGTCACCCTGCCATTGTTAGCAAAACCATCTCTTGAGTGGAGCTCAAAGATTTGTAATGATCTCTCACTCCCCAGAAAGAGAACTTCAGACTCAGCCTAGAAGTAAAGATCCTCCAGATATGGCCTCAACTACCCTCCAACCCATGTCCCCAGTGCATCCCTCTGATGCCCCCTTCAGTGGAGTTAAAATGGAGTGAGTGTTTTTCTTTTCACATACTCCTGGTATTCTTCCACAGATACAATTTCACCTCTTGAATATTTTCAAGGATTCTCCATGCTACACACAGTGAAATCCAAACTCCCCATCAGGACCCCAGTCTTCCCAAACCCTCTTCACACTTTTCTGCCTCCATGCTTTTCCTTGGGTCATTGTCTTCTCTAATATAACCTTGTGTATTACTCTAGGTTCTCCAAAGAGCAAAGAGATAGAGGTAGAGCTATACACACAGAGAGACGCAGATTGATTAGTTGTAAGGGATGGCTCACATGGTTATGGAGGCTAAGGAGTCCTGGAGTCTGCAGCCAGCAAGCTGGAGACCCAGGACTCCCAATGATATAGTTCCAACTCGAGTCCACATCTAAAGTCAGGAGAAGATTGCTGTCCCAACTCAAATATAATCAGGTAAAGAGAGCAAATTCTCTGTGACTCTACCTTTTTGTTTTGTTCAGGCCTTCAGTGGATTGGATGAGGCTCACCCACATTGGGGAGGACAATCTGCTTTATTCAGTCTACCAATTAAATGTTATCCTCATCCAGAATACCTCAGAGACCCACCCAGAATAATGTGTAGCCAAATATCTGGGCACCCACAACCCAGTCAAATTCATACATAACACTAACCATCATGTCTTGCTTCTACACTCTCCCCATTACTGCATGTCCAAATCCTTCCCTTATTTCAAGGCTTAGTTCAAATGTCACCTCTTAACTAAGCCTTCCCTGCTAACCCCAAATATTAATAGAATTGGTTTCTCCCTTCGCTGATGTCTCAAAATACGTTGTGTGTTTCTCTTTTACTGTATTTATTACAAACTCCCTTACAAATCAAGGCAGTGATTCCCAAATTATCAAAAGAGTATAAAAGAAGTCTTCTTTGAGTGTGAAATATCTCATGGAATATAGCACATGGCCTCTTCATGAAGAAACTACTGGGAGAGAAGAAGACAAGATGGAAGAGGCCAGGGAAAGGGGGTTAGTAGAAAGCACAATGAGGCTGGGCTAATACGGTGGCTCACACCTGTAATCCCAGCACTTTGGGAGGCAAAGGATGGTGGATCACAAGGTCAGGAGATCGAGACCATCCTGGCTAACATGGTGAAACCCCGTCTCTACTAAAAATACAAAAAATTAGCCAGGCTTGGTGGCACGTGCCTGTAGTCCCAGCTACTCAGGAGGCTGAGGCAGGAGAATGGCGTGAACCCGGGAGGCAGAGCTTGCAGTGAGCTGAGATGGCGCCACTGCACTCCAGCCTGGGTGACAGAGTGAGACTCCATCTCAAAAAAAAAAAAAAAGAAAGCACAATGAAATGTCAGTGGATGGGTGCCTATAATTTCTAAGGGAAATAGAGTATAATCCAAGAATTTTATAGCCAGCTAAATTATTGCCCAATCAAAATAGGCAAAAGATACTATCACATGTTCAAGAACTTAAAGAATACAGTATTTCTGAGCTCTTTAAAAAAAAGCCTTCATAATAAAATTTAGTCAGCCAAGAAATTAAAAAATAAGCAACTTGTGAATTGAATGACCATGACAAAAGGTTAGTGATGAGAGGTGAATCCATTTAAAAACAGGACTATGATTGCAGAACAGAAAGAAAGGTGGTCAACCTTAACAACATGAAACAACCCAGAAATAACTAGTTTCCAGAGGTAAAGGGAGGGACTGTAGGAAGCAGAAGTACAAATGCCCCTTATTAAGTCAATTAATCAGGTCTAAAATTGAAACGTGGTTTTAAACATATAATTTCTTGTTTATTTTCCTCCGTAACTACCTAAGGATCACCACGATGAATGACACGGTAACTATCTGGACCAGGAAGTTCATGACCAATCGACCGCTCCAGAGGAAACAAATGGTCACCAATGTCCTTCACCACGGAAATGCAACAAAATGTACAAGATCATAATAGGTGTCATCTTCATATTAATAGTTGGACTCAGAACCCATGTTGGTGGTGGTTAAACAATGGGCTTTGGCATGCTATCTGGTTCTTTGAATTATGCAAAGAAAAATGAACTCAAACATAGACTTGCAAGACACAGCTGACATGAGAAGAAAACGACCTCGAGAAAACAGCAAAAGGAATGCAAGGGCAGAATGAAGTCAAGAGACTGCAAAGGCCAATGTCAGTGCTGGCAAAAAGCAAAAGGAGTAAAGATTTTGCAATGACTTTATTTGCAGTGACTGTACAAATTTTGCATGAGATGATCAATCAGCTGTAAAGACTTTTACATATATATAAAACATCTTAATATTTTTCATCATCTTTGATTTCCTAGATGTTCTAGAAACTGATTTTTAGTGAGAAAAAAACTACATTTATCTGAGTTGACCAGTTCCTTCAGTTTCATTTCCATTTCTTTTTCTTCTGATAAATTTACACGGCATTCAATTTGCTACTTCTTGTTTTCAAAATCTCATTTTGTGTGATCAGAAGTGTCTGTTCATGTCTCAGGCCATCTTTGTGCATAGCAAGGAATGCTGTTCACTTAATATTAGGAGGTTTATTTCTTGGGGTCGTGAGATTTGGGGTGATTTCTCTCCCTTTTTGTACTTTTCTGTATTCATTAATTTTTTTGAGACAATGTCACCAATGTCCTTCATATTAATATTTGGACTCAAAACCCATTTTGGTGGTGGTTAAACAATTGTCACCCACATTGGAGTGCAGTGGTACGATCTCAGCTCACCAAACCTCCGCCTCCCAGGCTTAAGCAATTCTCCTGCCTCAGCCTCCCCTGTAGCTGGGATTACAGGCGCGCACCACTACCGCCTGGCTAATTTTTATATTTTTAGTAGAGGTGGGGTTTCACCTTGTTGGCCAGGCTGGTCTTGAACTCCTGACCTCAAATGATCCACCCGCCTTGGCCTCTGAAAGTGCTAGGATTACAGGCATGAGCCCCCGTGCCCAACCTTTTCTGTATTAAATTTTTTAAAACAAAACATTTAAAATAATCAAGTCATTCTTTTTGAATCTACTTTGTATTATAGGTGTCCAAATACTCACCTATTCTCTCTTACGTGATGACAAACTTGTTGAAATGTCATTTCATTTTGTGGCTCCAGCCCCAGGTATTCTGACTCTGATTCTAAAGGGTCTGCATGCAGAGCGAGCAAGCCACCTAGATGATTCTCTTGCAGGTGTTTTAAGGGCAGGAGTTTGAGACACCCTGATGCAAAAGAACGAACCCTCAAGGAAGTTGGCTGTACGGGTATTTTCCTTCCTAGCACAGGAAAAGACAGAAAGATTATCCAATCAGTACCACTCATAGCACCTGATTATATGTGTATGAGGAATTCAGATATGGTTTGATCAAGGCTGAAGACCTAAAAAGAGGCTCTTCTCTTGGACATCAAGTCCCCATCTCATGCGTGGTTGAGTTAGTAGAAACTGAGGATGATACTTCTTCCTCCAGCATTGGTATCCCATGGTTTTTGTTCAGTAGATGAAGTACCTCCATTCCCCAACATCCCCAAGCTCTATCCCAGTTTCCTCACATACACTTTTTTTTTTTTTTTTGAGACAGAGTCACGCTCTGTCACCCAGGCTGGAGTGCAGTGCATTGGTGCAACCTCAGCTCACTGCAACCTCCACCTCCCAGGTTCAAGCGATTCTCCTGCCTCAGCCTCCTGAGTAGCTGGGATTACAGGCATGTGCTATCATGCCTGGCTAATTTTTGTATTTTTAGTACAGACAGGGTTTCACCACATTGGCCAGGCTGGTCTCAAACTCCTGTCCTCCAGTGATCTGACCACCTCAGCCCTCCAAGTGCTAAGATTACAGATGTGAGCCACCGTGCCCAGCCTCCTCACTTACACTTTTACAGAAGATCTGATCATACCCACTCTGCAGAAGTCAGAATGGCCCCCACGTGGTGTTAAATGGGAGTGAAAACTTGAGTTCAATCAACTGAGAGTGACACAGAAACATTTCCCCCAAAACGCTTTTGGCAGCTCTGCTGATCCATAACCTGGCTCCATTTCAGGACAAGACCTCCTCTTAAGCTGCACTGGCTTCCACTAGAGTAAGTCACATTAACTCATGGCAAACACAACTGAAGGGCAAAAAGATTCTTTTTAAAATGATTTTTGCCTCTCACTTACCAACACACGCTGGCCTCCCTAAAGCCTGACTCCATTCAGCACCTGTTCCACTGAGCACCCACTGAAAGCTCAGCTCATGAGCTGAGATGACCCAGACATCAGGGAGTTTACAATCCAGGGGGAAAACAGACCTGAATACAAATGGTGACAATACAAGACGGAGTCAAAGAGCCCAACTTGAAGTTTCAGCAGAATAGCACCAAAGACTAGTTCCCAACCCAGCTCCCAGAGCCAGAGCCAGAGCCAGAGCCAGGCTGGCTGCATGAGATCACCTGGGAGCTTTTGCAAACATAGGTCCTAACTGAGCCCCTAATCATCAGACTGGGAGTCACTGGGAGTGAGCTCCAGGAATTGGTTTATTTAATAAGCACCCACACACACATGATTCTGATGTTCCTATGCCTTGTAGAAACATGGAACTATGGAAAACGCTAAAAAAAAAAAAAGGCACTAAAAGAAACCTATAAATATTCACTACCATCCCAGGCATCATGAGGACGCTCCATGTGCACTATTTACAATACTTAGAATAACCTGCAAAGGAGGCATTCATTCATGACGATGGGCTTTATCGGGATCAGAGCCAGCCCTGGGAATGCTTGAACCTGCGCTGAAGGTCACCCCCTCCTCCCCACAGCAGGGGGCTAACATTAAGGAGCAGGGGCCAGATGGGAAATGGAGTGTCCTTTCATTATGAGACCACAGTGAGAGACTTTTTTTTTTTTTCCAGAGTCTCGTTCTTGCAACCCAGGCTGCAATGCAGCGGTGCAATCTCAGCTCACTTCAACTTGTGCCTCCCGGGTTCAAGCGATTATCCTGCCTCAGCCTCCTGAGTAGCTGTGACTATAGGCGCCCGCCACCATGCCTGGCTAATTTTGGTATTTTTAATAGAGACAGGGTTTCACCATGTTGGTCAGGATGGTCTTGATCTCTTGACCTCATGATCCACCTACTTTGACCTCCCAAAGTGCTGGGATTACAGCTGTAAGCCACCACGCCTAGCCTGAGACTTTCAAGTAAAGCCACAATGGACCACAGAGCTTAGACATCAGGGCTAACGTGGAATCTCTGTCATTAAATCTTGAGATCTTATTATCTTTGCTCAAAGAAAAAAATAATCACAATTGACATTCTGAGGACAAGACATCTGAATGTAAACTTGATCTTAGAGGATATTAAGGAATTACTGGTAATTTGATTAGGTATGATAATGATCATATAAAAAATGCCCTCATGTTTTTAGAGGGAAGTAAATTACATAAGGGTGAATATCAGGATGCAATCACATAACTACTGTAAACTATTTTTTAAATACTTCAGAAAAAGAAATGGAGTAAATATTGCAAACGTTAATAGTTTTTAAACCTATGTGATGGGTATATGATAGCTCATTAAACTAGTCTCTCTACTTTTATGCATATTGACAATTTTTCATAATAATAACAAAAAAAAACCTTGGCCAGGCACAGCAGCTCATGCCTGTAATCCCAGCACTTTGGGAGGCCGAGGTGGATGGAGGACAGCTTGAGCCCAGGAGTTTGAGACCAGCCTAGGCAACATGGTGAAACCTCATCTCTACAGAAAATAGACAAATTAGTCAGGCATGGTGGTGTGCACCTGCAGTCCCAGCTACTCAGGAGGCTGAGGTGGGAGGATCACCTGAGCCCAGAAGGTCAAGGCTGCAGTGAGCCAAGGTCACGCCACTGCACTCCAGCCTGGGCTACAGACCCTGTCTCAAACAAACAAACAAGCAAACAAAAACCCTCTTGATCCCATTTCCCAAAAAAATGATTTTTTTGAGATCTTACCATCTCCTGGCTTGTTGCAGAGTACAGAAAATCAAGACAAAGTACAGCACACAAGGAATAAGCAGGGAGGGAAGCGTGGGGGAGGCTGACACCGTGGACTCTCCCAGCTCAGTCGACCCATGCGCCTTGCTTCATGGAAGAAAGGAATGGAAGATGAAGCATGCCTTCAGCACACAGTGACCTTCCTCACTAGTAAATGCGCCTCCAGAAGTGTCCAAGAACTCAGTGCCAGAGCCAGGCTGGCTGCATGAGAATCACCTGCGAGCCTTTGCAAACACAGGCCCCTACTGGGTCCAAATGTATTCATCTCTTGGAGGGGAGGAGAGAGGCAGAACAAGGAAAAGGATGGGAAGAAACCAGCCTTGTGCACAGGAGGATGCTGGGATTCCTCCTGCACGTTTAGCGCAATGCAGCCTATTTTACAAGGTCACAGAAGCTCAGAAAGGTAAACCTGCCCAGGTTCTCATAGCTTGTAACTGGCAAAACCCGCCCAAATCTCTGTCTCTAGAGATATTTCCACTTGCTTCAACTCTGGAGCTGTCTTAGTTGTAAAGATGACAGATTCCACTCATCACTCACTTTTGTTTGCAGATATTGCCTAAGGTCCCTTGTGAATATTTAGGTCAGGGATTTTTTTTGAGTTTTTTGTTTCTTTTTTTTTTTTTTTTTTTACAAAGCAATCTTGTGGAAAGAACCCAAAGTGCCTCCCCCATTGAAGACCCTGTAAACAGGAAGACGAGAGTCTGGAGTCCTGGTCTGATTTCCACACCTTCCTTAGATTTCCCTGTGTGTAAAATCCAACAACAATCTTTGAGAAATTGCCTCCCCTAGGGGAGAGACAGAGGAAGTGTTAACTCTGCTTTTTTTTTTTTCTTTTTTTTCTGTTTTCAGACAGAGACTCGCTCTGTCGCCCAGGCTGGAGTGCAGTGGTGCCATCTCGGCTCACTGCAACCTCTGCCTCCTGAGCTCAAATGATTCTTGTGCCTCAGCCTCCCGAGTAGCTGGGACTACAGGCAGATGCCACCACACCTGGCTAATTTTTGTATTTTTAGTAGAGATGGGGTTTCACATATTGGCCAGGCTGGTATCGAACTCCTGGCCTCAAGTGATCCACCCCCCTCAGCCTCTCAAAGTGCTAGGATTACAGGCATGAGCCACCATGCCCAGCCACTTTGCTATTTTTTTTTAATAGACAGCTTCGAGGTCCAGTGTGATTTCACAGGTTAGGAAACATCACAGGCAAAGAAGAACACTTTGCATTCAAATAGCAGAATGTTTTCATTTTCAAAGAGCTCTCACCTGCCATCTAATCTTGTCTTCCTAGCAGTCCTGGGAGAGAAGCAGATGTGGTTTCCAATCCCACTTTCCAGAAGAGGAGACTGAGGCAGAGGCTTTGCAGATACACAGAGGACATGTGAGGACAGGTGAAGGTCATGATCATTGTCAGCCCCCTCCCCCAACTGGACATTCCCAGATCTGGTGGACTTCCAGCCAGAGGAGACAGAAGGACTGGATCACTCAACTCTGCCATGGGTGCCAGGACCCAATTTTTCCCTGGCTAACTCGGTCACCTCCTGTCTGGGATCTCCAACTACTACCCATCCCAGAAGTCTCAGCTAAAACAGCAATTCAACGGGGAACTTTTTTCTGAGGCTCCAGGATTGGGCCAGGCCTTCTCCATGGCTCTCTGCCCTTCCCCTACTGCAGAACTTAGCACCTGTATGTCACTATTGGTTCAAACATGTGTCTTTCATATGCTCTCCACGTTATCTGCAGCATCTGCTAAGAATAATAATGAATGGTAAAACCTAATCTCTATTGAGTGTCGATGATGCACTTTTAACGTGACATCTTATTTAATCCTCACTATATCTGCAAGAGTAGAAGCTATTAATAGCCAATTTTCAGATAAGAAAATCAAAGCACAGTTTCTATAACTTACCCAAGCAGCTAGCTAGGAGGCAGCTCAATTTGAGCTCAGGGAATCAGATTCCAGAAACCATGTTCTCAACTACTGGAGCAGATACCTCCCCAGAATCTAGTAGGTGGTTAATGAGTCTTTGTGGAATAAATGAACAGAAGGACAAGCAGTGGATGGATACATAGGTGGGTGGGTGGATAGATGGGTGGATGGAAAGATGGGTGGGTGGGCAGGTGAATGAATGAATGGGTGGTTGAGTCGGTGAAGGGATGGCTGAGTGGGTGGAGAAATGGATGAGTGGTTGAGGGGGTGGAGGGATAGATAAATGGGTGGACGGGTGGGTGGATAGATGGATAGATGAGTGAATGGGTGCATGGGTGAGTGGATGGATAGATGGGTTGGTGGGTGGGTAGGTGGATGATAGCTGGGTGCATAAGAGAGTGGGCTGGATGGATAGATGGGTGGGTGGGCGGGTGGATAGATGGGTAGGTGGGTGGATGGATGTATGCATGTCTGGATGGATGGATGGATGGATGGATGGATGGATGGATGGATGGATGGACGGAATGGTGGATGGATGGACGGACAGATGAACAGATGGACTTGAGCCTTTATTCAAGGTCCTCCAAAGAATTGAGTGATTTCCTAGGGTGTGTCATCACCTGCAGGTGGGTGGGCAAGGGGGCTTGCCTCTGTAATACTCATGATTATGGGTAGTGCTCAGCCTTAGTCGCCACTCTCAGAACACTTTATTGACTAGGAAAGTCAAAACTGGCATTGACAACTAATGCAAATTACAGCTATAACTAACAGAAGATGTTGAGTGATGAGAGCTGGGCAACCAATAATCAATAACTTGGCTGTGTCATGTTGCTGCCATGCTGGACAGGTAGAGCCACGGGTTCCTTAATCCCTCCATCACATTGAGGATGCCTATCAAGATTTCCCCAACCATGAGGACAGGGATATTATCAAATACTTGCAGTTTGCCCCAAAAGGCTCACCCTCTTCATTCCACCTGCACATGACCTTCAGCTCAAAGACATTTCCAGTCCTCCGGGTCAGCCCTTCTTCCAGCCTTTGAATTAACCCTGATGACTGCCTGCTCATTAGGTATCTTCATCTTTCATCACACAGCCTTTTCTAAGGCTTTCCTTCAGTCCAGCCCTCACTAAACGCTGGAACTGTTGTTGACAAAATCCAGAACAAGCTGGCTGCGGGATACAGGTGGGAAACAGGCTGTCGTAGTGGGGAAAAAATTCTAAGCAATCTCGAACACAGAAAAGAAACTGAACAGGTAAGAGAGAGGCAGTAAAGAGAAGAAGTGTGAATTTTGCATAACTGAAGCTGAAGAAGATTGGGGGGCATGGCAGACCACAAGATAAATATGATATAGACTCCTTTTTAAAAAAGTATAAACACCCACCCTTTCCTACTGACAACTGTGCTTCAAATATTGCTAAGGTCTTTACTAAAGGCAAGTCAGAAAAACAGGGTATTTTATGCAATACAGTAAGAAGGCCCATAGGCAAGCATGTTCCTGACACCACCTTCTAGGATAACCCCTGGGATTCTGGTTACGCCTGTCCTAAAGTTGTCTCTCACTCCTGCTGTTGGAGAACTACTAAGAGAAAGAACCATAGTGAAGTGGTTAAGAGTGTGCACCCAGCGACCAGCCAGATGGCTTCAAACCATCACCATCTAATACTGAGCAAGTTACATAATGTTCCTGAGCCTCAACTTTCTCACCTGTAAAATGAGTATGCCGTCATTCATTAATCAAATTCTAGGTAAGCATATACTAAACACCAGAGACACAAATGAGAATCAGGAACAGGCATGGCCCTGGCCCTCACGGTGACCACAGTCTTGAAGGGGAAGGATGACACGCACAGAAATAGGAAGCCGTAGCTGAGCTCATGACACCTGGTGTCATGAAAGCAGATAACAGGGGGTTGCTGTGACTGAGTCAGTGTGGTCAGGCGTCCCAGAGGATGTAGTGACTCCACTGTCAGATGAGACTGTGACCAGGTGAACGGGTAGGGACAGGGAAAATCTTTCCAGGCAGAAAGAGCAGGATGTGCAAAGGCCCCGTGGCAGGAAAAGAGCAAAGGAAGTGCAAGAGCCTGAAAGAGGCCAGAGAGAACAAGTGAACATGTGGATAATCACAGCACCCACCTCATACAGGACTTGCAAGAAATTGAGACACTGTCTGTAACAGATTCAGCAATGACTAAATAGAAACTATCTCCTAAAAGCACAGGATGAAGCTCCTTGGTGGTATTTCCCATGTGAGGCTGCCATGGACTCAGAGGCCAAGTTCAACCTGCCTGTAGACAACCTCCAAGCCAGCTGGACACACATACAGCCTCAGGCTCAGGATATCCAGGACAGAGTCCTGGATGCTTGAAGTCATGATAAGTATCCAGAATGACACAGAATTCCAGCCAGTCATGGTGGCTCACACCTGTAATCCGAGCACTTTGGGAGGCCGAGGTGGATCACCTGAGGTCAGGAGTTCGAGACCAGGCTGGCCAACATGGTGAAACTCCTTCTCTATTAAAAATACAAAAAAATTAGCCAGGTATGGTTGTGGGTGTCTGTAGTCCCAGCTACTCAGGAGGCTGAGGCAGGAGAATCGCTTGAACCCGGGAGGCAGAGACTGCAGTGAACCGAGATTGCACCATTGCACTCCAGCCTGGGCAGCAAAAGTGAATCTCCGTCTCAAAAAAGAAAGAAAAAAAAAAGAATGACACAGAATTTGCTAAAGGGGGATAAACGGCTTTCTTCCAAAGCTGGGCCTGGTTTCTACAGAGAGTCTTTCAGATGAAAATTAAGCAGCTCTTTGCAAGCAGCTCTCTGCAAGCACCTCAGAGGAGAACCCCTCACCCTGATGAATCAGGCACACGGGCGCATCCAAGACAATCGGCTGCATGCATGTGAACAAGCCTATGGTAGAAATGCAGTGCTTTATTTGTTTGGGGTGGTTTAATCACCAGGAGGGAGAAGCATCTAAAGCAGCATTCAGAGGTGGCTGTTGCCTGGGTTTTCTGGAAGGGGGAGGCGGTGAGGATGAGGGCTTCCATTTCATCTGCAGGACCCTTGCAGAAGGAGCTGGGGAAAGCTTTGCAGCCATCTGCACACTGTTTGCCATCTTGTCTGGCTGGGCAGCCGAGCTCCAGATGGGGGCGGATGGGATAGCTCTTGCCACCGTATTTGGAGAGAGATGGCAGGGAAGTCAGCCCCCATGAAGAAGACAGGAGCACACAGGTGCTGGAAAGTGCTGCCTAGGCCCCTGGGCTGAAGTGTCCAACCCCACAGCCTCTACCTGCCACCAAAGCAGCCCGAGAGGATCTTCTCTGTCCATCTCCATCCTGGCACCTACAGACACTTGGAGAGGGTCCTTCACATTGGAACTCACAAATGCACACTGATAACCCCCACACGGAACTCTCATACGTAGCAAGTGAAAAGACAGGATGCCAGTTTAACTTGAATTTCAGATAAACAACAAATCATTTTTTAGGGTAAGCAGGTCCCAAATATTGCATGGGATATATTTGCACCAAAAAAAAAAAAAAAGGTTAATGAGAAATTCAGGTTTAATTGGACTTCCTGTATTTTAACTGGCAAGCCTAACCCCGTGTAAACACAACCTCGAGCTTGAAACTCACAGAGAAGCCACGGCCGTGCTCACACATGCACACAAACCCATATGCCTTACAGAGTCAAGGGCTGTGATGAGGGTCCCCACCCTTGCACACTTCCCTGTCCTCTGTCTGGGCTCAGAGCAAACAGAGGGTCACCTGGCATCCACGTCTAAGCTGGGCTTGGAGGTGTCCTAAAGAAGCAGGATGCTGACCTGCACTTCCCCAGCTAAGCCGGGGCTGCAGCCAGGCCTAGCTTCCAGTCTCGGGCCTAGAACACACAGCACAGCCCCAGACCTTGGCAAGAAGGCCACTGGTCCAGGACCTATTAGAAGCCCCACTTCTTTCCTCTGTTTCTGCTGCCATTGCCCCAGTCTCTGACCCTGACACTCAATCACTCTATAAACACAGCAGGTACTGGGGTGGCTCTGGGCTCGGCACTAAAGACAATGCCCCTGGTAAAGCCACAGTCTAGCAATGACAGTCAACCACGTATCAGCAACAGCCCTGCCCCACACGTGCTGACTGCGCACAAGGCCGGCGCTGTGAACGTGCTCTCAACACTGATCTCACTGAACCCTCATGGCAGCTCTAGGATGCAGACAGTAGCATCACATTATCCCCATTTTACTTTTGAGGAAACTGAGGCCTGAAGAAGGCAAATGCAGGCCTCGAGATTTGCAGTAACATTGCCAGGAATGTTTGAGAAAGCAAACTTCTCCAGAGTGAGGCAGTCTGCCAGAGCTCAGAAGCCAGAGTCCCTGTTAGCAGGGGTTGGGGGGACTGTGGGGTGGGGGCAGACAAGCAGGTAGGGGCTGGACCCCCCAGGACACCAGGGTGCAGACTGGTGTGAGTAAAAGAGAGGCGGTCGTGCCATCATCTGCAGAAGATGATGTCTACAGAGGACAGTACCATGTGAGCCCTTGGGGAGCCAGATGACTGGATGGAATTTTGCACAGGATGCAAATTAAGCACAGATCCCCCTCTGACCTAGACAGCCCACCTCCAGGAACATCCCACAGAAACGCAGACACAGAGCACCAAGTGATGTGTGCGAGGAAATTCATCAGAACACCGTCTGTGACTGGGAAAAGGCGGAAACCATCCACAGACGTATCGCTGCAGGGCTGGTTAAACGAAGCAAGGTGCATCCACACATCAGAATAACTGCTGGGAGAAGAAGGTGGTTCCCAGGTTCCAATGGGAGACAATGTCAAAGACACGCTGCCTGAAAAGCAGGCTTTCCAAAGAATAAATACAGCATTATTCCGTTTTTACTTTTTAAAAAAGGTTACAATAAACACTTACGTGCAAATACATGTGCTTGCATGCACAGAGGAAAAAGGTGTGGACAGGAACAGAAAACCAAACTCTGCGGGTTCTCACTCATAAGTGGAAGTTGAACAATGAGAACACATGGACACAGGGAGGGGAACATCACACACCGGGGCTCGTCGGGGGTGGGGGACAAGGGGTGGGAGAGCGTTAGGACAAATACCTAATGCATGCAGGGCTTAAACCTAGATGACGGGTTGACAGGTGCAGCAAACCACCATGGCACATGTATATCTATGTAACAAACCTGCACATTCTGCACATGTATCTCAGAACGTAGAATAAAAAATAAAAAGAAATCAAAGAAAAAGGTGTGGAGAGGTATACCCCAACGCTTCCCAGTGTTACCTCTGAGAAGCAAGATCAAGAAAAGCAAGTCGAGAGGATGTTTTGTTTTTTGTTTTCTATATAATTTTTTTTTTTTTTTTTGGAAACATAGTCTCGCTCTATTGCCCAGTCTGGAGTCCAGGGACACAATCTCGGCTCACTGCAACCTCCTGCTCACTGCAACCTTCTCCTTACTGCAACCTGCTCCTCACTGCAACTTGCTCCTTCTGGGATACAGTGATTCTCTTGCCTCAGCCTCCCAAATAACTAGGATTACAGGTGCGCACCACCTGGCTAACTTTTGTATTTTTTGTAGAGACAGGGTTTCACTATTTTGGCCAAGCTGGTCTCGAACTCTTGGCCCACCCGCCTTGGCCTCCAAAAGTGCTGGGATTACAGGTGTGAGCCACCATGCCTGGCCTGCATTGCTTGAATTCTCAGACCACATGGACCCTCTCATCTGGTCCTATTGCAAGAGTCCAAGGCAGGAAAGGCAGAAGGCAGGGGCTTACCCCTCCATCAGGACAACATAGAAAAGAGTCAAAAAAGAAAAACATGAATGGATCAGTGAAGAGGGCTGTGCACATGCCCTCTCAGGCACCTACACCTTGCAACTTAAGCCGACAAGCTTTCAAGCCACAGAGTCTTCCTTCCTAGAGACTAGCAAGGACACAAGCCCTGGCCAGTCCCCTCCAGGAGGATGGCCTGAGGGATAAGGTGGGGGGCACAGTCAGGGATGGCAGGAGGAAAGGGGGTTATGAAGCCAAGGAACCCAGGGCACCCCATGCTTCCTGAAGGCCACCAGAACAGGGTGCCACACAGAGCCCCTGTGTACCTGTTTCCACAACAGCCTGAACACAAGGAAAAGGAAAACAAGGAAAATACACAAAGCCCAGCCTCACCTGGAGCAGGTTAAATAAAGTTGTGTGACTTCATGTCCTTTGGAATTGGAAATCCAAGCTTCCTCTTCTGTGCCTTTAAGGTCCTGGCTGCTGCCCCACAGCTCCCTTCTCTTCCCTCCTCCTCTTGTCCTGACTTTTTTTTTTTTGAGATGGAATCTTGCTCTGTTGCCCAGGCTGGAGTACAGTGGCACAATCTCAGCTCACTGCAACCTCCACCTTCGGGGTTCAAGCAATTCTCGTGGCTCAGCTTCCCGAGTAGCTGGTATTATAGGTTTCACCATGTCCGGCTAATTATTGTATTTTTAGTAGAGACAGGTTTTCACCATGTTGGCCAGGCTAGTCTCAAACTCCTGGCCTCAGGTGATCTGCCCACCTCGGCCTCTCAAAGTGCTGGGATTACAGGTGTGAGCCACCATGCCTGGCCCTCTTGTCCTAACTCTGCCATCTCTTTGCAGTCTCCCCTGAGCAGCTTTTCCTGGGCCCGCCCTGCCCCCCTCCAGAGCTGCACTCTCAAACCACCCCCCAATGCCCCCTGGCCCTGGCTCCTGCCCCGGGGCTCTGATCCTCAGCTGGTGAGGTCTAGAGGGTCAGAGGGAGCCAGACTCCCTAGAGAAGCTAAGGCAGGAGCCCTGTGCTGGGCTGTGGGTGACCTGCCCCCTTCCAGCTGGGGCCAAATAGAAGGGGGAAAGGCTGCCCCCAGAATACAGGGCTGTCAGAGGCCCTGGGGATCTGTGCTGGCAGTCAGGAGGACTGTCACCTCAGTGCAGTTGCCTGCAAGGAGGGCTGTGCAGGAAGCTGCATGTTGCTCAGAGAACAAAAAAAGGAAATTAAATGCACCATCTTGTTATTAGCAAGAGCTTTTGAGACAGACACTTAAATATGCATGCCTAGACATTATAAAACTTGGGGGAAATGCTAATTTCAATAACGCCACTTCTTGTGCTTGCAGAAACCATTCTTTTATCTCCCTTCCTAGGAATTTGGGGGCTCCATCCCTCAGAGTGGCAGCGCCAAGACAGCCGGCCTCACTGGGTTTTGTAAGCTGTGCAAGGGGAGATCCCAAGCCCTTGCCTGGAGACCCATCTTAGGAAAACGTTAGAACAGGGCAACAAGTGGCCATTTCCTCCCTCCTTTCTCTTCCCCATACAAAAATCAGAAAGCACACTAGCCCAGTGCCCAGCCACAGTGGTGAGGAAACCCCACTCAAAATCCTGGGTTGTGCCCCTGATGCCAAAGACCTGCAAAATTGGGCCTCACCTGCTGCAACCCTAGCCCAGACTTGCGTACATTTCAGCGGTGGCTGGACTCATGGCCACCTGGGACGTCAGGGTGGTACAAAGTCCTCTTAATCTAAGACTGTCGGGGTACAAAGATAAGCATATTTTCCCCTTTTCTTGAGAGCCAGATGGTAAATAGTTCAGCTTTGCAGGCCATAGGTCTCTGTCCCAACTATTCAACTCTCCATTGTAGCAGGAAAGCAGCCACAGACAATATGCACTGAAATGGGTGTGACTGTGTGCCAATAAAACTTTATTTGTGTGAACAGGCAGGGGGCTGGTTGTGGCGTGTGGGCTACAGCCTGCCTCCTCTGCTACAGCGTGATCTCCAAGGACCCATCCATCTTGTAGACCAGCAGCTGGCACACAGGAGCTGCTCAGATACTTGAAGGAGGAATGGAGAAGGCAAGCAGCCCCCAGTGTGCAGACGTGAGGGTCTCCCAGCAGCACCATCCTCTGCCATCTCATGCCGAGGGACAAAGCCAGAGCAGGGCTCTCCACCAAGGCTGGGCTCTCCTCCAAGGAAATGTGATAACAAGACAGAAAGCACTGTGGAAGGATAGGGGCTTTGGAGTCCCACAAACCACAGTTTGCAAGACCAGGAGCATCCTGCACTTCCTTGCACACAACCTGGGTGGGTGCTGGAGCATCTATACTTAGAGTGAATCTTTTCCCCCTCCTCCCCCAACTGGCCTCCATTACACTTCCAGCAACAATGTAGTGTACGTACACAATGGAATACTATTCAGCCTTCAAAAAGAAGTAAATCCTGCCATTTGAGAAAACATGGATGAGCCTGGAGGATATTATGTTAAGTGAAATAAGCCAGGCACAAAACGACAAATACCACATGATCTCACTTATATGTGAAATCTAAAAAAGTTGAACTCGGCCAGGCATGGTGGCTCATGCCTGTAATCCCAGCACTTTGAGAGGCTGAGGCCGGCAGATTGCTTGAGCCCAGGAGTTCGAGACCAGCCTGCATAACATAGCAAGACCCCATCTCTACAAAAAAATGCAAAAATTAGTGGAGCATGGTGGTGCATGCCTGTACTCCCAGATACTCAGGAGGCCGAGGTGGGAGGATTGATTGAGCTTGGGAATTCAAGGCTGCAGTGAGCCAAGATCACACCCCTGCACTACAGCCTGGGCAATAGAATGAGATTGTCTCAAAAAAAAAAAGAATGAAAAAGAAAAGAAAAAAGTTGAGTTCACAGAAGCAGAGTAGAATGATGGTTGCCAGGGTGGGGAAGTGGGCAGATGCCAAAGGACACAGAATGTCATTTTTAGAGAAGAAGAATAAGTTCAGGATATCCATGGGACAACATGGTACCTATAGTTAATAACAACATATCATACACTTGGAAATCACTAAGAGAGTAGATTTTTTAAGTGTTCTCACCATAAAAAAATAAGTCTGGGAGGTGATATGTTATTTAGCTTGATCTAGCCATTTTGTAATGTATACATACTTCAATCTCATCATGTTGTACCCTCTTGTACATAATTTTTGTCAATTCAATAAATTCAACAGCTCCAGAAAACAAGACATTCTTTTTAGAAAATAATTATTAAAAATAAAATTCAGAATTCTATTTTATTTATTTATTTATTTTTGAAACAGGGTCTCACTCTGTCACCCAGGCTGGCTGAAGTGCATTGGTGCGATCTCGGCTGACTGCAACCTCTGTCTCCCAGGTTCAAATGATTCTCCTGCCTCAGCCTCCCAAGCAGCTGTGATTACAGGTGTGTGCCATCACACCTGGCTAATTTCTGTATTTTCAGTAGAGACAGTTCCGCCATGTTGGCCAGGCTGGTCTCGAACTCCTGACCTTAGGTGATCCACCAGCCTCGACCTGCCAAAGTGCTGGGATTACAGGTGTGAGCCACTGTGCCTGGACAGAATATAAAAGATTGTTTAATTCAACTAAAACATTAAAACATAGATTATTTCTATAAGTGGTAATTGTTCTAACATGTTTTGGTCAAAATAGTCTCCTTACTCATCCACAATTAAATGGTTAATTGACATTTGATTGGATTTTGATAAAGTTTTCAAATCATGATTGACTTTTCCAATGTACAGTAAAATGTGTTTGAAAATATTTCATAAAAATTAATATTGAAAAATGGTCAGGCATGGTAGCTCATGCCTGTAATCCCAGCACTTTGGGAGGCCAAGGTGGGCCGATCACTTGAGGTCAGGAGTTTGAAAGCAGCCTGGCCAAACCTCATCTCCACTAAAAATACAAAAGTTAGTCGGGCATGGTGGCGCGCACCTGCATTCCCAGCTACTTGGGAGGCTGAGGGAGGAGAATCCTTTGAACCTGGGAGGTGGGTTCCCCAGGCTTAGAGCAAAACCGCCATCTTGTCCGTCTCCACTCTCATCCCAGGCAATCATGGTCATTTCCACAGCCTCAACCACTGTCTACCTGGGATGCGTCCCAAGCCCAAGTCTCCAGCCCAAACCTGCCTTCCTAGCCCCAGACCCATCTGTCCTGGCACACGTTGCTCCCTGGGTCCCAAGCAACCTCAGCCAATGAGTCCAACGTCAACTTCCTGTCCTTGCCTGACACTGTCAGCCCTGAGATCAGACTTGACCATTCACCTCCAGTACCTGATAGGTCCGTCAGTCCTTTGGAACATATCCCATGAACACTCCCCAAACCAGGCACCGGACTCCACACATCAACACCGTCATGTGAGTCACCAGCATCCCTGGCAGGGACCCCTGTCCCAGCCTTCAACTCATTTCCTTCCTGTCTCTTGAGTTCTGTGTCACATTCCAGAGGCCACAAGAAGAAAAATGATAACCTTAATGAAATTAAAAGAATTGAGAAGACATTTCCCTATGGTCCAAAGTCTTTCCAACTAAGAAACACGTATCAAGATCCGGCCTGCCAACCCTGTGGTTAAATGTTCCTGAAATAATTAAAGCCCAGGGCAACACAGCCCGCACTCCACAAGTACTCCCAGCACAGTAAGACTTGCTTTTCTGGAGGGGCTTGAAATGTCCAGTGTGTGCCCTGCCCCTCTCTGTCGTAGCTAACAGGAATGTGCTTCATGTCTTCTTCCTGCTCAAAGGACCATCCACCAACCTGTGCAGGCAGCACTTTCGGCCCGGGGGGGGATGCGAGAACTTCCCACCATTTCCCACTTACGCACTGCATTCCTCAGGAGCCTGCCTCACAAATTACAAGAGCGCCACGGCAGACACACGACGTTCCAGTGGGTGGCCATGTCTTCATGTCAGCTTGAAAGATCGTCACCAGGGAAATATCTATATCTCGGCAGAGAGAGCTTCAGCCTGTGTAGTCCAGCTGTGCTCAAATGGAAATCCAGAAACCCAGATGTTGGTCCAAACACCCTGTCTCAGACAGCCAGCTCTGCAGGTCCCCAGCATGGGAGTGAACTGGGTGGGCCACCTACCCTGCCTGCCCACATCCCTGCTTCCTGGAATCCTGGACCCTGAGAACCAGGGGGATGTGGTGGGGAACAGGCAAGTCTTGTACAGAAAGCCAACATGCCACCCAAATCCACTCTGCAGTCTAGGTGGGTGATATTCTGGTCTGCACCACACCAGTGCATGAGGGGATGGAGGATGGAGTCTAGACAAGCCAAATGTAAAAAGATATTGCCCAAGTATTTTGTGCTTTCCCTGTGTTACAATGCTATGCCCAGCCCAGCGTGGTGGCTCACACCTGTGATCTCAGCGCCTTGGGAGGCCGAGGCAGGCGGATCACCTTAGGTCAGGAGTTTGAGACCAGCCTGGCCAACATGGTGAAACCCCATCGCTACTAAAAATACAAAAATTAGCCAGGTGTAGTGGTGGGCACCTGTAATCCCACCTACTCGGGAGGCTGAGACACGAGAATCACTTGAGCCCAGGAGGTGGAGGTTGCAGTGAGCAGAGATCATGCCACTGCACTCCAGCTTGGGCAACAGAGTAAGACTCCATCTTTAAAAGACATAAAAATAAATAAGTGCTATGCCCAGCATTTTCCATGTACTGTCTTATTATCTCAGTAAATCCCATATAACCTTCCTATGAAAGTGTATCTCATTTATCTCCATTTTATAGATGAGAAAACTGAGGCCCCTGGAGTAGTATTAATTTTCCAAGACTGCATTGCTCATAAAGGGTACAGCAGGGACCCAAGCTTGACACTCTCACCCTCAAACATTTCCACAAGTGTAGACCAATGGCTCTCAACTGGGGTGGTTTTGCTCACGTACCACTCCCTTGCCCCACAGCATTTGAGACCATCTGGAGACATCTGGGGTAGCCACAGCTGGGAGGATAGAATGGCACCTAGAGGATGGAGACCAGGGATGGTGCTAGCCATCCTACAATACACAGGATGCCCCCACCACCACCATGAATGGTCTCACCCCAAGTGTTGTGACTGTGGCAAAGCTGAGAAACCAGGTTTCTCCTCAGCAAGAAGGAAAATCCCTGCAACGTGGATGCACCTCTACAGGAGCCCCAGGCTGACAACAACCTTCCTGATCTGGTTTCAACCCTGGATGCTTTTACCTGGTGTGTCCATCAGGGATTTCAGGGACTCCAGTGAGTTATTACCCTCGAATGCTCGGTTCTGCCTGACAACCCAGAAATCTCTGCCAAGATGCCTGGTCTTGGGGAAGGCTCAGCAAGTGGTTGAGGTTGATAACCAAGTACCTAGGAGACACTTTTCTCTCCCTCCAGGAGGAGCTGTGGGTCAGACACACCCTGGGATCATTCACAAGTGGTCAATAAAGGCTTGGGGAGGGCCAGGTTTTCTAGGCCTTCTCAATGGGGTGGGTGTTTGTGGATACACAAGAAGCCTGTGAAACTTCTGATATTGGCAGGAAATCAATACCCCCCACCCTCCACGCCCCCACATCCCCACCATAAACACATGCCCTGCAGCAGGACTTGGCACTCAGGGGCTCCTGAGATCCCGATTTACCTGCTAAAACATCCTCTAGCCATCACCGAATAAAGCAACCCCTTGCCACCCGACCACAAGATCACAGCCTGGGAGCCACTCCAAGGAACACCAAGTCACATTAAAACCTCAGCCATCCAGAGCACCAGGCCTGGTGATGAGAAAGAACATTTTATCCTTAAACGCATCTGAATGCCCATGCTGCTTCTTGCAGAGAAAAGTCCAAAATAATCTGCTATTAAAGAATGAGGATGGTTTTGACATTTTTACCAAGCTAATGGTCTACGCAGACAAAATCTCATAAAAGGGCCCTCTGTTCTTCTTGATCCACTCAGACATGACCTGTGAGTGAAGAAACGGATCTCCTCCTCAAAGAAATCACTGCTGATCCTCGTACCAGCCTGACACTGCTTCATGGGTTCTTCAAAGAGAGTATTCCCATAGAAACTAAAAAGGAAGAGGAATGTGTCTGACGGGCATTGTGGGCAGCAGTGGGCTTTGGGCCAAATTTTAAGTTTGAAAATCAAGATTCCCTCTTTTCGAGGGGCCGCCGGACTGAGCAGATACAGACACCGTGAAAAGAGGGTGCCATGTTCAGATTCAGGAAACAAGGATGGTTTCTGTTCAGTTCCTCCATCATCCTTCAGGTCATGCGATTCCCATTTCCCTCTGTGGACCAAACAATTCAGTGGGGTTTCTGCCTTTTAAATATTTCATTATCAACATATCATCCTTTTAGCCTCCAGAAGGCATTTTAACATGAAGATTCTGGCTTAAGACTCTTGTGGGTCTGTCTGTCTCTCTCTCTTTTCCTTGAAACAGAGTCTCACTTTGTCACCCAGGCTGGAGTGCAGTGGCATGATCACAGCTCACTGCAGCCCGACCTTCCAGGCTCTAGTAATCCTCCCACCTCAGCCTCCCAAGTACTTGGGACTACAGGCACACACCACCATACCTGGCTTTTTTTTTTTTTTTTTTTTTTTTTTTTTTTTTTTTTGGTAGATATGAGGCTTCGCCATGTTGCCCAGCTGGTCTTAAACTCCTGGGCTCAAGCGATCCTCCCCTTTCGGCCTCTCAAAGTGTTGGAATTATTGGCTTGAGCCACCATGCCCGGCCAGGAACCTTGTCTCTTGTGATGCACCCCAGAACAAAACATCACTGCAAAAACACACCAAGGCATGAGTTTTAGTCCTAAGTCCCATTTATCCACCATACACTATGTGCCAGGCACAACGCTAAGTGCTTCTATGGACGAGCATCCCTTAATCTCAGCAGTAACAACCCCAGGCAATGGGGCCTGTTGGCAAATCCATTTGCCACTGAAGACAGTAAGGCTCAGAGAGGGTAAGTGGCTTGTGCCATGTCAGCCAGCTAAGGAGGGGCAGAACCAGGATGCAAACCCCAGCCGCCTGGCTCCAGACTCGGGTTCCCAAGGTCCCACTACACTTGGTCACTCCACTGCATTGTGGTATCCTGGTCTTTGGCAGAGTCCACGTAAAAGAGGTAGGTAGAGGGAGTGAGAAGGACTTCATGCAATGAAGTTTCCCGGCGTTACACTGCCATTGTAATTGTGTCCCCGACCAGGACCTCTCCCTTCTCATCCTTTCCGTGATCGGCCCTGGAAAACCTTCCAAAGAACTGTCCTCCTTCTCCCGGGATCTCAGAGAAAATTCGCCTGAGTTCAGTGTCCAGGTGACCCAAGCTCTGAATGCGGTAACGTGCACGGGGAGATGAGGATGTCACCATGAGCAACCCCAAGACTGGGCAGGGGGGGCTCTGATGCAGCCCACGGCGAGGAGGGCTGCCCGTGCTGCCTAAATGGGTTCAGAATGAAGGCCGCCCTCTCGCCCATGTGGGGCTCATTAACCACGAATCCAATTATTAAGACAAGCTCAGCTGAGCAAATGGTCAAACATAAAAACATGTGGAAGGAACCAAGAGGTCAACCCCATTATCCATCAAAAACCATCAAGGTGGCGGACCTCACTGAGGGGTACAGCTCTCCAGTGGGCCCTCATCTGTCCTCCAAACCTATGTGCCTCCTCAGTGGAAGGCCAGCAAAACCACACAGGAAGAGTTGGCGTAGGAAAGCAGAAAGTGAACCCCAGGAGGCCAGGCTGGCCACGGAGCCCCATCCCACACTCACAGGCCCGCTGACTCAGGGGCTCACATGTGCAGGACACCGGGAGCTCACAGGGACAGTGCCCCGGGGGATGCAAGGAACTTTGCCTCTCTGTCCCTCTCTGTAGGGATGGAAAGAGGAGAGCGATTTCTGGGATGGAAGCCATCTGCCTCCTCTCAACTCTCGCTGCCCAACCAGAAAGGGAAGAAAAACAGGAAGATGCGGGACAGGTGAGGAGCTGGGTGAGCGCCGCCAGCCCGCAGCCCAGCAGAGCAGGGCTTGGCCAAGCCTGGCGCCAGGGACTTCCCCCCTACCCCCACCACAGGCCCCTCGCCAGGTGAGAGGCACCGGCAGAGTCCCAGACAGATGCCCCAGACAGGCGGCTCAGCGCAACCCCCGGCCCTTCCCCTGCTAGGGGCCCCCAGGACGCGGGGCTCCCCCTCCCCTTTTGGCTAGCTGCAGAGTCCAGCGCGTCTCCCGGCCAGGGACGTCGTGGGAGAATCAGGAAGTCGAAGCCACACAGCCGAGAAGGGGCAGCTGGCGTCTCGGAGGCCGACACGAGCTGTCACTCCGCGCCCGCCGGAGTTGCCGCTCAATTACCAACTTCAACCCAGGGCAGGCCACGGGGCCTCCCGCCGCCCCTACCCTGCGCCCCCGGCACCCCGGGACCCCCGCGCCCGCGTCACTTACTCCTCTGCCGTCGCCACCTGTCTGGGTGCCGGTCTCCTTCCTGGCCGACCGCGGCGCGTCCTGCCCGTCCTCGCAGTCCTGGGGCTGTGCGCTTCCCCCCTCCAGCAAGAGCCGCAGCCTCTTCTCTTCGGGAGGGACGTCGTCCTCCTCCCTCCTGGGCCGGCCATCCCTGCCTCGGGGCTTGCCAGGGGCTTCGGAGCTGCCGGAAGGGCTGGCCATGGCCCCGGGGGCTCTGCCTGCACCTGGGGAAGAGGAAGGACCCGGAGCGAGCGGCCTCTCGGCGGAGCTGGGGCGTCTGAGCGCGGGCTCGGTGGGTCCGCGCGGCGCGGAGCTGGGCATCGGGGCCGGCGCGGACTCCTCCGCGGGCCGCTCGTGGTCCTCTGGCGCCCTCTGCTGGCCGCTCGCGCGCACCGTGGACAGGTAGGGCCCTGGCCTGCGCTGCGCTCACCTGCCCCGGACCAAGCAGTCGCTGTCTCCTGCCTGTGGCCATGCCCGCTCTGACCAGGCCCTGCACCTCCTCCCCACCCCAGCCAGGTTGCACCCCGATGGACTCCCTGCCCAAGGAGGAGAGAAGAGAAGGGACGCCCCGAGAGGGTGGACATCGGCCACAGCCACCTTGTCTTTGCTCTTACCCTGTGTCTTCCATGATTTGGAGGTGGTAGGAAAACCGAGGCTGCTCAAAACTCGTGGAGAATTCCGCCTGCAGGATGACATGAATGCACCTTCCCATTGCCTACCAACAGATCTTTTCTGAGCATCACTGTGGACCAGGCGTGGTGATGGGGGAGGGGATATTGTGGTGAACATGACAGGCATTGCCTTCACCCAGTGGGGCTCAGCGCTGGGTGAGAAGGCATTGAGAATGGACATTGTCAATTGGGCCAAAGGAGGCCAAGGAGAAGTGCTGGGTGCATGGGAACTAAAAAAGACAGGAGGCTCAGCAGGTCTTGGAGCTGGGAGAGGGACAGCAGCAGCGGCTGTTCCAAAGGAAGCAACAGCTGAGAGAAGTCTCAGAGGTTGTTCTCAGCCCAGTGGAGGGTGTTCAGGCAGAGGGAACAGCGTGTGCAAAAGCCCAGAGGCTGGGAAAGAAGCAGAAAGAGGACGGTGGGGCTGGAGCGTGGTGTGCAAGGTGAGAGAGGTGTGGTGGGTGGACAGATGGCCTTGGACCCAGCCGTGCAGGGGCAGAGGAGATAGGGAATCCTTGCAGGCCCCCAGCCGGGGCTGAGGCACAGAGACAATGCAGGTGGGCAAAGGGAGGAGACGTGGAGAAATATTTTGGAGGCATGCCCTGATGAATGAGCCCAGGATGCACCCTTAGTGTCAGTGTGGAGCTCCTTCCTTGGCTGTGTGATGAGCTGAACTCGGGGGTATTTTCTGGACATGGAGGTGCTACACCCAGAGTCCAGGACAGGCTAAGTGAGCACCAGCAGCTCCTGGCCCACCTCAAAAGCAGGAGAGACAGGGGAGACTGGGGAGGCCGGGGTAGAAGGGGAAGCCAGGAAGGCAGGAGAGGCCACAGAAACAGAGGAGGCCAGGGAGGCAGAGGAGGCAGGAGAGGCTGGGGAGGCTGTGTCCTTTCCATGATTCTGCCCAGGATCCTAGGCCCCTGTACTCCCTGAGCTTCCCCACCCCAAGTGCTGGAACCATGTTGCACAATGGTCTCCCCACTAAGCTCCTGATGGCAGCCCCTACCCTGCTGTGCTCCCTATTTCAACCCTAACAGCTCTCACAGTGGGCAGCACAGAGTAGGTGCTCAGGAAACACTGGTGGCAGAGCACATGGGTCTGCTCAGCACCTTCCTCCCTCCTCCAGCTCTCCCTATCATGAAATAATTCTGATAACGACACATGGACTTTGAGACCCTCTTCTATTACTTTCCATATGCTAATCCATCTATACCCCACAGCAGCCCTGAGGGTGGGTGCTATTACGATGCCCATTTTAAAGAGGAAGAGACTGAGATATAAAGAGGATAACTGACATAGGCACACTACAGGGGCTGGGACCAAGTGATCAGAGCACTCAGTCCCCAAAGGCAAGGTGGATGCAGTTACCATAAAAGACAGCAGAGTCAAAGCTGCAACCAGAATAGCCTGACTCGCAGAGACCTATGGTGCCAGCTGATCGTGGCATTCCTAGAAGTGAAATAGATAAGAAGCCTGCCACATTTTTACTGGATCTGTGTTTGCAGAAGGGTTCTAGGTCAGGTGAGCAGAAGTCTAATCTGAATCCTAAAAACAGAGTCACAGTCCCCAGTCAATTTCCAGACATAAGCCAGTTCACAGACCCGGAGTCCCTTGTCTGAATGGGAAGCCAGGTCCCCTCTAGAAAGGACTCTGCTCCACTGCCAAACATTTATACTGTCAATCTTTCTCCCAGCCTGCCCCCAAAGGAATACCCAGCCTTTCACCAGGATGACTGAACAGGAGAAAAGGAACTAGAGACTTGTGCAGGATCACTGGACACAGGCTCTGAACTGGCACTAGGGTGAGACTAGGGCCTACCAGTCAGAATAGGCATTTTGGAGGTCAGGTGAATGTTGGTGCAAGTTCATGTCATGGTAGATCCATTGGGTCCCCAAATCCATCCTCTGGTTATATACAAAGCGGCAATGCTGAGATTCAAATTCAGGGCATCCAGCATAGAGGCTGTGCTCTTACTCGTGAAACATTCTGACACTAGTAACCAATATAAAAATGCAAACACGTCCTGGGGCTAGCGAGAGTCCTCCAAACAGTCATGTAAATTGGTTCTGTCAAGGATTTCCTCCCATCCCCTGCTGAGAGCCAGTTGCAAGGAGAGACTAGGGAAGGGCATTGGGTAACTTTGTTGCTAAAAGCTCTTCTGGATAAAGACATTTGGGAAAAGAAGCAAATAGAGTTCAGCAGAAGATGTAAGAAAGTAAGTTTATGTTTGGCCAGGCACGGTGGCTCACGCCTGTAATCCCAGCACTTGGGAAGGCCGAGGCGGGCAGATCACGAGGTCAAGAGATCGGAGTATCCTGGCCAACATGGTGAAGACCCGTCTCTACTAAAAATTCAAAAATTAGATGGGCATGATGGCGCACGCCTGTAGTCCCAGTTACTCAGGAGCCTGAGGCAGGAGAATCACTTGAGCCCAGGAGGTGGAGGTTGCAGTGAGCGGAGAACATGCCACTGCACTCCAGCTTGGGCAACAGAGTAAGACTCTGTCTTAAAAAAAAATAAAAATAAATAAATGCTATGCCCAGTATTTTCCATGTACTGTCTTATTATCTCAGTAAATCCCATATAACCTTCCTATGAAAGTGTATCTCATTTATCTCCATTTTATAGATGAGAAAACTGAGGCCCCTGGAGTAGTATTAATTTTCCAAGACCTCATTGCTCATAAAGGGTACAGCAGGGACCCAAGCTCGACACTCTCACCCTCAAACATTCCCACAAGTGTAGACCAATGGCTCTCAACTGGGTTGGTTTTGCTCACGTACCACTCCCTTGCCCCACGGCATTTGAAACCAACTGGAGACATCTGGGGTAGCCATAGCTGGGAGGGTAGAATGGCACCTAGAGGATGGAGACCAGAGATTCTGCTAACCATCCTACAATACACAGGACGGCCCCCCACCACCACCATGAATGGTCTCACCCCAAGTGTTGTGACTGTGGCAAAGCTGAGAAACCAGGTTTCTCCTCAGCAAGAAGGAAAATCCCTGCAACGTGGATGCGCCTCTACAGGAGCCCCAGGCTGACAACAACCTTCCTGATCTGGTTTCAACCCTGGATGCTTTTACCTGGTGCGTCCATCAGGGATTTCAGGGACTCCAGTGAGTTATTACCCTCGAATGCTCGGTTCTGCCTGACAACCCAGAAATCTCTGCCAAGATGCCTGGTGGTCTTGGGGAAGGCTCAGCAAGTGGTTGAGGTTGATAACCAAGTACCTAGGAGACACTTTTCTCTCCCTCCAGGAGGAGCTGTGGGTCAGACACACCCTGGGATCATTCACAAGTGGTCAATAAAGGCTTGGGGAGGGCCAGGTTTTCTAGGCCTTCTCAATGGGGTGGGTGTTTGTGGATACACAAGAAGCCTGTGAAACTTCTGATATTGGCAGGAAATCAATACCCCCCACCCTCCACGCCCCCACATCCCCTCCATAAACACATGCCCTGCAGCAGGACTTGGCACTCAGGGGCTCCTGGGGTCCCGATTTATCTGCTAAGACATCCTCTAGCCATCACGGAATAAAGCAACCCCTTGCCACCCGACCACAAGATCACAGCCTGGGAGCCACTCCAAGGGACATCCAGTCACATTAAAACCTCAGCCATCCAGAGCACCAGGCCTGGTGATGAGAAAGATCATTTTATCCTTAAACGCATCTGAATGCCCATGCTGCTTCTGGCAGAGAAAAGTCCAAAATAATCTGCTATTAAAGAATGAGGATGGTTTTGACATTTTTACCAAGCTAATGGTCTACGCAGACAAAATCTCATAAAAGGGCCCTCTGTTCTTCTTGATCCACTCAGACATGACCTGTGAGTGAAGAAACGGATCTCCTCCTCAAAGAAATCACTGCTGATCCTCGTACCAGCCTGACACTGCTTCATGGGTTCTTCAAAGAGAGTATTCCCATAGAAACTAAAAAGGAAGAGGAATGTGTCTGACGGGCATTGTGGGCAGCAGTGGGCTTTGGGCCAAATTTTAAGTTTGAAAATCAAGATTCCCTCTTTTCGAGGGGCCGCCGGACTGAGCAGATACAGACACCGTGAAAAGAGGGTGCCATGTTCAGATTCAGGAAACAAGGATGGTTTCTGTTCAGTTCCTCCATCATCCTTCAGGTCATGCGATTCCCATTTCCCTCTGTGGACCAAACAATTCAGTGGGGTTTCTGCCTTTTAAATATTTCATTATCAACATATCATCCTTTTAGCCTCCAGAAGGCATTTTAACATGAAGATTCTGGCTTAAGACTCTTGTGGGTCTGTCTGTCTCTCTCTCTTTTCCTTGAAACAGAGTCTCACTTTGTCACCCAGGCTGGAGTGCAGTGGCATGATCACAGCTCACTGCAGCCCGACCTTCCAGGCTCTAGTAATCCTCCCACCTCAGCCTCCCAAGTACTTGGGACTACAGGCACACACCACCATACCTGGCTTTTTTTTTTTTTTTTTTTTTTTTTTTTTTTTTTTTTTTTTTGGTAGATATGAGGCTTCGCCATGTTGCCCAGGCTGGTCTTAAACTCCTGGGCTCAAGCGATCGTCCCCCTTCGGCCTCTCAAAGTGCTGGGATTATTGGCTTGAGCCACCATGCCCGGCCAGGAACCTTGTCTCTTGTGATGCACCCCAGAACAAAACATCACTGCAAAAACACACCAAGGCATGAGTTTTAGTCCTAAGTCCCATTTATCCACCATACACTATGTGCCAGGCACAACGCTAAGTGCTTCTATGGACGAGCATCCCTTAATCTCAGCAGTAACAACCCCAGGCAATGGGGCCCGTTGACAGATCCATTTGCCACTGAAGACAGTAAGGCTCAGAGAGGGTAAGTGGCTTGTGCCATGTCAGCCAGCTAAGGAGGGGCAGAACCAGGATGCAAACCCCAGCCGCCTGGCTCCAGACTCGCGTTCCCAAGATCCCACTACACTTGGTCACTCCACTGCATTCTGGTATCCTGGTCTTTGGCAGAGTCCACGTAAAAGAAGGAGGTAGAGGGAGTGAGAAGGACTTCACGCAATAAAGTTTCCTGGTGTTACACTGCCACTGTAATTGTGTCCCCGACCAGGACCTCTCCCTTCTCATCCTTTCCGTGATCGGCCCTGCAAAACCTTCCAAAGAACTGTCCTCCTTCTCCCGGGATCTCAGAGAAAATTCGCCTGAGTTCAGTGTCCAGGTGACCCAAGCTCCGAATGCGGTAACGTGCACGGGGAGATGAGGATGTCACCATGACCAAGCCTCCCAGACAGCATCCGGGAGCAACCCCAAGACTGGGCAGGGGGGGCTCTGATGCAGCCCACGGCGAGGAGGGCTGCCCGTGCTGCCTAAATGGGTTCAGAATGAAGGCCGCCCTCCCAACTTCAACCCGGGGCAGGCCACGGAGCCTCTCGCCGCCCCTACCCCTCGTTCCCCGCATCCCCGCGCACCCGGCACCCCCGGACCCCCGCGCCCGCGTCACTTACTCCTCTGCCGTCGCCACCTGTCTGGGTGCCGGTCTCCACCCTGCCCGGCCGCGGCGCGTCCTCCCCGTCCTCGCCGTCCTGGGGCTGTGCGCTTCCCCCCTCCAGCAAGAGCCGCAGCCTCTTCTCTTCGGGAGGGACGTCGTCCTCCTCCCTCCTGGGCCGGCCATCCCTGCCTCGGGGCTTGCCAGTGGCTTCGGAGCTGCGGGAAGGGCTGGCCATGGCTCCGGGGGCTCTGCCTACACTTGCGGAAGAAGAAGGAGCCTGCGCAAGCGGCCTCTCGGCGGAGCTGGGGCGTCTGAGCGCGGGCTCGGTGGGTCCGCGCGGCGCGGAGCTGGGCATCGGGGCGGCGCGGGCTCCTCCGCGGGCCGCTCGTGGTCCTCTGGCGCCCTCTGCTGGCCGCTCACGCGCACCGCCACCACGCCGGGCCCGGGCCTGCGCCGCTCTCACCCGTCCTGGCCCAGGAGGTCGCTGTCCCTTGCCCGTGGCCAGGCCCGCTCTGGCCAGGCCCTGCACCTCCTCGCCACCCCAGCCAGGTTGCACCCCGATGGTCTCCCTGCTCAAGGAGGAGGAAGAGAAGGGACGCCCCGAGAGGGTGGACATTGGCCACAGCCACCTTGTCTTTGCTCTTACCCTGTGTCTTCCATGATTTGGAGGTGGTGGGAAAACCGAGGCTGCTCAAAACTCGTGGAGAATTCCGCCTGCAGGATGACATGAATGCACCTTCGCATTGCCTACCAACAGATCTTTTCTGAGCATCACTGTGGACCAGGCGTGGTGATGGGGGAGGGGATATTGTGGTGAACATGACAGGCATTGCCTTCACCCAGTGGGGCTCAGCACTGGGTGAGAAGGCATTGAGAATGGACATTGTCAATTGGGCCAAAGGAGGCCAAGGAGAAGTGCTGGGTGCATGGGAACTAAAAAAGACAGGAGGCTCAGCAGGTCTTGGAGCTGGGAGAGGGACAGCAGCAGCGGCTGTTCCAAAGGAAGCAACAGCTGAGAGAGGTCTCAGAGAGTTGTTCTCAGCCCAGTGGAGGGTGTTCAGGCAGAGGGAACAGCGTGTGCAAAAGCCCAGAGGCTGGGAAAGAAGCAGAAAGAGGACGGTGGGGCTGGAGCGTGGTGGGCAAGGTGAGAGAGGTGTGGTGGGTGGACAGATGGCCTTGGACCCAGCCGTGCAGGGGCAGAGGAGATAGGGGATCCTTGCAGGCCCCCAGCCGGGGCTGAGGCACAGAGACAATGCAGGTGGGCAAAGGGAGGAGACGTGGAGAAATATTTTGGAGGCATGCCCTGATGAAGGAGCCCAGGATGCACCCTTAGTGTCAGTGTGGAGCTCCTTCCTTGGCTGTGTGATGAGCTGAACTCGGGGGTATTTTCTGGACATGGAGGTGCTACACCCAGAGTCCAGGACAGGCTAAGTGAGCACCAGCAGCTCCTGGCCCACCTCAAAAGCAGGAGAGACAGGGGAGACTGGGGAGGCCGGGGTGGAAGGGGAAGCCAGGAAGGCAGGAGAGGCCACAGAAGCAGAGGAGGCCAGGGAGGCAGAGGAGGCAGGAGAGGCTGGGGAGGCTGTGTCCTTCCCCAGATTCTGCCCAGGATCCTAGGCCCCTGAGCTTCTCCACCCCAAGAGCTGGAACCATGTTGCACAATGGTCTCCCCAACTAAGCTCCTGATGGCAGCCCCTACCCTGCTGTGCTCTCTATTTCAACCCTAACAGCTCTCACAGTGGGCAGCACACAGTAGGTGCTCAGGAAACACTGGTGGCAGAGCACATGGGTCTGCTCAGCACCTTCCTCCCTCCTCCAGCTCTCCCTATCATGAAATAATTCTGATAACGACACATGGACTTTGAGATGCTCTTCTATTACTTTCCATATGCTAATCCATCTATACCCCACAGCAGCCCTGAGGGTGGGTGCTATTAGGATGCCCATTTTATAGAGGAGGAAACTGAGGTATAAAGAGGGTAAGTGACATAGGCACACTACAGAGGCTGGGACCAAGTGATCAGAGCACTCAGTCCCCAAAGGCAAGGTGGATGCAGTTATCATTAAAAGACAGCAGAGTCAAAGCTGCAACCAGAATAGCCTGACTCGCAGAGACCTATGGTGCCAGCTGATCGTGGCATTCCTAGAAGTGAAATAGATAAGAAGCCTGCCACATTTTTACTGGATCTGTGTTTGCAGAAGAGTTCTAGGTCAGGTGAGCAGAAGTCTAATCTGAATCCTAAAAACAGAGTCACAGTCCCCAGTCAATTCCCAGATATAAGCCAGTTCACAGACCCAGAGTCCCTTGTCTGAATGGGAAGCCAGGTCCCCTCCAGAAAGGACTCTGCTCCACTGCCACAAATTAATACTGTCAATCTTTCTCCCAGCCTGCCCCCAAGGGAATACACAGCCTTTTACCAGGATGACTGAATAGGAGAAAAGGAACTAATGAGACCAGTGCAGGATCACTGGACACAGGCTCTGAACTGGCACTAGGGCGAGACTAGGATCTACCAGACAGAATAGGCATTTTGGTGGTCAGGTGAATGTTGGTGCAAGTTCATGTCATGGTAGATCCATTGGGTCCCCAAATCCATCCTCTGGTTATATACAAAATGGCCATGTTGAGATTTAAATTCATGGTATCCAACTTAGAGGCTGTGCTCTTACTCATGAAACATTCTGACACTAGTAACCAATTTAAAAATGCAAACACCTCCTGGGGCTAGCGAGAGTCCTCCAAACAGTCATGTAAATTGGTTCTGTCAAGGATTTCCTCCTACCCACCACCCCTCCCCACCCCCATCCGCTGAGAGCCAGTTGCAAGGAGAGACTAGGGAAGGGCATTGGGTAACTTTGTTGCTAAAAGCTCTTCTGGATAAAGAAGAGCTTTATCCAGGAAAAAGAAGCAAAATAGAGTTCAGCAGAAGTTGAGAAAAGAAGCAAATAGAGTTCAGGAGAAGGGGTAAGAAAGTAAGTTTATGTTTGACCAGGCACGGTGGCTCACG
The DNA here is from genome assembly GCF_000001405.40 of Homo sapiens. Lineage (NCBI taxonomy): Eukaryota > Metazoa > Chordata > Mammalia > Primates > Hominidae > Homo > Homo sapiens. The sequence continues at coordinate 8,399,415 of NC_000012.12, forward strand.
CCTGTAATCATAGCACTTTGGGAAGCCAAGGCGGGCAGATCACGAGGTCAAGAGATCGCACCATCCTGGCCAACATGGTGAAGCCCCGTCTGTACTAAAAATTCAAAAATTAGCTGGCCATGATGGCACACGCCTGTAGTCCTAGCTTCTCGGGAGCCTGAGTCAGGAGAATCACTTGAACGCAGGAGGCAGAGGTTGCAGTGGGCCGAGATCATGCCACTGCATTCCAACCCGGTGACAGAACAAGACTCCATCTCATAAAACAAAACAAAACAAACAAAAAAAAGTAAGCTTATTTTTAAGCCTGAACAAGTGTAGTGGTTTAGGGGTTCTGCAAACATGGCCCCAATCAGGCTACAAGATGTTGTGGCAGCAATATTTACAGCCAGTCACTCCTGGCCAGCTGAGCCACTTTTCAAAACATGCTTGCACAGCTGTGCAGAGCGGCTGGCTCCACTGGCAGCCGGCAGAGCCATAACTCACACTGTCACCAATGCCCTCAAACCCCTTCGGTAAGCACTTTGTTTTTTTGAGACGGAGTCTTGCTCTGTCATCCAGGCTGGAGTGCAGTGGCACAATCTCGGCTCACTGCAAGCCCCGCCTCCTGGGTTCACGCCATTCTCCTTCCTCAGCCTCCCAAGTAGCTGGGACTACGGGCGCCCGCCACCATGCCCGGCTAATTTTTTTTGTATTTTTAGTAGAGACGGGGTTTCACCGTGTTAGCCAGGATGGTCTCAATCTCCTGACCTTGTGATCCGCCTGCCTCGGCCTCCCAAAGTGCTGGGATTAGAGGCGTGAGTCACCGCGCCCGGCCTGGTAAGCACTTTTAATCAATGCAACAGGAATAAACATTTGCTGCAGAGCGGCAATGTGCAGGGAGGAACATGCTTCCACTCAGGCTCAGAAAGCAAAACCTCCTGGCTGTTTGCATCTATGCAAGAGCTCGCAGGAAAAGCCCTCTGTGTGGCTGCCAGCCTCACACACTCCCCCCAAGGGGTGAGTTTCTCTTTTCATGTTAATCTATGCTCTGACGTGCCATCTGTCAACCACCACACCATTCTCAGTTGCCATTTCAAAGCATCTTTGCCCTGTGAATGGTCACCAGCCCTGCCTTGCAAGCCCCCAGTTCACATTGAACTTAAATGAGAGAGAAAGCAGGTTTCGGGGTGGATTTCAGTTCAGCATCTTCGAGTCTCTGTGTGGACATGAAATCTGTCTCTCCAGCTGTGGGCTGCATCTTTGTTTGTCATCTGGTTTGGTTCTTGGGGACTTGGAAACTCGTGGGCACCTTTGCAATTTGTCAAGAAGCTGCATGGCCCTTCCAACAAAAGCAAGGAGTAGGAACAGAAGCCCAAGGCTTCAGATCAAGGTGCAATTTAAAGCAGCCTCAGTGTAAAAGCAAACAAGATTCAGAGGGATGCCTAAGGCAGAGTCTAGTCCCCAGGGCAGCAATAAGGCAAAGAGAAAGAGAGAGAGAGAGACAGAGACAGAAAGACAGAGAGAGATGGGAGGAGACATGAGGCACCCAGGCGTCTGCATCAAAATCCCTACAAGAGGGGCCTCCTCAAAATGCAGGAGGCTGAGGTGGGTGCACACAGAAGTTCAAGACTAGCCTGGGCAACATAGCAAGACCGTGTCTTTACAAAAAATACAAAAATTAGCCGGGTGTGGTGGTGTATGTCTGTGGTCCCAGTTACCCAGGAGGCTGAGGTGGGAGGATGGCTTGAGCCCAGGAGGTAGAGCTGCAGCGAGCTGAGATAGCACCACTGCACTCCAGCCTGGGCAACAGAGTGAGACTTCATCTCAAAAAAAAGTTAAAAAAAATTTTAAAAAGGATCACCCTGGCTACTTGAATAGGTAATAAGAAGGTAAGAGCAGAAGCAAGGAGACCAGCAGGGAGATTCTGCAGGTGGGAGTCCACAGTGGCTCAGACCAGGCTGGCGCTGAAGACTGCCTGAATTCTATATATATATTGATGATGAAGCAACTCACGGACTCTTGAAGAGTGGGCTCTAGGAGACTGGATTTTTAACAAGCTCTCAGAGGATTCTAATGCAGGCTGAAGTTGAAGAACTGGTTTAGGTGAAGCTTCTGTTTCATCCTTGGGGAAGTACCTACTGACTTTTCTCTAAGTCACCTAAAAAGAGGTGCTAGACAAGATGTGCTCCAATGTCTGAACATGTGTGCACAGCTCTAGAGCCAACCTCAGGACACTGAGTCAAAGGTTAGGAGTACAATAGTGAACAACCACTGTCCTCTTTTCAATGAGCTTTGCATTTAGTGAGAGAAATAAAAAGCAAAAAAAAAATCATTTTCAACACAGAATGGTAAAAGTTATGGTGACAGTATGTCTGGGGCAATGGGAGCACATAGAAGAGGCACCCGATTGGCTAGGTGCAGCTGTTCATGCCTGTAATCCCAGCACTTTGGGAGGCCAAGGTGGGTGGATGACTTGAGGCCAGGAGTTCAAAAACAGCCTGGCCAACATGGTGAAATCCTGTCTTTACTAAAAATACAAAAAAATTAGCCAGATGTGGTGGCGGGCACCTGTATTTCCAGATACTCAGAAGGCTGAGGTGAGAGAATTGCTTGAACCTGGGAGGCGGAGATTGCAGTGAGCCAAGATCGTGCCCCTGCACTCCAGCCTGCACGGTCAGAGCGAGACTCCATCAAAAAAATAAATAAATAAATAAATAAAAGCCCGGAGGTGGGTGGGCATGCAATCTCTATCAGGTGGTGAGAAATCCTTCTCCACCACAGGACTCCTCAGTTGAAGACTAGAAAATGGTAGGAATTAGCCAGGTCGATAGGAGAGGTGTGGAAGATCATTCCCAGCAGGGGGAAGAGCATGTGCAAAAATCGAGACGTGAGAGGGTGAGGAGCTGAGAGATGTTCATATAATTATAAAAAGTGACTAATATAGAGGTAAGTTGGAGCCAAATCTTAAAGGCTCTTTGTCGTGTTTATCCTGTACACAAAGGGAGACAGTAGATGTTTTTAGGCAGGGGAGTAATGATCCACTTTGTGCTATAAAAAGAGCAGTCTGGCTGGAGGAGAGTGGGAGGTGAGTAGACCAGGTAGTAGGCTGCAATAAGCCAAGTGAGACAAGTTGGTTGGCTGGACCAAGGCTGTGGCAGTGAGGATGGAGAAGAGACAGTAGACTAACTTGACGAGAAAGAGGGAGGAACGAAGGAGGAGGCCCAGGTGTTTTGGAAGCTGGGTGGATGGTGGTGTGAATCTGACGTGCTGAGCCCAGGCAGAAGAGGAAATCAGGAGAGGCAAGGTAAGATGAGGTCAATGCAAGAAAGACAGTCAAATAGAGATAACAACTGGGCCATTGGATTCATCAGCCTGGAGTTATACAGAGAGCTCTGGAATGGAAATAAAGAGGAAAGGACTTTGGGAATAGGTGAATCCTCCCAGAATAATGTATAGAGAAAGGAGAATAGAACACAGGGGACAGAAAAAGGGAAGAGATTTGTTATTAAAACCAACCATCCATCAGACATCTTCCAATACAACACTTGTTAGAGGTTTCCTCAGTGTGAGTTATTCAGGACCAGAGCTAAAGACCATATTCCCAATAACATCACTGCTGGGAAGGTCTTCATGAAAACATTTAATGCTGCTTTTAAAACAACAACAACAACAAAAAGGCTTTAGCTACCGCACAGACCCTGGAGCAATTTTTCGGCAAGAGTCTATCAAACACGAATCTGATCTGACTCAAGGAGGTGTCATATCAAGTGTAAAAATCCAATTCCAATGTCCATAACAGCCTTTCTTCCAGGTACAAGACCCTAATCCAGTTGAAGTGATTTTCTATTGATTAATAGGCTGGGAATACACAGGTTGTTGGTTTTTGAGATTTCCCTCCCTGTGCCTTCATGCTAGCTGTGAAAGAGTCAAAAGGCTCCTAACTGTCAAAATAAAATTGACACTTGGTCACAGAGGAAACAGATTATAGGTCAATCACATTGATGACTTTTTAACTATGAGAAGCCATTAATGTTACTGAATAAGCAAATCTGTTTGCATAACCAGATTTTTATAGGCTACTGGGAATAAAGGTTTTCCTAAGTAGGTGATTTGTACAACGATAGCCTTTGGGTCTCTGATGGAACAGCTCTGATGAGGAAATGTTCCTTTAATTATGTGGAAGGCCAATTACCACGTTATAGCCACATTGTTTTGCAGATTACATATAATTTCACCATTTCCATAGCTTCAGCACTATAATTCTGGAGAAAATTCAGGCACCAAGGGGACATTGAGGCACACTATGCTGGAGACAAAGATGTTTTAGCGAATTCAATTTAAGCTTCAACATTAAAGTTATTTTGTTGAATAAAACAATGCAATAATGAGCTTGTGTCTGTCAACTCTATAGTGCAGGTAATAACAGCTAGAGAGAGCATGTCGCGTCTCCTCTTTTTAATGCTCATTCAAGTAATACATAATGCTATAGAGAGAAACTTTCTCTAATATGTGCTTCATCTCAGGCTAAGCCTGTTTTGGGCAACTGTCCTTCATGAGAAAAAAAAAAAGTAAAGGATCTAATTTGGGAGCCATTCACAAAAGTGCTACCACTTGATGTTTTTTTATACTCTGAGATTTCTTATTCCCAGTGCCAACCAGGAATGGACTTTCTGGAGAAGCTCAGATTAATCACTCCTTATTAGAGGTGACAGCATGCTGGCAGCCCTCACAGCCCTCGCTCGCTCTCAGCACCTCCTCTGCCTGGGCTCCCACTTTGGCGGCACTTGAGGAGCCCTTCAGCCCGGGGTTGCATGGTGGGAGCCCCTTTCTGGGCTGGCCAAGGTCGGAGCTGGCTCCCTCAGCTTGCAGGGAGGTGTGGAGAGAGAGACGTGAGCCGGAACCGGGGCTACGCACACTGCTTGCCTGCCGGCTGGAGTTCCGGGTGGGCGTGAGTTTGGCAGCCCCGCACTAGGAGCTGCCGGCCAGCCTTGCCGGCCCGGGCAATGAGGGGCCTCGCACCTGGGCCAGCAGCTGCTGTGCTCGACTTCTCGCCGGGCCTTAGCTGCCTCCCCGCGGGGCACGGCTCGGGACCTGCAGCCCGCCATTCCTTAGCCTCTCCACTCCGTGGGCTCCTGTGCGGCCCGAGCCTCCCCGACGAGCACCGCCCCCTGCTCCACGGCACTCAGTCCCATCGACCACCCAAGGGATGAAGAGTGTGGGCGCACGGAGAGGGACTGGCAGGCAGCTCCACCTGCGGCTCCTGTGCGGGATCCACTGGGTGAAGCCAGCTGGGCTCCTGAGTCTGATGGGGACTTGGAGAACCTTTATGTCTAGCTAAGGGATTGTAAATACACCAATCGGCACTCTGTATCTAGCTCAAGGTTTGTAAACACACCAATCAGCACCCTGTGTCTAGCTCAGGGTTTGTGAATGCCACAATCGACACTCTGTACCTAGCCATTATGGTGGGGACTTGGAGAACCTTTGTGTGGACACTCTGTATCTAGCTAATCTAGTGGGGACGAGGGGAGCCTTTGTGTCTAGCTCAGGGATTGTAAATGCACCAATCAGCGCCCTGTCAAAACAGACCACTCAGGCTCTCTGTAAAATGGACCAATCAGCAGGATGTGCGTGGGGCCAGGTAAGAGAATAAAAGCAGGCTGCCTGAGCCAGCAGTGGCAACCCGCTGGAGTCCCCTTCCACACTGTGGAAGCTTTGTTCTTTTGCTCTTTGCAATAAATCTTGTTGCTGCTCACTCTTTGGGTCCACACTGCCTTTATGAGCGGTAACACCGAGAAGGTCTGCAGCTTCACTCCTGAAGCCAGTGAGACCATGAACCCACCGGGAGAAATGAACAACTCCAGACGTGCAGCCTTAAGAGCTGTAACACTCTCCATGAAGGTCTGCAGCTTCACTCCTGAGCCAGTGAAACCACAAACCCCACCAGAAGAAAGAAACTTCGAACACATCCCAACATCAAGAGGAACAAACTCCAGACATGCCACCTTTAAGAACTGTAGCACTCACCAGGAGGGTCTGCAGCTTCATTCTTGAAGTCAGTGAGACCAAGAACCCACCAATTCCAGACACACTTATACACTTGGCACTGGGAGGTCTGTATGGAGCAAGTGAAGAAATCAGCAGAGTGAAGATAGAGGGATAACAACATGATGGGGGAAAGGCAAAGTTACTGCCATGTTGGTTTCAATTCTGCCACTCATGAGTGAGACCCATGACCTCCTCTCTCTAGGATTCTGTTGTTCTTATCTGTAGAGGGAGGAATAGAAGGGCCTTTTAAAGTATTAACATTTCCTGACCTATCTGTAAAGCACTTTCATTCAAACTGATGGGAATCTTGACTACTTTGCCAAGAGGACATAATAATCATCAACCTGAATGCACCAAACAACATTGCCTGAAACTATCTAAGCAAAACTGAGAAAGTTACACAGGACAGACAAACCTCCTATGAGAGTAAGAACTCTTCAGCCCATGCTTAGTGTGTCAAAGACAATGCTGGGTTCACACCATTCCTCTTCCTCTACATGCAGAAAGACTACATTTCCCAGCCTCACTTGCAGTTAGTTTGGAACCATGTGACTGCATTTCCACCAATAGGAATGTAAGAAATCACTTCTGCGCCAAGGTTATCAAAGGCAAGTGTGAGCTATGTTCCCTCTCTTCCTATCCATATGGCTAGAAGTGAAAAACTCTGAGATGGCAGAATTAAAAGATGGAAAGCTCCAGAATCTCTGAATCACTGTTGGACAAGGGCCCCCAAGGAGAACCCCTGCCCTGCATCAGACTATGCTATGTGTGCCAACCCACTGAGAGTTCAGGGTTTATTCATCTCAGCAGCAGTCTATTGTTACACTGACCAACATGCTAAGGTTTGAGAGATCTAGCATATTGTTAAATGAAGCTAGATTTCAATTACACTGAGAACCTTATCTATTTAAAAATAAAAACTCTTCAAAAAAAAACAAATAATCCACATTCCTTTTAACCACATGTGGCAAATTTGCAAAAAAAAAAAAAAAAACAACAACAACAACAACAACAACAACTGGCCACATATTAGGCCATAAAGAAGTCTCAACAAAATCCACTACACGATTGACATTGTCCAGACCACATTATCCTGACCATAATGCAACAAAATTAGAAGTCAACAGCAAGAAGATAGCTAAACACAAGCATACATTTGGAAAATTAAAAATATCCTTTCATGAGTTAAATGAAAAATCACAATAGTAATTACTAAACATTTACAACTGAACGAAAACACATCTTTATTTATATATATATATTATATATATATATATATATATGTTTTTTTTTGCATGGGTCTTCCAACTTTATTCTTCTTTTATAAGGTTATTTGGGAAATTCTGGGTCTCCTGCAATTCTTCATACAGTTTTATGCTGTTTGTCAATTTCTGTGGCTGGGATGAACTTATCGTAGTTCTCATAGACCAGGGTTTGCATGTCGCTGTCTAGAGCCCGGATCTGCTGCGCCATGTCCGTCTCACTGTCTATCAGCTGGGCCAGAGGGCACTCTCTAGGAAGCTTGTCTAGGTAAACTTCCGGGTCGAAGTGCGCCCCGTTCAGATCAGTGGGGTCCAGGGGGTCGGTCCCCGCGGGGAGTCCCACCGCCTCCCCTTTCGAGAGGCCGTTGTAAAGCTTTAGCATTCTGTGCGCCTTCCGCCGACGCTCCGTGAGCCTCCCCCTCGGGCCCTTCTGGGGAGTCCCCAGGTCCACACTCCGGGCTAGGCCCAGTGACAGCTGCCGCCGCCATAGCTCCAACTGCAGCCCACGGGCGTAACTTTTTTTATTTTTAAGTTGGATACATGAAGATACTTGGCTTTTGCTTTCATCACATCGTTGAGGAAAGAGGGGGTTGCTTATGGTACCCCTGTTTTTACTGAAACCTGTAATGGATGAGAACCTCCCTGTTGCAGAGAGCAAAACACTGAACTAAATTGTGCTGTAACACAGCCCTGTGTTGGGGGATTGGGAGTGATCATGCAAACGCTTGCAAATTTGCACAGTGACAGAGACAATCGTTTGGGCAGCTGTTCACTATATGAAAAGGCAATTGACCAAAAGTCAGTTACTGAGCTATCTCAATACTTTCATTTTATTTTAACTTTTGGCAGCAGGGTGCAATTAAAGGAAAGAAAGAAAACAAAGTGATAAGTGTAAGATAATGTGCACACATGTGTAAAAGAAAATGACAAGACAGGATGACTATTTGTCTCTTGGTTAGCTCCCTGGGCTCTATGTCTCCTTCCTCAGAGAACCTCGTTTTCCTTTGTCCAGATTTCTTGGGGTGGATAATCCAGTTGCCTGCACCCCCATGATGGAAGCCAAAGACGTCCCTGGAGCAGCCTCCCGCTGCATCCTTTCCTGCACTGCCCACATGGACACAACTCAGCCTATTAGACATCCTCTCAGAACTTTAGTCTTGAGCAAAGGGATTCAAGGGTGAAGTGACTGAAGGTATGCCCTTCCAAAGTGGTACGTGAGCTAATGGCTAAAGTTTGCCAAGCCCATCTAAGCACTTTTTTTCGTAATTTTTATTTATTTATTTTTTTGAGGCAGAGTCTTGCTCTGTTGCCCAGGCTGGAGTGCAGTGGCGTGATCTTGGTTCACTGCAACCTCTGTCTCCCAGCTTCAAAGGAGTCTCCTGTCTCAGCCTCCCCAGTAGCTGGGATTACAGGCATACGCCACCATGCATGGCTAATTTTTTTTTTCTTTTTTTTTGTATTTTTAGTACAGACAGGGTTTCACCATGTTGGCCAGGCTGGTCTTGAACTTCTGACCTTGTGATTCACCTGCCTCAGCCTCCCAAAGAGCTGGGATCACACGCGTGAGCCATTGCGCCCAGCTTCAAGAAGTTTTAAGCAGAGCTCAGAGGTTTTAACCACAGGCACATCGGAGGAGCATTTTTGAAACACTTTCCAGCTTCCTCAATAGGAATGGAAGCCAAACTCTGAATTGATGACTCCTTTGAGGAAGTCAAGAGCTGTAAGGAAAGCCAGGAACAGGGGCAAGGGAGAGATGCGTCCCGGATGAACCTGTGCCAATTCTTTCTGGAATCCTCGATGTGATCTCAGCTGTCCTTTCTATACTTGACACAGTGATTGTGGCACCCACTTGTCGAGCTGTGGTCTACAAGGAACCCCCAAAGGGAAGGGCACAGTGAGCAGGGCCATCCGCCTGAGTGACGAGGATTTGAGAGGGCAGGTTGGTTGCAGGGAGAGGACTGGCCAAATGCCATGTGTCTGGACTTAGACTGCCTGGTTCAAATTGGACTTCACCCTTTTTGACTTCGTGATCTGCTACAAGCTACATGAAAATCCGTTGCGCCTTTTCTAGTCTGTAAAATCATCCTGAAATGTGCACTAATAAGATGGAGACTATGCAGATGAAATGAAACAAGCTGCATAGAGCACAGAGCTCAGAGCCTGGCCTTTAGGAAGCCCTCAGTAAGGGTTCATGATGCCATGGTGTCTGTCGTCATCCTCTTTATCCTCATCATCACCTTCATAATCTTTTTGTTGTTCTTAGGGAATAGTTTAGAGGGACTGAGTGTCTGCTATCATGGGTGAGATGTCTATGAAAAGGACAACCAGTGGGGGAAGAAAGCAAAATTTTGAATAAGATTTCTGAGACCCCCACCACAACAAAGAACAGAAACTCCACAGTCTGCTGAGCAGAGAGTTGCATATTGGTGTCCTCACATCTGCCCACCGCACTCTCCAATTTGTCCTGAGGATGAGGAAACAAACAAGACCCCCAACCGTCCCTCAGCACTCACTTGAAAGTGTGGCCTGCCTCTCCACACCTGTGGGTATTTCTAGTCGGGTGGGACGAGAGACTGAGAAAAGAAATAAGACAGAGAGAAAAAGTATGGAGAAACAACAGTGGACCTAGGGGACCGGCGGTCAGCATACCAAGGACCTGCATCGGCACAGGCCTCTGAGTTCCCTCAGTTTTTATTGATTATTATTTTTATTATTTTAGCAAAAAGGAATGTAGCAGGAGGGCAGGGTGATAATAAGGAGATGGTCAGCAAAGAACATGTGAGCAATAGAATCTATGTCATAAGGAAGTTCAAGGGAAGGTACTATGACTGGACGTGTGCATAAGCCAGATTTATGTTTCTCTCCACCCAAATATCTCAGTGGAGTAAAGAATAACAAGGCAACATTGCTGCAAACATGTCTCACTTCTCAACATAGGGCGGTTTTTCCCCCATCTCAGAATTGAACAAATGTACAATCAGGTTTTATACTGAGACATTCAGTTCCCAGAGGCAGGCAGGAGACAGCGGCCTTCCTCTCTCTCAACTGCAAGAGGCTTTCCTCTTTGACTAATCCACCTCAGCACAGACCCTTTACGGGAGTCGGGCTGGGGGACGGTCAGGTCTTTCTCATCCCACGAGGACACTTTTCAGACTATCACATGGGGAGAAACCTTGGACAATACCCTGCTTTCAAGGGCAGGGCTCCCTGCGGCTTTCCACAGTGCATCGTGCCCCTGGTTTATTGAGACTAGAGAATGGCAATGACTTTTACCAAGTATACTGCTTGGAAACATCTTGTTAACAAGGCACGTCCTGCACAGCCCTAGATCCCTTGAACATTGATTTCATACAACACATGCTTTTGTGAGCTTCAGGTTGGGTCAAAGTGGTTGGTTGAAAGTGACTGGGGCAAAGCTGCAGATTAACAACTTCTCAGCAAAGCAATTGTTGAAAGTACAGGTCTTTCTCAAAATGGAGTCTCTTATGTCTTCCCTTTCTACATAGACACAGTAAGAGTCTGATCTCTCTTTCTTTTCCCTACCCTCACTGAACTGCCCTTCCCCTCTGCTGGGCCATGACCACGGAGAACAGGTCCACTCTCATCCCCACTTGGTGCACCATGGAGGCTCAGACTCCGTCCTCAAGGCTGGCAAGAAGACAGGGTGAGACATGAGCCCCCTGATCCAGGTGACGGGAGTGGAGTCCACAGGACTGAAACCCCACACTGCAGGACTGGAGGCACAGACGGAGTATTTACTATTCTGTGGCCTGTGGGGCTCAAGGAACAGAGCTCCTCATTAGCCAAAGTCGCCCAAGTTCCCCAACCTCTAAGGATTTCCCCAAAATATTGCAAGAAGAAGAAGAGAAAAGTGAGTGTCCATAGAAGCCTTGGGGCTCTTCCTCTAATCAGGAGAAAGCTGGGTGTGTATTCTTCGCTTCTTTCTTTTCTTTTTTAAACATCCAACTGCTTTAATTTTCATCTTTTATTATCAGAAAATATACCACGTATAAATATTAAAAATTATAAATATATATTAGTTCATATAGAATGGCCAGCATACACATTTACAATTTCCACTTTTTTTCAGTTTACATTTTAATGACATTAAGTACATTCACATTGTTTAGCAACCATCACTGCCATCGTCTCCGGAACAGTTTTATCTTTCGAAATGGAAATTCCACCCATTCACCAAGCTCTCCACTCCTCTCTCTCGCCCACCCCTGGGGGCCACCTTTCTAGTTTGCAACTCTATGAGTTTAACTACTCTAGACAGTTCCTAGAAAAGTGGAATCATACCGTGTTTAATTTTTTTGTTTTGGAGACAGAGTCTTTCTCTGTCACCCCGGCTGGAGTGCAGTGGCGTGATGTCGCCTCACTGCAACCTCCACATCGTGGGTTCCAGCGATTCTTGTGCCTCAGCCTCCCGAGTAGCTGGGTCTATAGGCACACGCCACCACGCTCATCTCATTTTTTGCATTTTCAGTAGAGACAGCGTTTCACCAAGATGGCCAGGCTGGTCTTGAATTCCTGACCTCAGGTGATCCGCCCACCTCGGTCTTCCAAGACGCTGCGATTACAGGCTTGAGCTACCGCAGCGGCCAGAAGTGCCTGCCTTTTGAAGGCTGAATAGTCTTCCATTGTATGAAGGAACTGCAGTGTGCTTTTTCATTCATCTGTCCACGAACCCTTCGGTTGCTTCCACATTTTGGCTGTTGTGAATAATGCTGCTATGAATATGGGTGTACACAAATCTGTCTTCCACTCCTGGCTTCTAATTCTTTTTGGTATGTACCCACAAATGCAACTGCGGGAACATCTGATCATTCTGTTTCTAATTTTTCCAGTTAGACGCCATACTATTTTCCCCGTTCCTTCACGGTTTTACATTCCCTCCGATCATATTCGAGCATTCCTACTTCCCTCTAGTCTCGCCAATGCCTGTTTGTTTATCATATCCATCCTAATGTTTGGTAACACATTCTTGGTTTGATTTGCGCTTCCCTATGATGAGTGATTTTGAACATCATTTTAGATGCTTATTGGCCATTGCTATATCTTCTTTAGGAACACGTCTACTCGAGTCTTCTGACCATTATTGATGGGATGCTTTGGGTTTCTTGTTGTTTAGATCTAGCTGTTCTTTATATATGATGGATATCAACCTCTTTTCAGATATATGCTTTGCAAATATTTTTCCTAATCCATGGGTTATCTTTTCACTCAGTTCGCAGTGTTTTTTGCTGCACAAAAGTGTCTGTCATTTAGATGTAATCCAAGGAATCTAATTTTCTTTTGTTGCCTATGCTTTTGTTGTCATATTCCAGAGAACATTGCCCAATCTGATGTCATGAAAGCGTGGCCAATGTTTTCCTTTAGGCGTATGATACTTTTAGCGCTTGGGGTGAGGTCTTTGATCCAGTTTGTGTTAATTTTTGCACCTGGTGTGACATAGGGTCCACCTTCATTCTTCTGCATGTGGAAATCAAGTTTCTCCAACACCATTTCTTGAAAAGGCTGCTTTTCCACCAATGAGCTTTCTTAGCACTCATGTGAAAAATCATTTGAACATATAGGTGGGAAGTTATTTCTGGGCTCCAAAACAAACAAACAACAACAGACAACAGATAAGGATACAGCATGGGCCGGGCGAGGTCGCTCACGCTTGTAATCCCAGCACTTTGGGAGGTCGAGAAGGGCTGATCACCTGAGGTCAAGAGTTGAAGACCAGCCTGAACGACAGGGAGAAACCCCCGTCTCTACTAGAAATACAACATTAGCTGGGCGTGCTGGCTTATGCCTGTAATCCCAGCTACTCGGGAGGTGGAGGCAGGAGAATCACTTGAACCCAGGAGGCAGAGGTTCCGGTGAGCCAAGATTGCACCATCACACTTCAGCCTGGGCAACAAGAGCGAAACTCCATCTCAAAACAAAAAACAAAAAACAAAAAACCAGCGTGATTTCAAGAGCAGAAAGAGAAGAGCTTAAAAACCAGCATAATGAGAAAGTTAGGAAGTTTCTTACCAAACCATCTGGAATTATGCAAGAAATTCTTGTGAAGTAAAATTTTCATACTGTACTATCAAACACTAGAACTCACTTATTCCATCTTTCTGTATTTCGGGACCCAATTATCCACTTGTCTTCATTCCCCATCCCACCCCTTTTCTTCGTAGCGTCTGCTAACCTCCTTTATACTTTCCACCTTACTCAGATTCCTTTTGTGTGTAGGTGTAGGATGGAGTCTCTTTCTGTTGCCCAGGTTGGAGTACACAGGCACAATCCGGGCTCACTGCGAGCTCCGCCTCCCGAGTTCAAGCGCTTCTTGGGCCTCAGCCCTCCCAGTAGCTGAGACTACAGGCACACGTCACCAAGCCCGACTAATTGTTTGTTTTTTCCGTAGAGACGGGGTTTCACCATGTTGGCCAAGCGGGTCTCGAACTCCTGGACTCAAGTGATCCATGAGACTCGGCCTCCCAGAGTGCTGGGATTAAAGGCCTGAGCCACCACACGTGGCCAAGGTTTCCTTTTTTCTTCCTACATAGAAGTGAGGACATGAAATATTTGTAATTCTGTGCCTGGCTTCTTTCATTTAATATACAGACCTGCAATCTCATCCATTTTGTCTGCAGCGGAGAGGAGTTTCTTCCTTTTTAGGCTGAATAATACTTCATTGGGTGTGTATACCACAGTTTCTTCATTGAAACAAATTTCTAAAGAGCACATATTTTAAAAGACTCGGAATATGAAACTTCAGGGATACTGGGCCTATTTTATTCTTTTCTATTTCACATCTTACGTATATGCAAGTGTATAACAAAGCAGCAATTGATGTGTGCATAAATCTATAACTTCAACAAATGTAAAATGCAAATGCTAAGTGGTGGCTGGGTGTGGTCGTTCATGCCTGTAATCTCAGCACTTTGGGAGGCGGAATCGGGCGGATCACCTGAGGTCGGGAGTTCAAGACCAGCCTGACCAAAATGGAGAAACACTGTCTCTATTAACAATACAAAAAAAAAAAATAGCCAGGCATGGTAGCGCATGCCTGTAATCCCAGCTACTTGGAAGCCTGAGACAGGAGAATTGCTTGAATACGGGAGGCAGAGGTTGCAGTGAGCCGAGATCGTGCCATCGAACTCCAGCCTGGGCAACAAGAGTGAAACTCTGACTCAAAAAAAAAGGAAAAGAAAGAAATAGAAAATGCGAAATGGCAAGAAAAAACAGCATAATAAACATTGGTATGGTGTTGATGGACAATGCATTTGAAGATAATATTTGAAGAAATTATATTACAATTACTTTCTGTTCTAACTCATTGGAGCTTGATGCCTCTAAAAACTTCGTCATTGGAACCACCGCTGGTGCTTTAAAAGAAAAAAAAAATCCACACACTCACACAGGTGCAAGGAAATCAGAATCTCAGGTATTGAGACCCAGGCCTCATCATCTGTAAGCTCCCCAGGTGATTTGACTCAAAGCCAAGATTGAGGAACGGCGACATGGATCTCTCCACAGAACCTGCCTAAATAGATTCTCTAGAAGCAGTTTATAAAGAAATTCCACAGGAACTGTGGAAGAGGATATGAATTTGATGTACAGTATGTCCTCACTTAACATCTTTGAAAGTCTCTTGGAAACTTCAACTTGAAGCAAAATTATGTATAGTGAAACCACTTATTTTTCATCAACAGTATAACTACACAACTTTGAACAACCAGTAGTGTTGGAGGACCTCCTGTACATTGTTTCCATAAAGTCAGTTTTCAGGGAATTCCAAAACGAAGTGAGGACTTCGTGTATATAAAAAGATGGTTGTGATTCCACCCGGATGACAGGGTTATTGCTCAGAAACTAAAAGAGGCCGCCTAGGTATAGAGGATCCTGTCATGAGGTTTCTGTTAAACCAAGGATCCCAGAATCCTCACCCATTCCAGTTAAAGGCATAACGAAGAAAGCAATATTCACAAAGGAAATGTGGAAAGGAATAAAAGCCATCAAGCCACAAAAATAATGTGACTAAGGGGCAGGATTTGCAGATGTAGAGATTTAATGTGGTTACCCTTTCTCACCCACACAAGAAAAAGGATGGAACAGATCATGAGATTCCACTGTTCTGCTGCGCAGCCTCCGCAGGGCACTTTGTATGTCCCTGTTTCTCAGGCTGCAGATGAAAAGGTTCAGCATGGGGGTGATCACAGCGTACATCACTGACGCCACCACACCATTCCTGGGGGGTGGTGACACAGCTGAAGCCAGGTACATGCCAATGCCTGTTCCATCAAATCAGCAAACAACTGCCAAGTGAGAGCCACGTATGGAGAAGCCTTTATACTTCCCATCTGACGATGAAATCCTTAGAATGGAGGGGACAATTTTATAGTAAGACAAAAAGATCCCTGAAATGGGAAGAAAACCAAACGTAGTACTATCGAAATATATGAATATGCTATTGATGACGCTGTCAGAACAGGCAAGTTTGAGAAGTTGAGAGGGGTCACAGACAAAATGAGAGAATTCCACATTCTTGATGATGGTGAATTGTAACACAATCCAACTGTGCAGCTGGGAATCCAACAGGCTAAGGAAAAAGGACACCAAAACGAAGAAGACACAGAGGTGAGGATTCACGATGACTGGGTAGTGCAGAGGGCGACAGATGGCTACAAAGCCGTCATAGGCCATCACAGTCAGGAGCATGCCTTCTATACATGCAAAAAGGACCAAGAAATACATCTGTGTCAGGCAGCCTGCGTGAGAGATGACTCTGCTATGCGACTGCATGTCCACAATCATCTTGGGAACCGTGGCCGAGGTGAAACCGATGTCAGCCCAGCACAGGTTGGAGAGGAAGAAGTACATGGGGGTGTGGAAGGGGGAGTCAGAGCTGACAGCCAGGATGCTGAGCAGGTTCCTCAGCACCGTGACCAGATACGTGGACAGGGACAGGGACAGCAAAGTGAGGACGGGCTGCAGTTCTGGATCCTCTGAGAGTCCCAGGAGGAGGAATTCTCAGACACCTGTGAGATTCCGTGGCTCTGTGTGTCTTGGACACCTTGAGAAGGAAAGAGGATTGCAAAATAAAAGATAAAAACCAGCCCTTAATGTTGGATGCAAGCAATTCACAAGGAACATCTTGACACTTGCGGACCATACACCGCCAGCAATGTTTCTCAGTTGTGACAATTCCAAAAATCTCAGAATTTTTACGTGATTTACTTTTTAGCTATACGAGGCTTTCTGTACATACTACTTTAGAGAAAATCCACTGAAGAATATTAGAAGACCAAAATGTCATATATAACAAATCCGTGATCTCAGTAAAATACGGCCTACTCTTTTCAGAAAAAATACAATGCAATGAAAATGTCCTTCTCTCTTTCAGAAAAAGATCTCAGTCAAATTGAAAGAAATTAAGAAGCCGTGAAATACACTCTACTTTACTCTGACACCGTGCTGCAACTTCCATTGATGTAGAACATGTAAAAGGACGACACGAGAGCTAGGACCCCATTATCTGAAAACGAAATGGAACCTTATAGTTCTCAATCGGAAGACCTTTTCATATGCCTATTACTTTTCATATTTATTATCATCCTTCGGTTTTCTGACATCACTTCTTCATAAAAGTACACGCACACTCAAAAATGGGAGCTGTGTTTCCAAATGAATTGAATCTGTAACTCTTGGCCCAGCACCATGGCTCACAATTGTAATCCCAGCACTCTGGATGACCGAGGCTGATGGATCAACTGAGGTCACGAGTTCCAGACCAGCCTGGCCAACGTGGTGAAACCCCGCCTCCAGTGAAAATAAAAAAAAACTTAGCCAGGCGTGGTGGCGGGTAACCCTAGCTACTCGGGAGGCTGAAGCAGGAGAATCCCTTAGAACATGGAAGGCAGAGATTGGACACCCTGTGATAGGATTTTTGATATCCTAGGGAGATATTGCTCCTGACAGTAGAGTGGGCGTACACCCTGTGATATTATTTGTAATATCCTAGAAAGATATTGCTCCTAATATCACGGTGGCTCTACACCCTGTGATCTTAATTGTAAAATGCTACAGAGATATTCCTCCTAATAATACAGTGGATGTACACCCGGTGATATTATTCATAATATATTACACAGATACGACTCCTGATATCACAGTGAGTGTACACCATGTTTGTACACCCTGTGATCTTATTTGTAACAACTTTGAAAAATATTACAGCTAATATCAAAGTGGGTGTACACCCTGCGATGTTATTTGTTATCTACTAGGAAGATATTACTCCTAATATCACAGTGAGTGTACACCATGTGTGTACAGACTGTGAAATTATTCGTAATACCCTAGGAAGATATTACTCCTCATATCACCGTGGGTATACACTGTGAGTGATTTTTTTTCTAATATCCAGCAGGGGAGAGGATGATATTACTTCCAATATCACAGAAGGTGTACACCCCCCTGTGATATTGTTCCTAATATCCAGGGAAGGAGAGGATGACATTATTCACAATATCACTGGGGGTGTACCACCTCCCGCCGGGATATTGTTCTTAATATCCGGAGGTGGAGAGAATCATGTTACTCCCAATATCACAGGGGGTGTACACCACCCCTGTTTGTAAATGTCCCCTGTGATATTGTTCCAAATGGCCTGTGAAAGCGTAAACATGACTCCCTTTATCGCGGGGGGTGTTCAGCCCTGATGATATTGTTTTCTAACATCCAGGGAAGGAGAGTATGTTATTACTCCCAATATCGCAGGGGTTGTACAACCTTTTGTGTTTTTGTGCCCAATATCCAGCAAAATAGAGGATGATATTACTCCCAATGTCGAAGAAAACGTATACCCGCGCTGTGGTATTTTTCCCAGTATCCAGGTGGGGAGAGGATCCTATTACTTCCAATGTCGCAGGATGTGTACACCCCCTCTGTGATCTCGTTGCTAACATCCAGGTTTCGGGAGGACGACATTACTGCCAATATCGCAGGGGAAGCACACGCCCCTGTGACCTTGTTAGTCATTTCCTGGGTGGAGAGGATGATCTTACTCCCAATATCGCAGGGGGTGCACAAACCCTTGTGAAAATCTTCCTATATTCAGAGGGAGAGAGGATGATATTACTCCTAGTACCGCAGGGGGTTTCCAGAGCCCCGTGATCCTCTTCCTAATATCCACAGGGAGAGAGGATGATATGACTCCCAATATCGCAGGGGGTGTACACAACCCTGTGATATTGTTCCTAACATCCAGAGCGAAAGAGGATGATATGACTCTCAATATCGCAGAGGGTGTACACCCCTCCTGTAATATTGTTCTGAATACCCTGGGAGGGAGAGGATAAGGTTACGTTGAATATCGCAGGGAATGTACACCCTCCCCCTCTGATACCCTTCCTAGTATCCAGGGGGAGAGAGGAAAATTTCACTCCCAATATCACAGAGGCAGTACACCCCACCTGTGATGTTGTTCCCAATATGCAAGGGGGGACAGGATGATACTACTCTCAATATCACAGGGCTGTTCACATCCCCAGTGACATTTTTTCCTAATATCTAGGGGAGAGACAATTCTATGACAGCAAAGGTCGCAGGGTCTGTACATCCCTTCCTCATATTGTTCCTAATATCCAGGGGGGAAGAGGATGATATCAAATATGAAAGGGGGTGTACATCCCCCACCCCTACGATATTGTTCTTAATAATCGTGAGGGGAGATGATGATATTACTCCAAATATCGCAGGGATTGTTCACAACCCCCTGTGATATTGCTTCTGATATCCGGGGGGGAGAAAATCATATTACTGACAATATTGTAGGTGGTGTATACCCCACCTGAAATATGGCACCGAATATCCAAAGAGGGAGAGGATGGTATTCATACCAATATCGAAGTGTGTGTACACGCCCCTTGTGATATGGTTTTTAATATCCAGTGGGCGGGAGGATGATATTAGTCCCAACATCCCAGAGGCTGTACACTACCCCTGTGATATTGACCCTAACTTCCAGAGGGGAGAGGGTGGTATCACCCCCAGTATCTCAGAAGTTGTACATCCCCCGTGATATTGTTCGTCATATCCAGGGAGGCGCAGGATGACATTCCATTGAATTTCGCGACAGGCGTACACGCACAGTGTGATATTGTTCCTAATATCCAAGAAGGGAGAGGATGATATTACTCCCAATAAAGCAGTGGTTGTACATCATCCCTGTGTTATTGTCTCTAATATCCGGGGCCGGGGGAGGGAGGGAGAGGATAATATTCTCTCAAATTTAGCAGGTGGTTTGACGCCCCTTGCGGTGTTGTTTTAAATATCCAGCGGGGAAGACAATAGTACTGTTTTTGATAGTCCGATTCATCCGCTCCACCTTTCCGGAACTCTGAGGCCGGGAGGCGGCATGCAGTTTGCGTGTGATCCCCAATACCTTTGCGGTCTTCTGTACCAAGGCAGCCAAAAACGCAGGCCGGTTGTCTGAGCCGATCCGTAAGGGCGGTCGAAATCTAGGAATCACATCGCGAAGAAGCACAGGGGTTACTTCACGAGCTTTCTCAGTTCGTGTCGGATAGGCCTCCACCTACCCAGAGTAGGTACGCCCAAGAACTAGTATATACTTGTTACCTCCACACTTTGGCGTCTCTGTGAAGTCCACCTGGAGACCTTCAAAGGGGCTGCTCCATAAGCTCGTATGCCGGGCGGAACGGCTGCACCTTGCCTCGCATCATGCTGTCGGCAGCACACCGCTGCTTCACCGTTTTGGCAAGGGCTGACCAAGGCGTGATGTAGAAATACCGGCCTAACAACTTTTCCAGTGACTCCTGACCTCGATGGGTGGTTTCTTGCACAGCCAGTACAACTGCAGCTCCTAGCAGCTGTGGCACAGCTTCTCTCCCTTCTGGTAACCGAGTCCATCCTTCCTCCATCACTTGTCCTTCCCTCTACCTGGAGAAAGTCCTTTTCTTCTTTAGAAGAAGCAGGTCCAAGATTAGGTGCTTGAGGGAGCACTGATGCCCAGAAGGGGGCAGATGCTGCTTTTCAAGCCTCTGAGTCAGCGCGGGGATTCCCCAAACCCAGCAAAGTGGAAGCTCGCTGGTGTCCTCTGCAATGCCTAACTGCCACCTTGTGGGGTCTCCATACTGCTTCTAATCATTGCAAGATTTCTTGTTGATATTTTCTGTCTTTTCCCCCAGAGTTCAATAGGCCCTTTTCTTTCCATCACGCTCCATGCACTTGAAGGGTTAAAAAGACATACCGAGAATCAGTGTAAATGTTGACAGTCTCACCTTCACTGAGTTCTAAGGCCCGAATGAAAGCAATGAGTTCAGCTTTCTGGGCTGAAGTGGCCTGGGGCAACTATCCGGCTTCAACAACAGTGCCCAGGGTTATCACTGCATACCCTGCACCTCTCTCTCCTTGGGGGTTGAAGAAGCTGTTCCCATCCGCGTATAGTTCCCAGTCTACTGATGCCCAAGGCTGGTCCTGGAGGTCAGGTCTGCTAGAGTCAATTGAGTCCAACACTTCTACACAATCAGGCTCCACAGGGCTCTCTGATACCTGCAGCAAGGTGGGGGGGGGGGGTGTAGGGTGTTACAAACTTCCATGGTTATATGGGGATTTTCACAGAGCAAAGTTTGGTCCTTGGTGAGTCTGGCATTCATTAGCCAATGATGTCCTTTAGTGTTCATTAAAGTCACCACAGCACGGGAGGCCTTTATGTTCAGGTTTTGCCCAAGAGTCAGCTTATTGGCTTCTTGTACTGGGAGGGCAGTTGCTGCCAAGGCCCTCCAACAGGGGGGCCATCCTTTAGAAACGCCGTCTAGTCCTTGAGAGAGGTAGGACACCAGCCTCGGCCGGGGCCCCACAGTTTGGGTTCAAAGTCCAGCTGCCAACTTTTCTCTCTCTGATGCATACAATGGAAAAAGCTTTGTCAGATCGGGTAGCCCCAGGGCTGGCCCTGCCTGAAGTTTTTCCTATAACTCATGAAAGACTTGCTGTTGTTGGGATCCGCATTCCAAAAGTTCCCGGTCTCCGCCCCCTTGGTGACCTCATAAAAAGGCTGGCTACTTCTGCAAAGTTTGGGATCCACAGTCTACAAAAGCCCACAGCTCCTAAGAATTCTCTCACCTGCCTTCTGCCCTTAGGCTCCGCTAGATGGCAAATGACCTGCTTTCTTTCTGATCCTGGGCTGCGTTCTGACCCCTGTTGGATAGTCAATCCCAAGTAACCTACCTGCTGTCAGCAGATCTGAGCTTTCTTCTTGGACACCTTCTACCCACAGTCCTCCAGGTGCCAGTGTAGGGCATCTGTTCCCTTGGCACACCCGACTGCCGTGGGGTGTCCCAGCAGAAGGTCATCAACCTACTGGAGCAACACGCAGCCTAGGTCTCTGCTGGGAAACTTCTGGAGTTCTCGAGCCCACGCCTCCCTGAAGATGGTGGGGGAGTTCTTGAACCCTTGGGGAAGCCCGGTCCAAGTGTACTGAGTAGTGACACCTGACTCCGGATCTGCCCACTGAAAGGCAAACAGCTTCTGCCTCTCAGGGGCTAATCTGATAGGAAAGAAAGCGTCTTTCAGGTCCAAGCCTGTGAACCAGCTGTCCTCAGCTGGCGGCAACCCCAACAATGTGGACGGGTTAGGTACTGTTGGATGGAATGTCAGTGTAGCTTGATGAAGCAAGTGCAAATCCTGTACCGGCCGGTAGTCCTTGGTCCGTGGCTTGGAAACAGGCAGGAGGGGAGTGTTCCATGGAGACTGACAAGGAACAATCATTCCAAAAGTTCTTAGGTGCTTGAGAGGGACCTGGATACCTTGAAGGGCTTCTTTGGGGACCGGCTCCTGTTTTTGCCTCACCGGCTGGGCCCCAGTCTTAACTGGCCAATCCCGGAGGGTTGTCTTCTGCCATACTCTTGGCCACCGCTTAGCCAGAGCTGGTCTTCTCTCTTGGTCCGGCTCAGTTCAGAAAAGTCTCCATTCCTCCTCTCGGGGGACAATAAGGGTCATAATGACTCCCGTTCTGGGTAACCTTAGCAGCGAAGAGCCGTGCTCTGTCAAACAGATAGTGGTTCTCAGCTTGCTGAGCAAGTCCCTTCCCGAAAAGGTCAAGGGACAGTCAGACATGTACCAAAACTGATGAATGACTTTATGTCCTCCTACAGTACAAGTCCGAGGCAAGCAGAAAGCTTGCTTTGCTGAAACCCCTGTGGCTCCCATGACGTCAATAGTCTTTTTGGATAAGGGGGCGACCGGGGCGGTCACTAGCGAATGTTCAGCACCGCTATCTACAAGAAAGTCAATGTCTCCACCCCCGACTGCCATTCTGACCAGAGGCTCTTTGGGGACGCTTGAGCCTGGTCTCCCTCAGTCCAAGAACCCTTCTGCCAGGTTGAGCAGGGCCCCTTCCTCCTTGTCCGGGGCCTCCTGCTCTGAGTCACCTTGTTTTCTTTTGAGCTGAGGGCATTTGTTCTTCCACTGTCCTATTTCTTTACAATCAGCACACTGGTTACACTGCAAACTCTGACAGCCAAGCTGAGTTTCTTTCCCAGGGCCCCCCTTCCCTTGCCTCTTTGGGGGGGCCCCTCTGATTGCTGCAGCTGACAAACAGGTCAGCGTGTCGCCGGGCCTGACCTCCATTCTCTTTGCCGTTTTCCTTACGGCTTACTGCATCCCTGTTTACAAACACCTGGCTAGCTATTTCTAGTAATTGGGATGGATTCATCCATGCAAGCCCAGCCTGTTTCTGCAGTTTTCTTCTCATGTCTTCTGCGCTTTGACGGACTAAAGCCATGGGAATCATGCGCTGATTTTCAGGGCTATCGGGATCAAAGGGAGTACACATACGATAGGCCTCCCACAGTCTCTCGTAGAATTGTTCTGGACTTTCTTCTTTTCCCTGAATGACCTCAGAGAGCTTGTTAACGTTTGTGGCCTTCTGAGCTCCCCTCATTAATCCTCCCAAGAGAGCTTCCCTGTCTCGGTTTAGCCTTTGCATATCCTCTCTTCCATATGGGTCCAACTGGGGGTCGGTTCCTGGCAACTGCATCCTTCCATACTCTTGGGGGTTTTGATAATCAGCTGGTGCATGTTCCTCTAGCCACTTAGTTGCTGCTTGGAGGACTCTCCGCCTTTCTTCGCTGTTAAAGAGGAACATGAGCAACTGGTGCCAATCAGCCCAGGTGTGGTTGTCGGTCTGGAGAACAGCTTGGAGCAAATCAATTAGGGCTTGTGGCTTTTCGGTATAGGACGGTGTATTGTTTTTCCAGTTGAGAAGGTCGACGCAGGTGAAGGGCTGGTAACCAAAAACACGCCTCTCCACCACGTGACCATCCTCCTCTATCCCAGTCTACCGCTGCTCTCTCAGGGGCATTTGTGTCCCCGTTTGAGGTCATAAACGAGCTGCCGAGGGAGGGGTGTAATGGCGGTGGGCGACTTATGGAAATTAATAATCTCAATTATTAATTGACACTAATAATTATCAATATTAATAACCCACAATATAATTTTTAAAATCAATACCGATAATGATAATTAATATTAAATAGTTATACTAACGATAACAATACATGATTAATATTAATGATTAATGATGCCTGATATTAATAACTGATATTGATTTTATTCATTAGAAAACAGTAATATTAGCTCCTAATAATTAATATTAATAACCTGAAAAGTTTTTATTAGCAATTATTTCTTAATATTAATATTAATATAAGTCATTCATATTCATGTTAATAATGAATGAGGACTAATTCATACTAATATTACACCCTAATACCTCAGTGGGTGTACACCCATCTGCGATATTGCTCCTAATGTCCAGGGAGGGAGAGAGCAAGATATTACGTTCAATATCGCAGTAGGTGTACACACAGCCGGTGATATTGATCGGAATATAATCTCCAGAGTGTGGAGTATGACGTTACTCCCAATATAGCACTGGGTGTGCTTCCACCTGGTGATTTTGCACCTAATATTCACGGAAGAAGAGAATGCTATTACTCCCAACATCACAGGAAGTGTACAACCCCGTGTGACATGGTCCTTAAAAATATTCCAAGGCGGAGGGGGTGATAAGAAAACATATATGGCAGAAAGTGGACACCCCCAAAGATATTGTTCACATGCTCCTGGAGGGAAGAGGATAATATTACATTCACTAACACAGAAGGCGGACTTGCCCCTAATGATATTCTTTCTAATTGCAACGTGGGAGAGGAGGACATGACACCCCATATCCCAGGGCGTAGAAACACCCCTGTGATACTGTTCCTAATATTCAGGAAGGAAGAGGATGATATGACTCCCAATACAGACGGGTGTACAACTTCTGTACACTCAGGGTGTACACAGGTCTGTGAAACAGTTCACAATCTCCACAGGGGGAGATGATATTACTCACAATATGATAAACATGCTGTGAGTCCACCGCGGACCCTAAGAGCCGGGGTGGGCAAGAGGGGCTGGCTCTTACTCCCCGCATCGCGTGGGGCGCCTCGCCCCCTGCGATGGGGGTCCTAAGAGCCAGGGGGGGCAAGAGGGGCTGGCTCTTACTCCCTGCATCGCGGGGGACGCCCGCCCCCCTTCGATCTGTATCGTCATATCGAGGTTAGGAGAGGGTCGTGATATTACTCCCCGCTTGGGGTGGTCGCCCGCCCCCCTGCGATGTGTTTCGCCATATCCATTGCGGGATTGGGTGGTGATATTACTCCCCGCATCGCGGGGGCGCCCACCCCCATGCGATGTGGATCGTCATATGCAGGGGCGAGAGGGGGGTGATATTGCTCCCCGCATCGAGGGTGGAGCCCGCCCGCCTGCGGTGTGGATCGTAATATCCAGGTGGAGAGGCGGGTGATATTATTCCCCGCATCGCTGGGGGCGCCCTAGCCCGCCGTCTATGTGGCTCCTAATATCCAGGAGGGGAGAGGAGGTGATATTCCTCCCTTTCTGCTAGTATATTTTCTCTACTGTCACACTTGATTAACACCCTGGGACATTATTTTCCATATTCTAGGACGATGCCACTGTTTAAGTCCCAGTGGGTATACACCCTTTGAGATTATTCGTGATATTGTAGCGAAATGTCAATCCTGATGTCACAAGTCTCTACACACTCTGATATTATTCGCAATACCCTAGGAAACGTTAATAATAATGTCACAATGTGTGTACAGCTTGTGCTATTATTCTTAATCTCCTAAGGGGAGGTTGATTTTATTGTCACATGGAGTATTTTCCCTTTGGTATGATTCGGAATATCCTGGAGGGATGTCACTCCTCATGTCACAGAGTTTGTGCACCTTGTCAAATTCCTCGTATTACCCTCATAAGATGTCACTCCTCATATCACCGAGGGTGTACACTCTGTGATATTATCGTCATATTCTAGGGAAATGTTACTTTTAATGTCACAGACGTTGCACACCTTGTGAAATTATTCGTTATAGTTTTGTGGGATGTGACTCCTTACGTCACACGGGGTGTACACACAGTGATATTACGTGTAAACTTCTGTAGAAATGTTACTCGTAAATCACAGGTCCTGTACACACTTTCATATTCTTCGTCATATTCTAGGAAAACATGACTACTAATATCACAGGCCGTGTAGACCCTGTCATAAAGTTCCTAATATCCCAGCGGGAGTTCACTACTAATTTCACAATGCGTGTACACCCTTTGATACTGTTCGTATTATCCTAAAGAGATGTGACTACTGATGTCCCAATGCATGTACATTCTCTGATATTATTTGTTATATCCTCGGGAGATGTAACTTCTAATGTCACACGGCGTGTGCTCCCTGTGTTCTATTTCATAATATCCTAGGGGATTTGTACTGTTAATGACACCGGGGGTGTACACATTGTGATATTATTCATGATATTCTAGAAGGATGTTACTCCTAATGTCACAGGGGTGTACACCCTGTGATAGTATTCCTAATTTCCCAGGGGTCTATACTCCTAATGTCACAGAAGAGAACACCCTGTGACTTTATTCGTAATATTCTGGTGAGATGATTCTCCTACTTTCACAGGAGGTGTACACCCTGTGATAGTATTCTTACTATTCTAGGGGGATGTCACTCAATGTCACAGGTGTGTTCCTTCTGTGATATTATTGAAAATATGCTAGCTGGATATTACTACTAATGTAACAATGCTTGTACACCTTGTGATATTATTAGCAATATTCTGGGGGGATATTTCCCCTAACGTTACAGGGGTGTACACCATGTGGCATTGCTCCCAATATTGTAGGGGGATGTTACTCCTAATGTCACAGGGGGTGTACAGCCTTCGATATTATATGTAATCTTATAGAGAGATATTACTTTAATGATCACAATGGGTGTACACACATGGGCTACACCCACTGGGGTATTATTTGTAAAATCTTAGGGAGATATAACTCCTAATATCACAGTGGGTGTATCCCATGTGTGTACACTCTGTGATGTGATAGCTTTTATCCTAGGGAGATATTCCTGCTAATATCACAGTGAGTGCACACCCTGTGATATCATTCGTAATCTCCTAGAAAGAGGTTGCTGCTAATATCACAGAGGGTGTGCCCCCAGTGACATCGTTCGAAATATCCTAGGGAGATGTTACTCGTAATGTCACAGGGGTTGTACGCCCTGTTATATTATTGTAATATTCTAGGCGGGTGTTACTTTTAAAGTCACAGGGGTGTACACCCTGTGATGTTATTCATAATATCCTAGGAAGGGGTTCCTCCTGATATCACATGGGTTATCCTAGGAAGAGGTTACTCCTAATATCACACTCCTAATATCACACCCTGTGATAGCATTCGGAATATCCAAAAGGGATGTTACTTTTAATGTCACATGGGGTGTACACCCTTTGATAATATTCGTAAGATCCTAGGGACATATGACTTCAAATATCACATTGGGTGTACACACATGGTGTACACATTGTGTGTGAACACCTCCTGTGATATTATCCATAATATCCTAGGAAAATGGGACTCCTAATATCACGGTCAGTGGACACCCTAATATCCTAAAGAGATGTTACCACTAAGGTCACAATGTATCTACGCCCCCTGATATTATTCATTATATCCTCGGGGGATGTTACTCCTAATGTCACATGGGGTGTATTCCCTGTGATATTATTCGTAATATCCTAGGGGGATGTTACTTTCAATGTCACCGGGGGTGTATATCATGCGTATTCAATGCCTGTGATACTATTCCTAATATCCTAGGGGCATGTTCCTCCTAATGTCACATGGGGTGAACACCATATGTGTACACCTGCTGTGATATTTTTTGTAATATCCTAGGGGAATATTACTCCTGATGACACGGGAGATGTACACCATGTGTGTCAACCGCCTGTGTCATTATTCGTAATATCCTAGGGGGATGTTTCCTTGAATGGCACAAAGTGTGCGCAAAAGGTCACAGAAGGTGTACACCTTGTGATGTTATCTGCAATACCCTAGAAGGATGTTACTCCTAATATGTCACAGGGGTGTACACACTTTGATATTATTTGTAATCTCATAGAGAGCTATGACTTCAAATATCACAGTGGATGTTCACACATAGTGTATACCCTGTGATATTATTCGTAATATCCTAGGGAGATGCAACTCCTGATATCACAGTGCGTGCACCCGGTGTGTGTACACCCTTGATATCAGTCGTGATATCCAGGGTAAATATCACTCCTCATATCACACAGTGTGCACACCCTGTGATATTTGTCATAATATTTAAGGGAGATAGTGCTTCTAATATCACCGTGGGTGTACCCCGTGTGTGTGTACTCTGTGACAGTATTTTTTACATCCTAGGGAGGTATTACTCGTAATGTCAGAGTGGGTGTTCACCCTGTGATATCATTCTTATTTGACCTTGCTGCCTTTTTTAACCCATCCTACAAAAGGAATGGAACAGATAAGAAGATATTGAGATGAGACTGTGCTGCCGTGCGGCCGCCGCAGGACACTTTTCATATCCCTGTTTCTCAGGCTGTAGATGAAGGGGTTCAGCATGGGTGTGACCACTGTGTACATCACTGAGGCCACTGCACCCTTTCTTGGGGACGATGACACATCTGAACCGAGGTACCCTCCAACGCCTCTTCCATAAAATCAGCAAACAACTGACAGGTGAGACCCACAGGTGGCGAAGGTTTCTACTTCCCACCTGATGAGGAAACCCTCAGAATGGAGGAAATAATTTTACAGTAAGAGAAAAGGCTCCCCGAGATGGGAAGAAAACCAAATACGGCAGCAGGGAAATACAGGTTGATGTTCCTGGTGAAGGTGTCACAACATGCAAGATGGGGGAGTTGAAAAGGTTCCCAGAAGAAATTAGGAATTTCCACATCCTTGAAGCAGGTCATTTGTAAGGCAATCAAGTTGTGCAGCTGGGAGTCTAAAAGCCTGAGGGGAAAAAAAAAAAAAAAAACAAGGACAACAAATCTAGGAAGCCACAGAAACACGGGTTCAAGATGGCTGCACGATATGGAGGGTGGCAGATGGCTACAAACTGGTCATAGGCCATCACACTCAGGAGCATGTCTCTCTTCCATGCCTCCAAAAATGGCAAAGAGAGACATCTGAGTCAGGCAGCCTGCATAGGAGATGACTCTGCTGTGAGACTGGATCTCCACTATCATCTTGGGGACGGTGGTGGAGGTGAAACCGATGTCAGGCAAGGACAGGTTGGAGAGGAAGAAGTACATGGGGGTGTGGAGGTGGGAGTCAGGGCTGACGGCCAGGATGATGAGCAGGTTCCCCAGCACCCTGACCAGGCACATGGACAGGAACAGCCCAGCGACGACCGGCTGTAGTTCTGGATCCTCTGAGAGTTCGAGGAGGAGGAATATAGAGACAACTGTTGGACTCTGTGGGTCTGTAGCGTTTGGATACAACCCTCTTTTGCCTGGAAAAGAGGGTTGAAAAGTCGGAAACAAGTAAACCAATACCCAGCATTGTGTCTGCATTTTGGACAGAAGCAATTCACAAGTAATGTTTTCAGATTTCAGAGCAATCCACACTCAGCAATATTTTGTAGTTCTGACAAACTCAATTGCCTTATAATGCTTTCAACATCGATTGCTGTGTTATTCATGTCTTGCTATAAACACCTGCCTTAGAGACACTAGCTTCAAGAACGTTCCAAGAACCAGATCATCATATATAACAAATTCGTAATTGCTAGAAAATACAGCCTATCTTTTCCGAAGGAAAAGATGTAATAAAACCATTGTCTTCACTTTAAGAAAAAGGTTATCCTAATTAAAGGAAATTAAGAACTCAAATATTTTATTTATTCTACTAGATTGATACAAATTCCCTTGATTTACAACATTTGTAAACACTGTATAACAGCTGAGACCATGCCATCTGGAAATGAAATGAAAGTTGATAGTTCATAAGCAGAAAATAGTTCCACATGCCGGTTAGGTCCTAGTGATTTCATCATTGTGTTTTCGGACTTTTCTCCTTCGAGAGAGTAATTGCTTACTCAAATCGGTGGGTCTTGTTTTAAAATTCGTGGAAGCTCTAACTCCTGTTCTTAGCTTCGGTGGACTTAGAGTTTTCATCAGAAAGTTTGGCCGGACGCGGTGGCTCACGCCGGTAATCCCAGCACTTTGGGAGGCCGAGGAGGGCGGATCACAGTGTCAGGAGATCAAGACCATCCTGGCCAACATGGTGAAACCCTGCTTCTACTAAAAATACAAAATATTCGCCCGGTATGGCGGCGCGTGCCTGTAGTCCCAGCTACTCGGGAGGCTGAGGCAGGAGAGTGGCTTGAACCTGGGAGGCAGAGACCACAGTGAGCCGAAATCACACGCCAGCCTGGGCAATGACAGCAAAACTCCGTCTCAAAAAAAAAAACAAAAAGAATCAAGTAAGTCAAAGTCAAGCTGATGACAGCCAATTTTGGTGAAGCAAGGAAGTGTCAATTCAATCATTAGCATATATTTGACTTTTGCTGTCTCCTATGTGCCAAGCAAGATATAGGCTCTGGGGAATCAGAAACCAAAGAGACTCAATTGTTCCTCTCACAGTACTCAGTCCTTACTGAGAGAAGGACAAAACAAAATGTCCTGTCTGGAATGCAGGGAAAGCAGAACTTCAGGTCAGGGGATATTTCCATTGAATTGTGTGGAGTTGAAGCTGAAAATCTTAAGGAATGTATCTAAAATTCACTTTGCCTTTACTTTATGCATCCGTCACCTAGAGATCACGCAGGGGACACCCACGATCGGCTTAATCATCACTCACTTCCATCGGATCAACTGGAAAACAAGTCAGATGAGAGTGCTGAGTCTCAGAGGATGGACATCTCACCCTTTGCCACACAGAGAAGTAGAAAGGGTGGTATTCAAATTTCATGGACAGACTCGAAATCTCGGGTACTATACTTCCTGGTCTTCCAACTCTCAAAAAGTTGTGGGTTTTTTTGTTTTTTGTTTTTGTTTTTGTTGTTTTGAGATGGAGTCTCGTTCCGTTGCCCAGGCTAGAGTGCAGTGGAGTGATCTCGGCTCACTGCAGCCTCTGCATCCCAGGTTCAAGCTAATCTACTGTCTCAGCCTGCAAAGTAGCTGAAATGACAGGCGCCCGCCACTACGCCTGGCTCATTTTTTTCTCTTTTGAGTAGAGACATGGTTTCACCATGTTGGCCAGGCTGGTCTCGAATTCCTGACCTTGTGATTCGCCTGCCTCAGCCTCCCAAAGGGCTGGGATTACAGGCTTGAGCCACTGCCCCCAGCTTCCAAAAGTTTTAAGCAGAGCTCAGAGGTCTTAACCACAGGCACATCGGAGGAGCATTTTTGAAACACTTTCCAGCTTCCTCAATAGGAATGGAAGCCAAACTCTGAACTGATGACTCCTTTGAGGAAGTCGAGAGCTGTAAGGAAAGCCAGGAACAGAGGCAAGGGAGAGATGCATCCCGAATGATCCTGTGCCAATTCTTTCTGGAATCCTCGATGTGATCTCAGCTGCCCTTTCCATACTTGACACAGTGATTGTGGCACCCACTGGTCTAGATGTGGTCTCCAAGGAACCCCCAAAGGGAAGGTTAGAGTGAGCAGGGGCATCCGCCTGAGTGATGAGGATTTGAGAGGGCAGGTTAGTTGCAGGGAGAGGACTGGCCAAATGCCATCTGTCTGGACTTAGACTGACTGGTTCAAATTGGACTTCACCCTTTTTGACTTCATGATCTAGTACGAGTTATATGAAAAGGCGTTGCTCCTTTTCTAGTTTGTAAAATCATCCTGAAATGTGCACTAATAATGTGGAGACTATGCAGATGAAATGAAACAAGCTGCATAGAGCACAGAGCTCAGAGCCTGGCCTTTAGGAAGCCCTCAGTAAGGGTTCATGATACCATGGTGTCTGTCGTCATCCTCTTTATCCTCATCATCACCTTCATAATCTTTTTGTTGTTCTTAGGGAATAGTTTAGAGGGACTGATTCCCTGCTATCACGGGTGAGATATCTATGAAAAGGACAACCAGTGGGTGAGGAAAGCAAAATTTTGAATAAGATTTCTGAGACCCCCACCACAACCAAGAACAGAAACTGCACAGTCTGCTGAGCGGACAGTTTGCACATTGGTCTCCTCCCATCAGCCCAACGCACTCTCCTGTTTGTCCTGAGGATGAGGAAATCAAACAAGGTTCCCGACTGCCCCTCAGGACTCACTTGAAGGGGTGGCCTGCCCCTCCACACCTGTGGGTATTTCTAGTCGGGTGGAATGAGAGACTGAGGAAAGAAATAAGACACAGAGACAAAGTATAGAGAAACGACAGTGAGCCCAGGGGACCGGCGGTCAGCATACCGAGGATCTGCACCGGCACCGGCCTCTGAGTTCCCTCAGTTTTTATAGATTATTATTTTTATTATTTTAGCAAAAAGGAATGTAGTAGGAGGGCAGGGTGATAATAAGGAGAAGGTCAACAACGAACATGTGAGCAATAGAATCTATGTCATAATGAAGTTCAAGGGAAGGTACTATGACTGGACATGCACGTAAGCCAGACTTATGTTTCTCTCCACCCAAATATCTCAGTGGAGTAAACAATAACAAGGCAGCATTGCTGCAAACATGTCTCACCTCCCACCATAGGGCGGTTTTTCCCCCATCTCAGAATTGAACAAATGTACAATCAGGTTTTATACTGAGACATTCAGTTCCCAGGGGCAGGCAGGAGACAGCGGCCTTCCTCTCTCTCAACTGCAAGAGGCTTTCCTCTTTGACTAATCCACCTCAGCACAGACCCTTTACGGGGGTCGGGCTGGGGGACGGTCAGGTCTTTCTCATCCCACGAGGCCACTTTTCAGACTATCACATGGGGAGAAACCTTGGACAATAATACCCTGCTTTCAAGGCCAGGGCTCCCTGCAGGTTTCCACAGTGCATTGTGCCCCTGGTTTATTGAGACTAGAGAATGGCAATGACTTTTACCAAGTATACTGCTTGGAAACATCTTGTTAACAAGGCACGTCCTGCACAGCCCTAGATCCCTTAAACCTTGATTTCATACAACACATGCTTTTGTGAGCTTAAGGTTGGGTCAAAGTGGTTGGTTCAAAGTGACTGGGGCAAAGCTACAGATTAACAACATCTCAGCAAAGCAATTGTTGAAAGTACAGGTCTTTTTCAAAATGGAGTGTCTTATGTCTTTCCTTTCTACATAGACACAGTAAAAGTCTGATCTCTCTTTCTTTTCCCTACACTCACTGAACTGCCCTTCCCCTCTGCTGGGCCATGACCACAGAGAACAGGTCCACTGTTCTCCCTTCTTGGTGCACCCTGGAGGCTCAGACTCCGTCCTCAAGGCTGGCAAGAAGACAGGGTGAGACATGAGCCCCCTGATACAGGTGACGGGAGTGGAGCCCACAGGACTGAAACCCCACACTGCAGGGCTGGAGGCACAGACAAGAGTATTTACTCTTCTGTGGCCTGTGGGGCTCAAGGAACAGAGCTCCTCATTAGCCAAAGTCGCCCAAGTTCCCCAACCTCTAAGGATTTCCCCATAATATTGCAAGAAGAAGAGAAAAGTGAGTGTCCATAGAAGCCTTGGGGCTCTTCCTCTAATCAAGAGAAAGCTAGTGTGTATTCTTCCCTTCTTTCTTTTCTTTTTAAACATCCAATTGCTTTAATTTTCATCTTTTATTATCGGAAAATATACCACGCATAAATATTAAAAATTATAAATATATATTAGTTCATATAGAATGGCCAGCATACACATTTACAGTTTCCACTGTTTTTCAGTTTACAGTTTCATGACATTAAGTACGTTCACATTGTTTAGCAACCATCACCGCCATCGTCTCCGGAACAGTTTTATCTTTCAAAATGGAAATTCCACCCATTCACCAAGCTCTCCACTCCTCTCTCTCGCCCACCCCTGGGGGCCACCTTTCTAGTTTGCAACTCTATGAGTTTAACTACTCTAGACAGTTCCTAGAAAAGTGGAATCATACCGTGTTTAATTTTTTTGTTTTGGAGACAGAGTCTTTCTCTGTCACCCCGGCTGGAGTGCAGTGGCGTGATGTCACCTCACTGCAACCTCCACATCGTGGGTTCAAGCGATTCTTGTGTCTCAGTCTCCCGAGTAGCTGGGATTACAGGCGTGCGCCACCACACCCAGCTAATTTTTGTATTTTTAAGAGAGACGAGCTTTCACCATATTGGCCAGGCTGGTCTCGAACTCCTGACCTGAAGTGATCCGCCTGGCTCAGCCTCCCAAAGTGCTGGGGTTACAGGTGCGAGCCACTGAATCTGGGCCTCTTTATCCTTTTGGGATTTATTTATTTCACTGACGATAATGTCTTCAAGGTTCATCCATGTTGCGGCCTGTGTCAGAAGTGCCTC
This sequence comes from Homo sapiens, assembly GCF_000001405.40. NCBI lineage: Eukaryota > Metazoa > Chordata > Mammalia > Primates > Hominidae > Homo > Homo sapiens. The sequence goes on from NC_000012.12 coordinate 8,433,585, forward strand.
TCTGTTTTGTTTCTTTGTTTGTTTTGTGTTTGTTCGTTTGACTTTGTTTTGTTTTGTGTTTCCATGGAGTCTCACTCTGTCGCACAGGCTGGAGTGCAGTGGCACAATCTAGGCTCACTGCAACCTCCGCTTCCCGGGTTCCAGCGATTCTTGTGCCTCAGCCTCCCGAGTAGCTGGGTCTATAGGCACACGCCACCACGCTCATCTCATTTTTTGCATTTTCAGTAGAGACAGCGTTTCACCAAGATGGCCAGGCTGGTCTTGAATTCCTGACCTCAGGTGATCCGCCCACCTCGGTCTTCCAAGACGCTGCGATTACAGGCTTGAGCTACCGCAGCGGCCAGAAGTGCCTGCCTTTTGAAGGCTGAATAGTCTTCCATTGTATGAAGGAACTGCAGTGTGCTTTTTCATTCATCTGTCCACGAACCCTTCGGTTGCTTCCACATTTTGGCTGTTGTGAATAATGCTGCTATGAATATGGGTGTACACAAATCTGTCTTCCACTCCTGGCTTCTAATTCTTTTTGGTATGTACCCACAAATGCAACTGCGGGAACATCTGATCATTCTGTTTCTAATTTTTCCAGTTAGACGCCATACTATTTTCCCCGTTCCTTCACGGTGTTACATTCCCTCGGATCATATTCGAGCATTCCTACTTCCCTCTAGTCTCGCCAATGCCTGTTTGTTTATCATATCCATCCTAATGTTTGGTAACACATTCTTGGTTAGATTTGCGCTTCCCTATGATGAGTGATTTTGAACATCATTTTAGATGCTTATTGGCCATTGCTATATCTTCTTTAGGAACACGTCTACTCGAGTCTTCTGACCATTATTGATGGGATGTTTTGGGTTTCTTGTTGTTTAGTTCTAGCTGTTCTTTATATATGATGGATATCAACCTCTTTTCAGATATATGCTTTGCAAATATTTTTCCTAATCCATGGGTTATCTTTTCACTCAGTTCGCAGTGTTTTTTGCTGCACAAAAGTGTCTGTCATTTAGATGTAATCCAAGGAATCTAATTTTCTTTTGTTGCCTATGCTTTTGTTGTCATATTCCAGAGAACATTGCCCAATCTGATGTCATGAAAGCGTGGCCAATGTTTTCCTTTAGGCGTATGATACTTTTAGCGCTTGGGGTGAGGTCTTTGATCCAGTTTGTGTTAATTTTTGCACCTGGTGTGACATAGGGTCCACCTTCATTCTTCTGCATGTGGAAATCAAGTTTCTCCAACACCATTTCTTGAAAAGGCTGCTTTTCCACCAATGAGCTTTCTTAGCACTCATGTGAAAAATCATTTGAACATATAGGTGGGAAGTTATTTCTGGGCTCCAAAACAAACAAACAACAACAGACAACAGATAAGGATACAGCATGGGCCGGGCGAGGTCGCTCACGCCTGTAATCCCAGCACTTTGGGAGGTCGAGACGGGCTGATCACCTGAGGTCAAGAGTTGAAGACCAGCCTGAATGACAGGGAGAAACCCCCGTCTCTACTAGAAATACAACATTAGCTGGGCGTGCTGGCGTATGCCTGTAATCCCAACTACTCGGGAGGTGGAGGCAGGAGAATCGCTTGAACCCAGGAGGCAGAGGTTCCGGTGAGCCAAGATTGCACCATCACACTTCAGCCTGGGCAACAAGAGCGAAACTCCATCTCAAAACAAAAAACAAAAAACAAAAAACCAGCGTGATTTCAAGAGCAGAAAGAGAAGAGCTTAAAAACCAGCATAATGAGAAAGTTAGGAAGTTTCTTACCAAACCATCTGGAATTATGCAAGAAATTCTTGTGAAGTAAAATTTTCATACTGTACTATCAAACACTAGAACTCACTTATTCCATCTTTCTGTATTTCGGGACCCAATTATCCACTTGTCTTCATTCCCCATCCCACCCCTTTTCTTCGTAGCGTCTGCTAACCTCCTTTATACTTTCCACCTTACTCAGATTCCTTTTGTGTGTAGGTGTAGGATGGAGTCTCTTTCTGTTGCCCAGGTTGGAGTACACAGGCACAATCCGGGCTCACTGCGAGCTCCGCCTCCCGAGTTCAAGCGCTTCTTGGGCCTCAGCCCTCCCAGTAGCTGAGACTACAGGCACGCGTCACCAAGCCCGACTAATTGTTTGTTTTTTCCATAGAGACGGGGTTTCACCATGTTGGCCAAGCGGGTCTCGAACTCCTGGACTCCAGTGATCCGTGTGACTCGGCCTCCCAGAGTGCTGGGATTAAAGGCCTGAGCCACCACACGTGGCCAAGGTTTCCTTTTTTCTTCCTACATAGAAGTGAGGACATGAAATATTTGTAATTCTGTGCCTGGCTTCTTTCATTTAATATACAGACCTGCAATCTCATCCATTTTGTCTGCAGCGGAGAGGAGTTTCTTCCTTTTTAGGCTGAATAATACTTCATTGGGTGTGTATACCACAGTTTCTTCATTGAAACAAATTTCTAAAGAGCACATATTTTTAAAGACTTGGAATGTGAAACTTCAGGGATACTGTGCCTATTTTATTCTTTTCTATTTCACATCTTATGTATATGCAAGTGTATAACAAAGCAGCAATTGATGTGTGTATAAATCTATAACTTCAACAAATGTAAAATGTAAATGCTAAGTGGTGGCTGGGCGTGGTCGCTCATGCCTGTAATCCCAGCACTTTGGGAGGCGGAAGCGGGCGGATCACCTGAGGTCGGGAGTTCAAGACCAGCCTGACCAAAATGGAGAAACACTGTCTCTGTTAACAATACAAAAAAAAAAAAAAAATAGCCAGGCATGGTAGCGCATGCCTGTAATCCCAGCTACTTGGAAGCCTGAGACAGGAGAATTGCTTGAATACGGGAGGTAGAGGTTGCAGTGAGCCGAGATCGTGCCATTGAAATCCAGCCTGGGCAACAAGAGTGAAACTCTGACTCAAAAAAAAAGGAAAAGAAAGAAATAGAAAATGCGAAATGGTAAGAAAAAACAGCATAATAAAAAACATTTGTATGGTGTTGATGGACAATGCATTTGAAGATAATATTTGAAGAAATTATATTACAATTAATTTCTGTTCTAACTCATTGGAGCTTGATGCCTCTAAAAACTTCGTCATTGGAACCACCGCTGGTGCTTTAAAAGAAAAAAAAATCCACACACTCACACAGGTGCAAGGAAATCAGAATCTCAGGTATTGAGACCCAGGCCTCATCATCTGTAAGCTCCCCAGGTGATTTGACTCAAAGCCAAGATTGAGGAACGGCGACATGGATCTCTCCTCAGAACCTGCCTAAATAGATTCTCTAGAAGCAGTTTATAAAGAAATTCCACAGGAACTGTGGAAGAGGATATGAATTTGATGTACAGTATGTCCTCACTTAACATCTTTGAAAGTCTCTTGGAAACTTCAACTTGAAGCAAAATTATGTATAGTGAAACCACTTATTTTTCATCAACAGTATAACTACACAACTTTGAACAACAAGTAGTGTTGGAGGACCTCCTGTACATTGTTTCCATAAAGTCAGTTTTCAGGGAATTCCAAAACGAAGTGAGGACTTCGTGTATATAAAAAGATGGTTGTGATTCCACCTGGATGACAGGGTTATTGCTCAGAAACTAAAAGAGGCCACCTAGGTATAGAGGATCCTGTCATGAGGTTTCTGTTAAACCAAGGATCCCAGAATCCTCACCCATTCCAGTTAAAGGCATAACGAAGAAAGCAATATTCACAAAGGAAATGCAGAAAGGAATAGAAGCCATCAAGCCACAAAAATAATGTGACTAAGGGGCAGGATTTGCAGATGTAGAGATTTAATGCGGTTGCCCTTTCTCACCCACACAAGAAAAAGGATGGAACAGATCATGAGATTCCACTGTTCTGCTGCGCAGCCTCCGCAGGGCACGTTGTATGTCCCTGTTTCTCAGGCTGCAGATGAAAAGGTTCAGCATGGGGGTGATCACAGCGTACATCACTGACGCCACCACACCATTCCTGGGGGGTGGTGACACAGCTGAAGCCAGGTACATGCCAATGCCTGTTCCATCAAATCAGCAAACAACTGCTAGGTGAGAGCCACAGGTGGAGAAAGCTTTATACTTCCCATCTGACGATGACATCCTTAGAATGGAGGGGACGACTTTATAGTAAGACAACAAGATCCCTGAAATGGGAAGAAAACCAAATGTACTATCGAAATATATGAATATGCTATTGATGACGCTGTCAGAACAGGCAAGTTTGAGAAGTTGAGAGGGGTCACAGACAAAATGAGAGAATTCCACATTCTTGATGATGGTGAATTGTAACACAATCCAACTGTGCAGCTGGGAATCCAACAGGCTAAGGAAAAAGGACACCAAAACGAAGAAGACACAGAGGTGAGGATTCACGATGACTGGGTAGTGCAGAGGGCGACAGATGGCTACAAAGCCGTCATAGGCCATCACAGTCAGGAGCATGCCTTCTATACATGCAAAAAGGACCAAGAAATACATCTGTGTCAGGCAGCCTGCGTGAGAGATGACTCTGCTATGCGACTGCATGTCCACAATCATCTTGGGAACCGTGGCTGAGGTGAAACCCATGTCAGCCCAGCACAGGTTGGAGAGGAAGAAGTACATGGGGGTGTGGTGGGGGGAGTCAGATCTGACAGCCAGGATGCTGAGCAGGTTCCTCAGCACCGTGACCAGATACATGGACAAGGACAGGGACAGCAAAGTGAGGACGGGCTGCAGTTCTGGATCCTCTGAGAGTCCCAGGAGGAGGAATTCTCAGACACCTGTGAGATTCCGTGGCTCTGTGTGTCTTGGACACATTGAGAAGGAAAGAGGATTGCAAAATAAAAGATAAAAACCAGCCCTTAATGTTGGATGCAAGCAATTCACAAGGAACATCTTGACACTTGCGGACCATACACCGCCAGCAATGTTTCTCAGTTGTGACAATTCCAAAAATCTCAGAATTTTTACGTGATTTACTTTTTAGCTATACAGGCTTTCTGTACATACTACTTTAGAGAAAATCCACTGAAGAATATTAGAAGACCAAAACGTCATATATAACAAATCCGTGATCTCAGTAAAATACGGCCTACTCTTTTCAGAAAAAATACAATGCAATGAAAATGTCCTTCTCTCTTTCAGAAAAAGATCTCAGTCAAATTGAAAGAAATTAAGAAGCCGTGAAATACACTCTACTTTACTCTGACACCGTGCTGCAACTTCCATTGATGTAGAATATGTAAAAGGACGACACGAGAGCTAGGACCCCATTATCTGAAAATGAAATCGAACCTTATAGTTCTCAATCGGAAGACCTTTTCACATGCCTGTTACTTTTCATATTTATTATCATCCTTCAGTTTTCTGACATCATTTCTTCATAAAAGTACATGCACACTCAAAAATGGGAGCTGTGTTTCCAAATGAATTGAATCTGTAACTCTTGGCCCAGCACCATGGCTCACACCTGTAATCCCAGCACTTTGGGCGGCCGAGGCTGATGGATCACCTGAGGTCAGGAGTGCCAGACCAGCCTGGCCAATGTGGTGAAACCCCGTCTCCAGTGGAAATAAAAAATTTAGCCAGGCGTGGTGGTGGGTAACCCTAGCTACTCGGGAGGCTGAAGCAGGAGAATCCCTTAGAACATGGAAGGCAGAGATTGGACACCCTGTGATAGGATTTTTGATATCCTAGGGAGATATTGCTCCTGACAGTAGAGTGGGCGTACACCCTGTGATATTATTTGTAATATCCTAGAAAGATATTGCTCCTAATATCACGGTGGCTCTACACCCTGTGATCTTAATTGTAAAATGCTACAGAGATATTCCTCCTAATAATACAGTGGGTGTACACCCTCTGATATTATTCATAATATATTACACAGATACAACTCCTGATATCACAGTGAGTGTACACCATGTTTGTACACCCTGTGATCTTATTTGTAACAACTTTGAAAAATATTACAGCTAATATCAAAGTGGGTGTACACCCTGCGATGTTATTTGTTATCTACTAGGAAGATATTACTCCTAATATCACAGTGGGTGTACACTCTGTGGTATTATTTGTACTATCCTAGAGAGATAATGCTCCCAGTATCACAGTGGGTGTATACCCTGTGATATTATTCATAATATCCTAGAGAGATATTACCTCTAATATCACAGTTTCTCTACACCCTGTTGTATTATTCATCATATCCTAGGGAGTTATTATCCCTAACATCACAGAGCGTGTACACCATGTGTGTCCACTCTGCGATGTTATTCGTATTATCCTTGGGAGATAGTTCTCATAACATCGCTGTGGGTGTACATCTTGTATGTACTCCCTGTGGTCTTATTGGTTATGTCCTGGGTTGATATTACACCTAATATCACAGTGGGTGCACACCATAGGTGTACATTCTGTGATGTTACTCGTAATATCCTAGGGAGATATCACTCCTGATGTCATAGTGGTTGTACAGCCCTGTGATATTCTTGGTAGTATCCTTGGGATGTATCACTGTGTTATCACAGTGGGTGTACAACCTGTGATAGTATTTGTAATATCCTAGGGAGATATCACTGTATACCCTGTGGCATTATTTGTGACATTTGAGGGAGCTATTTCTCCTAAAGTCAGAGTGAGTGTACACCCTGTAATGTTCTTCCTAATATCGCAGTGGGTGTACACCGTGAGTGATATTTTTTTCTAATATCCAGCGAGGGAGAGGATGATATTGCTTCCAATATCATGGAAGGTGTACACCCCCTTGTGATATTGTTCCTAATATCCAGGGAAGAAGAGGATGACATTATTCGCAATATCACTGGGGGTGTACCACCTCCCGCCGGGATATTGTTCTTAATATACGTAGTGGAGAGAATGATGTTACTCCCAATATCCCAGGGGGTGTACACCACCCCTGTTTGTAAACACCCCCTGTGATATTGCTCCAAATGGCCTGTGAAATAGTCAATATGACTCCCATTATCGCAGGGGGTGTTCAGCCCTGATGATATTGTTTTCTAACATCCAGGGAAGGAGAGTATGCTATTACGCCCAATACCGCAGGGGTTGTACACCTTTTTGTGTTATTGGGCCCAATATCCAGGAAAATAGAGGATGATAGAACTCCCAATACCGAAATAATTGTACAGCACCCCTGGGATATTCTTCCTAATATCCAGTAAGGAAAAGAATGATATTACTCCCAACAGCGTAGGAAATATATACCCGCGCTGTGATATCTTCCCCATATCCAGGTGGGGGAGGATCATATTACTTCCAATGTCGCAGGGTGTGTACACCCCTCCTGTCCTATTGTTCTGAATACCCTGGGAGGGAGAGGATAAGGTGACATTGAATATCGCAGGGAATATACACCCTCCCCCTCTGATATCCTTCCTAGTATCCAGGGGAAGAGAGGATAATTGGACTCCCAATATCGCAGAGGCAGTACACCCCACCTGTGATATTGTTCCCTATATGCAAGGGGGGAGAGGATGATATTACTCCCAATATCACAGGGCTGTTCACATCCCCAGTGACATTTTTCCTAATATCTAGGGGAGAGATAATTACATGACAGCAAATGTCACAGGGTCTGTACATCCCTTCTTCATATTGTTCCTAATATCCAGGGGGGAAGAGGATGATATCGAATATGAAAGGGGGTGTACAACCCCCACCTCTAAGATATTGTTCTTAATATTCTTGAGGAGAGACGATGATATGACTCCCAATATCGCAGGGGTTGTTGACACCCCCGGTGATATTCTTTCTAATATCCAGTGGGGGAGAAAATAACATGACTTCCAATATTGTAGGTGGTGTATTCCCCACCTGAAATGTTGCACCGAATATCCAAAGAGGGAGAGGATGGTATTCATACCAATATGGAAGGGTGTGTACACGCCCCTTGTGATATGGTTTTTAATATCCAGGGGGCTGGAGGATGATATTAGTCCCAACGTCACAGAGGGTGTACACTACCCCTGTGATATTGTCCCTAAGTTCCAGAGGGGAGAGGATGAGATCACTCCCAATATCTCAGAAGTTGTACATCCCCCGTGATACTGTTCGTCATATCCAGGGAGGCACAGGATGACATTCCATTGAATTTCGCGACAGGCGTACACGCACAGTGTGATACTGTTCCTAATATCCAAGAAGGCAGAGGATGACATTACTCCCAACAAAGCAGTGGGTGTCCATTACCCCTGTGTTATTGTCTCTAATATCCGGGGCCAGGGGAGGGTGGGAGAGGACAACATTCCCTCAAATTTAGCAGGTGATTTGACACCCCTCGTGGTGTTGTTTTACATATCCTGTGGGGAAGACAATAATACTCTTTTTGATGGTCCGATTCATCCGCTCCACCTTTCCAGAACTCTGAGGCTGGGAGGTGGCATGTAGTTTCCGTGTGATCCCCAATACCTTTGCCGTCATCTGTAGCAAGTCAGCCACAAACGCAGGCCCGTTATCTGAGCCGATCCGGAAGGACAGTCCCAATCTAGGAATCAGATCTCGAAGAAGCACACGGAACAATCATTCCAAAAGTTCTTAGGTGCTTGAGAGGGACCTGGATACCTTGAAGGGCTTCTTTGGGGACCGGCTCCTGTTTTTGCCTCACCGGCTGGGCCCCAGTCTTAACTGGCCAATCCCGGAGGGTTGTCTTCTGCCGTACTCTTGGCCACCGCTTAGCCAGAGCTGGTCTTCTCTCTTGGCCCGGCTCCATTCAGAAAAGTCTCCATTCCTCCTCTCGGGGGACAATAAGGGTCATAATGACTCCCGTTCCGGGTAACTTTAGCAGCAAAGAGCCGTGCTCTGTCAAAAAGAGAGTGGCTCTCAGCTTGCTGAGCAAGTCCCATCCCAAAAAGAGCAAGGGACAGTCAGGCATGTACCAAAACTGATGAATGACTTGATGTCCTCCCACAGTACAAGTCCGAGGCAAGCAGAAAGCTTGCTTTGCTGAAATCCCCGTGGCTCCGATGATGTCAAGAGTCTTTTTGGATAAGGGGGTGACCGGGGCGGTTACTAGGGAATGTTCAGCACTGCTATCTACAAGAAAGTCAATGCCTCTATCCCCGACTGTCATTCTGACCAGAGGCTCTTTGGGGATGCTTGAGCCCGGTCTCCCTCAGTCCAAGAACCCTTCTGCCAGGTTGAGCAGGGCCCCTTCCTCCTTGTCCGGGGCCTCCTGCTGAGTCACCTTGTTTTCTTTTGAGCTGAGGGCATTTGTTCTTCCACTGTCTTATTTCTTTCCAATAAACACACTGGTTACGCTGCAAACTCTGACAGCCAAGCTGAGTTTCTTTCCCAGGGCCCCCCTTCCCTTGCCTTTTTGCGGGGACCCCTCTGATTGTTGCAGCTAACACGTCGGTGTTTTGCCGGGCCTGACCTCCATTCTCTTTGCGTTTTCCTTACGGCTTACTGCATCCCTGTTTACAAACACCTGGCTAGCTATTTCTAGTAATTGGGATGTATTCATCCCTGCAAGCCAGCCTGTTTCTGCAGTTTTCTTCTCATGTCTTCTGTGCTTTGATGGACTAAAGCCATGTGAATCATGCGCTGATTTCAGGGCTATCGGGATCAAAGGGAGTATACATAGGATAGGCCTCACACAGTCTCTGGTAGAATTGTGCTGGACTTTCTTCTTTTCCCTGAATGACTTCAGAGAGCTTGTTAACGTTTGTGGCCTTCTGAGCTCCCCTCATTAATCCTTCCAAGAGAGCTTCCCTGTCTCGGTTTAGCCTTTGCATATCCTCTCTTTCATGTGGGTCCGACTGGGGGTCGGTTCCTGGCAACTGGGTCCTTCCATACTCTTGGGGGTTTTGATAATCAGCTGGTGCATGTTCCTCTAGCCACTTAGTTGCTGCTTGGAGGACTCTCCACCTTTCTTTGCTGTTAAAGAGGAACATGAGCAACTGGTGCCAATCAGCCCAGGTGTGGTTGTGGGTCTGGAGAACAGTTTGGAGCCAATCAATTAGGGCTTGTGGCTTTTCGGTATAGGGCGGTGTATTGTTTTTCCAGTTGAGAAGGTCGACGGAGGTGAAGGGCTGCTACCCAAAAACACGCCTCTCCACCACGTGACCATCCTCCTCTATCCCAGTATACCGCTGCTCTCTCAGGGGCACTTGGATCCCCGTTTTGGGTCTTAAACGAGCTGCCGAGGGAGGGGTGGAGTGGCGCGTTTTTACTTACCACAATTAATCATCTCCATTATTAATTGACACTAATAATTATCAATATTAATAACTGATAATATAATTTTTAAAATCAATACCAATAATAATGATAATTAATATTAAATAGTTATACTCACGATAACAGTAAATGATTAATATTAATGATTAATGACGCCTGATATTAATAACTGATATTGATCTTCTTCATTAGAAAACAGTCATATTAGCTCCTAATAATTAATATTAATCTTAATAATCTGAAAACTTTTTATTAGCTATTATTTATTTATATTAATATTAATATCTGTCATTCATATTCATGTTACTAATAAATGAGGAATAATTCATACTAATATTACGCCTAATACCTCAGTGGGTGTACACCCACCTGTGATATTGCTCCTAATATCCAGGGAGCGAGAGAGCATGATATTACGTTCAATATCTCGGTAGGTGTACATCCAGCCGGTGATATTGATCCCAATATCATCTCCAGGGCGTGGAGTATGACGTTACTCCCAATATAGCACTGGGTGTGCATGCACCCGGTGATTTTGCTCCTAATATTCACGGAAGAAGAGAATGCTATTACTCCCAGTATCGCAGGAAGTGTACACCCCTTCCGTGACATCGTTCCTAATATCCAGAGGGGGAGAGGGTGATATTACTCGCAATATCGCAGGCTGTGTACACCCACCCTCTGATATTCTTCCTAGCAGCCAGGAAGGGAGAGGACGATATGACTCCCCATACAGCAGGAGGTGTACACCCATCCTGGGATATTCTTCCTAATATCCACGGAGAGGAGAGGCTGATATGACTCCCAATATCGCAGGGGGTCTACATCCAGTCTGTGATATTGTTCTTAATATTCAAAGGTGGAGAGGTTGATATTACTCCCAATATCACAGAAAGTGTACAAACCCGTGTACTATTGTTGCTATTATCCAGAAGAAGAGAAGATGAGATCACGCCCCCATTGCAGGAGGTGTACACCCACTCTGTGATATTTTTTCCAATGTACAGGGCAGGGGAGGAGAATATTCTTCTCAATAGCACAGGGTGTGTACAGCCCCACTGTGATATGGTCCTTAATATTCCAAGGCGGAGAGGATGCTCTTACTCCCAATACTGCAGAAAGTGTACACAACCCCAGTGATATGGTTCCCACGATCCAGGAGAGAAGAGGATGATGTTACTTTCAATATCGCACGGGGTGGACACGCCCCCAGTGATATTGTTCCTAATTTCGACGTGGGAGAGGATGATACTACACGGAATGCCCCCAGCGGTAAAAACACTCCTGTGATATTGTTCTTAATATCAAGGGGAAAGAGGATGCTATTACTCCAAAGAGTGCAGAGGATGTGCACCGGTCTGTGACATAGTTGGTAATTTCCAGAGGCGGAGAAGCTATTACTGATGATAACGTGAACGAGCTATGTGACCACCGTGGATCGTCATATCCAGGGGGGGAGGGGGGGTGATATGACTCCCCGCAAAGCGGGGGCCTCACCCCCTTGCGATGGGGGTCCTAATAGCCAGGGGGGGATAGGGGCTGGCTGTTACTCCCCGTACAGTTGGGGGGGCCTCACCCCCCTGCGATGGGGCTCCTAAGAGCCAGGGGGAGAGAGGGGCTGGATCTTACTCCCGGTATCGCAGGAGGTGTGTACAACCACTGCGATATTGGGAGGCATATCATCAGCTCCCACCCAGGATATTAGGAACAAGATGACCGAAGGGATGTACACCCACTGCGCTATTTTCAATAATGTCATCCTCTACCCCCTGGCTATTAGGAGTAACATCATAGAGGGGTGTACACTTTCTGCGATATTGGGAGTAATGTCCTCTCCCCCAAGGATATCGGGAACAGTTATATCAATTATTAATATTAATAAATATAATAATTAATAGTAATCATCGGCATCCATAATTACAGTAGAGACAGTAAAACAGTACGGATGAAAAATATTAAGGGTTATTATTAATAATTAATAGCAATATCACTATTAATAATGAAATCATGACATTAGTAATTAATGTTACTTCAATCAATCATAAGTGATGTTGGTAAGAAAACAATAATTAATATTAAGATTAATAACTAATATTAAAAGTGACATTCATATTAATACTTTTAATCATGCATGATCATAACTTGAAAACAATCATTAATGATTAATAACATTATACTATTAATGAATAGTACCATCGCTAATTATTAATAAGAGTGATGTTTAATAATTTATAATATTATTACTGCTAATACCTCAGGGGATGTACACCTACCTGTCATATTGTTCCTAATATCCAGGGATGGAGAGCATGATACTAGTTTTCATATGGCAGTAGGTGTACCCTCACCCTGTGACACCGATCCTAATACCCAGCGGGTAGAGTATGACATGACTGCCAACAGAGCAATCAATGTACAGCCACCCGGTGATATTGCTCCTAATATTCACGGAAGAAGCGTATGATACTACTCCCAATATTGCAGGGAGTGTATACCTCTTCTGTGTTATTGTTCCTAGTGTCCCGAGTGGGAGAGGATGATAATAATTCCAGCATCGCAGGCTGCGTTCACCCAGCCTGTGAAATTGTTATTAATAACCTGAAAGGGAGAGGATGATATTACTCTCTATAATAGATAGATACGACTCCCGATAATAGAGCAGGAGGTGGACACCCACCCTGTGATATTCTTCCTAATATTCAGAGGCCGAGAAGTTGATATTACTCCCAATATCGCAGGAAGTGTACACCCCCGTGTGAGATGGTCCTTAATAATATTCCAAGGCGGAGGGGGTAATATGACTCCATATATGGCAGAAAGTGGACACCCCCCAGGGATATTGTTCCCATGATCCTGGAGGGAAGAGGATGATAGGACTTTCAATATCACAGAAGGTGGACACGCCCCCACTAATATTCTTACCAATTGCAACGTGGGAGAGAAGGATATGACACGCGATATCCCAGGGAGTAGAAACTCCCCTGTGATACACTTCTTAATACTCAGGGAGGAAGAGGATGATATTACTCCCAATACAGACGGCTGCACACCCTCTGTACACGGAGGGTGTACAATCCGTCTGTGAAAGAGTTCATAATCTCCAGAGGGGGAGATGATATTACTCACAATATGGTAAACAGGCTGTGAGACCACCGCAGATCCTAAAAACCAGGGGGGGAAGAGGGCCTGGCTCTTACTCCCCGCATCATCGCGGGGGGCGCCTCGCCCCCCTGCGATGGGGGTCCTAAGAGCCAGGGGGGCAAGAGGGGCTGGCTCTTACTCCCCGCATCATAGCGGGGGGCGCCTCGCCCCCCTGCGATGGGGGTCCTAAGAGCCAGGGGGGGAAGAGGGGCTGGCTCTCACTCCCCACATCGCAAGTGGTGTGTGCAACCCCTGCGATATTGGGAGTGATATCATCGTCGCCCCCTGAACATAAGAAACAATATCGCAGTGGCATGTATACCCCCGCGATATTGGAATTAACATCATTTTCTCCCCCTCCGTATATTCGGAACAATATCACAGTGTGTGTGTACAGCCACTGCGACATTGCCGCTGGTATCTTCCTCTCCCTCCCAGGATAGAAGCGACAATGTCACAACAGGGTGTACATCCCCTGCGATATTGGGGGTGATATCTTCCTCTCCCCCGTTGCCTATTATGAACAATGTCACAGAAGAGGTGTACACCCCCTGCTCTGTTGGCAGTGATATCATCCTCTCCGTCCCTGGATATTAGGAACAATATCCCTAGGGAATGTACACCTCCGGCAATATTCAGACTAATATCATCCTCTCGCCCCCTGGATATTAGGATCAATATCACAGGGGTGGTGTGCACCCCCGGCGAAACTGGAAGAAATATCATCCTCTCCACCTTTGGATGTTAGGGACAGTATCACGGGGGAGGTCTCCGCCCACTGCGATTTTGGGAGTCATAAAATCCGCTCCCACCCAGGATATTTGGAACAAGATGACTGAAGGGATGAACACCCACTGCGATATTTTGCATAATGTCATCCTCTACCCCCTGGCTATTAGGAGTAACATCATAGAGGGGTGTACACTTTCTGCGATATTGGGAGTCATATCCTCTTCCCCACGGATATCGGGAACAGTTTTATTAGTTATTAATATTAATAAATATAATCCCAATTAATAGTAAACATCAATATTAATAACTACAGTGCGGACAGTAAAACGTAATGCGGATTAAAAATATTAATGACTACAATTAACAATTAATAGCAATATCAATATTAATATTAAAATAATGCTATCAGTTATTAATGTTACTTAAATCCATCATAAGTGATGTTGATAATAAAACAATGATTAATATTAATATTAATAACTAATATTATTTAAAATGACATTAATAGTAAGAATTAATTTTAATCATGCATAATCATATCTTTAAAATAATCATTAATGATTAATAACGTTATACTATTAATTAATATTACCATTGATAATCATTAATGAGACTGATGTTTAATAATTCATAATATTATTATTCCTAATACCGCAGGGGGTGTACACCTACCTGTGACATTGTTCCTAATATCCAGGAATGGAGAGCATGCTATTAGTTTTAATATCGCAGTAGGTGTACACTCACCCTGTGACAGTGATCCTAATATCCAGCGGGTGGAGTATGACATGACTGCCAACATAGCAATGAATGTACAGCCACCCGGTGATATTGCTCCTAATATTCACGGAAGAAGCGTATGATGTTACTCCCAATATCGCAGGGAGTGTACACTTCTTCTGTGATATTGTTCCTAGTATCCCGATGGGGAGAGGATGATAATAATTCCAGCATCGCAGGCTGTGTTCACCCACCCTGTGATATTGTTACTAATATCCTGAAAGGGAGGGGATGATATTACTCCCCATAATAGATAGATATTATTCCCCATAATAGAGCAGGAGGTGGACACCCACCCTGTGATATTCTTCCTAATATTCAGAGGCCGAGAGGTTGATATTACTCCCAATATCGCAGGAAGTGTACACCCCCGTGTGAGATGGTCCTTCATAATATTCCAAGGCGGAGGGGGTGATATGACTACATATGTCGCACAAAGTGTACACCCCCCAGGAATATTGTTCCCATGATCCTGGAGGGAAGAGGATGATATTACTTTAAATATCACAGAAAGTGGACACGCCCCCACTGATATTGTTTCTAATTGCAACGTGGGAGAGGAGGATATGACACCCAATATCGCAGGGAGTAGAAACACCCCTGTGATACTGTTCTGAATATTCAGGGAAGAAGAGGATGATATTACTCCCAATACAGACGGGTGTACACCCGTCTGTGAAATAGTTCATAATTTCCAGAGAGGAGATGATATTACTCACAATACGGTAAACAGGCTGTCAGTCGACCGCGGATCCTAAAAACCAGGGGGGGAAGAGGGGCTGGCTCTTACTCCCCGCATCGCGGGGGGCGCCTCACCCCCCGCCCCCTGCGATGGGGGTCCTAAGAGCCAGTGGGGGGAAGAGGGGCTGGCTCTTACTCCCCACATCGCGGGGGGGCGCCTCACCCCCCCCCCCGCGATGGTGGTCCTAAGAGCCAGGGTGGTAGAGGGGGTGGCTCTTACTCCACTTTGAATCGCGTCACTCAGGGTGGCCGCAGTCGCCCGCAGGGATGTTCCACAGGACAGGGCTTAGCTGCCTAAGGGGCTGCCTCAGCTATTGGTCAGTTACCTCATTTCCTGGTCAGGGAAGGAAAAAATGTAGCAGGACTAGCTGCAGACAAAACCTCTCAGACACCAAGTTGTAGGAGGAAGGGCTTTATTCAGCTGGGAGCATCAGCAAGCTACTGCCTCAAAATCGGAGCTCCCTGAATGCTCAATTTCTGTCTCTTTTAGTGGCTCACAACACTAAAGATTTCACTTGAAAGGGTCGTGATTGATTTGAGCAAACAGGTGGTACATGACAGGGGCTGCATGCTCCAGTAGTCAGTGTGAAACAGACTAGGGCAGGGTGTTTCAAAATGTTCTTCTATACAATGTCTGGAATCTATGAATAACATTGGTTTGTAAGTTATGAGTTGATTTTTAACTACTGGGTTTAGGACCGGCAGGCCCAGGCCTCGTTTTGAGCCTGGCGCGGGGCTGCCTGTTTTGGTTTTACTTCCTTGTTGTTTTTTCTTAAAACAGGTACTGAGTATAAAACAGTATAAAACAATATGAGAGGGTCTCTCTCTTCCCTCAGTACAGCAGCTCATTTCATATTACTACTTCACAAAGGAAAGTGAGTTTAATAAAGGAAGTCACTAAAAATCACTAATGTGATTTCAGTTAGACGATATCAAGTGGACAAATGCAGGAGATAGCACCTGAGTGCATTTAGATCCCCTGGATATAAACTGAGGAAGAAATTAAAGGATCTTCTAGTGAGATTTATTTCCGTGCACTCAGTTTCTTTCTACTGACAATATTATTTTTGAAAACTATAAATCGAATTCAGTGTTTTCAGCTGCAAAGGAGTCACTCAAATACAATATATGCAGTTCTAAAGCCTAGCTTTTTAGTACTTGTATCACAGACTGAGGAAACTGTTGACCAGGAATTATTTGAATAGTGTAATGCTCGCTTTTCCCAGCATTGACAGCAATTTGTTACCAGGAAAAATGTAGCAGACTTACCCCTTTGGTTGACATAGGAAAAATTCTCCAGTTGGTAAGACATGCTTTGAGAGTTTTTAATCACCATAGACTAATTCTCCAGCTTGGTATTTTCAGACACCTGGTAAATATTCTTTTATCAAAGACAATCTTGAACTTCTGTAAGAAAGAAAGGGAAAAAGAATTAGAACCAACGGCTTTTTCCTTTAATGAATTACGTTCTTTTAGAAGATGAGCTGCTGATAAGTTCTTTACTTGGGGACACTAACTTAGGCTTGTATTTTTTTTTTTTTTCCTTGAAAACTAGTTTGAATGTAAAAAGTACACATTTTGGCTATAATTAAAATGTCAAGAAATGACAGATGCTGGCAAGGCTGTGGAGAAAAGTAAGTGTTTATACACTGCTGGAGGGAATGTAAATTATTTAAGCCACTGTGGAAAACAGTTTGGAGAGTTCTCAAAGAACTTAAAACAGAGCTACCATTCAATGCAGAAATTCCATTAGAGTATATATCCAAAGGAATGTGGATTATTACATCAAAAAGACACATGCACTCATATTTTCATTGCTGTGCTAGTCACCATTGCAAAGACATGGAATCAACCTAGGTGCCTATCAGTAGTGGTGGATTGTATAAAAAAATGTGGTATATATGCAACATGGAATGCTACATAGCCATGAAAAAAAAGGAATCATGTCCTTTGTAGTAACATGGATGGAGCTGGAGACCATAATCCTAAGGGAATTAACATCAGAACAGGAAA
The DNA here is from genome assembly GCF_000001405.40 of Homo sapiens. NCBI lineage: Eukaryota > Metazoa > Chordata > Mammalia > Primates > Hominidae > Homo > Homo sapiens. The sequence goes on from NC_000012.12 coordinate 8,451,176, forward strand.
CCAAATACTGCACGTCCTCACTTATGAGTGGGAGTTAAACACTGAGCACACATGGATATAAATATGAAAACAATAGACATGGTGGATTACTAGTTGGGAGAGGGAGGATGGGGCAAGGTTTGAAAAACTATCTTTTGGGTACTGTGCTCACTAGCTGGGTCCAATATACTCAATGAGCAATCCTACACATGTACCCCCTGTATCTAAAATAAAAGCCAAGATATACAGTAAAAAGAAAGGACCTTAATAGTTATATAAAAATTAAAACGAGACACTTTTTTTGGTAAAAATAGCTTATGCTGTTGATGTTAATGAAGTTAATTTTTGATAAAAATATATATAATTTTTGTTATGTATTTATGAAAATAATAACCTGTTATAGAGTCAAAGCTTTAATCAGAATCTCACATGGGTCATTGGCCCATAAGAGTTTAATCATTATTCATCTAGATTGGTTTCAACTTCCCAACAACTCAACTCCACTACTCCAAACCCCTGATAAGGGTTAAGGGAAAACAAAATCATTTAGGGTTACCGAAATGAGCTGTCCCAATTCCAGTAATGGTGAACTAGCTTGTTGTAGACCAACTCTTGCACGAAGAACAACTAACAGAACAAAGTCGGCTTCAAAGCATTGGGGAGGTATCATGGCACTGAGGGATGGGGCACATGAGGGTACAGGTGTGACCAGTGTGGATCCATGAACAATAAACTGCCACTTTTCCCTCCTTCAATTTCTGGATCTACATAATCTCTAGAATCTTGATATAATCCCAGGGACAGAGGATAGTCCCAAGAATGACTTCCAAAGAATTTCTTATTATCCAGTGGTAATAGGAATCAACAATAACAAAAAACCTAATACATTGAAAATAATGAGATGTTATATGTCTTGTGTATTTGAGGATATATGTATATTTAAATTTAAAAATAAACTTTACTGTCAAAAATGCAAACTTGGGGAGGGCGGAAAGATCACAAACAAGGCTGCCACTTCACATCTGGAGGGTTGCACGGCCGCGGGGCAGAGGCTCTCCTCACCTCCGCCCCTCACTTCCCAGACAGTGGGTCGGCCGGGCAGAGGTGCTCCTCACTTCCCAGACGGTGCGGCGGCCGGGCAGGTATTTGAGGATATTTTATATTAATTTGTGTGGACCTCATATCTGAGTCTAAATATCTCCCAGGGGCAATGTTTGTCACCAGCAATCGATGTAATTGTTTTTATCTTAATTCAGATACAAGAGAATCAAGTTGTGCCTGCTTAGTTCAATCATGGATAGATCCAATCATGGATACCAGTTTTCAAAAGAACAACCCAATACTCCTTTTAGGAAAAGGATTTAGTTCATATTGTTAGTTCACCTCTCACATCTCATTTAAAAGAGATCAAGCCAAAACAACAATTTTCACTTTGTCTACTGGTATACTAGTATATGCTTTTATTTTCAATCTCTAGTAGTTCCCATCTTCTCCATTGCTTGTTTTTGCATTACTCCCTGGACAGGCTCAAAGAACTTAATGTTTGTTTGGAGATGTGGCCTGAGCCTGCCCACAATTCTGCTTTTGCTCTGATTTAGCATTCTCTCTCTTGATTTTGTTTTATATTATATTATATTTTATATTGGTGCATCTCTTCTTTTTGCCTTTGCTCCTACCATTTCAGCGCTCTTGATTCAAAGGCATGTCACTGTAATCTAGAAATTTATACAGGACAAATAAATAGAAAGAAGCAAAGAGAATGGAGCATAGGGTTGCTAATGGTCAAGACCAGAACGTGATTAGGGGAGCATAATAGGAGACAGATGAGAACCAAAGAAGTGTTTAAACTACTTTACCTCCAGATAGCTGAGGAGAATGCATTCTTTTACTGGACCACCAAGTGATTCAATCCTTGGGTTTGTGTTTCTTTGTCTCTGACGGGAACTGGAAACAAATGTTGACATCTTATAACCACTTCTTCTCTCTTGTCCTTTTATGATCAAATGCATCTCAAATTAACCATTGGGGAAGTTTTCTGAGCTTTTATCCTGTTACTCAATGTCTATTTCATCATTCGCTATAGCTGTAACTATCTTGTCACTTTAAAAATCCCTGTTCAGTTTAAAACCATTGTTGAGAGGTTTTTATGGAGGCTCTATTATGAAGGCATGGTTGGTTACATCATTAGCCATTAGTGACTGAACTCAATCTCCAGGCCTTTTTCTTCCCCGGAGGAGTGGGGCTGAAAGTTTCCATCCTCTAGTCACATGGTTGGTTCCTCTGGCAACCAGCCCCCATCCTGAAGCAGTCTTGGGGAACATCAAGAGTTACCTCACGAGCATAGACACCAGGCTTGGTTAAACTTGTTATGAATCATAAAAGACTCTCTTTTCATCTTAAAATTTTTTTTTTAATGTTCAGTTAGGTAACTATTGTTAATTTTTTTCTTTCATCTTTTATTGCCCTGGAGCTATTTCAGAAACTTGGAACAAAAAACAAATAGATAACATAAGATTTTTCTTACACCTTTATTACTCTAGAACATGGTTGAGAAGCTGAGGACAAAACCCAAACATTGTAACCAAATCATTTCTATCAACCAGGAAGTTTTAGGGTTTCAGAAGCTCTGTGATAAACAAAAATGAAATATACATGTTTCTTATAATATCACAAGTTCAATATTCTAGTAGATTTTCTTGTATACAAGATTGCTCACTTGAGAATGTGGAGCTGTTTGTGATGTTAATAGAATGATCTACATTTTAGAGACTGCATGTGAATGATTAAGTATTTCAAAGCCCTTAGGTAATGATTGGAGGAAACCAAAATAACCTTCTCTAAGATAACTGCAAATTGTTGAGCTGAAAAAGGTGGCAATGTAGGAGAACATTCTTCCCCTCCTTCTTCTTGCCTGTTGGCAGAACAACAATTTACAAAGACAAAGGTCTTCCTGTCTTCCTTTCTACTTTTCCCAGCTAAGGATTAGCTCCTTTACGATACTTGTAAAAGGATTTAGAAGCAGATTTTACTCTTCCTGTTAAAATACCTTCCTGTATTTCATTTCCTTTTGGAATCGTGAAGATACTCTCTTCTTTGTCTTTTCACTATCATCCTAAAGGAAGTAGCTGAAGCCACATTAATATAGAGAGTTTATTTGGGCAAAGGATGAGGACAGCTACCCAGGAAAACACTTGTAGGTTGCCTTGGGAAGTGGTCTAGAGAGCAAAGGAAAGACTGAAGATTTTAAAGAAAAAAGAATGAATCTGAAAAATCATGGAACCATCCCAAATGCTCATCAATCAATGAGTGGATAAAGAAACTGTGGTATAGATATACAATGGACCACTACTCAGTCATAAGAAGCAATGTATTAATAGCACTTGCACTGACCTGGATGAGATTGGAGACTATTATCCTAAGTGAAGTAACTCAGGAATGGAAAACCAAACATCATATGTTCTCAATGATATGGGGAGCTAAGCTACGATGACACAAAATGTATAAGAATGGTACAATGGACTTTGGGGACTTGGGGGGAAGAGTGGGAGGGGGATGAGGGATAAAATATTACAAATATGGTGCAGGGTATGCTGCTTGGGTGATGGGTGCACAAAAATCTCACAAATCACCACTAAAAACCTTACTCATGTAACCAAATACCACCTGTACCTCAATAACTTATGGAAAAATAAAAATTAAAAAAAGAATGAATCAGGAGAGGGAGTGAATTAAAAAGTTACTCATCAGTAAATTATCATTGGTTTACAGAAACCACATTGATTAGTAATTAGCTGTATACTGTTAAATTTTAGGGTTCAGTTAGTCTAGAACCTACATAGCAAATGGCTTCAAGAGGTAAATTTCGTGCAAGGTGGCAGTGAGGCATGACTCCTGTCATATCTCTCTCATGAGTCCACTCTGGACTTGATAGTTTCAAGGCACTCACATTCCTCAAATAACAGTTTTTTTTTTTTTTCGTTCTCAGCACTCCATAGATTTATGGCTGTTTGTTAACATACTATTTAAGCAAGGCCTGTAAGCCACTGCCATGAAAGAGATAAATACATTTGAACTGAGTTCTCTCCTGAGTGATGGGTATAACACACATTGATAAACTGCTGCTTTTTCTCTTGTTTCTCTGCCTTTTGTTTTCAGGACAGTGTCTCTACTAAGAATCTATGAGGACAAGAAAACATCATATATTTTCTGTGCTACAATATAAAATTCATGAAGCCTGTTTCTGATTTTATATCACTTCAGGCTCCCTTTTGCCTAATCAGGGAGATTACAAAATATCACTGACATCTGCCCAATATTAGTCTGGATGCAGTAAGAATGTTTCATCACCTTTGCAGACTGATTTCAGAATGTTTCATTTTGCAGTCACATTCCTTAACAATGTTCATGGGTTTTGTTATTTACTATGTTACCCTTCATATCTAAACCATATCCATCCAATCAAACTTTTGCTTACTACCTAGGACACTGTTCAACACATGGATTAAGGCTTGCATAAAATAAGCAGCCAATGTAAAGGTTAGTTAGGGAGCACTTAATTTAACCAAGTTCTCTAAATAGATGTCTTTTAGGAGATAAAAAATTTTCTATTTTGCATGCCAGAATGAATAGGAATCAGACAGAGAAATTTTATGTTAGAAACTGAAGAAATGATCTAAGTATTCTTGTCAAAGTTCTCATGAATGGTTTTCAATGTTTCTCAATTCCTCTTTTGTTTTTTTTAACCCCACGTATCGAAATCACTGGAAACTTTAGTTGTAATTGTGACTTCTTCTTTTGAGGTACACTTAATGTTGGAAGTCTCTTAGTCCTATAAGAGTGTGTAGCAGTTTGTCCCTGAGCTCTAGCTTCTTTAAATGAAGCTGAGTCTCTGGGCAACATCTTTAGGGAGAGAGGTACAAAAGGTTCCTGGACCTTCTCAACACAGGGAGCCTGCATAATGATGCAAGAGCAGCAACCTCAAAGTACAGGTGAGTATTTCCTCAGTTTCAGAGGAAAGTGGAAGTGTATGGTGAAATGAGATCACCTGGAGAGAAGAAGTAGCCAAAGAACAGATTGAAGAGCTAGTGATTGGACCAATATAGTAGACTCAAAGGAATTTGAAAGAAAGAGTAATTCTTCAGAGCCAGAGCCATAAGCACTTGAAAGAATAAGAAAGCAAATATTTTTTGGGAGGTTTGTACCAGATTTTATTGATAGTTTAGGGAGACAGAAAAGATTTACATGATAGAAGGTAAACAGGGAAATAACTGATTATTGGATGTCTGCTCTTCAAAGTCTTTTGACTAATTTTGAAATCCAGGAAGCAGTACTCTTTCCAATTACCCTAAGTTTTTTTGTACTTGCTTTTCTAATTTTTTTGTAAGAGAAAAGCTTCCCATTTTTAATGCATGAAAATTTGACTTTAGCTTCAACCCTTTGCATGTCCATCAATAATGTTTTAAAAAAATTTTTATTAAAATTTTTTATGGATACAAAATAGTTGTGCATGTTTATGGGCTCCATGTCATATTTTGACACAAGAATATGATGCGTAATGGTAAAGTCTGGAAAATTACATTATCCATCACCTCAAATATTTATCATGTCTTTGTGTTTGGAACATTCCAAATCTACTCTTCTAGCTATTTTGACATATGCAATAAATTATTGTTGGGTTAGGCTCAGTGGCTCACACCTGTAATCTCAGCACTTTGGGAGGCTGAGGTGGGTGGATCACTTGAGGTCAGGAGTTAGAGACCAGCCTGGCCAACATGGTGAAATCCCGTCTCTAATAAAAAGACAAAACTTAGCTGGGCATGGTGGCATGCACCTGTAATCCTAGCCACTCAGGAGGCTGAGGCAGGAGAATCACTTGAACCCAGGAGGTGGAGGTTGCAGGGTGCCAAGATTGCCTCATTGTGCTTCAGCCTGGGTGACAGAGTGAGACTCCATGTCAAAAAAAAAAAAAAGTTAACTACAGTTATCCTGCTGTGCTAAGGGACACTAGATTTTATTTCTTCTAGCTAATTGTATTTTTGTAGGTACGAAACAACCCTTCTCTATCTTCTCTTCCCAGTTAACCTTCCTGGCCTCTGGTAACCACCATTCTATTCACTACCTCCATGAGATCAATTTTTTTAACTCCCACATATGAGTCAGAATATGCAATGTTTGTCTTTCTGTGCCTGGCTCATTTCACTTAACACGATGTCCTCTGGTTCCATCTGTGCTGTTGCAAATGGCAGGATTTTATTCTTTTTTATGGTGGAATAATATGCCATTGTATATATTATACTACATTTTCTTTATCCATTCATCTGTTGATGGACACTTAGGTTGCTTTCATATCTTGGCTACTGTGAATAGTGCTACAATAAACATGGGAGTGCAGATATCTCTTGGATATACTGAAGAAACCAAATATCAATACAGAGATATGAGAAATGGGAGACAAAAGTGATGTTTTGAGAAACGAAATCAATGGAAACATGTAATAGTTTAGAAGAAAGAATAAAGACATGGAAATTCCAGTTGGTTGAGTGTATGTTTTACCTGTATTCTTTTGGACCACAGAGCTACTACCTGGTTATTTATTCTGAGGGAGTTTGTAAGCTGTCTTCTTGCTTTAAGTTTTTAACTGCTCTGAGGTTCTTCATCTAGTTTGTTCATTGTTGTAAGCTTCCTGGGGATTTTGGCTCCCTGGCCCCCTGGTAACTGCATTTGTTGTCTTCCTGATTGGACAGAGAAAAGAGGCTGGTTGTCCCTGAGACTCTGGTCTGTGGCTGGGATTTCCATTGCACTCCTCAGTGCTTGCTTCATTGTGAGCTGTGTAGGTAAGTTCTTCACTGAGGTGCATTTTCCTTGCTTCCTTTCCCTTGAATATTCCATACAGGTTTCCTAGGATATATTCTCCTTTGCCCCATTAATACGTCAGCTCTTACTTGGAATGCCACACTTTCCTTGATTTCTCCTTTTCCCTTTGTTTTTCTCCCTCTATCTTTTGAAAACTGAATTCTTGTAGATGTACTTTACCTGGTTTTATTAGCATTTTCTGAATCATGGCCTCACATATCCATGTTGTCCATTGTAGCCATCATCTAAGACACCATCTTTCAGGACTGGATTCACTAGTAATTGTGTGTTCCCTGGTGACAAAACTCTTGTATTGGGAGTGCAACTCTAATTGCTGTCATAATTGTCATATTCTATATTAGATTCTTTGATTCATGTGCAGATCCTTTCCAATGTGAGAGGAAAAAGTATTCAAATGAAATGATGGAGATAAAGAGGATAAAATATTTCTTCCCTGTTCTGCTTGCCTCCAAATACATGTCTCAAGTTCATTGTGTGAGAAGTCTTAAAGACCTTTTTCCTCTCCGATTCACAATTTGGATTTCTATTCATTGATAAGGTGATTAAAAATGGGTATTGAATAGTCTGGGAGGGAGTGAAAGTGACTTCCCCTGTCAATCAGGTTGTAGCTATAGTTCCCTCAGAGATTTAAATAAATCTCACAATATTTAGTAAAATACAAATAATTATCACCAAAGTTAGAATCTGTTTTACTTTTCATAATCAAGTGCAAGAGAGAAGGGGGTTTAAGAATAGTTATTTCATAAAAAGAAACACAAATTCAGGATCTCAAAACATGAACTAAGAGCGGGGCAGAAAGATTTGGTTGTATTGAGCTCTAGTTATAGAAGGACAAAAAAGAAATGAGTGAAGAATCAGATCAGATCCTGAGAGATAAAAGGTCTTGCTGAAAGTGAACATTAACATAAAAGTTAATGTTCATTTGAGACATTAAAAATATTTTTATAAACGTTTAAAGTTTCCCCTTGGTGGTTACTTAGCCCATATGTTTATGTGTGGCTACCTGCAGCTAGAATTATCTAGAAAACATCAAAATAACCTGTGTGCTTGCATCAAGGTTATTAAGGCTAAGGAGAAGCAGACATCCAGTGAGTCCATAAATATTTATTGATGACTTTGTGACAGTTACCCTTGTAGGTGTTTGTGATTAAAAAAAATTATCAGTTTTCACCTTCAGACTTCCTTCTTTTTTTATAATAAAATATTTTTAAATTATTATTTAAAATTGTGGGTACATAGTAGGTGTATATATTTACGGGGTACATGAGATGTTTTGATACCTTTAAGTTGTGTTTGTGATTAATTGTTGTGGGAAACAGGCAGAATCTCTGTCCAAGAGCATGGAGCCTAAATTCTAGTGGTGAAAAGACCAAAAAATTAAATGAGGGATATATATAAAAAAATAAGATAAGTGAATACAAGCAAATAATAATTTGGCATGGTTTTTATGGGGCTTGCCTAGAGAAACAGCAGTGGGGGTCAGAGGTAAGCCAGCACTGTACAGATATAGAGCCTAAGGCTTTATAGCAAAATAATAGATGGACACTAATCCTTCTTCTTCCTTTACAGTAACTTACCATTTTACATATGGTGAAACTGGCAAAAGGCTGTCTGAACTACACTCATATCATTCAAGTCTCACCTGCTTCAGTGAAGGGACAAAGGTGCCAGGTAAATCTTTAAAATACTGAAATAGACTTTCTTTTTTCTCAGGGAGAGATCAGGGTTGAGCTCAAGATTGGTGTATTCTATTGTGCATTTGTGTGTGTATGTTTTATTAAAGCCTCTGCTTGGATATTTTCATAATTTCTCTAAACATACATGTTCATATCAGGCTCTAGACATGCCTCCAGAATAATTTCTTCATCACACTTCTTGAGCTTGGTAAATATTATAAACCTACATGCATGTAATTTGCTCAGGCCAACCCTGGAAATTATTTATAACAATTCTTACAGTTCTTACATTCCCCTCACCCTCCATCATAAAATAATTTCTTTGACATTTAAGGTTTCCAATTAATACTACCCATCTCCATCCCAAATACTAGCTTTATTCCTGGTCAAATTGGTTCAGGATGAGACTGATGCCTGTCCAAAATATACTGTTGTTAACTTCATATGCGGAGAGTTGGCAGAGTTGAATTTAGGATTATGGTTGGTGTATTAGTCAGTTTTCATGCTGCTGGTAAAGACATACCCGAGACTGGGCAATTTACAAAAGAAAGAGGTTTATTGGACTCACAGTTCCACGTGGCTGGGGAGACCTCACAATCATGGTGGAAGGTGAAAGTCACATCTCACATGGCAGCAGACAAGAGAAGAGAGAATGAGAGCCAAGTGAGATGGGTTTCCTCTTATCAAACCATCAGATCTTGTGAGACTTATTCACTACCGGGAGAACAGTAAGGGGGAAACCACCCCCAAGATTCAATTATCTCCCACAGGGTCCCTCTCACAGCACGTGGGAATTATGGGAGTACAATTCAAGGTGAGATTTGGGTGGAGACAGAGAACCAAACCATATCAGTCAGCTTCATGGAAAAGGGGAAGAGCCTTTCTGTCTGGCGGAAGCCATCACATAAGTCAAGATGGGTGCATACAAGTATATCCAGGAGCTATGGAGAAAGAAGCAGTCTGATGTCATGAGCTTTCTTCTGAGGGTCCGCTGCTGGCAGTACCGCCAGCTCTCTGCTCTCCACAGGGCTCCCCACCCCACCTGGCCTGATAAAGCGGGCCGACTGGGCTACAAGGCCAAACAAGGTTACCTTATATATAGGATTCGTGTTAGCCCTGGTGGCCAAAAACGCCCAGTTCCTAAGGGTACAACTTACCGCAAGCCTGTCTATCACGGTGTTAACCAGCCAAAGTTTGCTCCAAACCTTCAGTCTGTTGCAGAGGAGCGAGCTGGATGCCACTGTGGGGCTCTAAGAGTCCCAAATTCTTACTGCGTTGGTGAAGATTCCACATAAAAATTTTTGGGGGTTATCCTCATTGATCCATTCTATAAAGCTATCAGAAGAAATCCTGACACCCAGTGGATCACCAAACCAGTCCACAAGCACAGGGAGATGTGTGGGCTGACATCTGCAGGCTGAAAGAGCCGTGGCCTTGGAAAGGGCCATAAGTTCCACCACACTATTTGTGGTTCTCATCTGGCAGATTGGAGAATGTGCAATACTCTCCAGCTCCACCGTTACCGCTAACATAAGTAAAGTTTGTAAAATTCATACCTAATAAGCAATTTAGGACAGTCAAAAAAAAACAAGAAAAGAAAAGAAAAAGGGAAAGAGAAGTAAAGTGCATAGTTTTCTTCTCACCTATGTGGAACACTGTTTCAACAACTAGCATTTGAATGAATATTTTCCTGGAAACAACAATGGGCACCTTAGCTTTTGCCTTCAGAATGCCCTGAAATGGGACAGAGATGGATATTAATTAAATTAACTCCATATCCATCTGGCATAAGAGACTGTTCATTTGCCCCCTAAGTATATCCAATGTAAATGACCAGCCAAGCTGTTCAATACAACTACTTAAAGTTACAGAAAAGCTTATGTGATAAAATACAATTATTTTGTATAATACCATGTCAGCAAATAAAAGTGCTCCAATTTTAACAACATCCTTTCAAATGATCATTACAATGAAAAATAAAAATAAAAGTCCATACACAAAATTTCCATTTTGATTAACGTTAAAAAATAATTGAAATCCACATTGTATCTTCTTCAGTTTGTTTCCCACTCAGTTTTAGTCAGAGTGTGGAGACTTTCAGCTGCATACGAAGAGCTAGAGTTCCTTCAATCCACCTGCACTCGACCTAGGCCAGTTTTGACTGTTTTGCTTGTCAACCCCCAAAAAGGATTTTGAAAACATATATGCCCTCCAATACAGTTTAATTTTGTGGGGAAAAGAAAGAGCGATCAGATTGTTACTGTGTCTGTGTAGAAAGAAGTAGACATAGGAGACTCCATTTTGTTCCGTACTAAGAAAAATTCTTCTGCCTTGAGATGCTGTTAATCTGTAGCCTTACCCCCAACCCCGTGCTCTCTGAAACACGTGCTGTGTCAACTCAGGGTTAAATGGATTAAGGGCTGTGCAGGATGTGCTTTGTTAAACAGATGCTTGAAGGCAGCATGCTCCTTAAGAGTCATCACCACTCCCTAATCTCAAGTACCCAGGGACACAAACACTGCGGAAGGCCGCAGGGACCTCTGCCTAGGAAAGCCAGGTATTGTCCAAGGTTTCTCCCCATGTGATAGTCTGAAATATGGCCTCGTGGGAAGGGAAACACCTGACCGTCCCCCAGCCTGACACCCGTAAAGGGTCTGTGCTGAGGAGGATTAGTATAAGAGGAAGGCATGCCTCTTTGCAGTTGAGACAAGAGGAAGGCATCTGTCTCCTGCCCGTCCATGGGCAATGGAATGTCTCGGTATAAAACCCGATTGTATGTTCCATCTACTGAGATAGGGGAAAACCGCCTTAGGGCTGGAGGTGGGACATGCGGGCAACAATACTGCTCTGTAAGTCATTGAGATGTTTATGTGTATGCATATCTAAAGCACAGCACTTAATTCTTTACCTTGTCTATGATGCAGATACCTTTGTTCACGTGTTTATCTGCTGACCTTCTCTCCACTATTATCTTATGACCCTGCCACATCCCCCTCTCTGAGAAACACCCAAAAATGATCAATAAATACTAAGGGAACTCAGAGGCTGGCGGGATCCTCCATATGCTGAACGCTGGTTCCCTGGGTCCCCTTATTTCTTTCTCTATACTTTGTCTCTGTGTCTTTTTCTTTTCCAAGTCTCTCGTTCCACCTAACGAGAAACACCCACAGGTGTGGAGGGGCAACCCACCCCTTCATAATTTGACATCAGATTTTTATCATGCTATAGAAGCAAAAGCTTTAATTTCTGGAACATTGTAAATATTGACTTTAAAAAACAAAAATGTTATTTCTCTTTTAAAATGTATTTACTTGGGTGTAAATACTATTACAAAGTGTTAACCCCCATCACCCATTAAAACAATCAGAAACATGTATTGTTTAACAGTTGGATGTTTTACATCATTTTTCTATCCCCTTGAACTAAAATTTACATGATACTTTTCTCATCTGTCAAAATATGTAGATAAACATGCCTAATATTTTAATTTCCTGTGGCCCATTAGGCTTCGAGTGGTATAAAATGTGTTCTGCATTGATTTACTATCATAATTATTATCAGGACACAATATCAAAACATCACAAAGTTATTATAGATTTTGATAAATCATTAATAATTAAGTAAAACTTGGAAGTCTAAATCTTAATGAGATGAGTGGAACTTTGAAAAAATGCTATCGAATGTAATTATAATATTGTTGCTAACATATTCAACACCAATTCATCTCCTATTTTCCAATTTAATGACATTAACTGAAAAATCTTGCTCACTAAGTCAGTAAATTAGAATGAAAAAGGCTTTGTTTGAATGTCACTCAATTTTGGATATTCTTTCAGCATTATCTGCTTATGACGATATAGTGATCTGTTGTCAAAAATTATTTATAATGGTTTGTAAACTGAGAATTTGATCAGGTTACTCCCAATGTTATTGAAAGTAAAGAAAAAGAAATATTATAGAATAATTTTGCAAAAGATTTATTTCTCAGTCAGTAGTTATTTGCTTTCTCAAAGGTATACCAAAAAGTGTTCTAATAAGGCTTATCAAATGATTATGATTTACACCTGCTACTTTCTACACTTGCAAAGTAACGTGATCAGCTCATTATTCTCAGCATAAATTGAGAAAATAAAATACTATTAACGTTAGCATACCCTTTTGACAGATGCTTTTATTGATCACAGCTGTCAATATTTTTTGTCAGCCTTGGAGCTGGCAATTTCACATGTTCAACTTACAAAAAATGTTTGGTGTACATAGCTCAACTGGCAAAGTCAGTCAAATTTGACTTTCAAAATTCAAATCGTATGTTAATACATACTTTGAGACATATTAAAGCAATCATTAATAATGAGCAGAATGCACAATGAAGGTATATTTCTAAAAGCAGCCAATATGCAAATAATATAGGTATGGTTAATCTATTTTATTCATTTTATAACATTATAAAAGGAAGAATAAGATTTTTGGTTTTTAATCACTTAATATGTAATGATATAGTTATGTAAAAAAATGAATAAAATAGAACTATATGTAATAACATGGATGAATATTAGTAATGCAAAATAAAAAAATAAGCCCAAGAAGATCACATATCTTATCATTGCTGTTTAAAATTTCTTTCTTTTTCTTTTTTTTTTTTTTGAGACGGAGTCTCTCTCTGTCGCCCAGGCTGGAGTGCGGTGGTGCAATCTCGGCTCACTGTAAGCTCCGCCTCCTGGGTTCACGCCATTCTCCTGCCTCAGCCTCCAGAGTGCTGGGACTAAAGGCGTCCGCCACCACACCTGGCTAATTTCTTTTTGTATTTTTAGTAGAGATCGGGGTTTCATCTTGTTAGCCAGGATGGTCTTGATCTCCTGACCTCGTGATCCGCCCGCCTCGGCCTCCCAAAGTGCTGGGATTACAGGCATGAGCCACTGCGCCTGGCCTAAAATTTCATAACAAAACAAATCTAAACAATTTACTATTTAGGCATACATATATATTTGTTTAAATTATACTTAATCAAAATCATATTGATATAAAATATATCAGTGGATTTGTATATGGCTAGCTATGGATTTCTTTAATCCTAGAAGAGTGGCAAACTGGTACTTGTAAGGGAAGAGAACTGCTAATTGTTTAAGATGCTTAAAGCATTTAATACTGTGTGAAAATTAGTAATAGGTAACATTTATTGAGCAATTATTCTATGTTAAGCACCTTTTAAAATGCTTTATACATTTTATGTGATTAAGTCCCCCTGTGAGGTTGGCACTATTATTATTTCCATTTTAGAGATGGAATCATTGAGGCTCAAGAAGGTTATGAATTTGCTCAAAGACATACATGATAAATGGAATTCTAATGAGGCACAATTCTAATTCTCATAACCAACTTGTGAATAGTTACCATTTTGAAAACCTAAGGCTCTGTGGCTTGCCCAAGATTACTGAGCAGAACTGGGTTTCTAGGTTCGTCTGTGTTAGTCGTTTAAAATTCTAAGAGGACTTGGTGCTGATAATGTATAAGGGACATGAAAAACAAAACTCAATAGTGACTTTTTTTTTTTTTGCAAAAAAGAAAATTGGGAGAAATTCTGCAGGTAAACTTTAGTAAATATTGAGGACTTAATGCTAAAGAATGTTTATGTGAAATCAATTCTAGGAACCCAAATTCTATAATTCAGGAAACAGTAAAAACGTGAATTAAGAAACTGTCTCTACAAAGCAATTGCAGATCATTAATCTCATTTATCTTATCTTGCACTCACTCTTTTTTTTCATGTAACACAAAAATAGCCTGGGGATGTTGCCCAGCTTCTTGGAAGTCATTTGGTTCCAGTTGCTACTTCATTTCCAGTGAAGAGAAGGTTTGGTCTAAGAGTGAGCAGAACTGTGTTGAGATGGGAGCACATTTGGTTGTGTTCAACACAGAAGCAGAGCAGGTACTGTTTCCATTTAAAATTTATTTAATTGTAGAGAAAACACACAATATAAAATTTACTGTCATAACCATTTTTCAGTGTACTGTTCAGTAGCATTTACTATTTTCACATTACTGGGTAACAGATCTCTAGAACTTTTTCATCTTGCAAAACTGGAACTCCCCACCCATTGAACAACAACTACCCATTTCCCCATCCCTGAAAGCCCTGGCAATCACTCCTCTGCTTTCTGTTTCTATGAGTTTGACTATTTTAAATACTTAATATAAGTGAAATTATATAGTATTTGTCATTTTTTGAATAACCTACTTCATTTAGTATAATATCCACAAGATTCGTCCATGTTCTCATATATGACAGGACTTTCTTTCACTTTAGGGCTGAATAACATTCCATTGTATGTGTATCTAACACTTGTTTTTTGTTTCTTTGTTTTATTTGATTTCTTATTTTCCAGGTTTATTGAAGTGTGACTGACCACCAAAAGTAGTATATATTTAAGGTGTACACTGTGATGATTTGATATACAAATATATTGTGAAATGGTTACCACAATCAAGCTAATTAATATATCTATTACCTCATATATTTAGCCTTCTTTTTCTCCTTTTTTGTGGTGAGAACACATAAGATGCTACATTTCCATTCATTTACTTGTCAATTGTCACTTAGGTTGCTTCCACTTTGCAGCTATTGTGAATAATTGTGCAATGAATGTGGGTGGGCAAATAATCTTTTAGAGTTTTTGCTTTTAATTCTTTGGATATATACCCACAAGTGGGATTGCTGGATCACAAGTTAGTTCTATTTTTAATTTTTTGAGGAACCTTCATACTGTTTTCATGATGACTGTGCCATTTAACATCACCAGCAAGAGTATCCAAGGGTCTCACTTCACATTCTGGTCAACACTTGTTATTTTCTGTTTTGCTTTTTGAATAGTGACAATCCTAATGGATGTGAGGTAATATCTCATTGTGATTTTGATTTGTATTCCTTTAATGATTAGTGATGTTGAGCAAGTGTTGTTTTGTTTTTTTTTTTGAGACAGAGTGTCGCTCTGTTGCCCAGGCTGGAGTGCAGTGGCGCAATCTCAGCTCACTGCAACATCTGCCTCCCGGGTTCAAGCAATTCTCTGCCTCAACCTCCCGAGTAGCTGGGCTTACAGGTGCCTGCCACCACGATTGGCTAATTTTTGTATTTTTAGTAAAGATGGGTTTCACCATCTTGGTCAGGCTGGTCTTGAACTCCTGACCTCGTGATCCACCTGCCTTGGCCTCCCAAAGTGCTGGGGTTACAGGCGTGAGCCACCTCACCCGACTGGCAACTTTTAAAACGTACTGTTGACAATGTGTATATCTTCTTTGGAGAAATGTCTATTCAAGTCCTTTGCCCTCTTTTTAACTGTGTTATTTGTTTTATTGTTGTTGAGTTGGAGGTGTTCCTTATATATTCTTGATATTAACCCCTTACCAGATATATGGTTTGCAAGTATTTTCTTTTATTCCTTAGGCTGTCTTTTCCTTAGTTGATTGTTTCCTTTGCTTTGTAGAAGTTTTTAGTTTGGTGGAGTTCCATTTGTCTATTTTTTTGCTTTTGCTCCCCATGATTTTGGTTTCATATCCAATACATTGCTAATTTCAATGTCATGAATCTTTTTGCTTATGTTTTCTTCCTGGAGTTTTACAGTTTTAGGCCTTTGTTTAGGTCTTTAAAACATTTTGAGTTAATTTCTTATATGACGTAAGGTAAGGATTCAACTTGATTATTTTGCCTATGGATATCCAGTATTTCTAGCTCCATTTGTTAAAGAGAGATTGTCTTTCCCCATTGTGTGGTATTGGCACCTTGTTGGAGACTATTTGACCATATATGTGAGTGTTTATTTCTGGACTCTCTATTCTGTTCCATTGGTCTCTATGTCTGTCTTTATGCCAGCACCACACTGCTTCGATTACTGTAGCTTTGGAAGATATTTTGAAATCAGGAAGTGTGAGGCATCCAACTTTGTTCTTTTTCAAGGTTATTTTGGCTATTAGGGATTTCTTGATATTCCATATGAACTTTAGAATTTTCTTTCTTTCTGCAAAAAATAACATTGGGATTTTGGTAGGGATCACATTGACTCTTTAGATTGCATTTTAACTATATTAAGCCTACCAATCATTAAACATGAGATGTATTTCCATTGATTTGTGTCCTCTTTGGTTTCCTTTATCAATGTTTTGTAGTTTTTATAGTGCAAGTGCTTTGCCTCCTTGGTTAAGATTATTTCTAAGTATTTTATTATTTTTGATGCTACTTTATTTATTTTGCTTTTTTTTTTTCCCCAAGACGGAGTTTTGCTCTGTCACCAGGCTGGAGTGCAGTGGTGTGATCTTGGCTCACTGTGACCTCTGCCTCCCAGGTTCAAATGATTCTCCAGCCTCAGCCTCCCAAGTAGCTAGGATTACAGGCATGAGCCACTATGCCCAGCTAATGTTTTGTATTTTTAGTAGAGATAGGGTTTCACCATGTTGGCCAGGCTGGTCTTGAACTCCTGACTTCAAGTGATCCACCCACCTCGGCCTCCCAAAGGGCTGGGATTACAGGCGTGAGCCACCACATGTGGCCTTGATGCTACTTTAAATGGGATTATTTTCTCAATTTTCTTTTTAGATTGTTTATTTTTAGTGTTTAGAAATGATACTATTTTTTCTACATTGATTTTGCATTCTGAAACTGCTGAATTTGCTTATGAGTTCTAACAGATTTTTTGTTGAATATTTAGGGTTTGTTACATATAAGATTATGTCATCTGTGAACAGAGACAATTTTACTTCTTCCTTTCTTATTTGGATAATTTTTTTCTCTTCCTTGCCAAGTTGCTCTGGCTAGGACTTCCAGTACTATGTTGAAAAGAAGTGATGAGATTAGGCATTCTTGCCTTGTTCTGAATCTTAGAGGAAAAGCTTTTAATTTCTCAAAATTTAGTATGATCCAGGGATGCAAGGATGGTTTAATATCTGCAAGTCAATTAACGTGATACACCATATAAACAGAATTAAAAACAAAAATTATATGATCATCTCGATAGACCCAGAAAAACCATTTGACAAAATCCAGCATATCTTTATTATTAAAACCCTCAGTAAAATCAGCATAGACGGGACATAGCTTGAGGTAATAAAAGTCATCTATGACAAACCTACAGCCAACATTATACTCAACAGGGAAAAGTTAAAATCATTCCCCCTGAGAACTGAAACAAGACAAGGATGCCCACTCTTACCATTTTTATTCAACATAGTACTGGAAGTCCTAGCCAGAGCAATCAGACAAGAGAAAAAAACCAAAGGGCATCCAAATTGGTAATAAGGAAGTTGAACAATTGCTGTTTGCTGATGACATGGTTATACCTAGAAAACCCTAAAGACTCATCCAAAAAGTTCCTAAAACTGATAAATGAGTTCAGCAAAGTTTCAGGATACAAAATTAATGTACACAAATCAGTAGCTCTGCTATATACTATCAGTGGCCATGTGGAGAATCAAATCAAGAACTCAACCCCTTTTACAGTAGCTGCAAAACAAAAATATTTAGGAATTTACTTAACCAAGGAGGTGAAAGACCTCTCTAAGGAAAACTACAAAACACTGCTGAAAGAAATCACAGATGACACAAGCAAATGGAAACACATCCTATGCTCATGGATGATTAGAATCAATATTGTTAAAATGACCATATTGCCAAAAGCAGTCTACAAATTCAATGTAATTTCCATAAAAGTACCACCATCATTCCTCTCAGAACTAGAAAAAAAAAACCCTAAAATTCATATGGAATCAAAAAAGATGCTGCATAGCCAAAGTAAGACTAAGCAAAAAGAACAGATCTGGAGGCATTACATTACCTAACTCTAAACTATACTATAAGGCCGTATTCACCAAAACAACATGGTACTGGTATAAAAAGAGACACATGGACCAATGGAACAGAATAGAGAACCCAGAAATAAAGCCAAATATTTACAGTCAACATCTTCAACAAAGCAAACAAAAACGTAAAGTGGGAAAAGGACACCCTATTCAACAAACCGTGGTGGGATAATTGGCAAGCCACATGTAGAAGAATGAAACTGGCTCCTGATTTCTCATCTTATACAAAAATCAACTCAAGGTGGATCAAGGACTTAAATCTAAGACCTGGAACCATAAAAATTCTAGAAGATAACATTGGAAAAACCCTTCTAGACATTGGCTTAGGCAAAGACTTCATGACCAAGAACCCAAAAGCAAATGCAACCTAAACAAAGATAAATAGCTGAGACTTAATTAAACTAAAAAGCTTTGCACAGCAAAAGAAATAATCAGCAGAGTAAACAGACAACACACAAAGTAGGAGAAAATCTTTGCAATCTCTACATTCAACAAAAGACTAATATCCAGAATCTTCAATGAACTTGAACAAATCAGCAAGAAAAATACAAACAATCCCATCAAAAAGTGGGCTAAGGACATGAATAGACAATTCTCTAAAGAAGATATACAAATGACCAACAAACTTATGAAAAAATGCTCAACATCACTAATGATCAGGGAAATGTAAATCAAAACCACAATGTGATACCACCTTACTCCTGCAAGAATGGCCATAATCAAAACATCAAAATATAATAGATGTTGGTGTAGAGGTGCTGAAAAGGGAATACTTTTACTGTTGGTGGGAATGTAAACTAGTACAACCACTGTGGAAAGCATTGTGGGGATTCCTTAAAGAACTAAAAGCAGAATTACCTTTGATCCAGCAATCCCACTACTGGGTATCTACCCAGAGGAAAATAAGTCATTATATGAAAAAGATACTTGTACATGCATGTTTATAGCAGCACAATTCACAATTGAAAAAATGTGAAACCAGCCCAAATGCCTGTCATTTGTCTATAATACTACTCAGCCATAAAAAGAAATGAAATAATGGCATTGGCAGCAACTTGGATGGAATTAAAGACCATTATTCTAAGTGAAGTAACTCAGGAATGGAAAACCAAACATCGTATATTCTCACTCATAAGTGGGAGCTAAGCTATGAGGATGCAAAGGCATAAGAATAATATAATGGACTTTGGGGAGTCAGGGGAAAGTGTGAGAAATGGGTGAGGGATAAAAGACTACACATTGGGTACAGTGTACACTGCTTAGGTATGGGTGCACCAAAATATCAGAAATCACCACTAAAGAACTTATTCATGTAACCAAACACCATATGTTCCCCCAAAACATATTGAAATAAAAAAAATTGAGTATGATGTTAGTCATGGGATTTATATATATGACTTTTATCATGTTGAGATACTTTCCTTCTGTTCCTTGTTTGCTGAGTGTTTTTATTAGTAAAGGATGTTGTATTTTGTCAAATGGGTTTTATGCACCAATTGAGGTAATCAGGTGGTTTTTGTTCTTAATTTTCATAATGTGGTTTATTACATTGATTTTCATGTGTTGAACAATTTTTACATTCCAGAAATAAATCCCAGTTTGTCATTGTGTGTAACCCTTTTAGTATATTATTGGAGTGGTTTGTAGTATTCTGCTGAGAGTTTTTATATCAGTATTCATCAGACACATTAGTCTGTTGTTTTTTCATAGTATCTTTTTCTAGTTTTGATACCAGGAAAATGCTGATCTCATCAAATGAGTTCAGAAATATTTCCTCCTCTTCGATTTTTTGATATTGTTTCAGGAGGATTAGTGTTAATTCTTCTTTAAATGTATGGTAGAATTCACCAGTGAAGCCTTCTGATTCTGGGCTTTTTTTTGTTGGGAGGTTTTGATTACAGATTAATTTCCCTACTAGTTATTGATCTATTCAGATTTTTATTTCTTTATCATTCAGTCTTGGCAGGTGGTATGTTTCTAGAATTCTATGAATTTCTTCTGTTACCTAATTTATTGGCATATAATTGTTCTCAGTAGTCTCTTATAATCCCTTTTATTTCTGCAGATATTTTGTAATATCTTCTATTTCACATCTCATTTTAGTCATTTGAATCTTCTTTCCTTTTTCTTACTTAGTCTAGATAAGCATTTGTCAATGTCTCCTACTCATAGCTTAGCTCCCACTTATTATGGTGGTGTCTATTTCTCCCTTTCTCTTCTTCACTTTTGAATGATAGTTTTCCCAGATACAATTTTCTTAGTTGGCTGATTTTATTTTTTTCAGTATTTTGAATGTATCATAACAGTCCCTTCTGTCCTGCAAGGTTTCACTGAGAAATCTGCTGACAGTTATAGGAGCTTGGTTGTACATGATGAGCACTTTTCTCTTGCTGCTTTTAACATTCTTTCTCTCTGACTTTTGACAGTTTGATTAAGACAGTGTCTAGAGATTTATTTTGTTCCTTTAATTTAGCCTTTTTTGTTGTTTCATTGTACATCTTGAGATCTTTTGTTTACATTTAGGCATCAAAAAAACACCTATTCTAGTGTTTATTGTCTGGCTTCATACAGACCTTCACCAATCAGCCTGGGTATAGATTCCAGGAGTCTCTCAAACTTTTTCTGGTGATGCATCTTCTCTGGATCTGTGTGTGTACTTTTCCAGATAAAGTAATTTACACAGGTTTCATTTTTAGGAGCTTGTATTCTCTTGCTTTACCTGGTGTCTATATGCAGTACCAGTCTCTTTAGAGCAGTAATAAGCTGCCATGCTTGCTTTCGTTCTCAGCCACCACCAAGTATCCCAAATATGTTGTGTTTCCTATTAGCAGTCTGAATTAGGTGTGACAGAAACCAGTCCCTAAGGCAGTCCCCTGGAAAGCCAGAAAACTGATGCATGTTTCACTCTTCTCTTTCCCTTCCAAGAGAGATGCTTAGAGATGGGAGTTTTTTCTCTATTGCATTGTGCCCCAGTATGAGGAAGGATTATGGCAAGTAAATGCAGCAAACTTTCTTACCTGCTTCAATGCCAGTTTTCTTGGCTTTGGTCTTACCAGTGGTGCTGTAAACTTTTAACTATTTTCTGAAGTTTACAAAGGCAATTTGGTTCATATATTAAGTCAGTGTCTTCATGGGGGAACTAGGGCATGGGGCTTTATATTCTGCCATCTTACTGACATCAGTGGAACATGTACTTTTAAAAATTAATTTCAACTTCTGTCTCAGATTTAGAAAGTACATGTTCATGTTTGTTATATGGGTATATTGCACAATGCTGAGGTTTGGGGTACAACTGATCCTGTTACCCAGGTCCTAAGTGTAGTACTCAATAGTTAGTATTTCAACCATTACCCCATTCCATTCCCTCTCCCTTCCTCCTCTACTAGTCCCCAGTATCTATTTTTGCTAAGTTTATATCCATGAGTACTCAGTGTTTAGCTCCTACTTCTTTTTTTTTTTTTTTTTTTGAGACGGAGTTTCGCTCTGTCGCCCAGGCTGGAGTGCAGTGGCGCGATCTCGACTCACTGCAAGCTCCGCCTCCCGGGTTCACGCCATTCTCCTGCCTCAGCCTCCTGTGTAGCTGGGACTACAGGCACGCGCCACCATGCCCGGCTAATTTTTGTATTTTTAGTAGAGACGGGGTTTCACCGTGTTAGCCAGGATGGTCTCGATCTCCTGACCTCGTGATCCGCCCGTCTCGGCCTCCCAAAGTGCTGGGATTACAGGCGTGAGCCACCGCGCCCGGCCAGCTCCTACTTCTTATAAGTGAGAACATGTGGTATTTGGTTTTCTGTTCCTGTGTGAATTCACTTAGGATAATGGCCTCCAGCTGCATCCATGTTGCTGCAAAGGACATGATTTAAATCATTTTAATGACTATATAGTATTCCATGGTGTATATGTATTATATTTTCTTTATCCAATTCACCATTGATAGGCACCTAGGTCGATTCCATGTTTTTACTATTGGAAATACCATTGCAATGAACATATGAGTACATACTTTTTTTGGTGAAATGGTTCATTTGCTGCTGGATATATACCTAGTAATGGGATTTCTGGGTTGAATGGTACTTCTGTTTTATGTTTTTTGAGAAATCTCCAAATTGCTTTCCATGGAGGCTGAACTAATTCGCATTCCCACCAGCAATGTATGTAAGTGTTCCCTTTTCTCTACAGCCTCTCCAGCATGTGCTGTTTTTGACTTTTAAGTAATAGCCATACTGACTGCTGTGAGATGGTATCTCATTGTGCTTTTTGTTTGCATTTTTTTCATGATTAGAGATGTGCATTTTTTCTTATGTTTGTTGGCTGCTTATATATCTTCTTTTGAGAAGTGTCTGTTTATGTCTTTTGCCCATTTTTTAATGGGGTTGTTTGTTTCTTGTTTGTTCAATTGTTCAAGTTCCAGATAGATTCTGGATGTTAGACCTTTGCTGGATGTGTAATTTGTGAATATTTCTCATATTTTGTAGGTTGCCTGTTTGCTCCATTGATAGTTTCTTTTGCTAAGAAGCATTTTAGTTTAATTAGGTCCCACTTGAGAATTTTTGTTTTCATTGCAAATGCTTTTGAGGACTTAGTCATAAATTCTTTCCTGAGGCTGATGTCCGGCATGGTGGTTCCTAGGGTTTCTTCTAGGATTCTTATATTTGAGGTCATATACTTAAACTTTTAATCCATTTTGAGTTAATTTTTGTCTATGGTGAAAGGTAGGGGTTCAGATTTATTCTTCGGCATATGATTACCCAGCTATCCAGCACCATTTATTGAATAGGGAATTCTTTCTCTACTGCTTTCTATTGTCAACTTTGTCAAAGATCAGATGGCTACAGATGTTTGGCTTGATTTCTAGATTCTCTATTTTGTCCCATTGGTCTATGTGTCTATATTTGTAGCAGTACTCTAATGTTTTGGTTACTGTAGCCTTATAGTATAGTTTGAAGTTGGGTAATGTGATGTGTCTGGCTTTGTTCTTTTGAGCAGGTACTTTTAAAAATACAAATTAATACCAGGAAAACTTTCTTATTTAGTATGTAACATTTTTGGCTGAGAAGCACTACTCCCCACCCTGGAATATTAGGTTATGTCAGGAAGCCTCGGGGCAATACACAACAAATACTTGTTAAGCCTTCAGGTTCAATTCAAAATTAATTTCCATTTGCCTTGATAAAGTTACTTATAGGAAAACAATCTGGACATAGCTAAAGGTATTTTAGAAGCTTAATTGGAAAGATGAGAAGAATTATTTTTTATGAAATAAATAAATCGACTATAGTTAAAACCTAGTGAGCTCTCTATTATGTTTAACTTTTCCAAGTAATTTGCTACTTTCTTTCTTTTTTTTAAAATTATACTTTAAGTTCTAGGGTACATGTGCACAACGTGCAGGTTTGTTACATAGGTATACATGTGCCATGTTGGTTTGCTGCACCCATTAACTCATCATTTATATTAGGTATTTCTCCTAATGCTTTCCCTCCCCTAGCCCCCTACCCTACGCAGGCCCCAGTGTGTGATGTTCCCCGCCCTGTGTCTAAGTGTTCTCATTGTTCAGTTCCTACCTATGAGTGAGAACATGTGGTGTTTGATTTTCTGTCCTTGTGATAGTTTACTGAGAATGATGGTTAGTAATTTGCTACTTTCTAGGGAAGAAGTACTCAGGGGAGTAGAGAAACAAATTTGTATTTTAAGAACCCCAATGCAATTTCACTGAAAAACAGTAGGAAATTAATATGGAACACATCTTAGCAGTCAACGTGCTCCAGAAAAACTCTCTCTATATATATATATATGTATGTGTGTGTGTGTGTGTGTGTGTCTATACACACACTCATATGTATATATGAAAAGATTTATATGAAAAAATAGGCTCACATGATTACGTAGGCTAAGAAGTCCTGCAGTCTGCCATCTGGAAGTAGGAGACCTAGAAAAGCTGGTGGTGTAGGTCCAGTTTGAGTTCAAAGGCCTGAAATCCAGGGGAACCAATGGTGTAAATCTAGTCCAAGGCTAGTAAAAGATTGATGTCTTAGGTCAAGCAGCAGGCAGGCAGGAAGAAATAAAAATATGGATGAATTCCTCCTTCCTCTGCCTTTTGTTCTATTCAGGTCCTGAACAGATTGGCTAATGCATACCCACACTGGGGAGGGCAATCTACTACTGAGCTTACCAATTCAAATGCTAATCTCATCTGAAAACACCCTAACTCTCATCTGGTCACCCC
Source organism: Homo sapiens (assembly GCF_000001405.40). Lineage (NCBI taxonomy): Eukaryota > Metazoa > Chordata > Mammalia > Primates > Hominidae > Homo > Homo sapiens. The sequence goes on from NC_000012.12 coordinate 8,475,773, forward strand.
TTGGCCCAGTCAGATTGATGCATAGAATTAGCCATTACACCATCTCAACATATAAAATAAAAAAAAAGATTGAAAACACAAAACTAAATTTATGTACATTTAAAGACAATTCTGTTTCTTGGTAAAGAAAAGAATGAAATTCTGAGACAAGAATTCCTGTATTAGGACTGTTTCTTCCCTGTAATGATATTGTTACTTTTGGCCTGTACTCCTGGTCAGAAGGCCATCATGTGACTGCTCCTTGCACCTTGTGTTTTCTTCTAAAGAATAGCTCTGAAGGCTATAAGCAACCTTTACTCTGTTCAATCTGGAAATACCAAAGTCTTTGACTCCTTTTTTTTCCTTCATGCAGAATTTCATTGTCCAGCAGCTGAATGAGTCATTTTCTTATTTTCTGGGGCTTTCAGACCCACAAGGTAATAATAATTGGCAATGGATTGATAAGACACCTTATGAGAAAAATGTCAGGTGAGTGCAGTTCTGGGGCCTTGTTTACATAGAAAATCTAGGGAAATTTTGTTAGGAGTTACTAATAATGTTAATATTGGTAATTATGATAACAGGATCTAACAATTATTAAGCATTACTAAGGATATGCATTATCTCACTTAAACTTCATGAAAACTTCTCTTTTTATGAACTAATTTTACAGATAAAAAATTAAATAACTTGCCCCAAATCAATAAACTAATAAGATGAGAAACTGGATGTCAACTCCATGTCTATCTGATTCCAGAGATGGTGCTCTAAACTATTATATTTTGCTGTTTCTAAACACAAGTAGACACTTAAACTGATCTCTAATTAATAAAACTTAAAATATCTGGGTCAGAACTATGTACAATTTTAGTAGAAAAATTACATAATAATACTATTTACTTGTGGCTTTAAAATAGAATTCAGTTATACATTATCTTATTTGATTCTTCCAAAATCTTGTGAGTTAGTTAGGGACCTTATTATAATTCCCATTTTTAAAGATGAGGAATCTAATACCTGGGGAGATTGAATTACTTCCCCATGATCAAAATGAGTGAGTATCAAAACCAGGTCTTGTAATTCCAAAAGTTATGTCCAACCTCCCAGTCTTTACCCAGAACGTATTCCCTGGAGGCAGGGTAACTTTTACATCCAGATTCAGGCATCCTAAGATTCACTTAAGGCAGATCCATGAGAATAAAGAAGCTTAGGAAGGTGATAAGAATACATAGATGTAAGGAGATAGCCTCTTTATTTCATGTCAGTAAGAAGGAAATTATTTAATAACCCCGCCAGCATAAAGGCTCTGTAAAGAGGAAGATGATTGCAGCGGAAAGATCTAGGAATAAACCATCTCATAAAATTTTGCCAGCAGAATGTTAAAGGAGCAAGTGTAAAAGTATGTGTCCATACTTGAGGATTTGAGGAGAGTAGTATGAGAAGAAGGAACAATCATTGGAATGTTCTCTCTTCCTAAATCCCACTTTGTTCACCCCAGACTTTTATACTTTCTAATCATTCACCATGCATTCTTTGAAGATGTGTACTACCTTTTTGTTTTCCTTTAGATTTTGGCACCTAGGTGAGCCCAATCATTCTGCAGAGCAATGTGCTTCAATAGTCTTCTGGAAACCTACAGGATGGGGCTGGAATGATGTTATCTGTGAAACTAGAAGGAATTCAATATGTGAGATGAATAAGATTTACCTATGAGTAGAAGCTTAATTGGAAAGAAGAGAAGAATTACTGACGTAATTTTTTCCCTGACGTCTTTAAAATTGAACCCTATCATGAAATGATAATTTCTTCCTGAATTTACACATAATCCTTATGTTATAGAGGTTCACAGAAATGGAAAGATACCTGTTTCCCTTTAATCAATCTTCTCGTTTCCTCTTTTCCATTAATGATAGAATGCACCCTTCCTCTCTTTGTTCCATTCTTTCACTTGTTATTCATTTTTTTCTTTCTTCACACTTCATTACACAAATATTTATTGTTTCAGAGACTGTACTATTTTGTTTGTTAGAAGATTTATAAGGCAGTATCTTTTGAAAATTATGACTTTCCTTCCTCAATATACCATAAAGAAATCTTTTTGGTCAAGATGGTAGTTGGAACTACAATCATCTGAAGGCCTGACAAGAGTTGAAAGACATGTTTTCTAGATGGCTCACTCACATGGCTGGCAACTTGGTGTTGGCTATTAATGTAACCTGGAAATAAATTTTATTCTGCAGTTAGGGATTTGGCATTTTATATATGTTGATTCAATCAAGTTTGGCAAGCAGGGTGTTCGATACTGCTATATCCTGTATTCTTGGTTTATTTGTTTTATTTCTGAGAAATATGTGTTAAGATCTCTCGCTGATTGGGAATTTGTCTATTTCTCATTTAAATTTTGTCAAATCTTTCTTTGCTTGCAAGCATTTCTTGTTACCCAAATCTAATCTATTCCTGAAAATATGATGGTTAGCAAAGTTTGAGATAACTAGAGCCTGTAATCCATCATTTTAAATGGCAATGATAATGACAGTTTATTTTTATGTTATATAAAAACCTCAACAAATTTTCCAAACAACTACCAAAATGGTCATTAATCTGTATCCACAAAGGATTTCTGCATAACATACTTTAAAACAAATTACCTAATTATTTAGTGCATATTAAACTTATTGGTGGGCATGACTATATGCAACAGTTGCATGATATATGATACAAATTATGTTATTCTTTTCCATTGCACTGAAAATACCATAATATAAAGAAGAATCCCATCATCCAAATTGAGCCTATATTGATTGATACTCAGAAGAATCTGGCAGTAGGAGCCTATAAAGGGATAAGCAATTGGGAAAGGATTGGGAAGTTGGTAGTACTGAACATCTTCTCACCTGGACTCATGAGCAACTTGAATAGTTGTAACTGTGATGCATATGTAGATTCTAACACATTTTTCCCCCTTGAATAGAAATTTGGCACAACAATTTTTTAAATTAATTTAGCAAATATTTGGATATTAAAGCTTCTTATAGAAAGAGATACCTGTATATTTAAGCCATGATGAGGTATATACAATGTTATAATTATTACTTGTACATGGCAAATTAATTTTTTTATCATTGTGGAGTCACTTTCTTTAAATTTAGTAATGCCTTTGGCTTTAATTTTTCTCCTGATATTAAAATAGATACAGTAACTTTCATTATGTTAGTGCTGTAAAATTTTTTTTTCCATCTTCTATTTTTGACCATTTTTATTCCACATGTGCTCTTAATAAGTAGCATATAGTTAAATTTTAAAAAATCCAATATGGCAATCACCTTTTAGGTTAAAAATTTAATCCATTTACATTTGTGACAATTCGACATATATATGGTTCTAAATCTATCATCTTACTAGGTGGTTTCCATTTCCTCTGCTCCAAAATATTTTTTTTACAGCTTATAACACAACTTTTATTAGAAAAGTTATACATAACACAGCATCAACTATTTTCAAGAACCCAATAAGCAACAAAAACCAGACTAACAAAATGTGTAACAAGAAACTAATGACCTTTCTAAAATCAAACATTCAATTATCTACAATGTCTATTTACAAACAGGGAAAACTCCATGGTTTACAGGCATGTCATATTGAAAATAAAGCTGCAATAGCTTTTTATACAATTATCGCTCTCAAGAAAATGAATCATTAAGACAGTAATTAGGAGTTCACAAATTTAAAACATTTCACGTAATTTTAAATTATTGTCTTCAATAATTTTAAATTATTGAAGTCTGAGTTTCAAAAGTGATTTTTTTCCCACAAAGGTGCCAACACTTAAGCTAGAGCTTTCAGTGTTAACTTTGCCCTAAAAGTTAAGACATATTCTGAGAATCATAATAGTCACATGATTTCTGATGCTATCTGCTCTGTTAATAACAAAGATTTCACACATGAATACCTATGTAACAAATCTCCATGTTCTACACATATACCCCAGAACTTAAAGTATAATAATAATAAAACATAGCAAAGCCTTTATCTGGATGTGTTTTTCTTTAATTAAATTATAGGAAGCTGGATATAGGATTTTGTTGCAAATCTGTTAAAGTTCCAAACACAGGAGTGTGCAGCACTGGAAAAGGAGATCAGTACTAAAACTTAAAATAAATATCAGAGAAACCATTAGCTTTTACAGCATTGTCTGTTTAAAGGTTAAGTTGACCAGGTGTATAATTTCCCATCAGTCTCTTCTTACAGTAGGCAGGGCAATTTCTATTTTCATGATCTGAATACTCAAATATATCCAAACATCTTTTTAAAGCTTTGATTTATAGCTCCTAGAAAGTTATAATTTTTAATAGTCACTCTACTCTAATGAAGCCTATTTCTGCTCATCACACTTATCACTGCTTTGAATGTGTCCCAGAGATTCCGGTATGTTGTGTCTTTGTTCTCATTGGTTTCAAAGAACATCTTTATTTCTGCCTTCATTTCATTTTGTACCCAGTATTCATTCAGGAGCAGGTTGTTCAGTTTCCATGTAGTTGAGCGGTTTTGAGTGAGTTTCTTAACCCTGAGTTCTAGTTTGATTGCACTGTGGTCTGAGAGACAGTTTGTTATAATTTCTGTTATTTTACATTTGCTGAGGAGAGCTTTACTTCCAACTATGTGGTCAATTTTGGAATAGGTGTGGTGTGGTGCTGAAAAAAATGTATATTCTGTTGATTTGGGGTGGAGAGTTCTGTAGATGTCTATTAGGTCTGCTTGGCGCAGAGCTGAGTTCAATTCCTGGATATCCTTGTTAACTTTCTGTCTCGTTGATCTGTCTAATGTTGACAGTTGGGTGTTAAAGTCTCCCATTATTATTATGTGGGAGTCTAAGTCTCTTTGTAGGTCTCTAAGGACTTGCTTTATGAATCTGGGTGCTCCTGTATTGGGTGCATATATATTTAGGATACTTAGCTCTTCTTGTTGAACTGATCCCTTTGCCACTATGCGATGGCCTTCTTTGTCTCTTTTAATCTTTGTTGGTTTTAAGTCTGTTTCATCAGAGACTAGGATTGCAACCCCTGCTTTTTTTTTTTTTTTTTGCTTTCCTTTTGTCTGGTAGATCTTCCTCCATCCCCTTATTTTGAGCCAATATGTGTCTCTGCACATGAGATGGGTCTCCTGAATAGAGCACACTGATGGGTCTTGACTCTATATACAATTTGCCAGTCTGTGTGTTTTAACAGGGGAATTTAGCCCATTTACATTTAAGGTTAATATTGTTAATGTGTGAATTTGATCCTGTCATTATGATGTTAGATGGTTATTTTGCCCGTTAGTTGATGAAGTTTCTTCCTAGCCTTGATGGTCTTTACAATTTGTCATGTTTTTGCGGTGCCTGGTACTGGTTGTTCCTTTCCATGTTTAGTGCTTCCTTCAGGTGCTCTAATAAGGCAGGCCTGGTGGTGACAAAATCTCTCAGCATTTGTTTGTCTGTAAAGGATTTTATTTCTCCTTCACTTATGAAGTTTAGTTTGGCTGGATTTGAAATTCTGGGTTGAAAATTGTTTTCTGTAAGAATTTTGAATATGGGCCCCCACTCTCTTCTAGCTTATTGGGTTTCTGCTGAGATCCACTGTTAGTCTGATGGGCTTCCCTTTATGGGTAACCCAACCTTTCTCTCTGGCTGCCCTTAACATTTTTTCCTTCGTTTCAACCTTGGTGAATCTGACAATTATGTGTCTTGGGATTGCTCTTCTCAAGGAGTATCTTTGTGGTGTTCTCTGTATTTCCTGAATTTGAATGTTGGCCTGGCTTGCTAGGTTGGGGAAGTTCTCCTGGATAATATCCTGAAGAGTGTTTTCCAACTTGGTTCCATTCTCCCCGTCACTTTTGGGTACACCAATTAAATGTAGATTTGGTCTTTTCACATAGTCTCATATTTCTTGGAGGCTTTGTTCCTTTCTTTTTACTCTTTTTTCTCTAAACTTCTCCTCTTACTTTATTTCATTAATTTGATCTTCAATCACTGATACCCTTTCTTCCACTTGATCAAATCGGCTATTGAAGCTTGTGCATGCTTACGTAGTTTTTGTGTCATGGTTTTCAGCTCCACCAGGTCATATAAGGTCTTCTTTACACTGTTCTAGTTAACCATTTTTCTTATCTTTTTTCAAAGTTTTTAGCTTCTTTGCAATGGGTTTGAACATCCTCTTTAGCTCAGAGAAGTTTGTTATTACTGACCTTCTGAAGCCTACTCTGTCAGCTCGTCAGAGTCATTCTCCATCCAGCTTTGTTCCATTGCTGGCGTGGAGCTGCAATCCTTTGGAGGAGAAGAGGAACTCTGGTTTTTAGAATTTTCAGCTTTTCTGGTCTGGTTTCTCCCCATCTTTGTGGTTTTATCTACCTTTGGTCTTTGATGTTGGTGACCTACAGATGGAGTTTTGGTGTGGATGTCCTTTTTGTTGATGTTGATGCTATTCCTTTCTGTTTGTTAGTTTTCGTTCTAAGAGTCAGATCCCTCAGCTGCAGGTCTGTTGGTGTTTGCTGGAGGTTCACTCCAGACCCTGTTTGCCTGGGTATCACCAGCAGAGGCTGCAGAACAGCAAATATTGCAGAACAGCAAATATTGCTGTCTGATCCTTCCTCTGGAAGCTTCGTCCCAGAGGGGCACACACCCGTATGAGGTGTCAGTCAGCCCCTACTGGGAGATATCTCCCAGTCAGGCTACTCAGGGGTCAGGGACCCACTTGAGGAGGCAGTCTGTCTGTTCTCAGAGCTCAAGCACTGTGCTGGGAGAACCACTGGTCTCTTCAGAGCTGTCAGACAGGGATATTTAAGTCTGCAGAAGTTTCTGCTGCCTTTTGTTCAGCTATGCCCTGCCCACAGAGCTGGGATCTACAGAGGCAGCAGGCCTTGCAGAGCTTATTGTGTTCTTTTGCTGGCAACATGTTTCCTTTGTTTTTGATGTTTCTTGTTGCTGTGCATTGACGTCTGTGCATCTGATGAAACAGTTACATGTTACAGACTTTATAGACTGGTTTTAGAGGGGGAAAACTTTCAACTATGAGTGAGTGCAAAAACACTGGCTGGGTGGGATGTTGCCCTTCCTGCTTTGGTGAGGGCACAGCAGTGTAGTCTCTGTGCAGCTCTGTCAAACTCAGACTGGGGCATGGGCACACCTGCTGCAGCATTGGCTCTGGTGTTTGCAGTGCAGGTGCTGGTGGAGTGGCCTGAGAGCCACAGTGACTCCAGGAGCTGACATGTGGGCTAATTTGCTGCGGCAGTGGCTTTGATGTCTGAGGCATGGCACTCATAAAGTTATGATGGAGCCAGGGTCCAAAGCTTAGGTGTGTGAAGAGTGACTATAGCTTCAAGGCCAGGAGTGGGGCTAGCCTGCAGCAGTGGTGGGTCTGGTGACTGAGGCATAGGTACACATAGTGTGGCCATGGAGTCAGGGTCTGGAGTACAGAAATCTACAAAGTGATAGTTGCTCCACTCCAGGATGTGGGCTGACTTACTATGGCAGTGGCTTAGATGCCCAAATATGGGCATTCATGGGGTGGTGGCAGAGCCTGGGTCACATGGATGTGCTCAGACTGGTCATGGCTCAGGGTGTGTTGTGGAGTCAGCCTTCAGTGATGGTGGCTCCCATGTCTGAAGTGTGGGTGTACATGATGTGGCCATGGAGTTGAGGTCTACAGCATAGGCATGGAGTAGCTGCAGCTTCAGGGTCTGGGGTCCCCACAGGAATGGGTTTTGGCCCTAGTCCAGCGATGGCACAAGAGTGGCTCCATTTTGGGATTAAGGGCACAGCAGTGTCTTCCTATTCAGGGCATTTGCATGGGGACAATGTCTGTGTGTTGCCTCAGTGGTGAAAGCTACCAGCATCCTCCGCAAAGGACTGCATTGACGTCCACCATGTGTCTGATACTGATAGCCCCTGCTTTCTTCTTTTTTCCTAGCCATCTCCAGATGTCTTGGGTATGCCAGTCTCCTCAGTGACCTTTTCTGTTTGTGATTATTCTCCTTTTTTTTTTTTTTTTACTCCACTGTGTTGCTTCAGGTTCTTGATTGAAACCTTCAACCCTCCCAACGCTCTCTTCAGTGTTCGATATCTGTCCAGTTGTGTGTGTTTTTGTGTGTAGGTTGAGGGGGGGGATGAGGGATGGTATCTCCTACTCTGCTATTTTGCTGACATCACTCCCTTGTCTTAAGCAAATTTAAGTAGATTTATTTTTGTAGGAGTTTCAGAATATTTTTTTACATGACAATATGCATCATAAATCTTCAAAGTAGGATGCAGAGATATAAAGGGTTTTTCTTTTCTTTTTTTTTTTTTTTTGAGACAGGGTCTTGCTTTGTCACCCAGGCTGGAATGCAGAGATGTGACCTCGGCTCACTACAACCTCCACCTCCTGAGTTCAAGCGTTTCTCATGCCTCAGCCATCATAATAGTTAGGATTACAGGCACCCACTACCACACTCAGCTAATTTTTGTATTTTTGATAGAGACAGGTTTCACCATTTTGCCTGCCGGTCTCAAACTCCTGAGCTCAAGCCATCCACCTGCCTCAGCCTCCCAAAGTGCTGGGATTACAGGCGTGAGCCACCACACCCAGCCCAAAGGGTTTTTCAATTAATTTTTTATGGAATACTTATAAATATGTCACCAAATAGTATTCTGTGACATATCTGTTGGGGAATCAGTGCTGTAGGCTGTAGAATTTAGAGGTCTAGGCACATATGGCAATGCATAATATAGTGTGTAATTCATAAAACAAATATTGTCAATACAGACTATGTAGACCCAATGACTTATTTTCTATTTATTCAGAAAATATATACAGCAGGTTTATTTTGTGACAAGATATTTCCTAGATAGGAATAAGGAAGTAAAAAAAAGAGTTCTTGTTCTTATATAGATTGCATGCTAGTGTTCTAGTGGAAAGATGCAACAAATAAATAAAAAATACATCATATATAATATATGTGCTTTAAAGATGCATAGAAGCAGTGCTTTCTTCAGCAGCACATATATTAAAATTAGAACGATACAGAGAAGATTAGCATGGCTGCTGTGCAAGAATAATATGCAAATTTATGAAATATTCCATACAAAAAACAAAACAAATTTTTAATGCACAGAAGCAGAATGGAGGAAAAGGGAGTGACAGTGGGGTACTAATTTACTTAAGGTATTTAGGGAAGCCTCTCTGTTAAGGTGACATTTGAGCAATTGCTTCAAGGAAGAGAAAAATTATACCAGAGAGATAGCTGAGGAAAAGTTTTCGGTTGAATTACGAGTTCCAAGGCTCCAAAACTTGCCAATCCTTAAAAGAAAAATAAGCGTGAATGGAGGTGTGTTTTGGAAGAGAAGCTCAGTGAAGCAGAGAAATTTGGTCACATAGTGCTTTCTAGGTCATGATAAAGAGTTTTAAATTTTATTCTGAGCAAGATAAGGAGCCTTTGTAGGCTTTGAGGTGAAGAATGACATGATTTCAATTCACTTTAAAATAAAGAAATTCCACAGACACAGAATCCTGGGGCATGAGAATGTTTTACATGGGGTGGGGGAGGGGAACTCAGAGGTTTTTGTTTTCTTTTTTGTTGTTGTTTTTACACATTCCAAGTTTGAAATCTCTGTGATGCTTTTGAGAGGGATGTGAAGACACTATTCTTAGAAAATTAAGACAATCCTCTGCCTTGGAAAATAACAACTCAATCTGTTTTTCTAGAATGAATGGATAGGCAAATATTATTTCTGTCTTTAAAATATTAAAGTTATTTTAAATCATAGCATATATGGCACTTTGCTCAAGGGGAGGAATGGTGTGGATATAAACATTTTGGAGTAAAAAATATGGCCATTATTGACAATTAGTTGAAGCCTGCCTCTGTTCCTGATCAGAGACATTGGAATGCAGTAATTCCAAGTGGAATCCCATTTTTTTTGTCTATCAGACGGTAGATGGTAGACCCTTGATGATAATGATTTTATGGTGCTATGATTTGGATATGTGTCTTCTCCAAACCATATGTTGAAATTTCATCTGAATGTTAGACGTGGGGCCTAATGAGAGGTGTTTGGGTCATGGGGTGAATCCCTCATAAATAGATTAGTGCTTTCTCTCAAAAGTGAGTGAGTTCTCACTCATTAGTTCCCTCAAGATCTGGTTGATAAACACAGCCTGGCAACTCCCTTTTCCCTTTTGCCTCCTCTCTTGCCATACGATCTTTGCATAAGCCAATTTCCCTTCACTTTCTGCTAGGAGTGGGAGTAGCCTGAGGCCGTCATCAAATGCAGATGCCTAATCTCGAACTTTCAAGCCATCCAGTATCAGGAACCTAATAAACCTTACATCTTTATAAATTACCCAGCCTCATGTATTTCTTTACAGTGATGGATTGCTATGGAATAAAAAGTCTTAATAGACTTAGTCCTAAATGGACTAAGACATATGGTATTAATCTTCATATTCCCAACATCTGTCCTATTACTGGGACTACAATTTTTTCTAAGTAATGAATTAATTATTTCAAAAGCACAAAAATTTGTGCTTTTGAATCTTCAAAACACTTAATGTTCTCTGAAATCGACCCCTTTTATTGGATTTCCATTAATGAGGCAAAATTCTGATTTTTTCTCTTTGAAATTGAAGTATATCAATAATTTAGAGCAGTTCATCATCACTGGCCATCAGAGAAATGCAAATCAAAACCACAATGAGATACCATCTCACACCAGTTAGAATGGCAATCATTAAAAAGTCAGGAAACAACAGGTGCTGGAGAGGATGTGGAGAAATAGGAACACTTTTACACTGTTGATGGGACTGTAAAGTAGTTCAACCATTGTGGAAGACAGTGTGGTGATTCCTCAAGGATTTAGAACTAGAAATATCATTTGACCCAGTCATCCCATTACTGGGTGTATACCCAAAGGATTATAAATCATGCTGCTATAAAGATAAAGGCACACGTGCAGCACTATTCACAATAGCAAAGTCTTGGAACCAACCCAAATGTCCATCAGTGATACAATGGATTAAGAAAATGTGGCACATATTCACCATGGAATACTATGCAGCCATAAAAAAGGATGAGTTCATGTCCTTTGTAGGGACATGGATGAGGCTGGAAACCATCATTCTGAGCAAACTGTCACAAGGACAGAAAATGAAACACCGCATGTTCTCACTCATAGGTGGGAATTGAACAATGAGAACACTTGGACACAGGGTAGGGAACACCACACACTGAGAACTGTTGTGGGGTTGCGGGAGTGGGGAGGGATAGCATTAGGAGATATACCTAATATAAATGATGAGTTAATGGGTGCAGCACACCAGCATGGCGCATGTATACGTATGTAAGAAACCTGCATGTTATGCCCATGTACCCTAGAACTTAAAGTATAACAAAAAAAAATCATCACATAAACAAACAAACAAAAATTTAGAGTAGTTGTGTTTATAATTACATTAGACAAAACAGACTTTAAGTCAATATCTGTCACGAAAGGCAAAATTGATAAGTGTTCCCTCTTCTGTTGTTTGTAATACTTTGATGGGAATTGATGTTAGTTATTTTTTAGATATTTATTAGAGTTCTCCAGTGAAGCTGTCTGATCCTAGAGTTTTCTTTTTTGGATAGTTTGATTATGAGTCAATCTCCTTATTTGTTATTAGAATGTTTAGGCTGTTTCTTCTTGATTCAGTCTTGGTAGTTTGTATGTTTCTGGGGATTTATCCATTTCCTCTAAGTTATCTAATTTGTTGGCATAAAATTTTTTATAATAGTTCCTTATGGTTCTTTTTATTTCTGTGGCATCTGATATAGTTTGGATGTTTCCTCCAAACCTCATGTTGAAATGTAATCTCTAATGTTGGAGGTGGTGCATGGTGGGAGGTGATTGGATCATGGAGGCAAAGAAAGTTATCAACTCATTCTATGAAATCAGTATCACCCTGATACCAAAGCCACATAAAGACACTGCAAAAAAAGAAAAGTATAGCTCAATATCCCTAATTAACTTAGTTTGCAACTAATGAACTTAAAAAGCACATAAAAAGTATAATACAACATGAACAAGTGACATTTAGCCCTAGTATGCAAGTATCATTCAATATAATTAATCAATGTGATACAGTATATCAACAAAATGAAGCATAAAAATTATATGATCATCTAAATAGATGAAGAAGAGTATTTGACAAAATTTCATACCCTTTTATTATAAAATCCTCAACAAATTAGGTGTAGAAAGAATTTAACTTAATCAATAAAGACCATATTTGAAAAGCATCATATCTACTATCATATTCAATGGTGAAAAACTGAAAGATTTTTCTCTAAAATCTGGATCAAGACAAGGATGCCTCTCTCATCATTTCAACATAGTATTGAATGTTCCAGCCTGAGCAATTAGGCAAGAAAAATAAATAAAAAGCATCCAAATACAGGAGGAATAAGTTAATTTATCTGTTTACAGATAAAATGACCTTACATATAGAAAATCCTAAAAACTTCACAAAGACTATTAGAACTAATGAACAATTTCAGCATAGTTGCAGGATGCAAAATAAACACACAGAATTCAGTTGTATTTCTATGCACTAACAACAAATTATCTGAAAAGGAAATTAAGAAAACTACCCCATTTACAGTAGCATCAAAAAGAATACAATACTTATGAATAAACCTAACCAAGGAGGTGAAAGACTTATGTGCTGAAAGGCATAAAACACTGAAGAAAGAAATTAAAGCTGGTGGAGATAAATGGAAAGACATCCTGTGTTCATGGATTGGAAGAATTAATGTTATTACAATGTCCATGCTGCCAAAGTGGCCTACAGATTCACCCTCTCCCTAACAAAATCCTAATGACATTTTTACAGAAATATTAAAAACAATTCTACAATTTATATGAAACAATTCCACAATTTATATGACTTCAAATAGTCAAATAATTCTTGAACAAGAAAAACAAAGCTGGAGGCATCACACTTCATAATTTCAACATATATTACAAAGCTACAGTAATCAATTTGGTACTTGTATAAAGATAGACATATAGACAAATAGAATAGAATTGAGTGTCTAGAAATAAACCCTCATATACATGGTCAACTGACCTTTAACAATGGTGCCAAGAATACACAATGGGGAAAAGATAATATCTTCAACAAATGGTGTAGGAAATACTGAATATCCACAGGCAAAAGAATGAAATTGGACGCTTATCTTACACCAAACACAAAAATAGAAAAGGATTAAATGTATGACCAGAAACTGTAAAACTTCTAAAAGAAAATTTCAAGGAAAAGTTTCGTGACATTGGTCTTGGAGGTGATTTCATGGACACAACACTGAAAGCACCAGCAACAAAACCAAAAATAAGCAAATGAAACTACATCAAACCAAAAGTTTCAGCCTAGTAAATGAGACAATCAATCACAGAGTGAAAAGGCAATCTACAGATTCTTTTGCAAACCATGTATATGATAAGAGATTAATATCCAAAATATATAGGGAGCTCCTACAACTCAATAGCAGAAAAGCTAATAACTTGATTTAAAAAATGGAGAAAGGGCCAGGCACGGTGGCTCATGCCTATAATCCCAGCACTCTGGGAGGCCAAGGCAGATGGATTGTTTGAGCTCAGGAGTTGCAGACCAGCCTAGGCAACATAGTGGAGCACTGTCTCTACAAAAAATACAAAAGTTAGCCAGGCATGGTTACCTGGGGGTTGAGGCTGGAGGATTACTTGAGCCAGAGAGGTAGAGGATACAGTGAGCCGTGATTGTGCCACTGAACTCCAGCCTGGGCAACAGAGCAAGATCTTGTGTCAAAAAATAATAATAATAAAAAGTGGACAAAGTACTTGAGTAGACATTTCTACAAAGAAGACACACAAATAACAATAGCTTTATGAAAAAATGCTGAACATCACTAATCATCAGGGAAATGCAAATCAAAATCACAGTAAGGAATCCTCTCAGATTTGTCAGGATGGCTATTCTCACAGAAACAAATGACTCCAAGTATTGATGATGTGGAGAAATTGGAATGCTTGTATACTGTTGGTGGGAACGCAAAATAGTGAAGCCAAATGAAACAAAATGAAATAACGACATGGTGCAGATGCTATGACAAACAGTATGGAGATTCCTTTAAAAATTAAATGTAGAACTATAATGTGATCCAGAAATTTCATTTCTGGGTATTTATCCAAAAGAATCAAAATCAGGATCTTAAAGAGATATTAGCACTTCTATGTTCATTACAGCATTATTTACAATACGCAAGACACAGAAACAGCCCAAGTATACTTGGACAGATGAAAGGCTAAAGAAAATGTGGTTTGTGGTACATACAACGGAATATTACAACAAAAAGAAGACAATCCGATGTGACAACATGGATGGGCCTTGAGGACATTATTTTAAGTGAAATGAGCTAGTGACAGAAAGACAAAGATTGCATAATTTTACCTTTATAAGCAATCTAAAATAGTCAAATTCACAACATCAAAGAATAGAATGAGTGGAATGATGGTTGCCAGGGACTGTCAGTATGGAAAAATTGGTCATTGTTAATCAACAAACATAAAATTTCAGTTAAGCACGATACATAAGTTCTAGCGATCTGTTGTACAACATTGTCCCTGTAGTCAATGACACTGTATTGTATACTTAAAAATTTATTAAGATGGTAGATCTCATGTTAAATGTTCTTACCACAATAAAATGAAATTTTTAAAAATTAAAAATTGAAGCCTGGCATAGTGGCTCACGTCTGTAATCCCAGCATTTTGGGAAGCTGAGGCAGGCAGGTCACTTGAATCTAGGAGTTTGAGACCAGCGTAGGCAACATGGTGAAACCCTGTTTCTACTTAAAAATACAAAAATTACCTGGGTGTGGTGGTGCATGCCTGTAGTCCCAGTTACTTGAGGAGCTGAGGTGGGAGAATTGCTTGAACTCAGAAGGTCGAGGATGTAATGAGTCAAGATTGCACCACTGCACTCCAGCTTGGGCAACTGATGAAACCTTTTCTCAAAAAAAATTACAAATTAAAAAAGGCAGCATATTGGCTTCTTCAAATAATCCGCTTATTTAATCTGTGATAAGATCAGAATTTAATCACAATGAAATTTTACCTTGTTTTTGATTATTTTAAATTATTTTAAAGTCAACAACTACAAACATACATTTCCTCATGCAAAATTAATACATTTTACAAAAGGCTAAAATTGATTTGCACCTCAACCCTGTTACCATTCCCAGCTACAAATATATAATCAATTTATTTTCTAGTATTTCATATTAATGGTCTGAGAGGCAGTGGGAACTATAGAAGTTCTCAGTCATGCATTCAACTGCTAATGTAATCTGACACTGAAAATTTATTCCAGTGAGTGGGCAAATAATCGTCAATAGTACATATAGGGAGAGGAGAGGTGGGGCAGCAAAAAGGGTGCATCCACCCTCATTTTCCCTATTTCAAGAGTTAAAAGTCATTACTTTCTGGGATTGGTGCAATCTTGACTCACTACATCTTCGACCTTCAAGCAATTCTCCCACCTCAGCTCCTCAAGTAACTGGGACTACAGGCATGCACAACCACACCCAGGTAATTTTTGTATTTGTAAGTAGAAACAGGGTTTCACCATGTTGCCTACGCTGGTCTCAAACTCCTGTCATAAATACTGCCTGTCATAAATCATTCTCTGCTGACCATTTCTCTTGGAATTTATTGGAATTGTAATAAATTAAGGAAATGTATGACCTGGTATCTAGTTAATGCCTAAAACACTTCATGTTATCCTTTGCCCAACTGGCTAATAACAAGGCTGTGATAAGTTTAAGGTAAGGCTTCTCAGTGATCCAACCAGCTTCCCCTTTTATAGTAAGGAATATACTTTGAAAATGTAAATATAACATGTTTATTGAATAGTGAAAACAACTTTCTGTTTTGTAATTTTTGTATGAAACAATCTTTACACATAAACTCCATCTCCAGAGTACTTCCGAAATGTAATGGAGTCTGCTCAATTGTGGGTAGGAAATAACAGCAGATCTTCCAGTGTGTGGAGGGTTTTTCCCCGAACCACTACTGACCATACAATTACATCTCTGGACACAAGCATGACTCTTAATGTTTATGCATGTTCAGTTGTTTCTTATTACTTTTGCTCAACCTATCTAACCTTTTGAGATTTTGACTACTGATTCTGATCATAGGAGATCATTCCACTCCATTGTATGTCATCTCAGAGCTCTGACCAATGTGCCCTGTATCTAAGTAAATGAGCTGGTTGTAATGTGTACACATTTTCTAAGAAAAATTTTTGCATAAGCAGAAACACTGGGATGAAGTAGGAGGTTTGGGGCTATCATTTCCACTTTTTGACAATTTTATTTCCTTTGAGGTTTGTCCCCAGAGAGCTTAGTAACCATGTTTGTAGTTACATGAGTCCATCTTTTGGCTACACTTGCTCTAGGCTATCAAAATTAAATTCTCCCTCACATAGATTCCGAATGAAAGCTGAGAAATATGAGTCCACGATTTGGGGAACCAAATCTTGCTGATGGCAGAGCTCTAGGTTTAAGATCCACAAATGCTTTTGTGTCTGAGATTCCCCAAGCTACATCAACCCTATGCTTGTGGGGCCTGGTTGTTCTGCTCTACGGATTCTGGGAAATGCACAAGCAGCCTTCCTATACATTCATTTTTCATTAGCAGCTTTTAGCAAGCTTCTTTCTTTTCTTTTCTTTTCTTTTTTTTTTTTTTTGAGACAGGATCTCACCGTTGCCCAGGCTGAAGTGAAGCGGCATGACCATGGATCGCAGCACAACCTCCTGGGCTCAGGTGATCCTTTCACCTCAGCCTCCCGAGTAGTTGGAATTACAGGCAAGCACCACTACGCCCAACTAATTTTTTGTATCTTCAGCAGAAATGAGATTTTGCCATGTTTTCCAGGCTGGTCTGGAACTCCTGGGCTCAAACAATTTGCTTACCTGGGCTTCCCAAAGTGCTGAGATTACAGCACTGAGCTACCATGCCTGGCCCACAAGCTTATTTCTATCACTTACAAATGAAAATATAACACAATACACAAATTATCTAAATAACAAGAAGTAGGGAAATGATAACCTGAGATGGATTAGAATGAAATATAAAGTTATAGTGGTTTGGGGAAACGACTGTAACCTTGAAAGGAAAGTTAAGTATGTCCCTGACTATAAAAGAACTAGAGATGTAAATGTGTAATCTGTGTTTCCTAAGGAGTTCATCTCCTACATATATACCCCATCAGTAGCCTGGAAGTATGGATGCTGTCTCACTACTTGAAGACATTTCTTCTATTTAAAATGTCTCTGACTGCAGTCTGCCCTCTAGAATGTGTCAGAAGTACTTTTGGAAAGAAAAATGGATCTTTACTGTAAGTCTAGACATACTCACTTGTAAACATTTCTGAGTTACCCTGGCTGAGAAGCTTATTACCCCAGATCACTATTCTTTACATTTTCCACCCAAAGAGGAAGCTGTGGGTCCCTTTTGAGTCACTGAATTGCTGCTGTGGTTTCCATCTGGCTTGCTGATACCAGTTTCATCACCACGACCCTTGGTATACATCTGTTCCTTCCTCTGCTTCTTACGCAGTCTCCTTTTCTAGTTACTCTAGTCATGAATCCCAACATTTGATTGCTAGATATTTTCTGATGTTTTTAATTTATCTGTTAGTGTTTATTGGTGGTTTTTTAACTCGTAAGATGTCCTTTTTTTCTCAGAGGATTTTAACCTAGAGGTTACCAATATGGGCTTGAGTGTTATGAAGCCTAAATCTGAATTCTGGTTCTGGCATATTCCAGCACTCTTCAGGAGCTCAGGCAAGTTTTTAACTTTTAAAGTGTTGGGTATGTTATTTGTAAAATGGCAGTAATAGCATTTTCCTCATTTTGTGAAAATTAAACAAGTTAATTACCATTCAGGGCTTAGAGCAGTGCCTGACATATCAACATATGTTACCTATCATTGCTTTAGAGGTACATCTTTCATAATGCTCCAAAATTAGAGCTAGCGTCAGCTGGAACTCATCTTTTTACTGGTATATTACTTAGGATACTTGTATTAAGTTGTTTTTTTTTTTTAATCAAGGAAATTCTTTTTTTGTCCTTCTCCATGAATTCTCTGTGAAAACACCAATATTTAAATTAAAAAATGCTCAGAGATTTTCTCTAGCAGACTAAATCTTTGCTATTTTTATTTTTTATACTTTAAGTTCTGGAGTACATGTGCAGGACATGCAGGTTTGTTGCATAGGTAAATGTGTACCACGGTAGTTTGTTGCACCTATCAACCCATCACCTAGGTATTAGCCCAGCACGCATTAGCTCTTTTCCCCAAAGGTCTACCCCCTCCCTATCCTCCCCTGACAGGCCCCAGTAAGTGTTTTTCCCCTCCCTATGTCCATATGTTCTCATTGTTCAACTCCCACTTATGAGTGAGAACATGCGGTGTCTGGTTTTCTGTTACCATGTTAGTTTGCTGACAATGATGGTTTCCAGCTTCATCCATATCCCTGCAAAGAACATGAACCCATTCTTTTTTATGGTTGCATAGTATTCCATGGTGTATATGTGCCACATTTTCTTTATTCAGTCTAACATTGACGGGCATTTGGGTTGGTTCCAAGTCTTTGCTATTGTGAATAGTGCCACAATAAACATACATGTGCATGTGTCTTTATAGCAGAATGATTTATAATCTTTTGAATATATACCCAGTAATGGGATTGTTGGGTCAAATGGTATTTCTTGTTCTAGATCCTTGAGGAATTGCAACACTGTCTTTCACAATGGTTGAACTAATTTACACTCCTACCAACAATGTAAAAGCATTTCTATTTCTCCACATTCTCCCCAGCATCTGTTGTTTCCTGACTTTTTAACAATTGCCATTCTAACTGGTGTGAGATGGTATCTTACTGTGATTTTGATTTGCATTTCTCTAATGACCAGTGATGATGAGCTTTTTTTCATATGTTTTTTGGCCACATAAAAGTCTTCTTTTGAAAAGGGTCTGTTAATATCCTTCACCTACTTTTTGATGGGGTGATTTGTTTTTTTCTTGTAAACTTGTTTAAGTTCCTTGTAGATTCTGGATATTAGCTGTCAGGCCTCTGAGCTTAAGCTAAGCCATCATATCCCCTGTGACCTGCACATATACATCCAGATGGCCTGAAGCAATTGAAGATCCACAAAAGAAGTGAAAATAGCCTTAACTGATGACATTCCACCATTGTGATTTGTTCCTGTCCCACCCTAACTGATACATATATTCTCCCCCGCTCTTAAGAAGGTACTTTGTAATATTCTCCCCAACCTTTAAGAAGGTACTTTGTAATATTCTTCCCCGCCCTTAAGAATGTACTTTGTACACCTATCCCAAACCTATAAGAACTAATGATAATCCCACCACCCTTTGCTGACTTTCTTTTCGGACTCAGCCCACCTGCACCCAGGTGAAATAAACAGCCTTGTTGCTCACACAAAGCCTGTTTGGTGGTCTCTTCACATGGACATGCATGAAATTAGCCCTTTGTCAGATGGATAGATTGCAAAAATTTTCTCCCATTCTGTAGGTTGCCCATTCACTCTGATGATAGTTTCTTTTGCTGTGCAGAAGCTCTTTAGTTTAATTAGATCCCATTTGTCAATTTTGTCTTTTGTTGCCATTGCTTTTGGTGTTTTAGTCATGAAGTCGTTGCCCATGCCTATGTCCTGAATGGTATTGCCTAGGTTTTCTTCTAGGGTTTTTATGGTTTTACGTCTTACATTTAAATCTTTAATCCATCTTGAGTCAATTTTTGTAATAAGCGGGATGGCTGAATAGGAACAGCTCTGGTCTGCAGCTCCCAGTGAGACCAACACAGGTGGGTGATTTCTGCATTTCCAACTGAGGTACCTGGTTCATCTCATTGGAACTGGTTAGACAGTGGATGCAGCCCACAGAGGGTGAGCAGAAGCAGGGTGGGGTGTTGCCTCACCCAGGAAGTGCAAGGAGTCAGGGAACTCCCTCCCCTAGCCAAGGAAAGCCATGAGAGACCCTGCTGTGAGGCATGGTGCTATCCAGCCTAGATACTAAGCTTTTCTCCCACGGTCTTTGCAACCCACAGACCAGGAGATTCCCTGTGATGCCTATACCACACAAGGGCCCTGGGTTTCAAGCACAAAACTGGGTGGCTGTTTGGGCAGACACCGAGCTAGCTGCAGGAGTTTTTTTATCATACCCCAGTGGTGCTTGGAACGCCAGTGAGACGGAGCTGTTCACTCCTCTGGAAAGGGGGCTGAAGCCAGGGAGCCAAGTGGTCTTGCTCAGTGCATCCCACCCTCACAGAGCCCAGCAAGCTAAGATCCACTGGCTTGAAATTATCGCTGCCAGCACAGCAGCCTGAAGTCGACGTGGGACGAGCTTGGTAGGGGGAGGGACTTCCTCCATTACTGAAGCTTGAGTAGGTGGTTTTCCTCTCATAGTGTAAACAAAGCCCCCTGGGAAGTTCGGACTGGGTGGAGCCCACTGCAGCACGGCAAAGCCACTGTAGCCAGACTGCTTCTCTAGATTCCTCCTCTCTGGGCAGGGCATCTCTGAAAGAAAGGCAGCAGCCCCAGTCAGGGGCTTGTAGATAAAACTCCCATCTTCCTGGGACAGAGCATCTGGGGGAAGGGGCGGCTGTGGGTGCAGCTTCACTGTCTTGTTAATAGTGGCTATTTTCATCAATAGAGAGGATCGAGTAAGATGCCTTCATTTAAATTTTCTAAGCCAAGATGAATGTTATTTAAAAGCCAGTTTCAAAATATCTTATGCTTTGTTTTGCTTTATTGGCAATTATTAAAATGAAGCTCATCAGTCTGCAGTGAATAACTGTTGTCCTCCTTCCCACGATGTACATTTCTGCTCCTTTTCCAATCCCTGGGGAGCCTATTTCTTCTTTCTAGAAGATGTACTGAGCCACCCAGTGACGTGTACTATTGACATGCTAATTTGACAATTTTGGCATTGCCTCAATTCATGATTTTCAAACTTTACTCTTGGTTGGCTTTTTGCTTCAAAAAAATTTGACTGAATTTGCCTTCACCACTACCATCAAGGACTTTCTGGTCTCATTTACATGATTTCAGTTTAAGAACATTTGAGCTAGAAAACTATTTTCTTGTACCGTAATAACAAAATGACGTGACTACTCATACAGTACCGAACCTACACTGGCGTGGCCCAAATTCCTTAAAATAATTTACATAAGTTTATTTTTATAACCCCTTTCATTGAAGATGGGGCAGAGAAAGGCCACAATTATGTCCTTAGGGGTTATAAACTCTTGACATATAATGCCAATGGTCGGAGGGCAGGGGACAAACACATTAAAGATCCAACAAAAGATCTAAATAATGAATCACAGACACAACCCGTAAGACCACTTTATTAGGAATCTGTTTCCAAAGCATCCATATCTGTCAGTCACTCCCTTTACTCCAGCCTCTTCTGGCTGTATTCACCAATATCGTCTTTTTGCAAACTCAGCTTTGCTGTTTAACCTGAGAACTCAAAAAGGACATCAGTTCCTCTAATTAGTAGGACTGATATTAATATTGTACCTGATAGGATCTGATATCTATAGTGAGACACTTACATTGCCTATAATTTTTATTTATTTATTTATTATTAAGACAAGGTCTTACTATGTTGCCCAGGCTAGACTCAATTCCTGAGCTTAAGAAATCTTCCCACCTTGGCCTCCCAAAGCGCTGGGATTACAAGCATGGGCCACCCCACCCAGCATGGTTTATGAATTTAGAAATTCTTTACTTTATCCTCAGACCGTTCCCAAAATACAACCATTTTTAACCCATTGATTTGATGTCTGCTTCAGTTTGTTCATGACTCCTGTTTCTTGATGAATTTTGGAATCTCTGCCAAAAACTACTCGATCAACTCTCAATCCTCTTTTCTAACCCCACCTTCATATTCTCTGTACCCATAAGCATCTGTTAAAACTTTGAGTGCTGTTACTTCTCTGATTTCAAGTGTGAGCAGTGGTTTGAACTTTCTCCTGCAGCTGAGTTAGACTACCTCAGAGACTGACAATATCTTCAACCATGGCTGAGTTAGACATGATTTCTGGACATTGTATAAAAGATTCCCCATTCTTATTCCTGTGCTCTGATACACTCAGGGGGATTCGTTGTTGCCGTTGTAATGCTTTAATTACTTGCAATAATGTATATTCCTATATCACCAGTTTGGGCAGCATGAAATAATAAAAAGAATGCAAACTCTGACATCATACAGGTCAATAATAAATTTTAAAAATTAACACCAAAATAAAATATGCACGTGGTGATAATTCAAATTGTTCCAAAGAGTTTATTATGAAAAGCAACCAATCTTTCCTGGCACTACTGTGCAGATGCAAGTTATTTAAGCTTTTTTTTAATTAAATTTTGAGACGGAGTCTCGCTCTGTCACCAGGCTGGAGTGCAGTGGCTTGATCTTGGCTCACTGCAACCTCTGCCTCCTGGGTTCAAGTGATTCTCCTGCCTCAGCCCCCTGAGTAGCTGGGACTACAGGCAAGCACCACCATGCCCAGCTAATTTTTGTGTTTTTAGTGCAGACGGGGTTTTACCATGTTGGTCAGCATGGTCTTGATCTCTTGACCTCATGATCTGCCCGCCTCAGCCTCCCAAAATGCTGAGATTACAAGTGTGAGCCACCATGCCTGGTCAGCTTTTTTTTTTTAAGTTCTTCTAGTGATTTTTTCCATGATTCTAAATAAAACTCATATTTCTATTTCTGCAAATTGCAATCCAGTACTCCCTGCTCCTCTAATTCTTTTCCACTTTCCTTTTCATTTTTACATTTTCTACTTTGACTTTTGATAATTAAGTAATGATATTATTACTTTTCATTAATTTGTTGGTTACTTTTGTAAGTCTAAATAGTATCCTTGGCCATCTATTTTTTGTTTCATCTCATTAAAATGAGAACAGTTGTTCCCATACTCCCCTCATATTCCTTCATCCCTTTCCTTCTTACTTCAGCCACATTTTAAATTGTACCTTGTCAAGGTTGTTGACATTTACATTCTATACTACACCATGGCCGAATGTCCGTGCTTTGTCCAAAGGCTAACTCTAATCAATAAATTTTTACATAATCACATTTCTTTTGGGCCAAGATATGGGCTAACATTATGTTTTCTTCTCTGTGGGTACTGTGTTTCAATTCTGATTTATCCAGAGGAGATTGCTTCCATCACTCAGATCACATGGCCTCTATTTACTTAGACTCCATCTATTATTTCAACTCAAGCCACACTTCAATTTGATTCCTATTTAAATCCTCCTTTCTTGTACAACTTTAATTTTTTTCCGATATTGCTAGTCACCTTTCCTTGAATTATCTGTTATACCCTTGATCTTCAATCCTCCCAATCTTTCTATTATACAGCATTGTGCTTTGATCTGTTCTTCTCAGCATCCTCCTTCTGCTACTCCACACTAGACTCACTATCCTTTAGTCCTGTTCATGGTTGTTATTCAAGGACTTCCCTTCCCGGCTCGTTTGGTTTACATCTACTGTTTCTTGTACACTATGCCTTTCTCTTTGTTGTGTTGGGTATAACTGTCAACACACCTGAGTGTGCAAGGAAATCTGGTTCTAATATCCTGTTATGCCAGCCTCATAGGAAGTTCAATCTCAGTTATTTTGGAGCTCTTTTCTCCTCATTGCAATTGCATGAGAATCCAGGAAGGTTATGTGTTGTCCAGGAGGACAGGACAAAGGAAGGAGGGCTTTTAATCTGCAGTGTATCAGGATCACCACTGATTGTCCCATTGTTCAACATGGGTTTCGGGTAGATCTCTCCATTTTTGGGAGCTTGTTAGAACTTGTATTCTGTACCCTAACGTGACGTTTTCTTCTCTGTGGGTCTTGTGTTTCAATTCTGGCTTATTCAGAGGAGATTCCTTTATTTTAACCTGCAAAAGAAGTGGTGCAGAGGGAAGCTTGAATGTCGTTTTACCTGTAGCAGCCACAGGAGGGCAACTTCTCCCTTCTTCCTCTGCAGTTAAATTCATCTTGTTTCTCCTCTAAATTATAAGCTTTAAAAAATGAAACATTTTATTTATTTGTCATCCTATTTTGGAGTTGTAAAAAAAGACAGATAAAGAAAAAGAGGACCATCTTCTAGTTAAATTAATTCTGACAAGGGCCATGCAGAGTTGTTATGGAATTCTCCCAGATTTGATAAAATGCCCACAAAATCAATGTATGTTTAATTTTTTTGGAGGAAGAATGATAAAAGGAGCAATACTCACAAAGAGCGTGTTGACTGAAATTGTTAACAACCATTGCATTAGGAGGTATCAACTGCTGACTGCAAGAGGTGGACATGTGGATTCTTCTTGAGAATGACAAAAAGTGACACTAATGGCCTGACAGTGAAGAACAGAAGGAAACTAAAAAATGCTATAAGTATAGTTGGGGAGCCTTATGTAATGTAGCAGAAGTTGGTTGTAAGGGCATGAGCATCCAGTATAATCACTGATCTTCAAACTGAGGATGTAGAAGAGTAAAGTTTAAAGGATCTTCATTAACAAAGATGATAGTGTCTTATTTACGCAGTTCTTTACAGTTTTAGAACATGTGTTCCATTGAGGACACACGGACACAAAGAAGGGAATGACAGACGCCAGGGCCTACTTGAGGGTGGAAGGTGGGAGGATGGAGAGGATCAAATACTACTTATTGGGCAGTATGCTTATTACCTGAGTGATGAAATAATCTGTACACCAAACCCCAGTGACACCCAGTTTGCTTATATAACAAACCTGCACATGTATCCCTGAACTTAAAATAAAAGTTAAAATATTTAAGAAAATGCATGTTTTCACACAGACCTACCTTTTCGCAGCAACTTTATGAGATCAGGAGGCAAGCATCATTTTACAGATGGGGCAACTTGTTTCAGAGAAGCCAAGTGACATGCTCCAGATCAATAATTCTGTTTATGATTTTGTGGACTCTGTTTTGTGCTTTAAGACAGCTTTTTATCAAAGAGGGATTAAATTGAAGTGTATCTACTTCAGTTCCTGCAAACTGTTGAACTTTCACAAACTGTTAAGTTTCCACAAAAATGCATTTAACATTGGATTTCCTGATAAAGTTGAATAGATGGACTGTTACTTGTTACAAGTGACGGTGCTTGGGTATATATACTTTTTGTTCAAAAGTTTAATCTTTTCCTACTTATATCTTCACTAAACAATTGTATACATATGCCAGGTTTATAGGTAGCTACTAGGAGTTAATTGCTAGGGCTGTTTCTACCTGATAAAAAGAGAAAATTATATAGTTTTAAATAAAAGTCAAGTACACAAGTATTAGGTACAGTATAGAGAGCTAGAGTATTAATATAGAGCTAGAAAACAGAACCCAATAAGCATATCAAGGGTTTTCATTTACATTCCTACTATCATAGCCAACCCAGGAATGAATTATTAGGAATAAAGCACTATAGCAAGATGTCAAGAATTTAGAATCTAGGGTTGAAAATATAAATACTGATATGAACAAAAATAATTGAATAGCAAGTACCTGGGAAGAGGTATAAAAAAAGAAAAATTGAAGTCATTGGTTAATAAGAGAGTAAGAAGAAAAAATTGTTGTATCTTTCAGCATCCACTAATGAAATCATATTATAACATAGATATTATTGACAATATCTCTAATACCTGTGGGGCCTTGGGCACAATTTGGTGCGCAGTGTATAGTTAACAAACAAAAATTTAAAACACAGTGTTTCCTGAGCTTAGAAACATGAGCTACATATTTGAAAATTAATTTCTTAAAAAAATACTTAAACAACAATAGCCATTTCATATGGTTGATTTTTTGAACACTTCAAAAACTTCCAGCAGATATGAATGCAATGATTACAGAAATTGGTGCTATGTTTAAAGGTATTGTAAAATATCAATGCCATATTCTTCATTATTTTTTCCAAAACACATGTACTTACTTTTCTAACTGTCTAAGGTGCCTCAAATATATAGTTATGTGGTCATACTGGCCTACTTCCTCTTCCTGAAAATGTCAGATAAGGTTTCACCTTAGGGTTTTACACAAGCTGTTTCCTCTCCCTCTCCCAGGAAGGTTCTTCTCTCTGAAATCCACACGACTAACTCTCACCATCTTTAAGTGCTTACTTGAATGTGACCTCAGTGAGACTTTCCCAGATGAATAGATCCAAATTATACCTGTCCCACTCTCAGTAGTTCCAATCCCATTTGTCCTGTTCTATTTTATCCTACTACACGTATCGTCTTTTAACATACTATGTAATTTACTTAATATATGATTATCTTTAATTACTTTATCTCATCCTACTAGGATTTAAGTTTTATGTGGGTGGTGATTTTTGCCTCTTTTGTTCCCTGTTTCATAAGAGTCTAGAGCTGTGCCGTTTTATAGTGTAGCCTCTGTTCACTTCTGGCTATTTCAATTGAAGTTAAACAAAGTTAAATACAATAAAAAGCTATTTCCTCAGTCTTTCTAGCCACATTTCAAATGCTCAGTAGTCTCCTGAGGCTAATGGCTACCATATTGATCTATCATCACGGCCAGTTCTATCAAACTGTGAAGGGCTAGAGCACTGCCTGTCACAAAACAGGTAATTGGCCTAGTTTCTTTATGCTGCTATAACAGAATACCACAGATTAAGTAATTTATAGAAAACAGAGATTTCTTTCTTTCTTACAATTCTGAAGCTGAGAAGTCCAAGGTCTAGGGGCCCACAACTGTTGAGGATCTTCTTGCTGCAATATCCCGTGGAAAAAGGTGGGAGGGCAAGAGAGCACATGCATGAAAGAGAGAGAGAGCAAAAGGGGCCAAACTCACTTTTCTAAGAAGCCCACTCTGATGATAACAAACTGACTGTATGGTAGCATTAATCCATTCATAAAGGCAGAGCCCTTAGGACCTAATCACCTACCATTAGGCCTCAGCTCCCAATAGTGTTGTGTTGGGGATTAAGTTTCCAATACGTGAACTTTGGGGGCACAATTAAACCACAGCAGTGATCGGTAAATTGTTGAATAAATGAATGCTGAATGGCTAAATGTTAAAATAAACATTTGGAGAAAGCCGAGCTAAAATAAATCTCACATCATAGAATGAGTTATTTGGGATAAAAGAATAAATATAAACTTATCAAAAATTATTGCAGCTAAGTTTTCAGTAGTTAAGTCACAAGAACTTGAGTATATAGTGCAGCAATAATTACATAACACTCTCAGCTTCTGGATTGCAACAAATATTTACTTTCAAAGAGATTTATGGAGGACCAAAATATCTATCGGGTACCTCATTTTCCTCTAACACTTTCTTTTTTCCTTGATATTACTTGGCCTTAAATATGTCTTAGATTGTACAATTTATCATAATTCTTGTACATGATTTTTCCTTATGAATTGTGGGGTGTGATTTAATCCTTAAAAGATGTGAAGAATCTACAAAGTGGGAAAGAAACACACCTTAAATGGAATATATGACTACTATTAGAAATTCTAGCTTACCAAACAATTCTACAAATAATAGAATTATGAAATAATCTAATTCCTATTTTTCTACTTTGTTGTATTCTATAAAGTTTAAAACCATTTGCAAAAAGATCATTGTCTTCCTAAAGTATACTACACTCTCTTTTAGTGTTTATATTCACTGCTGTTTCTTTTTTGTTGTGTGTTTGATTTCTGTTTTTGTTTATTTTTAAAACAACCAAAAAGATATGCACATATTTTAATTTACACTATGGTTCTGTATAATTTTTTTAAATTACTATACTTTAAGTTCACTGCTGTTTCATTTCCTTATTTAAATATTCAAAGTCTCAATAATTTTTAATATAAAATTAGAAATTCTCACAGTTGTTATTATGGTGGCAGTTTATTCTGGCAAAAATGAATGTGCATTTTAACTTTAACTGCTTAATAGAATTCAAAATATAATAGAATTAATATAATTCAAAATGTAAATACACAACAGAATTTTCACCAAAAGTTAGAATATTTATGAATATTTAAAATAAAATACTCAGGTATTAATAAGGAATTGGAAAAATATGCTGTTCTTACGTTACTACCATTGTTAATGTGATCCTATGATCAGTGATCAGTCAAGTTCACGGGTGCTAGAAAAAAGTTCAAGTTGACATTCAGATCTTTGATACTCCGTAAGCTGAAACCACACAGTAAATTTTGGCAACATACCTACACTGAAGCATAACTTTTCAGTGCATTCTTGGTGGGTATTGCAATACGTACTTTTGTATCTTATTATGTTTCAGTCACATTATTTTGATTCCTTTCCAAGATTGTAACCATTCATTGCTTCGAGGCGAGATTAAGTGATCTGTTTACCCACCAATTGATTTTTGGACATGAAATAAGACTCATAATTATTTCTATTCTTAAACTTCACTTGTGACATGAAACAGTCTATTTGAATCATACTTTTCATATAATTTAGATTTTTTTTATAACCAGATATCTCTCTGAGAAATGTACTTCTAATATGTTGCTTGGTAAATGTTATATAACTCATTGGCTTAACCTGTTAACACCATTCCAAAATGATGTATTTCTTATTTTATCATAATCAGTAAGGCCATGTTTGGATTTGTCTTCCAGGACATGAGTAAATCTATGTTGTCAGCTCTTTTGCTTAGTTTTTCTGACCAATTCATCATTTAGTCATACATTGTGAGCCCTCTTTCCACTCAGTTACTCAGAGTATGGACTCTTGGCTCCCCTTTCCACTTGGTCATTAAGTGTAACAACAGACGCATATTGGTTTTCCCTGTTGTTGGTACAGAATTGACTTTTTCCCCAGGATTAGATATCATTTCTGGTACCTATTATATAATTTTACAAAACAAAACAAAGCAAATAAATACTTAAGCTTGGAATTTTATACAATCTTACTAGAGGAAACTAACATTTGCATATATTAATGTAATGTACATATCAACATGCTTTTTTTACTAAAATCACTTAAAAATAAAACATAATATTTATTAATATTTTATATTATAAAAATTATTTCCCTTTTTGGATCATTATAAATTCATGAATTTTTATACATTCAAGCAGTTCCAATTAATCATCATAATGAAATAAACAGTTTTTCTGCCTAAATTATTTATTTTTAATCAAAAAATTTTTTTCCTTACAACTTTTATTTTAGGTTCAAGGGGTACATGTGAAGGTTAGTTACATGGGTAAATTGCATGTCATAGGGATTTGGTGTGCAGATAATTTTGCCATCCAGATAAGCAACATAATACTTGACAGATGGTTTTTGAATCCTCACCCTCCTCCCATCCTCCACCCTCAAGTAGGCTCCAGTGTCTATTGCGTCCTTTTTTGTGTCCATGTGTACTCAATGTTTAGCTTCCACTTATAAGTGAGAATATTTGATATTTGTTTTTCCATTCCTGTGTTAATTTGCGTAGCGTAATGAACTTCAGCTCCATCCATATTGTAGCAAAGGACATAATTCCATTCTTCTTTATGGGTGCATAGTATTCCATGGTGTATATGTACCACATGTTATTTATTCAGTCCACTATTGATGGGCATCTAGGCTTATTCCTTGTCCTTGCAATTATGAAAACTGTTGTGATTAACATATATATGCATGTGTCTTTATGGTGGAATAATTTATATTCTTTTGGGTATATACCCAGTAATGGGATTGCTAGATCAAATGGCAGTTCTATTTTAAGTTCTTTGAGAAATTGCCAGACTTCTTTCCTTAATGCCCGAACCAATTTATATTCCCACCAACAGTGTATCAGCAGTCCCTTTTCTCAGCAACCTCACCATCTGTTATTTTTGGCTATAAAAAGCCATTCTGACTGGTGTGAGATATCTCATTATGGTTTTGATTTGCATTTCCCTAATGATTAGTAATATTGAGCATTTTTTCATATGCCTGTTGGCCATTTATGTCTTCTCTTGAGACGTATCTGTTCATGTCCTTTGCCCATTTATTAAATGGGATTGTTTGTGTTTTTGCTGGTTGATTTGTTTAAGTTCCTTACAGATTCTGGATATTAGAGCTTTGTCAGATGCATAGTTTGCAAACATTTTCTCCCATTCTGTAGGTTGTCTGTTTACTCTGTTAGTTTCTTTTGCTGTTCAGAAACTCTTTAGTTTAATTAGTTCCCACTTTTCAATTTTTGTTTTTGTTGCAATTGCTCCTGGAGACTTTGTCATACCTTTGCCAGGGCTGATGTCCAGAATGGTATTTCCTAAGTTTTCTCCTAGGGTTTTTATAGTTTTAGATTTTACATTTAAGACTTTAATTCATCTTGGGTTGATTTTTGTATGTAGTGAAAGGTAAGGGTCCAGTTTCAATCTTTTGCATATGGCTAGCCAGTTATCCCAGCACCATTTATTGAATAGGGAATCCTTTCCCTATTGCTTGTTACTGTCAGCTTTGTTGAAGATCAGATAGTTGTAGGTGTGCAGCTTTATTTCTTGGTTCTCGAACCTGTTCCGCTGGTCTATCTGTCTGTTTCTGTACAAGTACCACACTCTTTTTGGTTACTGTAGCCTTGTAATATAGCTTGAAGTCAGGTAGCACAATGTCTCCAGTCTCCAGACCTGTTCTTTTTGTTAAGATTGCTTTGGCTATTCAGGCTCATTTTTTGTTCCATATGACTTTTTAAATAGTTTTTTTTTCTAATTTTGTGAAGAATATCATTGGTAGCTTGATAGGAATAGTATTTAATGTGTAAATTGCTTTGGGCAGTGTGGCCACTTTAACAATATTGGTTCTTTCTATCCGTGAGCATGGAATGTTTTTCCATTCGTTTGTGTCATCTCTGATTTCCTTGAGCAGTGGTTTGTGATTTTTGTAGAGAACTTTCACTTCTGCAGTGGGGAAGCTGTATTCCCAGGTATTTTATTCTTTTTCTGGCTATTGTGAATTGGATTATGTTCATGACCTGACTCTCATCTTGGGTATTAATGGTGTGTAGAAATGCTACTGATTTTTGTACAAGGGCTGATGGTAACAAATTCCCTTAGCATTTGCATGTCTGAAAAGATTCTATTTTTCCTTCACTTATGAAGTTTAGTTTGGCTGAATATGAAATTCTTGGTTAAAAATTATCTACTTTAGGAATGTTGAATATAGGCCCCCAATCTCTTCTGGCTTGTAGGGTTTCTGCTGAAAGGTTCACTTTTAGCATGAAGTGTTTCCCTTTGTATGTTACCTGCACCTTCTCTCTAGCTGCCTTTAATATTTTTTTCTTTTATGTTGACCTGGGAGAATCTGATGACTATGTGTCTTGGGGATAGTTGTCTTGTATAGTATCTTGCAGGGGTTCTCTGAATTTCCTGGATTTGAATGTCAACCTCTCTAGTTAGAATTTTCATGGGCAATATTCTCAAATATTTTTTCCCAGTTGCATGCTCTTTTTCCTTCTCTTTCTGAGACACCAATGAGTTATAGATTTGGTACCTTTACATAATCCCATATTTCCCAGAGGTTTTGTTCATTTTGTAAATTCTTTTTTCTTTATTTTTGTCTAACTGAATTAATTCAAAGAATTGGTCTTCGTGCTCCAAAATTCTTTCCTCAACTTGATCTAGTCTGCTGTTAATAGTTCTAATTGTGTTATGAAATTCTTGAATTGAGTTTTTCATCCATATCAGCTCAACTTGGTTCCTTCTTAAAATAGCTAATTTGTCTTTCATCTCTTGAATCGTTTTACTGGATTTCTTAGGTTCCTTGGAATGGTTTTCAACTTTCTCCTGAGTCTCAATGATCTTCATTGCCACCTAGATTCTGATTTCTACACCTGTCATTCCTTCTGGTTAAGAACCATTGCTGGAGAGGTAGTGCGGTTGTTTGGAGGTAAGGAGACACTCTGGCTTTTAGAGTTGCCAGACTTCTTGCGCCAGTTTTTTTCTCATCTGTGTGGGCTGATGTTCCTTTAACTGTGGTGTAATTGGAGTATAGTCAGTTGGCTTCATTTCTGGATGTTTTCAGAGGACTGAGGCTTTGCACGGGATCTTTATTTGTGGCTGAATTCTTGCTCTTGGTTTCACAGGGAGGTGTGTTAGCAAAGTATTTTTGTTGTTGAAGTTTGGGCTGGGATCTAATAGATGGTGCCTAAGCATAATGACTGGCAGGCAGGCTGTTGATCATCCATGTGGCTTCTCTGTATTTCCTCACATTTGTAGCTGTGCTCTCTCTCAGTGCTCTGTTATTGTGGGCTTCTCTCATACTTGAGATTAGTGGCCGCAGATCTTGGCTTGGCATTTCCAGGCTGCTCAGCACAGCTCTGGGGTGAGCTCAGGCATTTTGTCCCCTCCCCTGCTTGGGGGCAGCAGGGCCAGGAACCTTGGCAATGGCAATGGCAGAGGGCCTGTCACTCGTCTCCATGGGCTCCACTCAGAGAAAAGCATAGCTGCTGCCAATCAGAAAGATCAGCATGAGGTGAGGTGGCTGTATTGTGAACCCAAGCCAGGGGGCCCTGCCTGGTGAAGAGCAGCAGGGGCATGAGGCTCATGGGGAAGACAGTCTGGTCTCTCCTCTGTAGTGTGACTGTGGCATTCTGAAGGTGTAAGCATTCAGGCTCTTTGTTCCTTCCGCAGCCTAGTGGCAGCATGGGTAGATACCACTGCAGTGGTAGTGGCAGAGGGGCTGTCAGTTGCTTTTGGGAACTCCACCCCAGAGAGACACAGGGCTGCTGCCAGTGGGAATGTTCAGCTGGAGATGGGGTGGCTACGCTATGAGCCCAAGCCCAGGGCCCTGCCTAGTGAAGAGCAGGGGGTCAGGGGCTCACAGGAAGGAGAGGCTGGCTCCCCTCTGTATGGTGGCTGTGTATGCTCGAGGTGCCAGCAAAGCAATCAGAGTCTGTGTTCCGTGTTCGTTCCCTAGCCCAAGGGCAGCAAGGGCAGTACCACTGCAGTGACAGCGGCAAAGTGGCTGTCAGTGGTCTCTGGGAACTCCGCCCCAGACAGATACAGAGCCACAGCTAATGGGAATGCTCAGCTGGGGGTGGGGATACCATGCAGCGGGCCCAAGATGGGGGCCCTGCCTGGTAGAGAGTAGGGGGCAAGGGATTCACAGGGAAGAAAGACTCGGCTCCTCCTCATGTGGTGGCTGTAGCATGCTGGAGGTGCCAGGAAAGCAATCAGTCTCTTTGTTCCTTCCCCAGCCCGAGAGCAGCAAGACTAGTATGCTGTCATGGCAATGTAGAGAACCTGTGGTTTGTCTCTGGGATTTCCTCCCCAGAGAAATGCAGAGCTGCCACCACCTGAAGTGCCTAGGTCAAGGCAGGGCAGCTGTGCTGGGGGCTCAGGTGGGGAGGCCTGCCTAGTGAGGAGTAGCAGGCACATGAACTTGCATGGAAAACAGTGTGGCCACTTTTCTGTAAGGCAGTTGTTCTATGCTGGAGGTCTGTGATAGTCCTTAGGCTCTTCACCCTCTTCCCAGCCTGAAGGCAGTAGGGGCGGGGGCTATGGAAGTGGCAAAAAAAAAAACGGTGTTCCTGTTGTGTTACCTCTGCGAGCTCCATCCCATAGAAATGCAGAGCTGCTACCAGCCCAAGTCCTCAGGCGGGGGTGGAGTGGCTGTGCTGGGGGCCCAGGCCAGTGGGCTTTGCCTGGCAAGGTTTAGCGGAGGCCTGCAGTCTGTCTGCTCCTCAGCACCATGAATTCGACTCCATGCAGCTCTCCATGTAAGTGCAGGCCTGGTGGAGGACAGGACTCGGGGGGTTGTCAGGGGCATCCCCTGTGCCCAGGATTGTACGGGTTCATGGCAGAAGTGTGGGTCCCTAGGGACTGTCACTCACTCATCATTTCCTCGTTGTGGGGAGCCTCCCTTGGCTCCATGCCAATCCCGGGTGGGCAGCTGTCCTGTCTCACTCTTCTTTGCTCTCTGTGGGTTATGTTACTTCTGTGATGAATCCCAAAGTGTCCTCCTTCAAATTATGTGAATTTGTTCTTGCAGTCCTGTCAAATTAACCACTTTACCTTTTACCTGTGATAAAGATTGTGTCTTTACTACAGAATCTCTCTCTCCTTTTTTTTTTTCTTTTTTTTGCCTTAACAAGCCTGATTTCTATTATCTAGGAAGATGTTAGGATTTAATTAACAGCTCTGTCACGTCTTCTTCAACTCAAAAATAAAGGTTAATGGAGGTTTTGCTTATTGTTCATATTGTCTTTTTGTAATCTTAACTGTCTTGGACACAGCTTTTCATTCAGCTCTGAGAAGTTTCTAGAGTAGGGTTTCCCTCATATTTTTGAAATTATAGTCACTTTCTGAGAACAACAGAATGTACCAGACCTATTCTATTTTTTTCCTGTTCTAAGCAGGATTTATGTATTCTCTAGGAGTCCCAGGTCCTTTTGATAGAAATAAATATTACTTTAACCAAAAATCTAGTTTCCAGGGTTGCATATCCGAGTTTGTGGGTTAGTGCTATTGTTGCTATTGGAATACTTCTTGTAGTGACTGGCGGTGCCGGAAAATATATGGATTGCCAAATCTATAATTTTACCTCCTCCCATCCCCAATTTAACATAGTAAAGTAATATTTCACTGAAGATCACAGAATATATATACACACATATCATTAAAGTAATATTGTAGCTTAGGGAAGAGTTCAGGGAAAGGGCTATATTCTGGAAATTGTAGAGATCTTTCTTAAAGGATCTCTAAGCTGTTATGTACTTGTCTTAGTGAGCTTGGGCCACTATAACAGAATACCATAGACCGGTGGTATGAAAGAGAGACATTTATTTCTCACCGTTCTAATAGCTGGAAGTCTCAGATCAGAGTGCCAGCATGGCAGAAGTGTGGGTCCCTAGGGACTGTCACTCATCATTTCCCCATTGTGGGGAGCCTCCCTTGGCTCCATGGCAATCCTGGATGGGCAGCTGCTCTGTGTCGCTCTTCTTTGCTCTCTGTAGGTTATGTGGCTTCTGTGATGAATCCCAAAGTGTCCTCCTTCAGGTCATGTAAATTTGTTCTTGGAGTCCTGTCAAATTAACCACTTTACCAGTGAGGGCTTTCTACTAGCCTTGCAGATGACTGCCTTCTGGAGAACTCATCTCTCTTTTTTTTTCCTCTCTCTCTCTTTTTTTAAATTTTTTTTTAAATTTTTTTATTATACTTTAAGTTCTAGGGTACATGTGCACAACGTGCAGGTTTGTTACATATGTATACATGTGACATGTTGGTGTGCTGCACCCATTAACTCCTCATTCTCCCAGTGCTATCTCTCCTCCCTCCCCCCACCCCACAACAGGCCCCGGTGTGTGATGTTCCCCTTCCTGTGTCCAAGTGTTCTCACTGTTCAATTCCCACCTATGAGTGAGAACATGTGGTGTTTGGTTTTCTGTCCTTGTGATAGTTTGCTGAGAATGATGGTTTCCAGCTTCATCCATGTCCCTACAAAGGACATGAACTCATCATTTTTTATGGCTGCATAATTTTCACATAGCTTCGTTTCTACAATCACAACATTCCTGAGGTAAACAGGCAAGGTGTAATCATTCTTTTTTTACAGAGGGAGAACAAGGAACTTAGGGAAATCAAAATGGGGACACTAACAGGATTTCTGTGGAAATTTAAGTAAATGAGAATTTGTAGTAAATTTTTTATCCTAAAACAAATAACTCACTTTGGCCGAAAAATGGGATGTTACCCAAGGTCCCCTACTGGGCCGGCGGAGAAAAGGACCTGCCTCCTACAGGGGCACAAACAAGGCAGACTAGGACCCAGCAGTCGGCCAAGGCCCAAGGGTCTCCAGTAAGGAAAATGTAAAATGTGAGTGTGTGAGACTGGCCTAAGATATAGGAAGAGCAGTAAAGAGAAGAAAACTGACGAGCAGAGGGGGAAAAGAATTATTAAACATGGTCAAGGAGCAAGGAGCACGACAAAGCCTCAGGATTTCTTCAAGGGATACTGCTGTGCCAGGTCTCAAGGGCAGAAGGATACAAGCACAAGACACCAGGGCCACCAAGCTGATGGGGTTACTGAGCCTCTGGACAGCACCTTCTGATAGGAAGCAAGGAAGCACACTACAAAGGCTGCAATCCTGGAGGCTGAGACAGTCAAGAGGGAGTGGAAGGGCCTCTGCTGCTCTGGGAAGGTATCTTATAGGGCAAATAAGCTCTTACTGTGTGCCTAAGAGAAAGGAAGAGGGAAGCGAGGCAGGTGTCATGGCCTTAAGAACTTTCTAGAGGTTTCTATTTATTGACATTTGACCTAGACCTCTTCATGAGCAAGGCGCAGCCTTGGGCTACAGGTAGGAAAGTCAGCATCCTACTCTCTCCTCAATTCCATCTGTTAATCCACCAACCCAAATCCCTCCCACCCCCACCTGAAGTCCAAATAAGGTAAAATGATAAAATGATGTGCTGTTCTCTCAACAGTTGGCTGAGTCTGAATTGGAGGGTAGGAAGCATTTGAAGCTCTGCCCATTTAGTTCCAGAACAAAAAATAAGCAGAGGCAGGAGGTGGAGAGCAAAGACGCTGGCAGCCCTGCGTCTGGTCTTTATAGCTGTGTCTTTGGATTTGTAGGCCACTCCTCAACTTTTCAGCTCCCGCACGATTCCTTAGGGCAAGCGACCAGTGGTTGACACCGCATATACACCTGGCTTAAAGTTATTGACTCGCTGCCAGTTGGAGACCCAGCTGTCCTCTGGACTCATCATCGCAATGATTCCATCAAAGGAGGAGCTGGTGCAGCCATATAGCATCTCTCAGTTACCCTTCATCTGTAGATATGCATCTCAATAGTCACAACCATCATATTCAAACTGGTCTATAGTACCTTGACCAGTGAACACAGCAAACAGGCCCACAGATGCCACAGGTCCTTCAGCACCGTCTCCAGGGCCATCTTCTCCAATGAGAAGAGCAACAGCAAGGAAGATGGCCACAGCCTGAGCACCCGCAGGAAGTAAACAGCTCGTTAGCCGGGTCTCTTCTTATAATTCCATCATGAGGACCCCATTCTCATGACCTCATATTAAACCTAATTACCTCCCAAACTTTTGACCTCCAAATGCCATTACGTTGGAGGGTAGTGCTTCCACCAATGAATTTTGAGGAGATACAGACATTCACTCCCTAACAGTGCTATAAATGAAGTCAGGGACCCTGATGGTGTCTTTATCACAGAATCTTACATTTTCTTTGTCTTTGCCTTAACACAACTCTTTTTGCTCACCTAGAAAGTTCTTGGGATTTAATTAACTGCTCTATCATCTCTTCCTCAACTCGAAAACAAAGGTTGCTGTGTCTTCACATGCCATGTACACACAAGGTATACTTTAAAAGTTTTTGTTCATTGTTCACATTGTCTTTTGCTCTCTTAGACTCAACTTTTTATTCAGTCCAGAGAACTTTTTAGTATAGAACTCACCCCAAGAATATAACTGCCTTTGAAAATATAATATTCACAAAAAGAATTTAAAAAGAGGGGACATTTACTAAATTTTTATTGGGCATAACAATTATTTCTTTTAGGGCGTTGCTAAATTTTTTGTCTAAATGAAAAAAAAAACAAATTGAGAAATTCCACATTTCACACTGATCTAGTGATCTCAACATACTTGTGGGTTTCTACTAACTGTTGTTTGGTATTGCTTTCTCAATTTCCTTTTTTTTTTTTTTTCGCCTCATCTCCCGGAATGTATCAAAGGAAACCCCTGTCTTTGAAAAAGACTTCTTTTGAGCTAACTTTCTTATACTGGTACCTTTCTAATCTCACTACAATATGTAACATTGGTGTTCGATCTCAAGTATTTCTGAATATATTCCCCTATCCACAGAAATATACTCTGGGGGAAAAAAAATAGAACAAATTCTTGCCGTCCTGACCATTGAACAAGAGACTAATTAGACAATGGGGCTAGAAAAACCTCAAAGTAAACGTGAGTACTTTCTCTCCTTTCCATTTCAAAGAAGCAGATGGAATTATACTAATTTAAAACATATGAATTGATGGTAGTTTTAAAGATTGTTGATGATGACGGGGAGAAGGAGGTGGAAGGAAATAAAAATGACGTTGGTGAAGAGGAAGGACATAGAGTCAAATAAGTTGGATAACAGAAACTTCTTTATAAAATGTATATTGGACCAAGAGGGGAGATAAAATATATAAAAGAGAAATAAGATGAAAAGAAAGAGAGTAATATGAGAAGATTCTTTTAAAGAAAAAAGAGAAAAGGAAGATGTAGAAAAAGCATTTAGGCTTATGCTGTATCAGAGGCTCTAACTGTCCCATTTTATGTTTGACTTAAGTGACACCAGTGGATTTGTATTGTGATAATATTAAATAATATTTTTGATAGATATATAGAACAAGTGTGGAAATGTTTAAATTAAAATTAAAGTTTTACTTTATCTCATCACCCTACCATGGCAAACTGTAATCACAGTGTGATCCTATTGAATTACCTTTTTAGGTAACAATATTTCTTAGAGATTTTTTGCATCAATATATACTGATTACATGCTTATTTAATTACTATACAGAATATCATTGTGTGAAGGGACCATAATTTAGAATTTCCACTATTGATAATATACATGTAAATATTAGATTACAGTATGTGTTTTCTATTTTGAGAAGTACTGCAATGAATATCTTTTAACATAAACAAGCTCAATTATTTCTATAGAATAGACACCTGTAATTGAAATTATTGTGGCAAATGAAATGCATTTAAAAATGGATAAATGCCACTAAATTGATCCTTCTAAAAGGCATTCCTAATTTTCCAGTCCAGGCAGCAGCATTTATTTTCTCACTAAGAGTGCTTATTTCCCCTCAGCCTTGCCAACACTGCATGTACTTAATTTACTTAAAAAATCTGATGTGTGAAAAGTTATACCAC
The DNA here is from genome assembly GCF_000001405.40 of Homo sapiens. Classification (NCBI taxonomy): domain Eukaryota; kingdom Metazoa; phylum Chordata; class Mammalia; order Primates; family Hominidae; genus Homo; species Homo sapiens. The sequence continues at coordinate 8,514,727 of NC_000012.12, forward strand.
AATCTTTTCGTTTACAGTTCCCTGATTGGGCATATTTTTGTTTGATTAGTGGCTATTTATAACTTCAGCAAATTAAAATTTCAGCAAATTTCCTGCTCAGAGTTTTGCTCAGTTTTCTAGTTGATTTTGAAATACTTTATCCAGTGCGGATATTAATATTATGAGAAGACTTTCCTTTCATACGTTCCTTGACTCTAACATTGCTTGTGTTATATAGAAGTTTTAATTTTTATGTACTCAAATTATCTATTCTAATGGCTCTTGGGTTTTGTATCTTACTTATAAAATTCTTTTCATTTCAAAATTACCAAGAAATTTTACATTTTTCTTTCTTATTTATTTATTCATCAATAAGCTCTAAAATTGATTTATTTGGAGAAAATATTTATGCTCTTCTCTAGATCTGAAATATTTGGTTTGCTGTCACTTTTAGATTGCTCCTTGGTAGAATTAGCTTTCCTAGCTTGTAGCTGAGAGGAGGTTAATCTCTATTTTTCTTTTGGTCCTAGTGGAAGGAGGCATGCATCCCCAGCTGATACCTTCGGTTATTGCTGTAGTTTTCATCTTACTTCTCAGTGTCTGTTTTATTGCAAGTTGTTTGGGTAAGTTATTAGCCAAAGTAGAACTCTTCTTGAATTATTATTTCCAAACAACTTTTCTGAAGTTGCTCTAAGCCTTTTGGTATCTTGATTTTTCCTAGCATAACCTATCTATAATATCTTCAGGGTCTTGCACTGAATATTCAGAGCTACATTCTTGACCTTCTGTCTTTCAATGGTGGTACCTTGTGATAGAGATTGATTGATGGAATTTAGACCATTTTCTGTACATGTAAAAGTTGGTTACTATAGCAAATTTCCCCCCATTTTGGACTGGGATCACAAAGGGATACATCTTATGAGAAAAGAGTAAGCAGAAGAAAAATAACTTTCAGATAGACTGGCTTTGAAAAGAACAAGGTTGGAAGAATTGTTCTCTCTCTCTCTTTCCCTCTCTTTCTTTCTTTTTTCCTTTCTTTCAACCTCTTTATTGATGTACGATTGACATATGAAAACCTGTACATATTTAATGTATACATCTCAATTTGGGGGATTAGTATACACCCTTGAAACCATCACCACCATTAAAAAAATTCTTTCTGATATCAAACATAAAATAATTATAATTAAAGTAATATGATATAGGTGCAAGACAAATAGACTAGAGGAAAATAAAGGAGAGCTTGGTTACAGATCCTGCATGTATATAAGACTCTTTATATAAAACAAAAGAAGATATCTCAGACATATGGGAAAAGGACAATTTTGTTCAATTAATGTTGCAGAGCCCATTGATTATTTATATTTAAAAGATGAAATTGGTCTCCTGCATCACACTGTATACAAAAACAAATCTAGAGCAGATTATTGTCCAAAATGTGAAAAGTAAATCAATAAAGTTTTAAGAAGATAAATGGAGAATATCCTCATGACCTGGAGGTAGAGAACGATTTCTTAAACAAGCCACAAAATGCACTAGAAAATAAACATTGACAAATTATACTACATTAAAATGAGTTACTGTACAACAAAACATACCAGTAACAGTGAAAATAAAAAGCCATAGGAGAAGATACTTGTAATGCATATAATTAATAAATAATTCACATGTAGATTATATACAAATTTTTTCAAACCAGTAGGAAAAATACTTACAATAAAAAAACTGGGCAAAGTCTTAAATAGGTACTAAAACAAAGAGAAAAATGAAATGTCTAATAAACACACAAAAGTGCCAGCCTCATTAATTAATTATCAGGGAAATGCAAATGCAACTCACAGTGAGACACCTTTGCAAACATAACAGGATGGCAACAATAAAAAGTCTGGCACTACTAAATATTGATGATGCCATGGAGCAAATGGACCTCTAGTGAATTGCTTCTGGTGGAGTTTAAGCATTACAGTCACTCTGGAAAAGTTTACCGCTATCATAGTTTACAATATTCGTACGCTATTGCCTGCAGTTCCACTCCTACGTATGTGCCCTACAGAAACGCATGCTTATGTGCTCCAAATGCATGGTTGAAAATGCTCAGAAGAGCATAGTTCACAGTAGCCAAACACTGGAAACAAGGCACACATCTAATAGGAGTAGAATAGATAAATATATTTTGTTTCAGGAAGACAATAGTTCACTTTACAGCAATGACAATGGATGAATTATAGCGGGCACGTAACAAAATAGACAAATTTCAGAAACAATTCTCAACAAAAGACAGAATCAGAATACATACTGTGTGATTGCCGTTCAAAAACAGGCAAATCTGATCTATAGGGACATGTTAGTAAGTGACAAAATTGTGAAGCAAAGCACAGCGGTTACTTTAAAAGCCAAGAGTGGTTACCTGTAAAGGAGAGTGGTTACCTATAAAGGCGAGGGAGTGAGCTGCCTTTGAGATGTGAAGGCTATCTGGGGTTTTGGCAATATTCTGTTTCTTGAGCTGAGTAGTTGTTACCTGGAGTGTTCACCTTACAATAATTTGCTAAACTGTTTTCCACTTTTTTACATTTGTTTATTTTTTATTATTTATTTATATTTATTTTATTATACTTTAAGTTTTAGGGTACATGTGCACAACGTGCAGGTTAGTTACATATGCATACATGTGCCATGTTGGTGTGCTGCACCCAGTAACTCATCAGTTAACATTAGGCATATCTCCAAATGCTATCCCTCCCCCCTCCCCCCACCCCACAACAGGCCCCGGTGTGTGCTGTCCAGGAAGGGTACATTTGTTTATATATTTCAAGGTGAAAGTATTTTAGAAATGCATAAGGTTCATACAACCCAGCGCGCACCAAAAACCCCTATTCTAACACAAATTTTGATAGAAAAACATGCTTGCAAGCATGTGCACATAAAAGTTTGCAAAACTTCTCCCGTAAAGAACAAAACGGGCCGGACGCGGTGGCTCACGCCTGTAATCCCAGCACTTTGGGAGGCCGAGGCAGGCGGATCTCGAGGTCAGGAGATCAAGACCATCCTGGCTAACAAGGTGAAACCCCGTCTCTACTAAAAACAGAAAAAATTAGCCGGACGTGGTGGCGGGCGCCTGTAGTCCCAGCTACTCGGGAGGCTGAGGCAGGAGAATGATGTGAACCCGGGAGGCGGAGCTTGCAGTGAGCCGAAATCGCGCCACTGCACTCCAGCCTGGGTGACAGAGCGAGACTCCGTCTCAGAAAAAAAAAGGACAATATGATAATAAAAATATTAATTTTCAACAATTGCTTTCAACCAATTCACCTGGAGCTGAAACAAACAAGCTGCATAGAAAGAAAAGAGAATATGAGGGCCTTAATTATTAGGATAAGAGAAAATTTAGGAAGGTCAGCCCCTATTTCCCTAATTAGTGGTTATATAGAAAAAGAAACCTAACTTGCTTTTATCCTTGACAGTGACTCATCACAACTTTTCACGCTGTAAGAGAGGCACAGGAGTGCACAAGTTAGAGCACCATGCAAAGCTCAAATGCATCAAAGAGAAATCAGAACTGAAAAGTGCTGAAGGTACAGAGTGTAAGATAATTTCTTTTTTAATTTCCATTTTCGTTCAAATTCATAGTCTGACTGAAGGAATGTCAGTAGTGAACCAGGAAAGATTAAAATAGCATAAGATGAGAATCTGGCATCGGAGTAAATAAGAATACCTTAAGATAGAATTATTTCTCATTACTGTAATCCAGTTAATAACCGGAGAATATAGCTTTACAGATGGATGGGTTATTTTTGACATCCAAAACATAACATTAATCAGATTCAATTTTCCCTTGATTCAGACATATGATAAAGACAGTTTCCTCCTAGAATATACAGCTTTGCTGACATGTCTTTATTTCTTTTATTATTGTGGAATTTGTCATCTCATTTGGGAGAATGGGGCAGTGCTTAAGTTTTAGTAGGTTCTTTACCCACTTTAGGTAAAATATCCTGCAAAAGCTTCGTAATGGAAACACTTTAAATGTGCAAGTCAACAGATGTAGGAACAATGAATAACAGTCATGCCTTCTAAGGCAATATTTTGTGATTTTCTCGTAGTCATTATGTGGTGTCCAGTACTTATGTTTAGAAGATATTTAGGAATGTAATTTTCAGGATCTTTTGGTAGGAGAACAGAATAATTTTGGTGATCTTGATATTATTCTCACAAATATTAATTGGATATAGGTAGTAGAATAGTTATGCAATCTGTTACAGATGAAATGCTCTTTTGTTACCAATTTCCGTTTTAATTTTCACTTGAGGGAGCACCTGGAACTGTTGTCCTATTGACTGGAGAGCCTTCCAGTCCAACTGCTATTTTCCTCTTACTGACAACAAGACGTGGGCTGAGAGTGAAAGGAACTGTTCAGGGATGGGGGCCCATCTGATGACCATCAGCACGGAAGCTGAGCAGGTGTGTTGGGAGGATCACATCAGTTTCTCTGCTGCTTTGAATCTCTTTCCAGAAAAAGAGGAATTTCTCTGTCCTGTTATGCCTCTGTCTGTTTTCATCTGCTCCATCTGCCTGGAAAGCCCTTTCTTCCTCTTCAACTTTTTGTCATATGGCCAACTTCTTTTGGTCTTTCTATATTTGATTCATATGTTATTTCCTCCAGAAAGCTACCCTAACTACCTTCCTCATTCTACCCCTCCCTGTTCTAAGTGGGAAGTACTTCTGTAGGACTTTGTGCACAACGAGATCATGGCATTTACTTCACTCCACTATAATTGTCTGTTCACTGCTCCATCTCTTCCAGTGACTTTTACTACGTGGAGGGCTGGATCCATGCTCTACTCACCTTTGCGCTTCCAATGTCCCGTGCAGTGTGAGGCACACTGGATAGGTCTTGATAAATGTTTGGTTAGTAGGTGAATAAATGAATGGTTAATCAGGACTGAACTAGCTTCTCAGGATAAAGTACAGGAAAACTAATTCAGATGTATGGATCTAATGATAAGTAAAGAAATCTTAGGGTAAATTCTTTAAAGGCTAAAATTTATTTCCTCATGTAATATGTTTCCATTTATGTACCATGACTCAGATTCTAACTTTTTCTTGGTTAATAGTTTCCTCAAGGATTTTGTCTCCATAGGTTTACAATGTATAGGTTCGGTAATTCTGAATAAAATGGAATTTAATGAAATATGCACGCAATTAAAGAAGATATTAAAAACAAAACCTCCTAAAAAATCTAATCTTATTAAGCATTGTGCTAAAAGGGTTGCAAGTCTGACCTCACTTAATCTTCCTAGTAACTCTATAAAGTAGTGGAGTTGTCCCTTTTGAAGACAAGAGCACTGGGGGTTTGGTAAGATTGAAGCACTTACTAACATTACAGGCAGGATTTGAAAACAGATCTATCTGATGCCAGAGCTTTTGTGCTTAACCAGTAATCTAGTTGACATATTTCCTCTTTTTCCAACATCATAGCCATCACCTGATTCATGCAACTATATTAAAATTTACATTTTTATGCAGAACTTTATTATTCAGTTTCTGGATAGACGGCTTTCCTATTTCCTTGGACTTAGAGATGAGAATGCCAAAGGTCAGTGGCGTTGGGTGGACCAGACGCCATTTAACCCACGCAGAGTGTAAGTATATTGAGTGGGCTAAGGGGATTTATAAGCAAAGGTTAGAAGATGGTAGCAAGAAACATTCATTTTGAAGTGGAGTACATTGATATAAAAATGTTAAGAGAGACCACTGTAGGTTGAGTAATCTCCATATGCTATGTCCCAGTTCCAGAATGGTCCTATAATTTGCATGCAATTTTCAGTATTCTTATTTGCACAATGTCAATAATGAAAGAATGAATAGCATAGAAGTGATATAAAATTTGTTTTAGGCTTGACATTTAAATAAACAATATAAGCGATAAAAATTTTCTTTGAAAGAGAATCAAAATCTTGTCATTTTCTTTCTTGAAGCCAGTATCGTTTAGTAAAAATATAATGCAAAGCCACATGTGCAATTTAAAATTTTTTGTTAGTTATATTAAGAAAGTAAAAAGAAGCAAGTGAAATGTATTTTAATAACGTATTAATAATGTATTTAACCCAATATATCCAAATCTTATCATTTCAACATGTGATCATTATAAAATTATTACTGAGGTCTTTGACATTCTTCATTGGCACTAAGTCTTCAAAATACAGCACTTAAGACTTAAAGCACATTTCAATTCAGAGAAGCCACATTTCAAGTGCTCAGTAGCTACATGTGTCTAGTGAGTATAGTATTAGTGCAGTTCTAAACTGTTCACTAGGGACATTTCTCTGAATTGTCTCCTAATATATCTATATCTAATCTACACCTATAATCTACATTGTCTATATATACCTATAAATCTCTATCTATGTTGTTGTTCTTTCAGATTCTGGCATAAGAATGAACCCGACAACTCTCAGGGAGAAAACTGTGTTGTTCTTGTTTATAACCAAGATAAATGGGCCTGGAATGATGTTCCTTGTAACTTTGAAGCAAGTAGGATTTGTAAAATACCTGGAACAACATTGAACTAGAAACTCAGAAAGTGGTCCTTGTGATGGAAAGAGAAAAGAAAAACCAATTAGAATAAGGCAGAATGTACGTGCGTCATTGGAACACAGAAAACATGCTGGTTCATACAGCGTTTTTAGTCATAATGGTCTTTTTTATTTTGTTTGATTCATTCGAGACAACATGTGTGTATGTGTGTGTGTGTGTGTGTAGATAATGTGGTTTTTGTATGGTGTTTGATGGAAGGAATAATCTTTCTTTGCTTTCTTAGTAGTATTTCAAGGTGTTTACTTTTCAATTGGTGTGCACTGAATGCATGTATGGAAGAATAGCGTGAATAATGCAATCTCTTTGTCATTTTTCCCCTTCTCAGACTCTTAGCTCTTAAAATTCAAAGATGGGATATTCTAACTGGTAGTGGTGCATCATTTTTAACCCAAATATTGCAAGCACTTTAAAGATTTGAAACCACATTTTTATTGTTTGATGTTTCATTTTCAGACTTTTTAATGTCAGTCATTACAATTACATTGCATGAGGAAAATTTTTCCAGAACAACAGTGTGGAATAGTTCTGAATTATGCTGTTCTACAGATAGAAAAAAAGTCCAAATGCCTTTAAAAATTTACTTCTTACTCCACCCAACACGTTTTTGCAAAGCAAGAAGTCTTTGTAAGACACCTTAAACAAAGTCCTTCAATTCTACAGCAGAGGAAATAAAATCCCCCAGAAGCCAAAGGGCTCACCTTCACATTGTTAGTTCATGACAGACCCAGGTGTGCTTCATTAGAGATAACATACATTCCCTTTGGTATCACAGGAAGTTACTGGGGATTACTCGACCTCATTACTTAGCTAACGACTGGATAAAATTTCTTAATTGTTTGAAGTAACATTGTATTCGTGTTTGCATTATTAATTTGAATAGAAAATAATCACATTTTCAACCCATTTATACAAATTGTTAATGTTTCTTTAGAGCTGTATAACTATAGTTTGAACTAGCAAGGAAGTTATTGTTTTGACAACCAGAAATTATGCTTTTCTGGTGCATGAAACATTAATTGCAAAGGGCAGTCACATCCAACTTTAATAAAATATGGTGGTCTTTCTTAAAATTTTCAATTTGCTAATTTTTCCTGGATCTAAGCTGAAAAATTCCAAGCAACAGCTTTTTAACCTAACTTTCCTACTACTGCTTTTAAAAGCAGTATTTATTTTGTAAATTAGCTACTGATTTTTTGGGTTTGAAATACTGGTGTTTGATTGTGTGGTGGTGGTGGTGGTGATGGATGCGTGTAGCTGTGTTAAAAGCTGATACTTTTAGCTGAAATGGTGCTAAATAAATTTGACTGTGTTTGCCATATTCACTAAATTATGTAGCATGAAACCTATGAAACTTGTTGAAGTAACTTTATGTAAATGCTAGTGGGCTTCGTATAGTTAATATTATCCATTTTTAATTTGTAAAGAACTATATATAGGTTGAGCTTCAGTTGTCAATAAGTCATGAAGTTTTGCCCATGCCTGTGTCCTGAATGGTATTACCTAGGTTTTCTTCTAGGGTTTTTACGGTTTTGGGTTTTACATTTAAGTCTTTAATCCATCTTGAGTTAATTTTTGTATAAGGTGTAAGGAAAGAGCCCAGTTTCAGTTTTCTGCATATGGCTAGCCAGTTTTCCCAGAACCATTTACTGAATAGGAGATCCTTTCCCCATTGCTTGTTTTTGCCAGACTTGTTGAATATCAGATGGTTGTAGATGTATGGTGTTATTGCTGAAGTCTCTGTTGTGCTTCATTGGTCTATATGTCTGTTTTGGGACCAGTACCATACTGTTTTGGTTACTGTAGCCTTATAGTATAGTTTGAAGTCAGGTAGCATGATGCCCCCAGCTTTGTTCTTTTTGCTTAGGATTGTCTTGGCTATACAAGCTCTTCTTTGACTCTATATGAAATTTAAAATAGTTTTTTCTAATTCTGTGAAGAATATCAACAGTAGTTTGATGGGAATAGCATTGAATCTATAAATTGCTCTGGGCAGTATGACCATTTTCACAATATTGATTCTTCCTATCCATGAAGATGGAATGTTTTTCCATTTGTTTGTGTCCTGTCTTATTTCTTTGAGCAGTGGTTTGTAGTTTTCCTTGAAGAGGTCCTTCACATCCCTTGTTAGCTGTATTCCTAGGTATTCTATTCTCATTGTAGCAATGGTGAATGGGAGTTCATTTATAATTTGGCTCTCTGCTTGCCTATTGTTGGTGTAAAGGAATGCTTACGATTTTTTCACATTGATTTTGTATCCTGAGACTTTGGTGAAGTTGCTTATCAGTTCAAGAAGTTTTTGGGCTGAGATGATGGGGTTTTCTAAATATAAAATAATGTTGTCTGCAAACAGAGACAACTTGACTTCCTCTCTTACTATTTGAATATGCTTTATTTCTTTCTCTTGACTGATTGCCCTGGCCAGAACTTTCAGTACTATGTTGAATAGGAGTGGTGAGAGAGGACATCCTTGTCTTGTACCAGTTTTCAAAGAAAATTCTTCCAGCTTTTGCCCATTCAATATGATATATTGGCTGTGCGTTCGTCATAAATAGCTCTTATTATTTGAGATACGTTCCATCAATACTTAGTTTATTGAGAGTTTTTAACATGAAAGGATGTTTAATTTCATCAAAGGCCTTTTCTGCGTCTATTGAGATAACCATGTGGTTTTTGTCTTTGGTTCTGTTTATGTGATGGATTATGTTTATTGATTTGCGTATGTTGAACCAACCTTGCATCCCAGGGATGAAGCTGACTTGATTGTGGTGGGCAAGTTTTTGATGTGCTGCTGGATTCAGTTTGCCAGTATTTTATTGAGGATTTTCGCATCAATGTTCATCAGGGATATTGGCCTGAAGTTTTTTTTTTGGTTGTGTCTCTTCCCAGTTTTGGTATCAGGATGATGCTGGCTTCATAAAATGAGTTAGGGAGGAGTCCCTCCTTTTCAATTGTTTGGAATAGTTTCAGAAGGAATGGTACCAGTTCTTCTTTGTATTTCTGGTAGAATTCAGCTGTAAATCCATCTGGTCCTTGGCTTTTTTTTTTTGTTTGGTAGTCTATTAATTGCTGCCTCTATTTCAGAGCTCGTAATTGTCTATTCAGGGATTCAACTTCTTCCTGGTTTAGTCCCGGTAGGGTGTATGCATCCAGGAATTTATCCATTTCTTGTAGATTTTCTAGTTTATTTGCTTAGAGGTATTTATAGTATTCTCTGATGGGGGTTTGTATTTCTGTGGGATCAGTGGTGATATCCCCTTTATCATTTTTTACTGTGTCTGTTTGATTCTTCTCTCTCTTCTTTATTAGTCTAGCTAGTCGTCTATCTACTTTGTTAATTTTTTCAAAAAACCAGCTCCAGGATTCACTGATTTTTTGGAGGGTTTTTCATGTCTCTATTCTCCTTCGGCTCTTCTCTGATCTTAGTTATTTCTTGTCTTCTGCTAGCTTTTGGATTAGTTTGCTATTGCTTCTTTAGTCCTTTTAATTGTGATGTTACAGTGTCAATTTGAGCTCTTTCCAGCTTTCTGATGTGGGCATTTAGTGCTATAAATTTCCCTCTTAATACTGCTTTAGCTGTGTCCCAGAGATTCTGGTACATTGTATCTTTGTTCTCATTGGTTTCCAAGAACTTCTTGATTTCTGCCTTAATTTCGTTATTTACTCAGCTGCCATTCAGGAGCAGTTTGTTCAATTTTCTTGAAATTGTGTGTTTTTGAGTGATTTTCTTAATCTTGAATTCTAATTTGATTGCAGTGTGATCTGAGAGACTGTTTTTTATGATTTCAGTTCTTTCGCATTTGCTGAGAAGTGCTTTACTTCCAATTATGAGGTCAATTTTAGAATAAGTGCCATGTGACACTGAGAAGAATGTATATTCTGCTGATTTGGGGTAGAGAGTTCTGTAGACATCTACTAGGTCCACTTGATCCAGAGCTGAGTTCAAGTTCTGAATATCCTTGTTAATTTTCTGTCTTGTTGATCTGTTTAATATTGACAGTGGGGTGTTAAAGTCTCCCACTATTATTATGTGGGAGTCTAAGTCTCTTTGTAGGTCTCTAAGGACTTGCTTTATGAATCTGGGTGCTCCTGTATTGGGTGCATATACATTTAGAGTAGTTATCTCTTGTTGAATCGTTTTGTTTACCGTTATGTAATGCCATTCTTTGTCTTTTTTAACCTTTAGTCTGTTTTGTCAGAGACTAAGATTGCAACTCCTACTTTTTCGTTTCTTTCCATTTGCTTGGTAAATTTTCCTCCATCCCTTTATTTTGAGCCTTTGTGTGTCTTTGCATGTAAGATGGGTCGCCTGAATACAGCACACCGATGGGTCTTGAGTCCTTATCCAATTTGCCAGTCTGTGTCTTTTAATTGGGGTATTTGCCCATTTACGTTTAAGGTTAGTATTGTTATGTGTGAATTTGATCCCATCATCATGATGCTATTTGGTTTTTTTGCACTTTAGTTGATGCAGTTTCTTCATAGTGTCATTGGTCTTTATATTTTGGTCTGTTTTTGCAGTGGCTGGTACCAGTTTTTACTTTCCATATTTAGTGATTCTTTCAGAAGCTCTTGCAAGGCAGGCCTGGCGGTAACGAAATCCCTCAGCATTTGCTTGTCTGGAAAGGATTTTATTTCTCCTTTGCTTATGAAGCTTAGTTTGACTGGATATGAAATTCCAGGTTGAAAATTCTTTTATTTAAGAATGTTGAATATTGGCCCCCAATCTCTTCTGGCTGGTACAGTTTCTGCTGAGAGGTCTGCTGTTAATCTGATAGGCTTCTTTTTGTAGGTACCTGGCCTTTCTCTCTGGCTGCCTTTAACAGTTTTTCCTTCATTTTGACATTGGAGAATCTGATGATTATGTGTCTTGGAGTTGATCTTCTTGTGGAGTACCTTAATGGTGTTCTCTGTATTTTGTGAATTTGCATGTTGGCCTGTGTTGCTAGGTTGGGGAAGTTGTCTTTGATAATATCCTGAAGTGTGTTTTCCAGCTTGTTTCCATTCTTCCTGTCTATTTCTGGTACCCCAGTCAATCATAGGTTTGGTTTTTTTATGAAGTCCCATATTTCTTGGAGGATTTGTTTATTCCTTTTCATTCTTTTTTCTCTATTCTTGTCTGCATGTCTTATTTCAGTAAAGTGGCCTTCTAACTCTGATATCCTTTCTTCCACTTGGTCAATTTGGCTGTTGATACTTTATACTTCATGAAGTTTTCATGCTGTGTTTTTCAGCTCCATCAGGTCATTTATCTTCCTCTCTAAACTGGTTATTCTAATTAGCAATTCATCTAACCGTTTATCAAGGTTCTTAGCTTCTTTGCATTGGGTTAGAACATGCTCCTTTAGCTCATCATAGTTTTTTATTATCCATCTTCTATAGATTACTTCTATCAATTCATCCATCTGATCCTCTGTCCAGTTCTGCACTCTTGATGGAGAGATGCTGTGATCATTTGGAGGAGAAGAGGCACTCTTGTCTTTTGGGTTTTCAGCATTTTTTCAATGATTCTTTTTCATCTTTGTGAGTTTGTCTAGTTTCAGTCTTTGAGGCTGCTGACCCTTAGATGGGGCTTTTGTGGGGGCCCTTTTGTTGTTGTTGTTGATGCTGTTGTTGTCACTTTCTGGTTTTTTTTCTTTCAATGGTCAGGTCCCTCTTCTGTAGGGCTGCTGCAGTTTGCTGGGGGTTCACTTCAGGCTCTGTTAATCCAATTCACTCCCGTGCTTGCAGATGTCACTCAAGGAGGCTGGAGAGCAGCAAAGACGGGTGCCTGCTCCTTTTTCTGGGACCTCTGACCTTCAGGAGCACCAACCTGATGCTAGTAGGATCACTCCTGTATAGGGTGTCTGACAACCCCTGTTGAAGGGTCTCACCCAGTTGGGTGGCACAGGGAGTAGGACCTGATTAATGAAGCCCTTTGTCCCTTGGTGGAGAGGGTGTGTTTTGCTGGGGTTAAACCCACTCATCTGGGCTGCCCGGATTCCTCAGAACTACCAGGAGGAGAGGCTAAGTCTGCTGATCTGCAGAGACTGTAGCCACCCCTCTCCCTAGGGGCCCAGGCCCACGGAGAACCAAATTCTGTCCCCGAGCCTCTGGCTGGAGTTTTTGGAGATCCTGCAGGGAAGCCCTGCCCCCTGAGGAAGGCTGTGTCAAGGTTAGGCCTGAAGAGGCACTCTGGCCGCAGACTGCCACAGCCAGTGTGTTGGGCTGTGGGGACAAATCTTGGGACCAAGCTCTCCAGCCTCCCTGGCTCCGCAGGGGAAAAGCACAGCCTGAAGCTACAGAAATGGGTGCTTCCCTTCCGCCGCCCAGGGAGCTTTGCATGTTAAGCAGCTGTGAGTCCCAGTGCTGGCTACTGCCCCTCCCTCAAAGAGCGCAAACGGCTTAGACAGCAGGCAGCCACAGCCAGTGCTGGTCGCCCTCCGCCCGCGCTCCCCCACCCCCAGGAGTTCAGTAGGCCTTGGCACATTCCAGCTGAGAGCCGGTGAGAGTCGCGCGTTCCAGGGTTGGGATGCTAGGCCCCGGTGGCGTGCGTTTGTGAGTGGGATCTTCCAATCCGTAAGTTACACAGTTCCGTGGAAAAAGCACAGTTTCCCTGGCTGGGTAGTGTGCTCACCGACTGCCTCCCTTGGCTCGGGGGAGGGGGTTCCCTTTCCCCCATGTGGCTCTCAGGTGGGCCGCTGCACCGCTCTGCTCTTTCTTCTCTCCGTGGGTCACACCAGCCTTCCAGTCAATTATGATGAGACAGCCTGGGTATCTTGGTTGCGGGTGAAGGATCCACTCACTTATTGCGGTTTTTTTCCGTGGGAGCCTCAAAACACCACTGACTGAGAGGTGGGGCATTTAAGAAGCAATCAGATAATGAGGGTTCTATCCTCATGAATGAATTAACTCCCAGTTATAGAATAGTGGATTAATGGGTTGATGTATTAATGGGTTATCATAGGCAGAAAACTGGTGGCATTATAAAAAGAGGAAGAGGGACCTGAGCTAGCATGTTAGCACACGCAGCACCCTCACTGTGTGATCCCTGTACCACCTTGAGGCTCTTTAGAGAGTCCCTACCAGCAAGAAGGCCCTCACCAGACACAGCTTTTTGACCTTGGACTTCTCAGCCTCCATCACTATAAGAAATAAATTTCTTTTCTTTATAAATTTCTAGTCTCAGATATCCTGTTATAAGCAGCAGAAAATGAACTAATACACATCCATAGTCTCTTTTAGTCTATTCTGAACTCTCATGGCACCTCATCACAATCTCTTCAAGACAAAGACAGTAATTTCATAAAAATAGGTTCTAATTATTTTAGTACATTATGGTAGTCCTAGAAGCTTAAAATTCTTAAAAATTTCAAGCAGTGTTTTCATTTTTGAAACAGTAATATATGTGTGTTAAAAAGGCAAACTGTAAAAACATTAGTAAACGTAGAAGATAAATAAATCTTCTAACCTGAACTCTAGTTACTGAAATGCCTCTTCAGAGTAACTATGATTATCAGTTTCTTATTTACATTTCCATAAATGGTTATACTATATGTACTACATATAAAGTGTATAAGAATATATACTATATATAAACTATGTACTATACATAATAAACATATAATTACATACATGTTATATACTAAACATATATAGATATATAATCCACATTTTAAATATGAATAGAAATATAATCTACATATTCTTAAACATTTGCATTTTTTACTTAACAATATAGTTTTGATTTATATCTTGTTCTTATAAGTGAATAGCATTTATATTGCATTGTTGCAACATAATTTGAAATAACCTTAAAATTACAAAATATTTTCTTTTTTAATAACACTTAGCAAAGTAATGGCTGTGAAGCAAATCACCAGAGCAATCTCCGTTCAGATTGGGAAAGGAAGGAAATTTTCCAAGGAAGATTTTTTTCCCTACAAAATTATGGGATAGATGGAATGCATTTGAATGAATTGAGAGGTGATATACATTTCTGAAGAGTTAAAAGGTGAATTATGTCAGTACGCAGAAAGCTAGATAAATATAAAAAAATGGGTCCTGTATGGTGGCTCAAGCTTGTAATCCCAGCACTTTGGGAGGCCAAGGTGGGAGGATTACTTGAGGCCAGCAGTTTGAGACCAGCCTGGGCAACAAAGTGAGACCCTGTCTCTACAAAAAATTAAAAAATTAGCTGTGTTTGGTGGTGTGCACCTGTAGTCCTAACTACTTGGGAAGCCGATATGGGAGGATTGCTTGAGCCCAGGAAGTCGAGGCTCCAATGAAGCCATGATTGTGCCACTGTACCCTGGCCTGGGGACGGAGTGAGATCCTGTCTCCAAAAAAAGAAAAGATGTCAATATTAACTCCATAAAAAGCAAAATGTAATTAAAAATATGTAGTAAGAATACAGCAAATGGTTCAGCTGTGAATAATATTTACATATTCATACCAGTGCAAATGTTGAATACTGATTTTTAAATAAATGATTATATAGTGATAGCAGGGGGATGGGAAAGAGAGAGAGAAAGAAGACTATTCTTGTTTTCATTAGTGTGGAGCTCATAGAAATTATCTAAAACTGAAAAAAATCAAGGAATTATAGTATAAACTTTTGATAGAAATAGAAACATGGAACTCAATAGAAAAGAAGCATCTAAACGGTTGAATACGATTGCCACTTAGGTGTGGGAATCAGAAGTGGGCAGGAAACAGCTATTTTTAATTACAATCCTCTAGAAGAATTTGTTTTTTTAAACAATGTGCATATATGTACATAGTGTGCAAATCTATTAATGTAATTAATCTTATCAACATTTTAAAAGAGCTGCTAAAGCATCATCTAGTAAAATCAATAAACCACTTAGTGTTAAAACATTTAACAAAGAAGAAATGAAAGGAATTTTCTGCAGGATGTCTACCCCAAACCTGTAGCAACTATTAGATTTAATGGTAAGCCATTAGAAGCATTTTCTTTAAGTTTAAGAACAAAACTATAGCAGCTTTATGCAACAATATGTTGGCATTCCTAGCCAGCTCAATATGACCAAAAGAACTGGAAGGGAGTTTTAAAAACCCACAACTATCATTATTTCTAGACCAGAACTGTCCCAGGGAAATATAGTGAAAGGCAAAAATGTGAGTTGCATATGTCTAAATTTTCCAGTAATTATATCAAGAAAGCAAAAAAAAAAAAAAAAGCCCGAAGAAGTGAAATTAATTCTAATAACTTATTTTATTTGAACAAACATATCTAGAATATTATCATTTTGACATGTAATCCATATAAAATTCTTAGTGACATATTTTATATTCTTTTTTCAAATTATCAAAAAAACTAGTGTGTATTTTACACTTACAGAATATCTCAATTAGGATAGTGCTTAATAGTCTACTGTGGCTGGTGGCTACTGTACTGGATAGCTCAGTGTTTTAGACAGTATAATTATCTACACAGAAAATAAAAGGGAATGTATGGACAAAATGTTTTAAAAAATTAGGAAAGTTAAACAGTGTTTCTGGATAAATTATTATTATACAAAAATCAACAATATAATACTCTGCAAAATGTACAAAATAATATTACACTTACAATGGCAATACAATTCTAAGATACCCAAGAGTAAACCGTGCGAAATTTTAAAGTTGGTTGCACGACATATATGCTGACCCGCTCAGGCTCTACCTCTCCATCCTGTGCTGAATGACCTGTGTGGACATCCACCTCACCCTGCCCGGTGCCCTGTGGCCCTCCTAGATAGTCCTCCTGCTTCGGCTCAGACACCTTTGCTCAACCACCCCCACGTATGGGCGTCCTCCTCACTCTAGCTCAGGCTTTGAGACTTTGGGACAGTCCAACCCCCACCAGGATGCCCTGCTGAACCCACTGGCGTTCTGACATCCTTACTGTCTCCTGCTTCCCCCACAATCTCCCCTTTACACTGTCTGGGATCTAACTCTCTGAGGGGTAGTCATGCGTCCCTCTCCCCCTCCCGCATATACATGCACACACGTATAAAGACCACCTTGCTCTGCTCCACCCACGTGCAATGATTTTAGGAGTCATTATCAGGAAACGGAAAGGTAGAAAAGGGGATTGGGAAACAGGAGAGCAAAAACATTTGACTTAATTGTTGATTGTTTATAATTTTTTGTTTGTTTTGTTTTGTTTTTTACTTCAGAGGGACCTTCTGGGAAATAACTCTTTTTCATAATCTATAAAGGCTGTAACATTCTTGAACTCAGTAATTCTTCAATTTCACTTCAATTTTTTAAACGTTTGAGGTAATGAATGTGCTAATTACCCTGATTTGATTAATATAGAGCATACACATGTATTGAAACATCGCATTGTATCCCACAAATGTGTACAATTATTATGTGTCAATCAAAACCAAAATAAAATTTAAAAAATTAAAGTATTATCTGTTGTATAATTCCTTTCTAAAAGTGTGTCAATGCATGTGTGTATGTGTGTATACATGTAAATATATATATATATTTGGGTTTTTTTAACTCTTTGTTTTTCCATCTTTTCATCTAACTCTTGAAGTCATAGGGGAGAAAAAGTAACATCTTTTTCTCACCAATTGCAAGGTTCATGGCTGAGGCCCTTATAACAAAACACAAATTAACAAGAGAAAACCATACAGATGTATTTAACGTAAGTTTTACATGACATGAGAGCCTTCAGAAATGAACACTCAAAAAACAGAGAAATCTATGTAAATTTTGTGCTAAGCCTCATGAAGTGGATAGTTGTGAAAAAAAAAACATGGTTAGACAAAAAGCGATATGATCTAATGATAATAACCTAATGAGACTTAGCAAGGCCTGTTTGTTCAGGTTCTTCTTGGCTTCCCTGTACGACATTCTTTCCTTTTGGGTATAGAGCAGGACACCTGTCATAGGAGAGTGTTCAGAGGAGAAAGGAGGAAGAAGGTCAGAGATGACCTTCCTAGATGCTATGGCCTGCTTCCGGTAAGAAAGGCAAGAGAAAGATGAGAGTGGACTTCCCGTTTTTGCGGTTTTCTCAGTTCCCAAGGTGCCATATTTTGAGGTAGCATTTCCTGCACCCCATTAAAGGCATAAAAAGTTTCCTGGAGTGACGTTCATGATAATTATTACTGCAACGTGGAATTGGAATTTTAAAAATTTTCATCTTTCTATAATTGTGATCTGTAGGAATTTTTGGTAATGAACATGTATCATTTTTACAAAAAATAGTAATTTTTCTTTAAAAAAATTGGGGACCCATATAGTAATATGTAAATCTTAACAGTAGTTTATTTTGGGAATATGCTTTTAAGAATATGTATCATGAATTAATCTACTATTCTTTGAAAATGTCTGGGTTTTCTGGTGCCGAAGGTGGTAAAGTGTTTGTGTAACCCCACTTATAAGATATTATACTTTAAAACAATTTCAATTGGATGATCTACTTCTCAAAAAATAATTTTCCTAATAGATAATTTATGTTCCAATAATCTTTAACCACTAAACCCTTAGCAATTCTTTCTTTTCTTGGCAAACTGTAAAGACAAGTTTAGTTTTATAAACCTGTCTTTAAAACTTGTCTTTAAACTTAAATTCTAAATATATATGGAGAAATAATATGGAATAATATTTCCATATGTCTTTCAATCTAGAAATAAAACTTAAATTATAGCCACCTTCAGGGAAACACCAATGAACAAAAAAAAAGTCTTTCAGCATCTCCTTATTGATGTTCATGATTTTAAAAAAGGGAATTAGAAAGTTGAAAGTATGTTTAAAATTACTTTTAGGTTAAATAATTGGCTTAAAGATGTGTTGATTTGAAAACCAGATTGTCACAATGCCTAAGAGAAATAAACTTTTGCAATGAAAGCTGATGTGTTATATTCACTTGTCCAGTTGAATTTTCTCATTCAGTGATTACACGTGGTGTCCAGTGATTGAATTTTGAGGGTCTCCTCATGGCACTTTGTGCAAGAAACATGGTTATGAAAGCTGCCACGTTATTGATGTACTCTTTAATAACGTCATCAGTATTGGTAGAATTTTATGCAATAAATGAATGGGCTATTACTGGATACATACTCAGAGAAATATAAATCTTTCTACCATAAAGACACATGCACACGAATGTTCATTGCAGCACTATTCACAATAGCAAAAACATGGAATCAATCTAAATGTGAGTCAACAATAGATTGGATAGAGAAAATGTGATACATAGATACCATGGAATACTAAGCAGCCTTAAAAAAGAAGATTATGTCTTTTGTGGGAACATCGGTAGAACTGGAGACCATTATCCTTAGCAAACATGGGAACAGAAAACCAAATACTGCATGTCCTCACTTATAAGTGGGAGCTAAATGATGAGAATTCATAAACACAAAGAAGGGAATAACAGACACTGGAGTCTACTTGAGGGCGGAAGGTAGGAGGAGGGAGAGGAGCCGAAAAAAACAATATTAGGCACTGGGCTTAATACCTGGGTGATGAAATAATCTGTACAACAAACCTCCACGACATGAGTTTACCTATATAAAAAGCCTTTAACATGTACCCCCGAAAGCTAAAATAAAAGTTAAGAAATAATGGATGGGCTTGAGACAGGAAAGTGTGGAGATGAATGTTCGCTTAGAATAAATTGACTATTGGACTCGGGTCCTAGCTGAGCAATAGATACAAAATCTGGTGAGATCCATTCAGTCAATTGAAAATAAGGCAGAGCAAAGGAAGCCCCAGGGATGGGTGGACTTGGTTACAGCCTGTTTGGAGCTGATGGCTGGCATGCCCTTCCCTAAGAAGGTGCAGTGGAGGCCTGTAGCCAGA
Organism: Homo sapiens; assembly: GCF_000001405.40. Taxonomy (NCBI): domain Eukaryota; kingdom Metazoa; phylum Chordata; class Mammalia; order Primates; family Hominidae; genus Homo; species Homo sapiens. The sequence goes on from NC_000012.12 coordinate 8,534,101, forward strand.
AAGGCCACACCGGTATTCTGAGCAGGAATAAGTTTCATGACTTGAAGAAGCTTCTTACTCATTATACAGGGGAGTAAAGAGACGATATATGCTTGGGCAGGAGATAAGAACGGTATGAAACCAAGAAGAGAAGACAGACTTGTCAGAAGCTAGAAAGAAGAGGACCTGCTACAGAGCCCGGATTCAGGAGATTTTTGGAAGGCACCTTCCAAAATCCCCTTCTTTGCTAGACTCTGTCTTGGCTCCGTGTCCCTGTACTTTCATACGAACACTAAAAAATGAGGCAAATGTAGCAAAAGGTAGTGAATTGCTTTGTAAATTCTGGGAAGAGGACCTGAGACTAACGTAGAGAGAAAATGCACTTCAGCCAGTAACATGAATTATAACATTTAAAACTACTTATTTTTATTTATATCAGAGTAACAAATACTTATGAAGTCCTTTGAAGTTCAGCGCACAAATTTCTCGTGTGGGGCGGTGGGTGTGGCCATGTTCTTGCTCTTCCTTCTTTACACATTTGAGTTGTGCCTTCTGTTCTTAAAGAGATTTTCCTTTGTTCAAAGGATTTATTCCTACCATTTCACAAATCCGAAAATAATTGAGGAAACAGGTTACATCATTCCAATTTTGCCTTGGGTTTGAAGAGTCTCTCATGGTGGCACAGTCCTCCAGGGTAGCTATGTTGTTGGGCTCCCCTACATCCCAGAAGCTGAAAAAGAATGACATAGGAGACTTAAAATCCCAGCAAAAAGAGGTAAAGTAACCTAATATACTAGGCAAATTACATTTGTGTTATTTAACCTCACAACAATTTTGCGAGGTAGGTATTATAATGTCCATTTTATTGAAGAAGAAAAGGAACCTCAGGAAGCTAAACTAGTTGTCGAAGTCACAGTTTGTGAGTACTGAAGCTGAACCGGATCTTTCTGACTTTCTATTCTGTCCTGTTCCTTTGTTCCTTTTCTATTCTGTCCTGTTCCTTAGCTATAGAATGAGAAGTTATGGGGAAGATTGATATTCTGATAGATTTGTTTTCTTCACACTCATACCTCATATCGGCTTAGCTCTCTTTATTCTGCACAGAGTGTGTATTAACTTAGGTGCATCCTGCAGTGATGTTACAGTGTGGTAGTGAAGCAGCATTTCTAACATGTCAGAGTATCTCTGTTGTACTCTTAGAACTGCTCATTAGCTAAGTCACTTAACTCTGCTGAGTTTTAGTTTCCTCAAATGCTAAATAAAGATTAATAATACTGATACATTCCAAGAAAGTGTAATTTAGGTAAAATGAAATAATAAATGAGAAAAAAAATTAAAAATGCTATGCTCTATCAGGAAGAATACCTAATGGATGCTGGACTTAATACCCGGGTCATGTTATGATTTCTGCAGCAAACCAAACCACCACGGCACACGTTTACCTATGTAACCTGCACATCCTGCACATGTACCCTGGAACTTAAAATAAAAGTTGAAGAAAAGAAAAAAGAAAAAACTCACTCCCTAACAAATCATGAGAATCAACATATATAGCAAAATATTTTATATATCAATTAACCAATCTAACAAAAAAAGCATATCCACAATAAAAAATGCTATGTTCTAATGACGTGAGGCTATTATTAAGGAGAAAAGAGACATTATCAAGAGATTCTCATTTTTCACTGCATAAGAACCTGCTGTCTTTCTCAACTTACTATTTTTTTCCTCATTTCCTTCAGTTTTGGGGAATAAGACTCTTAATTCCACCTCTCGTCTCTTTTGCATTCTCAGTGAATGATTCTTCAGTTCATTTTCATTTATTATTTCCCCTTTATTCTTGAGACAATTCCAGGAAAGGAGAGAAGTGGGTGCTTGTACTTCTCCTTCATCTTTTCTACCTTAGCTCTTCTCTTTCCTGCATTTAATACCACCACCAATAATGGACCTGATCTATTGCAGGTAACAGAAGGAGGTTTCAAGAACTCCTCTCAATAGGAGGGTAATTACCTCAGAGACTTTGTCAAAGGTGTGCCGTCCACCCATTGCCACTGACCCTCGACAACCTGGTCTGACAGTCCAATAAAAAACTCTCTCATTTTAGGTTTCTTGTAGGAAAGGAATTCCTATGGAAGATACAAAATAAAAGGAGATCAGTTATTTTAGTTTTGAATAAACGTTGCTAGTAATTATTATTCAAAGAGGTAAGAATCTGGATGAGATCCTAGCACTTTGGGAGGCCGAGGCGGGTGGATCACCTGAGGTCAGGAGTTCAAGACCAGCTTGACCAACATGGCGAAACCCTGTCTCTACTAAAAGTATAAAAAAATTTGCCAGGCATGGTGGCGGGTGCCTGTAGTCCCAGCTACTTGGGAGGCTGAGGCAGGAGAATCGCTTGAACCTGGGAGGCAGAGGTTGCAGTGAGCCGAGATTGCGCCACTGCACTCCAGCCTGGGCAACACAGCAAGACTCCATCTCAAAAAGTAAAAAAGAATCTGGATGAGAAATAACAGATAAGTGAAACTGTAAGATCATGAGGATTATCTACTGATTTTTTTTTGTGGTAAAATATACATAACATAAAATTAAACTGAAAAAATAACCTTCAACAGAAAAGGAGATCCTCAATAATTCTTTCAAAGTTTATCTACTATTATTGGTGGCCAAATTTATTGAATATATCTAGCGCAAAATATTATTAATCACAGCTTAAAGAAAACGGACAATATTTGCTTCTCTTCTTTCATATAATATGTTCATAAACATAACGATTCGTCTAAAATTAACACTTCCAACCCTCTTTTTCCCCTTGCCTAACTAAAGGAACTCCACATGGAAATTCCCTTTTTCTTAGGTTCTTCTAGGAAGGAAAATAAATTAAGGTAGGCAGTGACTTTACCGAAATAGTAAGAACAGCATGCATTTTAGTACATTCATTAACAATAGTCATTGGGGGTCAAGCACTGTGCATATGTATGAAAAGAGAGGTGGACCATGTCGGGAATGTTACATTGGCATCGGAGGACTCCAGCTACCTGCTCCTCCTGTGAGTTGATAACCACCAGGTGAGCCCCCATGGCTGAGCAGTTCTTTAAACTTAACGCCCAGGAAATGGTGTCAGTAGAAAAGAAGTAGCAGCTGGATTGAAAATATTCCCAGTTCAATGGACAACAATTCTTGACTGAACCTAGGATGAGAGATGTTTCAGTGAGTGTCCCAGGTGAACCGAATAAGAAAACCCAAAGCTTCATCTGGCCCCATGGAGTCCTCATTTAAGTCAGAAGCCTTGGAATCACTTGTTCATACCCTACATCTTAGTATCTAAGACTTTAGATAATTCCAATGTCAAGAAACATAAACAGAATGTTTTTGGTCTTTTGAACGTAATTCTCATTCTCTGGATGTCAGTGCCAGGAAATGCAACTATATATGCAAACTATCTTAGTTATGCTATTGATATAGAACCTTATTATCTGTTCTTAGACTACTAATGTCAGAGAAATTTATGCATTTTATTTGGGTGACCCCCAAAGAGCCATCTCTTATGTTACCTAAACAATGTATCCTCAATCAAATCTCCATACTGTAGTATATAGATGGGTTAGATGTGGGCGGCAAGCCACCCAGGCGCTGAGGCAAGAGACAGAGGACACGAGCTGTTCCAGTATAATAAAATATAAAACAAGAATAGTTATACCAGATATAGATCTTAGATATGATTATATATGAATATCATTAATCATTAGTTTGTAGCAATTACTTTTTATTCCAATATTATAATAATCCTCGCTCTATAATCATAGCCAAGGAAAAACCAGGCCGTACAGAGCTACGAGCTGAGGGGACATAGTGAGGTGTGACCAGAAGACAAGAGTGCGAGCCTTCCGTTATGCCCGGACAGGGCCACCAGAGGGCTCCTTGGTCTAGCGGTGACGCCAGCGTCTGGGAAGACGCCCGTGGCCAGGCAGACAGACTGTGGTCTAGCGGTAGCGTTAAGTGTCAAGGGAAAACACCCGCTACTTAGCAGACAGGAAAAGGGAGTCTTCCTTTCCCTGGGGGAGTTTAGAGAAGACTCTGCTCCTCCACCTCTTGTGGAGGGCCTGACATTAGTCAGGCTTGCCCGCAGTTATCCGGAGGCCTAACCGTCTCCCTGTGATGCTGTGCTTCAGTGGTCACACTCCTAGTCTGCCTTCATGTTCCATCCTGTACACCTGGCTCTGCCTTCTAGATAGCAGTAGTAAATTAGCGAAAGTACTAATAGTCCCTGATATGCAGAAATAATAGCGTAAGCTGTCTTTCTCTCTGTCTCCTCTCCCTCTCTGCCTCGGCTGCCAGGCAGGGAAGGTCCCCCTGTCCAGTGGACACGTGACCCACATGACCTTACCTATCATTGGAGATGACTCACACTCTCTACCCTGCCCCTTTCACCTTGTATCCAATAAATAACAGCGCAGCCAGACATTCGGAGCCACTACCGGTCTCCGCGCATTGGTGGTAGTGGTCCCTTGGGCCCAGCTGCCTTTTCTTTTATCTCTTTGTCTTGTGTCTTTATTTCTACATGCTCTCGTCTCTGGACACAGGGAGAGACCCACCAACCCTGTGGGGCTGGTCCCTACAGTTAGATTTCTTAGAATTACAGAACTTTTGCCTTTGAGGTCTATTATAAATAATTCTTCTAACTTCTCTCAATTTAATGGTGAGAAAATTATAGCTCAGAGAAGGAAGTCACTTTTTTAGTGTCATGTAGCATTTTGCTAGGACTTGCAACAGGATGACATAGAAGAGCATAGAGAGTATATTTGTGAGATATTTATAAATTCTCTACTCCATACGTTTTTTCTCCATCTCATTTTGGAAGTAGGTGAATGAAAAAAAAGGTACACTCCTGGGAATAATACCTTCCACTTCCAGATTTACTGTTCAGACATACCCCTCAAATTTATTCTAAAAGTTTACTATAATGTCCCCAAGACTTTCTGCCCCAATGCTAATTGCATCACCAAATTTCTAGGATTTTACATTTTGCTTTTGAAAAATAAGACCTAATCCAGCTATATCTCACCTGTCCCAAAGTCAATCTAGAAGCCAGAAAATGTTGCTTTGTAAATTTTGATGTTCACCTTTGGGACTATTATACCTGATCCATAATTGTAGCAGGAGAGCTCTGTGAAATTCTCAGGTAGCTGAAACTTTTTCTCATCACAGGTTTGAAAGATGCGAAATGTCACTGTAAAAGAAAGGGCATAATGTTTGTTAGTCTTATTTCGGTTAAAAATGTCAGTTCCCTCAGTTTTGTATTTATAACAAAAGTGCCAATAATTATCATGTTTTTTCTTACAATCTGCTTTTTCTTACGACCCAGAGAAAATAGATATGTTTGCACTACCTCTTATGCCAAGTCCAACTCTCTCTACCCTTCCTTCCAAAAGTAATTAGTCATATCTCTGGTGCCGACCAGTAGTTCAAGCTCTAAGGCAGACTCTCCTAGAGAAGGTTACACTAATGATAGAGGCTGAAAGAGGAGGATTCAGGACTGCCAAGGAAGTGAAAAATGTCTATCATGAAAAGTAAGTCACAGGTGATTAAAATTCAGAAACAGTTCCCTGCTTGTTGAGGTTTCTGGTTTGAGAAATAACCTAGAGATTAATAGGGAAAAAAAAAAGGGTGAAATAGAAAGACCCTTTGAGGGCAAAGAGAGTCTACAGGCAGCATGGAAGAGTTTTCTCCTAATATGCACCAGGAAGAATTAAATTGAATTTGACCTTCAGAACCCACCAACACATCTGGTGATGAAACAGGCACTGAGAAATAGGATGGGGATCCCAGCAACAGTCCATAAGAACATTTGGGAAGAGAAGCATCCTCTCTCTGTAGAAAGAAAGACACAAACATGATCAATCTTCCCTAAGCAAGGTACAAAAGAGATAGAAGAGATTCTTATTCATCCTTACTTATTTCCTTCTACTTCCATTGTTTGTACTGAGTAATTCCCAAATTTCAGCATGCTTCAGAATCACTTGGAGGGTTTATGGAAACACAGATTGCTGACCCTTACCCCCAGAGTTAGCAACTCAGTAGAGTTTGTATGGAACCAACAAGTTCCCAGGGGCTACTGCTGCTGCTGGTCTGAGGACCACACGTTTAGCACCCCTGGAGTAAGACTCTGACTCATGAACTCAGATATACAATTTTTCCTTTCTAAGTCTCTCAGTTAAATTTTTTTCAGTATTTTCTAAGGCCCCCCTTCTTTCTTTTTCTTTCTTTTCCCTTTTCTCGTCTTTGCTTTTCTTGTCCTTCTCCTGATCTTTTTTTTTTTTCTGTGTCTCACTTTTCAAGCGCTTTGTAAATTAGGTAAAATGTTAACAGTCATCTAATAGTTCCTCTCTTCCTCCCATTAAACATTTTACAGACAAAGAGAGTTCCAGAGAAGTGAAGTGACTTGCCAAAAGGGACACAATGTATTGCAGAAAGGGTGGAAACTGATAGCTCTCCCTTAGCTAGAGGCCAGCAGGCTTTCTGGTATAAGAAATAGTCTTTAAATCTCTCTCTCTCTCTTCCTCTGTCCCCCCACTTTTTTTTTTAACTTCAGTGAATACTTTTCTATTGTCCTGTCTTTCACCATATTTATCACTTGTTCCAAAAAGAGATCTATGGAAGGAAAGGAAGAGTTGCAGATTTTACCTGTGCATTGTGTTTCAGATGATTTAGATGAATTCATTTTTTCTCTCTCTTTGGTTTTTTGTTTCTCTCTCTCTCTTTTTCTCTCCCTCCCTCTCTTTCTTTCTCCTCAGGAGTGTTTTGTTGGTAAGATTCAGGGAGAATGAATCTTGAAAGATAAACACTTTGTCTTTTAGGAAGTTCAGCTCCGATAGATGTAGAATATTAACTTGTTCTGTGGCTACGCATTAAGTCAGGATTTCCTTTCTTGCATAAGGAGGACAAGGAAGTTTATTGGACAGCATGTCAGTTCTCTTCACTCCATGTAACAACAAAATGAGGAAATTATGAAATGGTAAGCATCAACACAAATAGGCTAGCCATGGGGAAACAGGAGAGTTTTTTTTTTAAATGTTGTTTCGTTTCGTTGGACCAAATGTCTCTAGTTTCTTCAAGGCATAACTCATCCCCCAGTTTTTCCTTGACAATATGGAGCTCACCTCTGCACTCTGAATTTCACTTTGGATCTGTACCATCCACACATTTGGTAACTGAAAAGAAGACTTAGACAACATAGCACAAAGCTGGGCATATAGTGTATGTATTTAGGACATGGCAACCTGAATTTTTTCATCTTTTTTTTTTTTTTTTTTTTTGAGACAGAGTCTCGCTCTGTCGTCCAGGCTGGAGTGCAGTGGCATGATCTCCGCTCACTGCAAGCTCCGCCTCCCGGGTTCAAGCCATTCTCCTGCCTCAGCCTCCCGAGTAGCTGGGACTACAGGCGCTCGCCACCACGCCTGGCTAATTTTTTGTATTTTTAGCAGAGACGGGGTTTCACTGTGGTCGTCAGGATGGTTTCAATTTCCTGACCTCGTGATCCGCCCGCCTCAGCCTCCCAAAGTCCTGAGATTACAGGCGTGAGCCACCGCGCCCGTCCTCTTTTTCATCTTTTATGGTTTTTCTTTCTTCTTCATTTGCAGCTCTTGAATATTCTAATGTTGTGGATTTATGTCCCTCTTATCTTATGCTGACTACTAGGCTGCTACTACTAGGCTGACTACTAGAGTCCCCCTCAGCAGGACAGCCTCATGTGATTAGACCACTTTGAAACTCAGCTTAGTTTTTCACAACATAACGCAGCTTCTGAAGTCTCAGAGACCCAGCAGGCAGTTTAATTCTCCTGTTCTCAATTATTTGGGGATTTTAGTTCTATGTTACAGCCTACAGTAGGAGAAATGTATTTGAAGGTCAGAAAAAGCAATTTCAATTAGATATTAGAATTTAATGGTTCTCTGGGCCGGGAGCAGTGGCTCATGCCTGTAATTCCAACACTTTGGGAGGCCAAGGTGGGTGGATCATTTGAGGTCAGGAGTTTGAGACCAGCCTGGCCAACATGGTGAAACCCCACCTCTACTAAAAATACAAAAATTAGCCAAGTGTGGTGGCACGCATCTGTAATTCCAGATACTTGAGAGGCTGAGACAGGAGAATAGCTTGATCCTGGGAGGCAGAGGTTGCAGTGAGCCAAAATTGCACCACTGCACTCCAGCCTGGGCGATAGAGTGAGACTCTGTCTCAAAAAAAAAAAAAAAAAAGAATTAATGCTTCTCTGGAAGAATAGTTAGATATGTGCCTTCTCCTTACTTAAAGATACTTAAGAATAAGATCACACTGGTCTCAGTTTATTTAAGTTCACGAGTCAGGAGGCATAAGTATGATGTACATGACTTGGTAAATCCCCACATCCAGTGACTCACGAATTTTCCATGTGTGAGAAAATATTCTTGTTCTCAAAGGGACTTTTTATTATTTCAAGGTACTGGTCAATTTTCTCTGCATTCTCTGTTTTATAGTAATACAATTTTAAAAATATCTTTAAATTATATATGTGTATATTATAGAATATACCCATATTTAATATGTGTATTCTCAGCAAATAGCTTTTGATCAGTAAAAAAAGAGAAACTATCTAGTGGATGAGCTATATGAATTATAAAATGATGAACATAATTACCACAGTCCATCTTTTATTAATTACAATCAACCAGCAACCATCAATATTACTAAACAATTGTATGTTAATTTTTATCAATATACAATTAAACAGAAATCAATAAATTAATATTTTTTCCAGCCAAAATGTTTTTATATCTTTTGTTTCATTGATTTTCCCCAAATTATACGAGTAATATGTTTTATGATTAATACTATGAAAAGCATGTGACAAGTAAAAGCCTTCTTAACTATCCTTAGTGCATTCTTCTAAAGTTGACCATGCTTAATGATTTCTTTTTTGGGGGGGGGGATTAATTTTTATTTATTTTTATTTATCTTTTATTACACTTTAAGCTTTAGGGTACGTGTGCACAACGTGCAGGTTTGTTACATATGCATACATGTGCCATGCTGGTGTGCTGCACCCATTAACTCGTCATTTAGCATTAGGTATATCTCCTAATGCTATCCCTCCCCCCTCCCCCCACCCCACAACAGTCCCCAGAGTGTGATGTTCCCCTTCCTGGGTCCAAGTGTTCTCATTGTTCAATTCCCACCTATGAGTGAGAACATGCGGTGTTTGGTTTTTTGTTCTTGCGATAGTTTGCTGAGAATGATGGTTTCCAGCTTCATCCATGTGCCTACAAAGGACATGAACTCATCATTTTTTATGGCTGCATAGTATTCCATGGTGTATATGTGCCACATTTTCTTAATCCAGTCTATCATTGATGGACATTTGGGTTGGTTCCAAGTCTTTGCTATTGTGAATAGTGCCACAATAAACATACGTGTGCATGTGTCTTTATAGCAGCATGATTTATAATCCTTTGGGTATATACCCAGTAATGGGGTGGCTGGGTCAAATTGTATTTCTAGTTCTAGATCCCTGAGGAATCTCCACACTGACTTCCACAATGGTTGAACTAGTTTACGTCCCACCAACAGTGTAAAAGCATTCCTATTTCTCCACATCCTCTCCAGCACCTGTTGTTCAGCAATAGATTCTTTGATTTCCCTTTTTAAATATCATCCAGGAACTTATCGTCTAAGTCCCTTTTCTAAACTATATTGCCTGTCAATATTTCAGGCAACTGAAAAAGAATCAGTAAAAGCTGTAAACATCTATGCCATACGAGTATTGTTAGTATCTACTTTTCTTTGATGCCAAGAGAAACATCACTCAATTTTAGCCTTGGGGCAGATTTATTTTTTGTCTTTTCATCTAACATGCAATCACTAACTGATCCCAGGGCTGCTGCTTCCCAGGTTGACGGCCAGCCCTTTACCCTTGAACTGCCATCTATCTGTAAGCCACACTGCTGCCTTGACAGCTGACCAGAGAGAGGGGCCTATTCAGCTATAGGTTTAGCCAACTCCTCAGGGGAACCAAATTTATGGTGACCTGTCAGCCACCTGACTGTGCATGCATTGGGTAACCCCATTTCACATTCTTGAGTATCTCCTTTCTATTCAAGGAGGGAATTCTGTGCATTTCATTTCTTGTTGGAATGATGATATGATATAAATAGGATGTTATGAGTTTTCAAATAATTTTATGTCCTTCAGTACAAAAAGCAGTTTCAACTAAAACCCAGTAACAAGCTAGCAATTCCTTTTAAATGGTGCTACTTCAAGCTGCAGCCAGGTAGCTTTTTATTACAAAAATCCCACAGGCAGCCACTAGGTGGCAGTAACAGGCTTTTGCCAGCGGCTCCAGTCAGCATGGCTTGACTGTGTGCTGCAGAAACTTCTTAAATCGTCTGTGTTTGGGACTCGTGGGGCCCCACAGGGCTTTACAAGGGCTTTTTAATTTCCAAAAACATAAAACAAAAAAAAATACAAATGTATTATCTTGCTCAAAACTTCAGTCAAATTTAGCTTTTTTCTTGATAACTTTATTAACAGGGGTATGCCATTTCTCCACCACATTAACAAGCCAACATCTTTGCACCTCTTGCTTTCATTTTGGAGCTGGCAGAGACAATTACTTATTTTTGGTTGTCTGAGGGATGCCTCTCATCTCCCCTGTCCAGGTGATGCCTAAGAATTTTACCATTTCCCCTGGACCCTGTTCTTTAGTTGGGTTAATCAGCCTCATATGATTAACAAGCATTATACAGTAATTCAATCTTTGCTAGATCTTCAAATTGAGTTAATATGACATTAATGCAGTTAATAATATTACTTTCTAATTGATCACATCTAAGTATCTTCTTGCCAAGTGCCGTGATAAAAAGGAGAATTTAAATAACCTTATGGGAACATAGCAAATGTATACTGGAATCCATCCCACATGAATGTGTATTAGCTTTGATTTTCTCCCTAAATAGAGATAGAAAATAAGGTTTTAGGCAAATAGATAACAGAATATTACTGTCTTTTAGCTTTTAGCAAAGCTTGAATTGTGATGCCATCTTGGGTACAGCTGATGCTGTTGGAAGCATGATTTTATTCAGTCCTCTCTAACATACAATTCATCTCCAGGATCCACCAAGTTTTCTTCTAGGCCATACTGGATTATTAAACAGGGAATCTGTGGGCATTAACATGACTGTGTCTAACTTATTCTTAATTAAAGCTGAAATTCTTCCTCCAGCCTATTCTTAATTAAAACTGAACCCCCCATCCTATATTGTTTTAAAATAATCATTTGAATGTGCTTAAGCAATTCTAAGGGTTCCCATCTAGCAGGTCCAATTAAAAACAGGATGAAGAGAAGATTGGCAGTCTTTTCCAATGGTTTGGGTAAGGAAAGAGTCCGCCATTCAGACATCATGCTCATTTTTAAAATATATTCTAGTTGGACTGAGACAAAATCATACATTAATTTCATTCATAAATACCGTACTAATATGAGGGACTTGAGAATCCACAGGTTTTGGTATTCAAAGCAGGGTCCTCAAACCAATCCCCCACTGATACCAAGGGATGATTGTATCTACTTCTGGCCATACTATCACCTGCAAGTTTTCTGTATTTAATTATATTTCCCTTTCACTTTTCATTGGCAGGTTTAGGTGTGACAGTAGATTAAGTACCAATGTCCAGCAATCCAATAATGTTTCTTCATCATCCCTTACCATTTTACTCATACTGATGCGTATGGCCTTATGTCTTCTGCTGGGGATTGTGCCAAGAGACATTGGACCACATGTCACTCACCTTCCTCATAATCCTCTCCTTTACTTTGTACTGTTTTAGTCTGCACTGACTCTGAAGAGATTATGTATGTATATATATACATACATACATATATATACACACATATACATATATAGAGAGAGCATGTGTGTGTGTGTGTAATCATCAGATTTTAAAATTCAGGTTAGGACAAATTGAACAAGTCTGTTGTGTAACCTCTTAAAGTTTGAGGAGCTGGTGGGACAGCCGAACAACCTAATCTCTCACAGTGATCCATTAACATTTTAGTACTTCCCCCATCTATCTCCTCCCCTTTCACGCCACTTAAAAAATATTAGAAATAACTTTTAAACTACATTTTAAATTTTGGAATAGTTTCAGATACATAGAAAAATTGTCACTATAATACACTGTACAGAAAGTCCCTATATGGCCCACATCCAGTTTCCCAATTATTAACATCTTACTTTAATATGGCACATTTGTCATAATTAGTGAACTAGCATTGGTGTATTATTATTAACTAAAGTCCTTTATTCAAATTTTCTTAGTTTTTGCCTATTTTTTTTTCTGTTCCAGGATTCCATCCAGGATCCTTGGCTATGACAGTTTCCCAGACTTTCCTTGTTTCTGATGACTTTGACAGTTTTCAGGAGTACTGGTTGGGTCAGGTATTTTGTAAAATGTTCCTCGATTGGGGTTGGTCTGATGGTTTTTCATGATTAGGCTAGGTTTATGGGTTTGGGAAGGAAGACCACAAAAGCAAGTGCCATTCTCATCGCAGAGTATCAAGGGTACCTACTATCAATACGACATCATGGTTAATGTGAACCTTGAACACTCGACTGAGGCAGTATCTGTCAGGTTTCCTCACTCTTGTCTCTCTTTTTAAATTGTGCTCTTTAGCAGGAAGTCACTATACATGGCTCATATTTAGGGTGTGGGGAGTTATGCTCTACTTCCTTAAAAGTGAAATAGCTACACAAATTATTTGGAATTCTTCTGTATGAGAAAGGAGATTTGTCTATTTTCCCACATTTACTCATTTATTCATTTATTGACATCAGTATAGACTCATGGATATTTGTTTTACAGTTGGTTTGTAATCCAATGCTACATTATTTATTTTGTTGTTCAAGTTGTTCCAGCTTTGGACTGGGAGCTCTTTTGATTGGCTTCTGTGTCCCTTTGACATATGCCCATCATTGCATTTGAGCATTTTCTTACTTTCTGCCACTATAAGATGCTTCAGTCTCTTCTCATATATGTTCTGTTCCAGTCCTAGAATCATCCATTTTGTCAAGGATCTCTGGTATCTTTTTGGAGACTAGTATTAGAAACAAAGATCTCAGTGCTAAGTATTTCATGCCATTTGAAATCAACCATCTGCACACTTCACTCAATATAACTGTCCCCATATTTTTCCACTTTGTTTACTCTTATTGTTCCCTTTCTTCTTAATAATTGAAACCTCCCTATCATTAAGCTCATTCTCAGGAGCTGAGCAAGGAGATCCCTGACAGCTTCCCCTACATCACGGGGTCTTTCCAACAATAAATCAAATAAGGTGCCCAAGCAGCAAAAGCACTTTTATCACAGCATCAGTTATCACCTGGGTGGGGAGGGTGGGGCATAGAGTTATGAAAAAGCTTAGCATAATTATATAAGGACTCCAAAATTTCTCACATTTTTAACATTTCAGCAGCCTCAAAAAAAGTATTTCCGTTAATATTTGCTTTTCAAATGGCACTATTAAAAAAAGAAAATGAAAAGATAAGCGCCACACAGGGAGAAAATATTTGCAAATTACATATTTAATAAAGAACTTGTACCTAGAATATATAAAGAACTCTTAGAACTCAATAAGAAGAATGTAAACAATGCCATTTTTAAAATGAGAAAAAGACTTGAACTAGACACTTCAAGAAAGATATACTGCTGACAAATAAGTACATGAAAAGAAGCTCTACATCATTAGTTGCCAGGGAAAGCAAATCAAAACAATAATGAGATTTCACCATGTATCTATTAGAATGCGTAATTTAAAAGTTTGGCCATTCCAAGTGTTGGAAAGGATGTAGAGCAACTGAACTCTCACATGTTGTTGCTGGGAGTGTAAAATGGTACAACCACTTTGCAAAACCATCTGATGGTCTCTTAAAAAGTTAAACATACACCTAAAATTATATATACACATGACCCATTCCTTTCATTCCTGGGTATTTACCCCCCAAAAAGATAATTTCATTTCTGGTGATATGCCCTCTAATACTTACTTACCTAACTGCAGCAAAATATGAAGCATCCTGTTGAGATATTGGTGCCGAGGGATAATAGAACATTCGTTAATCCAAGTCCTTGGATGACTTTATGGAACACAGCTTTATGCCACCTCCTACCCCTAACTCATGTTGGATATGTAGTGTGAGCAAGAAATACATTTCCTATGGTTTTAAGCCACTGAGACTTTGAAGTTATTTGTTGCCACAGCATAGACATACCTGTTGAATACAGTTACTATGCTGGAAGAGTTTCTCACTTCTCACTATTTTTTCACAATGTTTCCTGAGATTTAGTTTGCTTTCCTCCCCTTTCTCCCTTTTGACTTTTTCTCTCTTTTCTGTTCTGGTAATCACCACTTCCTCATACCTTCCATCTTACCCTCTTATGCACTCTGGTTATTCTCCATCTTTGTCATCCTTCTACATGCATGCAGTCATTTCCTATGATATCACAACCAGTTAAGCTACCAAGGCCTATCACTGGGGGCAAATGTGGAGGTGTTGCTGAAGAAGAAGATGGGTAAGAGAAACAAGTAAGTTACTTTCTCCATCTTGCTGTGATTTATTAGAGAACAAGTTAGATTCAGAGTCCATACTCAGTCATCATTCAAAATCAATCATTGATTGAGAGTAAAAATACCTAAGTATCCAAACCACTTATGAGCTAACAATCAATCTACCCTAGCCCAATGTACTTCAGTGCAATAAGGTGTATTCTCCTTAAAAGAGATAAGAAGGGATATATAGAAGTGAAAATAAATGCTATACTGTTATAACAAAAATATACATCAATACAGAGGACTAATTAAGATAAAAATGTTATTTTTCCTTAAGACTAATGATATGTGTAGCAGGTCTAGACTGGCTAGGTAGCTTTGCTCCACAAGGTAATTCAGGGATTCAGGTTCCCTCCACCTTGTAGTTCTGCCATCTCTCCTTAATCTATTCTGGGAAAGAATTAAGCCCTAATGTCCCATGCATTTATTTTATGTGATGTGATGCATTAACTTATTTTCCATGCACATAAAGTAGTAGCAACTATGTACTGTTCTTGAGAGAATTGAGAAAATGGTCACTCAGATAATTTTCCTAAGGGAATTCTTTGGGAGCCATGTTGAGAAAGGCCACCTTAATGCATTTTGTCTTACTGGTCAAAGCACAGTCATTGCCATGTCCAGCCCACAGGAAACTGAAATAGAAGAAAGCAGGACAAACTCTTTCCTTTTAGGAAAAGATTATATTTGTTTCTCTACTAAGATATTGTAAAGCACTCAATCATAAAATGGGGTCTATACCTGGGTGGCCGACTGTCAAGAAGAAGGAAAAATGGATTTTGGAATATAACCAACAGTCTACCACAGAATTGGTCATTGGTGGGGTGGGGGGCGGGGGGGCAGGGTCAGATTACACATTGTGAGAAGTCTCCCATCTGGAAGGAATCTTTTACTGTGATGACTTCACACTGGTTCTATTCACAACTTTCTTGGCTCCTTCTCTCACTCAATCTAGCAGTCAGGTCCTGAGAATAACATTTTTGTTTAATCGCGAACCCTATTATATTTCTCTGTTCAGAAAAGTTGAACGATCATACTGACACATCCAAGACAATAGGCTTTGAAGCAGTTTCCAGGAATTTAGTTGCTATTGCACCCCACAGTGTTTATCATCATCTAATACATATTTTACCAACTGATTTTGATTATTGATTGTCTCTTCCAACTAGAATGCAAACTCTGGGCCAGGCGCGGTGGCTCAAGCCTGTAATCCCAGCACTTTGGGAGGCTGAGGCGGGTGGATCACAAGGTCAAGAGATCAAGACCATCCTGGCCAACATGGAGAAACCCCATGTCTACTAAAAATACAAAAAAATTAGCTGGGCGTAGTGGCGAGCGCCTGTGATCCCAGCTAATCAGGAGGCTGAGGCAGGAGAATGCCGTGAACCTGGGTAGGCGGAGGTTGCAGTGAGCCAAGATTGCCCCACTGCACTCCCGCCTGGGCGACGGAGCGAGACTCCGTCTCAAAAAAAAAAAAAAAAAGAATGCAAACTCCATGAAGGCAGGATTGTTTTATTGTTGTGGTCACTTACTCTGCTCTAGTTCCAATGCCTAGAACAAAGTTACAATAATAACTAGTGTTTGTACAGCATTTACTATGTGCTTTGTAACTAGGATGATTATGTAATTTATATTTCTAAGTGGGGCACTTTTGAGAGTAAAGAGAAGGCTCTATTAATAATTATGCCAGAATGATGGAAATAATGAAGACTGTTCCAAGCCAGCTAGGATGCATGGCCACTCTGTGTGTAACTATTCTAGATGTTTTACATGTATTTCCTCATTTAATCTTCATTACAACACTTGAGGTAGTTACTGTTGTTATTCCCATTTGACAGATAAGGAAACTGCAGCATAGACAGATTAAATAATTTAGTTAAGGTCACACAAGCAGTATTTGGGGAAGCCAGGATTTGAGTCCAGGAAGTCAGGGTTCAGTGCTCATGATTATCCTGATATAGAATAAAATATTTGTAGCTGAAAAGAATGAACCAGACATATCCTCTCTGATATTCTCTGTTGTTTTAAGTTCTCTCTATCAGGTTATTCTGAAAACGGGTTATTCACTCTTTTCCTCCATAAAGAATAGCGTAACTACATGACTCATTAATAGCTCTGTCCAAATGAAAGAAAAATCTGAGAGCAATTTGGAGCTTAATGTGAAATGGTGTGCTCACAATAGATTCATATATTAGCTCATTCAAATAAATCTATTCTAGGTATGGGTAAATATAAAAGCAGATACAAATTAATTGAAAGCAATTTTATGTTTAGCATACCAAACAGTTAGCTTTTCATTGAGGAGTGCTCAGGCCTCAAACTCTCTATGTTTTGGGGTTGCTATCTGCCTCATGATGCAAAGTGGAGGGTTTGACTTCCGGGAGGACAAAGTCATTTTCTCCTCTGAGAAAGCCTCCTACATAGTTGCCTTGTGATTTTCTAGGAATAGGAGGGCAGGGAGTGAGGCCTCATGAGTCCGGGCTTTCGGCTGAGGTCGAGAGAGAAGACAGGGATGGTAATCAGAAAATTTAGAGTGGATGTAGCAACCTCCAGAACTCATTGCTGTCAACTCAACCTGGGCATCATGACAAGCAGAGAAGTGGATTCTTTAATAACAATAATAAAAAGAGTTCAACCCTACCCCCGCCCCCAGCCCCAAATACCAGATATTTAGATTATTCTGGATGATATTTTTACAATACTGACTAAAATTCTTTCCAACAAAATATAAGGTCCATTATATGTGACACATTTCTAAGGACATAGTTATCTCAAGTATAGAATTGATGTGGAGAGAAAGGGGAGTGAGACAGAGTAAGGAAAATTTATTCCATTTTTCCACTATTAGAGCCTAACACAATCATTATCTCAAGATTATGAGTGATTTTCTCTGGAAATTTTTGAACTTTCTCTGGAAATTTTTGTTGGAAATTTTTTCTAGAAAATCTTGTTTCTCAGTCTGTCAATGTCCAGATATCTCAATAATGAAGATATTAATACCCACATTCATAGCATTGTTATTTTTTTGTTAACCATTACTCAAAATTATATTTGTCCAAGACCTTCAGAAAACGTATGTCTGGCTCAGGAGAAAGCACATGACATTGATATTTAATATTTAATACACCAACAGACCACAAATTTTAAGCTTCCAACATTTTTACTTGAATTATGCTCACGTATTTTCTAGAGCTTTGAAAGAACACGGAAACAAATAATAGACAACGGCTTAGTCCTTTCCCCTCACTTAGAGATCTTAGCAGAGGAAGTACAAATGAAAAAACATACATCTTTGTGTGTCACTAGAGTTCCAAGTGAAGAGGGACAACATGGTAAATTTTGGAAGGTTCATGAATTTTGGAGTTAGACTTTCTGCATCTAGGCTATGCCGTCTAATTTGTTTTTCTCATTAATCCTCTCTTTCTTCACCTACAAAAATAACGATAAAACGTTTTTCATGACCTTAGTAAAGTGATCAAGATTAAAATAACCAAAGTACATATATATCCACATCAAGAACGTCCTGATAGGGTGCACTGGAAAGAGCACACAATCTGTGGCATCCTTCCCAACAGTGCTTGAGCTCAATCTATTGATGAGAAAACCTCAGACAAACCCATATTGAGGGGGCATTCTGCAAAATAACTGATGAGCACCTTTCAAAAGTGTCAGAGTCACAAAGACAAGGAAGAGCTAAGGAACCATCACAGGTTGGAGGAGACAAAGGAGACAGGACAACTAAATCCAAAGTGCAATCCTGGATTGGATCCTGAAGCTGAGAACTGATGGGAAAATTGGTGACATTCAAAAAAAGTTCTATATTTACTAGGAGTATCATACCAAGGATAATTCCTTCGTTTATTTTATTATTATGTACAATATGTAAAATATTATTATTTTATTATTATGTACGATATTAACATAAGGGAAAACTGCATAAAGGGCAGAAGGGAAGTCTGTGCTATTTTTGCAACTCTTTTATAACTCTAAAGTTATCTTTTCTAAAAAGCTTATTGTGGAGACTTTTAAAACAAAATATTCTGTTTTAAATCTGCAGTTTGATTTTTAATTTTGCTGCTCTTCATAGGCTCAGTTTGTCATATCAGTGAGCCTGAAAGGCTATTTTGTTTGCAGGAACTTGTCAGCGTTACTTTTTACTTCTTTTTAACTTTTCTAATTTATTCAGCCTCTTGGGCCAGGCAATTATTTGAACTGCCAGAGGTGTTGATCTTGTTGACAATCCAAAAACAGAATACAACTCCATGGCTCAGAACTTTTCTAAAATATCAGGTTTAATAGGGCATTAACCAGCCCCTGGAGGTTTGCATGCTTCCAAACATATTTTTCACCTATTGCCTCGGTACTAATTGGAGGCAGGTGCACAGCCAGAGGCCATTAACTTCTCAAGGCCTGTAATTTCTGTTTGCGAGTGAAAGGAGAGAAAAGTAATAACAATATTAATGAATGAACGTGAACTTTTTATCATAGCAATAAAAACAATATTGCCTTTAGGAGATGCCAACTTTGGCATCTGGTCTCAATGGGGTGTTAGGAGACCTGTTGCTCAGCACAATCAGAAAGTTGCTAAAGTTTGTTAGAGTAGCACCTGCTCCCTGTCACTGTTCTCGTGGTCCACATCTGATGCTTCAACCAAGACCCTCTATCATACCGTGTCCATTTGTTTGCCAGGCACCCTCTAGCACCGCCTCTGGTGGATCACCACAGTTAGCTCACCTTAAGAGAGAACTGTTTCTTGTTACTATGTAACATCTGTCCTTCCTACTAACCTACCTCCATGACCTCATATGAGGCATGATTTTGTTAGAAATTAACGAAGACTTCCTTTTATATTTTCAGCTATTATATTTTAGAGAAGTCTTTCAGACCAAGAGAAGTGGATTAGTGGTAGGATTAAATTCACTCTGACAGGTGGATTGAGGCAACTGCACCCAGAAATTTTTTATTCTGTGGATGTCTATCCCAGGAATGCAAGAATTTGAATGTCCTATATTTATAAGTTTGTCATTGATTACCTGAAGATGAGCCTAATGACTTACCTGCTGAGCGGACCTTCCGAAATGTTTTGTTCAGTAAACATGAAGTTAAGTAGATTTTGCATAATTTATAATTACTCAGAAATCCAAAGATTTGGTTGTAGTTGTTAATATTGCCCAGATATTCCTAATTTATGTTTTTCAGTACTTAAAAAATAGAGGACCAGATGTTTTAAGATAAATTATCTAATAAGTAACCAAGAGACACGCAGTTCTGCGGAGAGTTTCTGGACTTTTTAGACCCTTAGAAAACTGAGTGCAATATACTCCAAAGGTTACAATTATAGAGAAATAAGAAAACTTTTGTTCATCAGGTTTGAACTCATCATTTTAATAATAATATAAATATAAAATAAAATATAAAATAAATATAAAATAAAAAATAACTGATTTGGCCAGGTGTGATGGCTCACACCTGTAATCCCAGCACTTTGAGAGGCCGAGGTGGGTGGGTCACCTGAGGTCAGGAGTTCAAGACCAGCCTGGCCAACATGGTGAAACTTCATCTCTACTAAAAATATAAAAATTAGCCAGGCATCGTGGCGGGCACCTGTAATCCTGGCTACTTGGGAGACTGAGGCCAGAGAATTGCTTGAAACTGGGAGGCGGAGGTTGCAGTGAGCCGAGATCGCATCACTGCACTGCAGCCTGGGCAACAAAAGCAAAACCCCATCTCAAAAAAAAAAAAGAATAACTAATTTAACCTAATCACACATTTAATTTGTGGTCCAGATATAGCTAGAATCCATAACTCTAGATGGTCAAGTGTGCTTTCCACCGTAGTGTGCTATTTTTTTTTAACCAATAAAATAGTTCTATGAGATGAACTAATCAGAGCCTGAAGCTCAAGACAATGGTCTGAGGTCCTGGAGTCTGAGTCATAGATCAGGAATTTGCTGAGCAAGCAACCTAAATAGTGAGATAAAGAAAATTCAGAAATTAAATTGAGTAAACAGACCAACACTGATGACTGAGAGAGAAAGCTGCCCTGCTTCTTCCCTCAGTGGATATTTTTGGGGACCATTTGCTATAGCAATGTGGCGGCCCCCATAGAGGCAGAGTAAGTATAGCAGGTGCCTCGCCTGAGCAGGCAGGTGCCTGAGCAGGAGGAGTAAGGCCTTCAGCACATCTCCACAGATGGGGACAAGTCCCTGCAAAAACACTTTCTTTGAGCCTAATGACCTCCCTGCATCCTTAGGCATCATGTGGCATCATTTCCTGCCACTGAGTCATAGCCACTTGTGTCCACGGAGTCTGCAGGGCGGTGCAGGAATGTGGCTGGCCACATAAAGGAGGAGTACATTAATGTTGCTGGATTTGGAGATCTATTTATTAAATGCTCACTTGTTCCAGAGTATTTTGTCACTTGATGAGGAAAGACTATTATGACAAATAATGAAGATTATTTATTAGAACTTACTCTGTGCTAAGCACTCTTCAAAATACTCTACAGGTAGTGGCATACACGGTTGGCCTATGCAAGAACCTTTTTCATTTCCATTTCTTCTTTGTTAGCACAGCCTCCCTTCTAAGAAAGAGGCTAAAAAGGCCACGTACATCCATTCACAGCCTCCTTTGTATGAATGACCATGTGACATAGCACATCATAAGAATTAGCACTCACACTTAACATGTGTCTGGCACTGTTCTAAGCGCTCTGTCACATATATACATACATATGTAATCAATCTTCATATCAGCTCTTGATGTGGATACTATTATTCCCATTTTATAAGTGAAAAATTAACATATAGTGAGGCTTAAGTAACTTGCCCTGGTCACATAGTCAGTCAGCGGTGGAGCCAGGATTCTATTTCAGACAATGCAGCTCTAGAATCCCAGCTTGGAGCTAGCACAATGTTGACTCTCAGGAAGGAGACAAAAGGGGAAGATTTGTTGGTAGGAATTCTGGAAAAGGGTTTTCTCTCTGCCCAAAACAGAAAGATGTAAGAGAAGGCTGCTGTCCTCCTTACTTCCTAGTTTTTAAGACTGAAGTGTTGCAGGTGTGACACTTGAGGCCACAGCATCCTGCAACCATGCACGTGGCAGCACTCGGGACACAGGATGAGGTTACAGTGGAAAGATGTGAAGCACTTGGATTCATTTGACATCAACGAACCACCCATCAAACTCTCAGGCCATCTTAAACTAACGTAATGTGAGAT
Organism: Homo sapiens; assembly: GCF_000001405.40. NCBI lineage: Eukaryota > Metazoa > Chordata > Mammalia > Primates > Hominidae > Homo > Homo sapiens. The sequence continues at coordinate 8,555,931 of NC_000012.12, forward strand.
AAATGTTAACAGGTTTTTAACATTTATTTTTAAAGCCAATTTGGTTAGATATTCTGTTTTCTACAGCTAAAATTAGTTAAGAGATCATCTTCTGTTATTTAATCCTCAACCCAACCTTACAAAAAATGTATTTTTGTTATCCTTGTTTTACAAATAAGGGAGTTGAGGTCAAGAGTTTAATTTATGCAGCTGTTGATTGGCAAAGCCAGGATTCGAATAAAAACAGTCTTTAACCAGCATGCTGTGCTACTTTCTGTCAATGTCTTCATTCAAAGACCACCAGGAACACACCTGTAGTTAAACAAGTTGTGTTTTTTTGCAGTGAGGGAAAATGCATGCCATGGAGGACCTTGTGGTGCTTCATAAGAGGGTGTTAGAAATAATTTATTATAGGATTTGGGCTGATGTTAGGTAGTTTGGAGAGGGTTTAAACAAGCAGGGTTTTGTTCTGGATTGGATGCCGTGATGGTTAATATTATGTGTCAACTTGACTGAATTACATGCCCAGACAGCTGGTAAACATTATTTTTGGTGTGTCTGTGCGGGTGTTTCTGGAGGAGATGACCTTTTCAATCAGTAGACTGAGTGGAGAAGATTACCCTCACCAACGTGAGTGGGCATCACCCAATCTGCTGAGGGCCCAGGTAGAACAAAAAGGTGGAAAAAGGAGGAATTTACTCTCTCTTTCTCCTTGAGCTGGGGCTCCATCTTCTCCTGGCCTTGGACATGGAGCTTTGGTTTCTTGGGCCTTTGGACTTGGAGGCTTAGACCAGACTTTCCTACCTCCCAGCCCTGGGGCTCTCAGACCTTTAGCCTCGGACTGAGAGTACAGCATCAGCTCCCCTTGTTCTTAGGCCTTCAAACTCAGGCTGAATCACACCCCTGGCTTTCCTCATTCTTCAGCTTGCTGATGGCAGCTGATGGGACTTTTCAGCCTCCATAATTATGTGAGTCAATTCCCCTAAAAAGTTTCCTTTTCTATATCTCTTTATATTCTATTGACTCTGCTTCTCTGGAGGGCCTTGACTAATGCAGTTGCTGTCAGGAAATGAGACTAATTCTACCATTGAGTATCTTGATAAATCTTTTCTAGAAGGAAGAATAACTACAAGAAGTCTGAAGCTTTATTTGGTAAAGAAACAACACTAACCCATAGTAGTCAGAATAGGAAGATGTGTGGTCATTTTGGTGGTTTGAAAAATGTTTATGCTTTTCTGCTTTTATTGTGTGTCCATGATTGCGAAGTAGTCTTGTTTTCATCTTGCTCCTTGTCTGAAGTTGGTGTTCTGTGACAGTTTTCTGCTGCACAGGACAAGGCCATGGAGAGGTCCTCTGAGTGTCACGTTAGCTCCCAGATGTCAAGGGATGCTTTTCTCGTTCTTGTTTATCCATTTTCAGAAACTGAAGTTTTTTTCTTAAGGTGAGTTTTTTAAATACCATTTTAAGATGTTTTAAAATTTTGCTTTGCATTGGTACTTTTAATACGTGTAGCAAACATCTTCCTAACAATGATATTCATTTTCATACTTTCTTAATCGGAATATGCTGAAAATAATTTGAGATTTCTTAATCACGTAGGGTCATTGTTGTAAAAAGATGTTTTCTGAACACAGTTTAGAAATACAGTGCAATGGATACTGACATGTATATGATTGTTTTTTCCTTGACTATTTAATTCCAGACTTAGTTGTATATTTTGATTTCTCACTATTTTCGGCTTTCTTTTCACTAATGTCACTTTTTGGTTTTTATATTTTTTTCCCTTCAACCTCTTTAGACCTGCTGTATCTAATCCACTGTGAACATGAAAACTGTAAGGCCAATTACATCTAAATTTAACATTATGCTTGATTAGAGACCATAGACAAAGTTCATGGAGTTTGTAAGATTAAAAACAGTTATGAAGTTGGAGCATGCTACTGTAGGTAATGGATCCACTTTAAGAAATCTCTGTTTGAGGCTCAGTGGCTCATGCCGGTAATCCTAGCACTTTGGGAGGCTGAGGTGGGCAGATCATGAGGTCAGAAGATCGAGACAATCCTGGCTAAAACGGTGAAACCCCTTCTCTACTAAAAATACAAAAAATTAGCCGAGTGTCGTGGTGGGCGCCTGTAGTCTCAGCTACTTGGGAGGCTGAGGCAGGAGAATGGCGTGAACCTGGGAGGCAGAGCTTGCAGTGAGCCAAGATCGCACCACTGCACTTCAGCCTGGGTGACAGAGTGAGACTCCATCTCAAAAAAAAAAAAAAAGGAATTTCTGTTCGAGACCGGATGCGGTGGCTCACACCTGCAATCCCAGCATTTGGGGAGGCTGAGGCAGGCAGATCACTTGAGATTGAGAGTTCGAGACCAGCCTGCCCAACATGGTGAACCCCATCTCTACTAAAAATACAAAAATTAGCTGGGCCTGGTGGTGCACGCCTGTAATCCCAGCTACCCTGGAGGCTGAGCCATGAGAATCACTTGAACCCAGGAGGTGGAGATGCAGTGAGCCGAGATTGTGCCACTGCACTCCAGCCTTGAGGGCTTGCAGATGTGAAGAATCTTTTTATCTATACCCTGCTGTAAAAGAAGTTCATTAGACACATTTCTGGCCAAACCATCTACAAAAGTAGCTGTTTGTACTGGTTCAGTAATAGATGCTACAGCAACACTAGCAGTTGCTAGGATGACTATGGCTGAGACTTATAAAGGCTACAAGTGTAACTGTGAATCTCTTGTGTCTGACCTGGAACAGGGCACGTTCTAAGGTGTCAAGGGCAGAGGAACCTTGCCAATCATGTGTTAAACTGACTAGTAGGAAAGCCTCAGATTGTCTCCTCAATACCATGACATTAGGAATATTTAAATTAGATATAATTAGAGATACAAGAGGCAAACCAAGCCTGTCCCTGCACTCAGGTCACAAACGTGGAGTTTTGGGGTGTAATAGAAATATTGGCTCCCATAAGGAAAACATATGGATGGGTAGTGCAAATCAGGCACTGATCAGTGTCATTATGGAAAACGGTCATAGTATAGTTGTGACTAGAATTATGATACGTCCCACACCAGATGGTAAGGGGTGTGCTGAGATGTCCCAGGTGCCATAAAGTGTCTTGAGGTGGGACGGACTCTACTTGGGGTCTGAGATATCCCATCCCCCCTTCAGCCCAAATTATAGGGGAATGGGACTTGGCTATGAAACTATCATGATGCCATGATAGACGCAGACATCAGTACGATCGCCCTGCAAATGGCTGTGGGGGTTCCAGTCTAAAATGTTATAATTGCCTAACTGGAGGCTACGAGCCTGTTCCCCATGACAGACCTCCCAGCTAAAGTGGAATCCATTATTTTCCTGGCTTTGTTCTTTAGCACAGGCAGGAATGTTTGGGAGAGTGGTATTGATTGCATTGCCAGTTTGAGGCTACCTGGAACTAAGGCTGTTAAGGCATTTCCTTTGCCATGATGTAGCCATAATTGTGTTTGGGCAGGTACACAGTAAGGGTTAGAACTTTTATCATTTGCATGCAGTGGGAGGATAGCAGAGTGATATGTAGTGTTACCTGGCACCTTAGTCCCATGTGTGCTATTAATGAGGGACCCCCACTGCGGGTAAATCTATCCCTCCCAGCCAAGCAATTATGTTATTAGAGGCTGGGAAGCAGGTGTCTGCCCAGGTGGCAGGGCAAAAGAAAGCCGTATCTAAGATATGAGCCCAACAGAGTGTAGCAGGTACAGGTTAAAGACAAAGTGAGAGCATAAAAAGAATCAATACACTACGCGAGTTGTGATGTACAACAGAGAGCATAGTAAGCAACAAATTATCTGGAGTGAATGGTGTCTGTGTCCAGAGCAGGATTTGCTCGGCCTCCTGAGTTATCCTCTTCAGGATCCCCTAGGTAATATCTGAGGCGTGTGTCATCCGAGGAAGCTGCATCATCCAGGGCTGTTGGTCCTGTAGGGTCATTTTCTTCATTTCTGGTACTGGGTTGGGTCCTAGCCACGCCACGGTATGCTTTGATGTGTCGTGCTGGAATCCAGAGAGGACCCGAGGGAATGTGAACACAAGCATATCCTCTCCTCAACGTTAACAATTCATTTGGACCACACCATATATTACTGTTTACGTCTTTCCATAAAACTGCAGGTTTTACATCTTGAGAGGTTTTAGCAAAGTGCTTTTCTACAGCTGATTAAAATTTATCATCTAAATTTTAAAAGTTAAGGGTAAATAAGGCTTGTGCTAGTAGTGTTGCAGGGTCCTTACTCATATTCCCACTTTTTTGTTTTCTGAGCATATTTTTAAGGATGGAATGGATACATTTTACTATGGCCTGTCCTTGGGGGTTATACGGGATGCCTGTGGAATGTTGGATGTTCCGCGTGTGACAAAATTGTTGAAATTGTGAGCTGGCATAAGCCAGACCATTGTCAGTTTTCTTTGTTGTGGGCCACCCCGTAAATGCAAAAGTTAAAAGAAGATGTTTAATGACATATCGGGTGGACTCTACAGGAAAGGCATGAGCGTTAATTGAGAATTGGTATCAATGGATACATGTACATATCTAAGTTTTCCAACTTCAGGGATATGTGTAACATCTGTTTGCCATAACTGATTAAGTTCTAGTCCTCTAGGGTTAATACCTGTTGAAGGAGAGGATGTACCTGTGAGCTGGCAATCTGGGCATCGTAGGATAATTTGTTTAGCTAGTCTCTGGGTAAAGTCGAAATTGTTTAGATAAGTTTCTCCAGTTTTGGTGAAAAAATTGATGTGATTGGGGGGCTTGGTCAAGCAATGATGTCTTAACCTGTAGGTCTGATTGATCATTGCCATATGCCAATGGGCCAGGCAGTGAGCTGTGGGCTCGAATATGTGTGATAAAAATAGGATGTGTACGTTGACCTAGGAAATGCTGAAGTCAGAGAAAAAGTGCACACAGGGTGGGCTCCAGAGTGGACTTAATAAGGGCTGTGTAAAGGTTCTGCAATAAATTAAACAGAGTAAGCAGAGTCACTAACAATATTGATGGGCTGAGCAGAAAAAGTTTCCAAGGCCAATATTAAGGCTCCAACCTCAACTTTTTGAGTGCTAATAAATCCAGAACAAGTGAGGGAATTATGCCATCTCCACCAGACAGCTGCTTTTCCATCTTTACCAGAGCCATCAATAAACAGTGTTAAAGCATTAGGTATGGGGGATTGAACTATTTTTGTAGGCGAAAGCACAGAAGTACGAGATAAGAACTGAAGGAGTTTGTCAGCAGGAAGGGCGTGCTTTATACGGCCTGTGTAATCAGAGAGTGCTATTTGCAGGTCCATAGATAAGGGCAATACTGCTTCAAATTGCTTTTTACTTAAAGGAATTCTGATGATATTAGGGTCATAACCTAGTAATAGATTGCCTTGTCTGCAGCCTAAATAGATGACTTTACTAACTAACTGGATATAGGGAGAGACTGTTTTAGTCCCAGTATGTGAGCAAAAAACCCATCCTAGGACAGCCCTGGGGTCATCTGTCCTATTAGCCCTGTAGAGGTGTGTTTAGTGGGAAAAACAAATAATTGAACTGAATACCATGGATCAATGCAATCTAGTTGCCTCTAAGAAATAGCTTGCTCTATCTCTTCAATTTCCCTTTGTGCTGCAGGAGTTAAATACCTAGAGAGTCTAGGGCAGCATTGTCTTTTAAGATAGACAACAGGTTCTGTAACTTATCAGTAGTTATGCCCAAGGTTGGGCGAAGCCAGTTAATATCACCTAGTCATTTCTGATAATCATTCAAGGTATGTAAGTTGCCAGTATTTAATTTAACATTTTGGGGTCTTACTGACCGGGTAGTTAGTATATACTCAAGGTATTTCCAAGGAGAGGAAATTTGTACTTTTTCAGGTGCTACGATTAAACCTCTTAACTGTGTATTCCTTATGACAGAGGCACGTAACTTTAAAAGTACTGGCTCTGTTGGGGCTGCTAGTAAAATATCATCCATAAAATGAATAATCTTGCAATTAGGAAATTCTTTTCTACTGGGGAGCAAAGCCTGATTTACATGATACTGACACATGGTAGGACTGCTCAGCATTCCTTGGGGTAGCACTTTCCAATGAAATCGGTGAGCTGGCCTTTCATTATTGATAGCTGGTATTGTAAACACAAATTTTTCTCTGTCCTGTTCTGCAAGGGGAATAGTATAAAAACAGTCTTTTAAGTGAATAACGATTATAGGCCAATCTCAAGGAATCGCTGCAGGGGAGGGGAGCCCCTACTGAAGGGGCCCCATAGGTTGCAAATTAGCATTGATAGCACGCAAGGCATGCAAAAGTCTCCATTTACCAGACTTTTTGGGGATGACGAAAATGGGCGAATTCCAAGGGTTGTTTGACGGTTCTGTATGGCCGGCTTTTAATTGCTCCTCAACTAATTCATGGGCTCTTTGCAATTTCTCTCCCTTTAAAGGTCACTGTTCTACCCAAATAGGATTTTGAGAGAGCCACGTCAGGGGCAGGGGAGAGATAACAACAATGGCCATTATTAGAAAGAGGTCTGCAGAGTGACCGCAATTAACCCTCTCGTAAATGGGCTGGTGGCACCGCCTACTGGCCTGGAGGTCAAACTGCACAGCTCAATGTAAAACCTGCAGAGTAAAGTGCACCTGGCTATCTATAGAAGCAAAACCAAAAGACCCTACCCAACATTTCCACAGTCACGCCCCCAGGGGAAGGGGAATAATAGTGGGAAAAAAACCCATCAAAATGAAAATAAATTTAAAAATAAGAAGTGTCAGCTTCCCCAAATGAGAAGAAACCAGAGTAAGGATTATTGCACCATGAAAAATCTGAATGCTGTGACACCACCTAAGGATCAATAGACCTTAACCAAGATGAACACTCAGAAATGACAGATGAAAAATACAAAGTATGGATTGCAAGGAAGCTCAATGAGATCCAAGAGAAGCTTGAAAACCAACACAAAGAAACCATGAAAGCAATCCAGGAGATGAAGAGATAGATATCTAAAAAACAGAAGTTCTAAAAATGAAAAATTCACTTAAAGATTTTCAAAATATATTTGAAAGCTTTAATAATAGATTAGGTCAAGCAGAAGAAGGAATTTCAGAGCCTGAAGACTGCTCTTTCAAATTAACTCAGTCAAATAAAAATAAAGAAAAAAAGAATTTTTAAAAAATGAAAATTCAAGAAATATGGGATTATGTAAAGTGACCAAACCTATGACTTACAGGCATTCTTGGAAGAGAAGAAAAGATAAGCAACCTGGAAAGCATATTTAAAAGAATAATTCAGAAAAAATTATCTAATCTTACTAGAGAAGTAGACTTCCAGGTACAAGAAAGTCAGAAAATACCTTTAAGATACAAAATGCCACTGCACTCCAGCCTGGGCGACAGAGCAAGACTCTGTATCAAACAGAAACAAAAACAAAACAAAGATATGCTTGCAAAAATATGAAATGGCAGATGCACATGGTTATTTGCACCATTATTTTCAAAAGTCAAACTGGAGCACCATCTGAATATTCATCAAATTCAGGACTGATGAGGCAGAGCAACACAATGGATTATTATGCAGATATACAAGAGAATGCGGAAGCTCTGTAAAGTAGGGTGTGAACTCCAGGACACAGGGTGAAGTGAAGAAAGCAAGGTGCAGAAATTGCACACAGTATGCCATCTTTTGTACTGGGGAAAGGAATACAAAGCAGCGGGGAAAGGAATGTGTATGCATGTATATGTAAATACAGTCATTAAAACTGAAAACAAAGTGGCACAAATAAACCTAATTCCCTATCGAGTTGGCATTGCTGCCTTAACCACACAGAGGAAAGTAACTGACTTCAGAGCACAGTATCTTCACTGTATTTCTTCAGTATGATATAATCCAAAGACACAAATACTGCATAGACATCTCAATGTCACTTGAAGTGAAATAACATAAAAATGGGAACAGACTCCTGCTGCTGCTCCAGAAAGATGAACATGAGAAAGGGACCATTATCTCTAATGTTTTCTCATGTAGAAAATGCAGGGAATAGCTTAAATCGAAGTTCAACTTTGGGAGCTGATAATTGAGTGAAAGTCTTCTTCCTTGATTGCCCTGGGAAGAAATCTTCATTTTTGGTTTGCAAGACCATGAAAATGAGACAATAAATACAACAAATGAAATACTTTACACTCAAAAACTATTTTTAAAAAAACAGACAAAATATAGAAAATAAGTATAAGTAACATATTCAAAGAGACATTAAACGACATTTTATTAATTTTAAAAGCTATAGATTATAGAAATAAAAATTTTCCGTATGAAATTTCCCTCCTAAGGGTCGGCCCAAGTCCAGGACCTGTCTGGGAATTGTGGACATATCGGTAGGACACGGGCAAGGATTGCCATCTCGCTCAGCACCTGTTTCCTTGAACGATGAGAATAACCCATCTCTCCTGTTTTAAGTGTGATTTGTCATATACATCAATAGGCATCTTGGCTCAACATACGAAAGCCCCTTTCCACAGAGACAGCTGCCTCCAGCCTGAAGAAGTTGCCACAGGAGGTAGAAGGAGGTCCCTTGCCCATGCCTGGGAGACCCAGCCAGAGTGGACAGGGAGGCGGCCCGGGCCGGGGTGCCAGACTCAGCAAATAAACACAGCATGCCCAGGTAACTCTGAATTTCAGATAACCAACGAATAACTTTGTGTGATACTATATTTGTACTCAAAAGTAACTCGTTTATCTGAAATTCAAAGTTGACGGCGCATGTGGTACTGTATTGAATCTGGCAACGCTCCACCTTGGTTTTCCTACCCGGGTTTGTGGAAGGGGCTCCCCCTGCCCCGCAGGTGCCGCCCCGAGGAGGTGGAGGAGGAGGAGCCGGGCACTGACTGGGGACCCAGGTGAGTCTAGCAAATGACAAGGCCCAACGGTCAAAACCGCCTCAGTAATGCGCTCGTCCAAAGCACGCACTTAACGCTCAATCCTGGTGTCGCGTCCCGTTGCCAGGCAACGAAAGCAAGCGCTGCAAAGACGAAGGGGAGCGCCCAAGGATGAGGAACGTTCCAAGACACTGAGTGATTTGCTGAAAATCACACATCTAGTAAGTGGCAGAATCAGATAAGGAAACTGCAGCATAGACAGATTAAGTAATTTAGTTAAGGTCACACAAGTAGTATTTGGGGAAGCCAGGATTTGAGTCCAGGAAGTCAGGGTTCAATGCTCATGATTATCCTGATATAGAATAAAATATTTGTAGCTTAAAAGAATGAACCGGACATATCCTCTCTGATATTCTCTGTTGTTTCAAGTTCTCTTCATCAGGATATTCTGAAAAGGGGTTATTCACTCTTTTCCTCCATAAAGAATAGCGTAACTACGTGACTCATTAATAGCTCTGTCCAAATGAAAGAAAAATCTGACAGCGATTTGGAGCTTAATGTGAAATGGTGTACTCACAATAGATTCATATATTAGGATGGAAGGGTGTGCGAGATCATTTCTCCTGGATAGACAGACCCCCACTCCTGGGGGAGGGGTCACTCCTTGATTGAAAAAGAATGTTGCTAATTATACTCATGTTTGTCTTATGTTATTTACTAATTCTAGGATGCAAAGCCAGAATGCGAGCAGTGACCACCACACTTGACAAATCCGTTGTTGCACACATTTGTACTCTTCAATCAACAAAACCTGATGCAAAAAACAGAAAAGGGGGAGATGTACATGCATTTTCCCTCACTGCAAAAAAAACACAACTTGTTTAACTACAGGTGTGTTCCTGGTGGTCTTTGAATGAAGACATTGACAGAAAGTAACATAGCATGCTGGTTAAAGACTGTTTTTATTCGAATCCTGGCTTTGCCAATCAACAGCTGCATAAATTAAACTCTCGACCTCAGCTCCCTTATTTGTAAAACAAGAATAACAAAAAGACATTTTTATAAGGTTGGGTTGAAGGTTAAATGAAATAACAGAAGATTATCTCTTCACTAATTTTAGCTGTAGAAAACAGAAGCCAATCGAAAGAGCTCCCAGTCCAAAGCTGGAACAACTTGAACAACAAAATAAATAATGTAGCATTGGATTACAAACCAACCATAAAACAAATATCCATGAGTCTATACTGATGTCAATAAATGAATAAATGTGGGAAAATAGACAAATCTCCTTTCTCATACAGAAGGATTCCAAATAATTTGTGTAGATATTTCACTTTTAACTTGTTCTGTGGCTACGCATTAAGTCAGGATTTCCTTTCTTGCATAAGGAGGACAAGGAAGTTTATTGGACAGCATGTCAGTTCTCTTCACTCCATGCAACAACAAAATGAGGAAATTATGAAATGGTAAGCATCAACACAAATAGGCTGGCCATGGGGAAATAGGAGAGTTTTTTTTAAATGTTGTTTCGTTTTGTTGGACCAAATGTCTCTAGTTTCTTCAAGGCATAACTCATCCCCCAGTTTTTCCTTGACAATATGGAGCTCACCTCTGCACTCTCATAGCCAACTGAACTCATGGCAGGATGCCATGTTACTTGGGTTAATTTCTGGAAAGCTTCTACATACCTATTAGGGCCATCTGAAAACCTGCCAAGATCCCCCTTAGTTTGCAATAAATCCTGAAGAGAAAAGGGCACCTGGATCTTAACAGGGCCATATTCATCAGGCATCTGTTGTAGGGGCAGGAGTGAGACTGGCACCTGCCTAAAATGAGGATTTCTAGAGGTACCTAGAGGTATCTCTGGGGCTTGCTTCCCTATTTCCTTGGGATTGCCCCTTGTAACCTCTCCTGAGATGGCCACTAGGAGGGCTGAATCAATCCTACAATGTTGGCAAAGATCCAGGTTAACATGCAAGGCAAAGAAGGCCTGCACATAAGGGACCTAGGACCCTTTGCCCTCATGTTTACAGAAAAGCTTCCTTCCTGAGGCAAGGCTTCTCTTCTGTGCCTCAAGGTGCTTGGCACTAAGTTGGCAACCAAGTAAATTACAAGAACATTTTCACCACAAATTTACATACAGATACCAAGACACACTTTGCTACATCTGTGCTACTCTTACACTTTGGTGACCAAGCCAAATGCTCATTCCACCCAGTAATATCTCTGGCTTGCAACAACATCCTTTACATTTAACATCGTATATAAAAGAGATAGGAACCATGATAGCCATGAAAGAAAGAAAAGAACAATAGGAAAGGCTGAAGGTCCTAGTGCGGACACCCTAATGGGCAGTTGGGGACTGGAGTTAGTCCAGGAGCCTTTGAATAACACCAAAGTGTAGCCTTGGCCAGATACCCTCAGTTGCCCCAGGACCTCCTTCCAGTCCCATGAGATGGCTAGACCTCCATGAAGGGAAATTGGGTTAGAACAAAGCCAACATTCCCAACACCTGAGGTTGATGGGGGATTGACAGTGTCCCTCCCCAGCAAGCCTGTCCTTCATGTCTTAAGTTCTGCAGCTGCACTAGTTGCTTTTAACTGGTTGACAGAAGCCTGGTATTTTTCTTTCATTTTGACTATTGTGGAGTTTAGAGACTCCAAAAGAAAGGACAGAAAGTAGATCCACTTTTACTTACCCTTTTGGAGATCCCAGATGAGCCCCCAAAATGTTACAGTGTCACTGCCAGTGGTGCCAAATCCTGCCTATGCAGACAAGTGGAAGGTGAACAAGACAAAGAAGAGCTTTATTGAGTGTTACAGCTCAGAGAAAATCCACAGTGGGTTGCTCCTCTCTGTAGGCAGATCATCCAATCAAGTGTCCAGCTCTCAGCAGAGAGGAGGCTCTGAAGAGGGTAGCTCCTCTCTGCCCACTGGTTGCCCCATTGTCTGCTGTTCTTAGCAGAGCGAAGACCTTGGAGAGGGTGACTCCTCTCTGCAGGCAGTTCATTCAATGTCTCTGCAGGTCTCTGAAGCTCTCACAGAGAAGGTAGCTCCTCTTTGCAGCTGGTTGTCCAGTCCTCTCTCAGTCCTCTGTCCTCTGCCCTTCTCTGGCTGAGCCCAGGGCTTTTCTCTGCCCTCTACTTTACTCTGGCTGAGCCCTAGGCTTTTATGGACCTCAGATGGGAGGAAGTGCCTGCCGATTGGTCCATGACTGGCCATGGGTGGGCCTAGAGGAGATACCACATGTCCCCGCTCCAGTCTGTGGGACTGGCAGCTGGGCCCCCAGCCTTCAAGGCTTCCCTGGCCTGAAGGAGAGGCCTTACTGGGGACCGCCCCCTTCCACCCAGGAATCTGTGCACCTCCCCACTGCCATTTTTGGTCCCTGGCTCAGCTGCAACCCCACCCCGAGATTGAAGCAGGTGGTGGGAGAGAAGAGAGGCCAGGCAGTGGAAGCATATCCCCTCAAGCCTGCAGGGACTGGGGGGCCTTCCCAAGGCCTGAAGGTGAAGGCTGCAGAGATGCCTGGCCCTGTACCTGGGAGGGTGGCTGCAGAGGCATCCGGGGAGCTCCCACACTACCAACTCAGAAGGGGTGGGGGTCCCACTTGTCCCCAGCTCCTGCCTGTTCTGTGGATTAGGAGGCCCAGGTCTGTAGCCATGGGTGGGGCAGCTGCAGCTGCACCTGGGAGGGCAGATCCTGTCTGCTCCAGGCCCCCTCCAAGAGCACAGGGAGGCTCAGATCCACAGTGGCAGTTTGGACAGCTGCAGCCTTGCCCAGGAGGTGGGGCTCCTTCGTGCAGGAGACCTGGGTCTGCAGCCACCATTCTGGCAGCTGCAGCAACACCCAGGGAACTCTGGCCTCAACTCAGAAGGGGGCGCAGCTCCCACGGGCTCCTTGGAGTGTGCAGCCCCTCCTGCAGGCAGTGTGATGGCAGCAGCTACTGCCATCACTGCTAACCAAAAATCAGTCATGTGGCTCCAACTAACTAAGACTAAGAAGAAGACTAAGAAACAGTCCAGCTGCATGTCTAGGGAAAAATGAAAATGGAGTTTGGACACAGCATCCATCAATAGATCAAGAAAATGGGGTATATGGGCTGGCTCAGTGGCTCACACCTGTAATCTCAGCAGTTTGGGAGGCCAAGGTGGGAAAATTGCTTGAGGCCGGGAGTTTGAAACCAGCCTGGGCAACATAGCAAGGCCCTGTCTCTAAAAAATTAAAAAATTTGAAATTAGAAAAGTAAAAATGTGGTATACATATACAATGGAATATTATTAAGCCATGAAACAGAATAAAATCCTGCAATTGAAGCAACATGGATAGAACTGGAGGTCATTATGTTACATAAAATAAGCCAAGGACAGAAGGACAAATATCACATGTTGTTGCTCATATGTGGGAGCTAAAAAAGTGGTTCTGATGAAGATTGAGAGTAGAATGATGGTTACTGGAGGTTGGGAGGGGTAGGAAGGAGGATGAGATGAAGAGAGGCTAATTAATGGGTACAAATATATAGTTAGATAGAAATAAGATCTAGTGTTTGATAGATCAATCCGGTGACTATAGTTAACAATACTCTATTGTACATTTTAAAATAGCTGGCAGAGAATAATTCAAATGTTCCTAGCATAAAGAAAAAATAATTATTTAAGATGGTGATATCCCAATTACCCTGTTTTATCTTTACACATTATATGACTGTATCAAAATATCACATGTGGGCCGGGCATGTTGGCTCATGCCTGTAACCCAGCATTTTAGGAGGCTGAGGCAGGAGGATGGCTTGAGCCCAGGAGTTTCAGACTGACCTGGGCAATATAGCAAGACTCCGTCTCCACAAAAGACATGGTAGCATGTGCCTGCGGTCCTAGCTACTTGGGAGGCCAAGAAAGGAAGATCACTTGAGTCCAGGAGTTTGAGGCTGCAGTGAGCTATGATCTCACCACTGCATTTCAGCCTTGGCAACAGAGTGAGACCCTATCTCAAAAATAACAAAACAAAAACAACAAAAAAATCACATTTACCCTGAAAACATCTTCATCTATTATATATTAATTAAAAGTTAAAAAGAAGAAAGAAAGCAAAGGAGAACACATAGAGATATAGCGTCCCTATCACAATGAGAAAACTAGGAAATAAACATGCAACTTGGCCAGGGTCAGAGAGAAAATACCGTGGCAGAAATGGTACTAAAACTTAATGTGGTTTTTTTTCTTCTCCTGAAGCATTCAAGATCTGCCAGGAATCAATATATCAGCATAATGGAGTCAGATTGGCTCGGTCATTTTTCTGGCTTGCCCTTCCTGGGTTGGTGTGGCAATAAGGCAGTCTCTTTTGGGGGCATGAAAAGAGCTGGGAACTTGCTAGCTGTCCATATGAAGATTATACATTTTTTAACTGCTGTGACAGATATTGTTTATAAATTGTTCTTACGAAAATATTTATAGTGGGTGACCCGGGTGCAGTGGCTCACACCTGTAATCCTAACACTTCAGGGAGGCTGAAGTGGGCAGATCACCTGAGGTAAGGAGTTAGAGACCAGCCTGGCTAACATGGTGAAACCCCGTCTCTACTAAAAATATAAAAAGTAGCTGGGTGAGGTGGCGCATGCATGTAATCCCAGCTACTCAGGAGGCTGAGGCAGGAGAGTTACTTGCAGTGAGGTTGCAGTGAGCCAAGAACACACCACTGCACTCCATCCTGGGTGACAGAGCAAGACTCCATCTGAAAAATGTATGTATATATATATATATATATATGTGTGTGTGTGTGTGTGTGTGTGTGTGTGTGTGTGTGTATACGTGATATACACGTGTATATATATACATATATATGTGAAAAAATGTATATATGAAAAAATCCCCTCAAAGTTAGAAGGCAGTCTCTCACATGAGCTGATATGTTTCCTTACATTATACAAGAACAATGTAAAGCATTTTTTTAAAAAAATTATCATATGTTTTGGTTTCGAAGAAGCTGAGAGCTAAATTTTATATAAATCTGTACCTTGGCCAGGCACGGTGGCTCACACCTGTAATCCTAGCACTTTGGGATGCCAAGGTGGGTGGATCACCTGAGGTCAGGAGTTCAAGACCAGCCTGGCCAACATGGCAAAACCCCTCTCTACTAAAAATACAAAAATGAGCCAGGTGTGGTAGCACATGTCTGTAATCCCAGCTACTCAGGAGGCTGAGGAAGGAGAATCGCTTGAACCCAGAAGGTGGAGGTTGCAGTGGGCCGAGATCGTGCCACTACACTCCAGCCTGCGCGATGCGAGCAAGACTCCATCTCAATAAAAAAAAAAGAAAAATCTGTAGTTTTGTCATATATGTGAATATGTTCCTTCACACTCCATACTCCAATTACTTATCATCTGTCATTTTATTTGTACATTAACATTTTTTGCTAATTTGAATAAATAAATTCAAATTTGGGAATTTATTTGGGATTTGAGAAGTTGTTATAGATTAGTCATAAAAACATGAGTGATAAGCAATATAAGAACTATACGAGGGCCAGGTGTGGTGGCTGTCTATAATCACAGCACTTTGGGAGGCTGAGGAGGAGGGATAGCTTGAGCCCAGGAGTTCGGGACCAGCCTGGGCAACATAGCAAGACCCCATCTCTAAGGAAAGTATATTTGAAAAAAAAAAACTATGTGAGAAATAAAGTTATGAAGCAATACAGGAAGGACCTAAAAATTGAAATAGATAACATATTAAATAATTCCATGCCTCCAATCATAATAATACTGGAAGGATAAATTTGGGTTGATTCGAGTGATAGCTGAGATAGATACAAATTTTCTCAATCTTTTTAATTTCTTTCTTGCCAAACACACCTATTCTGTTGCCTTTGCTCCCATGGTTTTGTTATCTGACTCTTCTCATGTCCACTATTCTTCTTCTTCTTCTTTTTTTTTTTTTTTTTTTTGAGACAGGGTCTCACTCTGTTGCCCAGGCTGGAGTGCAGTGGCATGATCTCAGCTCACTGCAACCTCTGCCTCCTGGGTTCAAGCGATTCTTGTGCTTTAGCCTACCTAGTAGCTAGGACTACAGGTGTGTGCCATGGCTAATTTTTGTTTTTTTGGTAGAGTTGATGTTTCACCATATTGGTCAGGCTGGTCTGGAACTCCTGGCCTCAAGTGATTCTCCCACCTTGGCCTCCCAAAGTGCTGGGATTACAGGCGTGAGCCACCTCACCTGGCCTCATGTCCACTATTCTTATCAAGCTAATTTCTCCAGTATTCCATAATTCCATAGCTCTATTTTTTACTAATCCACTAGACTCGCTTTCTTCACCTTTATATTGCCAGCACCTATGTTAATGGCTAATGTAAGACCTGCCTGTCTACAGCAATCACTTAATAAATGATGAAAAGGGAATTATTAAAAGCAATGTGAGATGGTACAAGGAGCACTGTCTATATGTCAGAAAGCCTAAAAATGTTCATACTTCTGTCACTTCAACACTGCAACCCTGGACAAATACATTAACTTGTCTGAGCTTTAATTTCCTCAACTATCAAATCAAGACGATATGTGGCTTAAGGAGAAAGAAACTTGAATGCCAGAAACTCTTATTTCTCTCTGTCATATTGATGATCTATTAAAGTGGAACAAATTATACCAACACTTAGTGGCTTACACAAGGCACATTTAATTATCTCACAGTTTCTGTGGATCAGGAGTTTGCGAGTAGGTTACCGTGGTACTCAGGTCTCTCATTTGGTTTCAGTCAGGCTGTCTGCAGGGGTTTGCTCTTCTGAAAGCTGGGCTCATGTGAGAGGATCTGCTTCCAAGATGCAACACTCACATGGCTATGGGCAGGAGGATTCAGTTCCTTGCCGTGTAGGCCTCTCCATAGGATACTTGTGTGTCATCACACAACAAGTATTTGCTTAAATATTCATGCAACCTCCTTAGAAGAAGATAGCCATTAAAAAAAAAACACACACAGTAACAATAGCACGTAACCTTGGTTTCCTGTGGGAAGGGCCACTCCCTGGTTGTCTAGAGACAGTGGAAACAACCTAACCCTGACTATTCTTCCTCAATTTCTTTATGCTTGCTTTTCCTCTACTTGTCTTTAAATGATGGTATTCTCCAGAGTCTATCTGTGGCTTTATCTCATAATATACACTTGCAATAGGAATTCTCATATATACCTCTATATTCCAACCACCTTTATGTTGACATCTTCTAAATCTGCATGTTTAATTAGGCCTCTCTCCTAAGAAAATTATATTGAATTCCCTACAAAACATCTGTAAGCATGAAGGCAGAAGCAATTCAAACTCAGTTTTTAAAAAGTAGATATTCTTTTTTTTTTTTTTTTTTTTTTTTTGAGAGAGAGAGAGAGAACCTTGCTGTGTCTCCCAGGCTGGAGTGCAGTAGTGTGATCTCGGCTCACTGCAACCTCCACCTCCCCTGTTCAAGCAATTCTCGGATTACAGGTGGCTCACTCCTGTAATTCCAGCCTCCTAGTAGCTGAGACTACAGGCATGCACCACCACACCCAGCTAATTTTTGCATTTTTAGTAGAGACAGGGTTTCTCCATGTTGGCCAAGCTGGTCTTGAACTCCTAGCCTCAAGTGATCCACCCACCTTGGCCCCCCAAAGTGCTGGGATTAAAGGCGAGAGCTACCGCGCCCAGCTTAAAAGGAGATATTCTTGATTTTGTAAAATGACTCCAGTATTTACCCAGTCACTCAAACCAAAGAACAGATGCCTAGAAATCTCACTCTTCTTTTCACATGCTGCCTTTCCTCCACTGTAGGACAGGCAAGAAATGGTATCAGGGTAAGATAGTAGATATACAGAGAAGGGGATGGAATCCAGAGAGTTATTAGGATGTAAAAGTAGGGAAGATAATGAATTGAACATAGGGGTTGCAGGAGAAGAATGGGAATACAGTTGGCTCACTCCAGTAATTCCAGCACTTTGCGAGGCTGAGGCAAGTGGATCACTTGTGGTCAGGAGTTCGAGACCAGCCTGGCCAACATAGTGAAACTCCGTCTCTACTAAAAATACAAAAAAATTAGTCGGGTGTGGTGGTGCATGCCTGTAACACCAGCTACTCGGGAGGCTGAGGCAGAAGAATCGCTTGAGTCTGGGAGGCAGAGGTTGCAGTGAGCCGAGATCACACCACTGCACTCCAGCCTGGGTGACAAAGCTAGACTCCATCTCCAAAAAAAAAAAGAAACTTTAAGAAGTTGTCAGCCAGGCACAATGGCTCATTCCCGTAATCCCGGAGGATTGCTTGAATCTAGAAGTTCCAGACCAGCCTTGGAAGGATCAGTTGAGCCTGGGAATTTGAGACCACTAGCCTGGATAACATAGTGAGACTCTGTCTCTACAAAAAATTTTTTAAAAATTAGCCAACTGTGGTGGCGTATGCCTGTAGTCTCAGCTACTTGAGATCCTGAGGTGAGAGGATCACTTGAGCCCCAGAGTTTGAGGCTGCAGTGATCCCTGATCATGCCACTGGATGACAGAACAAACCCTGTCTCAAAATAAATAAATGAATAATAAATAAATAAATACACTTACTCATCTCCATCTCCAGCTACTTGGGGAGGGGATAGTGAGTTGACAAGATAAATAGAGCAGATTTTGTTTGTTTGTTTGTTTTTTGGAGACAGAGCCCGTCCAGGCTGGAGTCCAGTGGTGCAATCTCAGCTCACTGCAACCTCTGCCTGCTGGGTTCAAGCGATTCTCCTTCTTCAGCCTCCCGAGTAGCTGGGATTACAGGCACACGCCCAGCTAATTTTTGCATTTTTAGTAAAGACGGAGTTTCACCATATTGGCCAGGCTGGTCTCAAACCCCTAACCTCAAGTGATCCACCTGCCTTGGCCTCCCAAAGTGCTGAGATTACTGCACCTGGCCTAGAGCAGATTTACTATACTGTAGAGTTATAAGAGCCCATTTGGAATTTTGGTTATAAGTTTATAGTGGTCATAGTTTGTATTTTTTTTTAAGAGATGGATCTCACTCTGTTGCCCAGGGTGGAGTGCAGTGATGCAATCATGGCTCACTGCAGCCTCAACCCCTCAAGGGATCCTCTTGCCTCAGCTCCCAAGTAGATGGGACCACAGGCATGCACCTGGCTAATTTGTTGTTGTTGTTGTTGTCCAGGCTGGTCTCAAACTCCTATCCTCAAGCAATCCCCCTGTCTTGGCTTCCAAAGTGTTAGGATTACAGGAGTGAGCCTATAGTGGTTATAATTTTATAGTCTCTGATCTGTTGTTTGACTGTCTCTAGTGCTCAGCTGCTCAGGTGCAGGCATGGAGAATACTGATGGTTAGGGCTAACCAGGTTTAGAATTTTGGCAGGTGGAATCAATGCAAAGACTGACAGGAAAGCAGCTTCGGGTAGGAAGGAGTCTCTGAGCTGGATAAGAAGGAAAATGGAGAAAGGTGGGCTGGGAAAAGCCAGAAAGGTAATGAAGCAGCCATCTTGATAAGGTCATCAAATAAGTGGAGTGTGTGTGCTTAAACAAACAAGCTAAAGAATAGTATGTTATTAGAGGCTGGTCATGGTGTCTCACAACAGTAATCCCAACATTTTGGGAGGTTGAGGCGGGCAGATTACGAGGTCAGGAGTTCAAGACCATCCTGGCTAACATGGTGAAACTCCGTCTCTACTAAAAATACAAAACATTAGCCGGGCACAATGGCACACACCTGTAATCCCAGCTACTCGGGCGGCTGAGGCAGGAGAATCACTTGAACCCAGGAAGTGGAGGTTGCAGTGAGCCAAGATCATGCCACTGCACTCCAGCCTGGGAAACAGAGCAAGACTCCGTCTCAAAAAAAAAAAAAAGTATGTTATTGTCAGACACAGGATGGATTAACTATTTTGAAAGCAAAGTAGTTACAATTGGTAACAATGCAAGTGTGTGACCAACGGAGTCCCAGCTGAGGTAGAGGAGAAACACAGAAATGAGGAGGCCAAGTAACTAAAAGGTAAGCCCCATCATTGGTCTTCTGTTACAGAATTTTTTTTGTGTTCCACATGTTTCTTCTATCAGATTAACTTTAGAATAATTTTGTGGGGTTCCTAAGATCTATTAGAATTTTCAAACTGTCACTAATGGAACTTTAAAAACCAGATAAAAAAGATCATCTTCCTTCTATTCTCCAGGTATGTGGTACTCACATGTGTCCTTTTCTATTGTTTTGTTTTGTTGTTTTTTTGAGAGAGTCTTGCTGTTGCCCAGGCTGGAGTGCAGTGGTGTGATCACAGTTCACTGTGGCCTCGACCTCCTGGGCTCAAGTGATCCTCCCCCCTCAGCCTCCTGAGTAGCTAGGACCACAGGAATGTACTACCAAACCCAGCTAGTTAAAAAAAATTTTTTTTTTAGAGACAGGGTCTCCCCCATGTTGTCCAGAATGTTCTTGAACTCCTGGGCTCAAGCAATCCGCCTGCCTCAGCCTCCCAAAGTGCTGGGATTACAGGGGTGAGCCACTGTGCCTGGCACATGTGTTCTTTTCTTCTCTGCCAAGTTTCTCAAAAATAATAGTGTAATACTCTTTAGTCTGTGTCCTTATCTTCTGCTCCTCACTCCTTTGGAAACCCTTTGCTAAGGACACTCATGGGTTCTTTTCTATCATTATCTTCCTTTACCTATTTGTAGCATCCACGTGTTTGACCACACTATTCTTTTCTTTTTTATTTTATTTTATTTTATTTTATTTTTTGAGATGGAGTTTCACTCTTGTCACCCAGGCTGGAGTGCAATGGCGTGATCTCAGCTCACTGCAACCTCCGCCTTCTAGGTTCAAAAGATTCTCCTGCCTCAGCCTCCCAAGTAGCTGGGATTACAGGCATGCACCACTATTCCCTGCTAATTTTGTATTTTTAATAGAGACGGGGTTTCACTATGTTGGCCAGGCTGGTCTTGAATTCCTAACCTCAGGTGATCCGCCTGCCTTACCTCCCAAAGTGCTGGGATTACAGACATGAGCCACCACGCCTGGCCCACATTATTCTTAAAACTCCTTGACATGCATAACATATATTGTCCTCTATCTTGTCTTCTTATTTTTCTTCTCTAGGCTTCTTTTACTCTGTCCAGCCCTAAATAGAGATGTTTTACAAGGTTATCCTCTGTTAATCATTCATTCATTCAATAGATTGAGTAAAAACAGTCTTTTCTAGGAACTGAGAATATGGAAGGGAAAAAAACACTATCTTTGCTTTCTTGGTGCTTAAATATTAGTTTACTCATAAATACACTTCCCAGGAGAGTTCATTTATTTTCACAGCTTCAACCTATAATCAGGAGTAATAGTCATAATTTATTTAACAACTGATATCATCCAAGCACCAACTAAATCAGAACAGGGTATCAACCAAATAGACAACGTCACACTCTGTTGTACTGGCTGAATATCAGCCCACCCTATAAAACATCAATATTATGATAATATGATGACATCTTTGAGTGCAGATGGGAGCCACAGGGCCGCTCAAATTCTAGCTCTGTGGCATCCTGCTTGTGTGACCTTGGGCAGTTACTTCACCTGTCTGTGTACCAGTTGTCTTCCTCTACAAAATGAGCATAATAAAGTCATCATCAGGGTTGTTATGAAAATTGAATGAGATAATACATGTGAAGCATTTAGAACTGCTTGGCATATTATAAGTATTCAATAAATGATCGCTGTTATTATTTATTATTCCAGAGCTATGTCTCTAATCCTATCTTTTTCTTCCTGAGCAGCAAAGTTATAGATTGTTTATTCCGCCAAATATACCCTAAGTGCTTATTCCTACAAGGAACTCTCAGTATAATTAGTGGAGGTAGACTTCTAAACAAACAGGAACAATAAATTTTATATATACTTGATTATATGTACTGAGTCAGATGGTAGAAATAATAAAAACAGAAAACACATATAGGGTCCTCACCATGTGCCAGGTACTAAGTGTTCATATGTGTGAACTCATATGATCTTAACAGCTGCCGCACCAAGCAAGTACTATTATTATCCTCACTTTATAGATCAGAAAACCGAGGCACAGAAGGTTCGAGTGACTTGACCAAGGGAATATAGCTACTAAGTTTTAAGCCACTCTGCCTCCAGAGCTTACGTTTCTTGTCACACCACTGTACCGTCTCACCAAAGAGGAAGCAGTCTTTTGTGACAAAAGGAGCATTTCTTACAACTTTCTTTACATATCACATCTATTTTTTTTCAGATTTTACAATTCAAAATATCCCCTGGAGGAAACAAGCTGTGGACTCCTATTCTGCCAGTTAATGTAAAGCAATGCATCCTTTCTATACTTGGAATCGACACCCTAGTGGTGACTTGTTTTCTGATTTACTATTTTTAAACATCTGATCCTCCATCATGAAAGATATATTTCTCACTTTAAATTATAAAACAAATTTTCTGGAACAGAATAAGCTCTTTGAGCTTGAACAATCCTCCCTCCTTGCCTAATTACTAAAGAGCAAACAAATACAATAGAAGCCAGAGACAGATGAACTGGAGTCATTTCCTGAATACCTACCTCGTCCCCAGGACTCAGGGCAAGTGAACACACAGATGTACACATCTGTGTACAGACTTGGATGCTGGACTTTAATCTGCCTGTAGAAAGTCTACACTTCCTACAGACTATAATAAGAAGGGTGCTACTTCTGTGTCCAGTGTCAAGGATAATCACTTAGATTTACTGAGACCCTGTACTTGCTGAGAACTGGCATCTTCTGAAACTGGCCAAAGCAGTGTTTCTCAAATTTAGGTTCTTAAATTCTCAGCGTACACTACAACCTTTCATACACTCGTTCATCTGGAATCACTGTTTCATAACCGATAGTTGCCAATGTTCAGGGAAGCCTGAATGAGAGCGCTGGCACGGGGTCAAAGAAAGATTCGTGGTAGCTTCATAAAATTAAAACTATGGGACAGGCCAGGTGCAGTGGCTCACGCCTGTAATCCCAGCACTTCGGGAGGCCGAGATGGGTGGATCACGAGGTCAGGAGATCGAGACCATCATGGTTAACACAGTGAAACCCCGTCTCTACTAAAAATACAAAAAAATTAGCCGGGTGTGGTGGCCAGCGCCTGTAGTCCCAGCTACTCGGGAAGCTAAGGCAGGAGAATGGCCGTGAACCTGGGAGGCGGAGCTTGCAGTGAGCCGAGATCGGGCCACTGAACTCCAGCCTGGGTGACAGAGCGAGACTCCGTCTCAAAAAAAAAAAAAAAAAAAAAAAAAAAACAACTATGGAACAACTGAGGCATCCTGGAATGTAAGATGGAATTTTAAGCTCAGGTTTCTATTGCTGTATAAGTTACTGCCATATTTATTATGTGGTACATATTTATGAAATCTCATCTTTGTGTGAATCAGTGTGACACATCTTACTAGAAATAGTCACTGAAACCTTCTTAGGAAAAAATAAGTGTGGTGGTTTGTAATACAAGTAGATGATCACCACAGGTTCCTTCTAATTTTATTATTTTATCATTGATTTTTTTCCCCTAAGACTGGTTCAACTTCATAGATCTTTGTTAATGTCTTTGCAAACTTCCGTAATTCACAGATTTCAATGTACTCTATCTCTTTTGGCTTAATTTCGTATCCAGATCTCATCTATGATAAAGGATACATGAAGCCTCTGCAGGATTTCAATTAGAAGGAAAAAGAAACCAAATTTCATGGACCATGACAACTTTAAAACCCTAGGGGCAGATTTGATGTTATTAGCAATCAAAGGTGGTTACTTCTGCTGTGCAGATTTCATGGTCCAAAGATTACAACAGCTTGCTATGCATCAAGCTAGCCAGTCTTTGTGCCTATCTCCCTGATGACATGTGACTTCAGACAAGTTCCCAAGGTGGCCCCCTCACTACAGTCAACACCTCCTGATCCTGGTAATCACACCTTCC
The DNA here is from genome assembly GCF_000001405.40 of Homo sapiens. Taxonomy (NCBI): domain Eukaryota; kingdom Metazoa; phylum Chordata; class Mammalia; order Primates; family Hominidae; genus Homo; species Homo sapiens. The sequence goes on from NC_000012.12 coordinate 8,579,705, forward strand.
CCCAGGCTTCTCAAGCAAAGGAATGGGACAGCTCCTGAGCTGTTGCTAGCCCCAGGACACTTCACTCTTTCTTTTTGGCTCCTTTAAGCTTCACTTTTGCAAACATTGTTTTATTAAACACCTCTCAAGTTTCCTAGGTAAAGTGTGCCATCTGTTCCTGCCAGGATTCTGTTTTTATGAAATCAATAGGAGATACATCCTTACTTTCCCCAGATTTTGTAGGTATTGGTAACACTTGGTGATTGTCTTTATGGGCCAGGATGTGGATGCATGAGTTACTATAGTTTACAGAACTAGCAATAAAGCAGACATGAATACCTAAATAGACTAGAAGGTAGGCACATCTCTTGCACACTCAACTACAGTATGCAAGTACCCAGAACCTGTCTTTGGGCCACATGCCCTTCCCACTGCATCAAGTATTAGACACGGCCAAGAACTCAGAGGAAGGCCAGTACTTCAAGTATCTACTCTTTTTTTCATCTTTACTGGGGCTGGATGCTGGTTTGTGGACTAGAAGAGCCAGGAAGGGTGTATCTGAATGGAGAGGGATTGTTGGAGAGGAAATCTAAGGAGTTCATTACTTCCATCACTTTAGGTAGCTTTAAAAAAGAGAGAAAATAGGCCGGGCGCGGTGGCTCACGCCTGTAATTCCAGCACTTTGGAAGGCCGAGACGGGCAGATCACCTGAGGTCAGGAGTTTGAGACCAGCCTGGCCAACATGGTGAAATCCCACCTCTACTAAAAATGTAAAAATTAGCCGGGCGTAGTGACATATGCCTGTAATCCCAACTACTTGGGAGGCTGAGGCAGGAGAACTGCTTGAACCTGGGAGACGGAGGTGGCAGTGAGCCGAGATCACGCCACTGCACTCCAGCCTGGGTAACAGAGCAAGACTCCATCTCAAAAAAAAAAAAAAAAAAAAAAAAAGAGAGAGAGAAAATAATAGGTTGTTAATTTGTCCATTCTTATATCTAGACATATATGCATAAAATAGCTATTTTGTAATATTAAACTTTTAAAATAATTTTAATCATCATACAATCTTTCTTTCTGCTTATTTAAGTTTCTTTCTACCTAACAGCCCTTAACCAGACAATAGTTATTAACCTTTTAACCAGGTAAAATGTATTAATAAATACTTTTGCATTGGTCATTTTGTAGAAAAAAAAAAAGAAGAAAGGAAAAAGAAAAGAAAGAAAAGGGACAGACTTCTAGTCTGCTTATTTAAGTTTCTTTCTGCCTAACAACCTTTAACCAAACAATAGATATTAACCTTTTAACCAGATAAAATGTATTAATAAATACTTTCGCATTGGTCATTTTGTAGGAAAAAAATAATAAAGAAGGAAAGAAAGAAAAGGGCCAGTCTTCTAATTCATGGAACTATAATAGATCTTTCCCCAGTGCACATGGCAAGTCAATGCACCAAGATACCAAGTTGCAACAAAGAAAGAGGTTTAATGGCAGGGCTGCCTGAAAAGGAAATAGGAGGAAACCTCAAACCTCTCTCCCCAAGTAGTTTGGGGCTAAGGATTTTAAAGGTTTTGGAGTGAGCCAAAGTGTGGAGATCATTGATAGGTCAGAGTTCAGGATGAAGTCATGGGACACAGGAAGAACCTGCGTTCTCAGGCTGATTTGGCTCCTCTGGGGGTAGGGGGGTGGTCTTCAAACTGGTTAGCTCAGCTATTTCGCTGGAATTTGGGGTCTGAAAAACATCTTAAGCAATTCTTGAACAAAAGCCTTATGATTCTAATGTCGGGGACCCTATCTGTAGTAACAATGGGGATTCAAATGGTCAGCGTCTAATGCTACTGACTATCGATTACAAGGAAGGGGGCCGAAGAGCAGCCTGATTAATGATTAATTATAATTATATTTCTGTCCAGAATTCCTCTTAACTCTGTAAGGACAGCTTCATTTGGGCTGAAATAGGTAGGAAAGACATAATAAGAAGCAAACCGGCCGGGCACGGTGGCTCAAGCCTGTAATCCCAGCACTTTGGGAGGCCAAGGCAGGCAGATAACTTGAGGCCAGGAGTTTGAGACCAGCCTGGCCAACATGATGCAACCCCATCTCTACTAAAAATACAAAAATTAGTTGGACCTGGTGGCAGTCGCTTGTAGTCTCAGCTACTTGGGAGGCTGAGGCACGAGAATCGCTTGAACCCTGGAGACGGAGGTTGCAGTGAACCGAGATAGCACCATTGCACTCCAGCCTGGGCAACAGAGTAAGACTCTGTCTCAAAAATAAAAAAGCAAATCAGTCAACATATTTGGCTTGGATTGTCTCTTGGTGCTTGATGCTTTCACTTTATGCTACAATTTATTAAGTATACTGAGTATCTTATAAGATTTGGTGGATGGCCGGGCGTGGTGGCTCACACCTGTAATCTCAGCACTTTGGGATGCCAAGGCGGGTGGATCACCTGAGGTCAGGAGTTCGAGACCAGCCTGACCAACATGGTGAAACCCCGTCTCTACTAAAAATACAAAAATTAGCCCAGCGTGGTGGCAAGCGCTTGTAATCACAGCTACTCCGGAGGCTGAGGCAGGAGAATTACTTGAACCCGGGAGGCGGAGGTTGCAGTGAGCCGAGATTGCGCCACTGCCCTCCAGCCTGGGGAACAAGAGTGAAACTCCGTCTCAAAAAAAAAAAAAAAAAAATGTAGTGGATAGTTTGCAGCTCTTGCTGTGCTTGTGACAGAAGTATGAGCCAGTTGCTTAGGATAAAGCCAGAGCTTCTACACCATGACATACTCGTGGTAGACAAATGAATTACTCTACGGGATTTCTGAAGGCAAGATTGGTGGACCAATCATATTCTCTGATAGATTAATTACATATATTTTCTCCCAGGTTCTGATTGGCCATTAAGTAGAGGATTTGAACAGTGATTTTTGTAATGATGATATAAAATGAAAGCTTGGGTCTGGGCACAGTGGTTCATGCCTGTAAACCCAGCACTTTGGGAGGCCAAGGCGAAAGGATTGCTTGAGGACAAGAGTTCAAGACCAGCCTGGGCAACATAGCAAAACCCTGTCTCTAAAAAAAAATAATAATAGTAAGAGCTATGCCAGGCGCAGTGGCTCATGCCTGTAATCCCAGCACTTTGGGAGGCCGAGGTGGGCAGATCACTTGAGGTCAGGAGTTCAAGACCAGCCTGGCCAACATGGTGAAACCCCATCTCTACTAAAAATACAAAAATTAGCCAGGCATGGTGGCAGGCACCTGTAATCCTACCTACTAGGAAGGCTGAGGCACAAGAATCACTTGAACCCAGGAGGTGGAGGTTTCAGTGAGCAGAGATTGTGCCAATGCACTTTAGCCTGTGCAACAGAGCAAGACTCCGTTTCAAATAATAATAATAATAATAAAGAGCCATATGAGAGATTATACAACTGGGTGATATAGTTTGGATATAAGCCCTCCACCCAAATCTCGTGTTGAATTGTGTAATTCCCACTGTTGGAGGTGGGGTCTGGTGGGAGGTGATTGGATCATGTGGGTGGATTTCACGTGATGGTTTAACACTATCCCCTTGGTGTCGTCCTCACAATAGGGAGTGACTTCTCATGAGACCTGGCTGTTTAAAACTGTGGCACCTCACTCTCTTTCTCTTGCTCCTGCTCCCACCATGTGAGACACCTGCTCCCTCTTCACTTTTCACCATGATTGTAACCTTCCTGAGGACTCCCCAGAAGCAGATGCCTGTGTCATGCTTCCTGTACAGCCTGCAGAACCGTAAGCCAATTAAACCTCTTTTCTTTTTAAATTACGTAGGCTCAGGTATTTCTTTCTTTTCTTTCTTTCTTTTTTTTTTTTTTTTTTTTTTTTTGAGACAGGATCTCACTCTGTCACCCAGGCTGGAGTGCAGTGGTGCCATCATGGCTCATTGCAACCTTGACCTTGACCTCCTGGGCTCAGGTGATCCTCCCACCTTAGCCTCCCAAGTAGCTGGGACTACAGGTATGCATCACCACACCTGGCTAACTTCTTGGTTTTTTTTATTAAGACATGGTCTCACTACATTGCCCAGGCTGGTCTTGAACTCCTTGGCTCAAGCAGTGTGCCTGCCTTGGCCTCCCAAAATGCTGGGATTACAGGTGTGAGCCACCATGTTTGGCAAGTATTTCTTTATAGCAATGTAAGTTCAGCCTAATATACCAGGTAAACAGTAGGCATAAAATAAGCTAGAGTCTTAAAGTAATAAGGAACATTACACCTTACTGAATATCCAAATCCCTGAGTATGTAAATGTACAATTTCTTAGTCATATCCAAAGTTACATTTTGATGGAATCATATGCTTCCTATTAATATCCTCATCCCACAGAGTAATCATTTTTGCCAACTTCAGTGAATGTTTACACAATATATCATTTCAAGGCAGTTTTTTAAATAAGGAAACAGAAGTTACTTCCTCCATGATGAAAAAATAAATAACAACAGAGCCATGCTGAAATATAGATTCTGGACGGTCAGCTGGGCTCACTCACTAGCTAAGTAATGTTTTCCTTTACACCAGTCTTAAAATAAAGTTCAAGCAGTCCTCTAGGGAAATAACAAAACCAGAAAATGTGGCCAAGCGTGGTGGCTCACGCCTGTAATCCCAGCACTTGAAGAGGCTGAGGCGGGAGGATTGCTTGAGTGTGGGCGGCAAGCCACCCAGGCACCGAGGCAAGAGACAGAGGACACGAGCTGTTCCAGTATAGTAAAATATAAAACAAGAACAGTTATACCAGATATAGATCTTAGATATGATTATATATGAATATCATTAATCCTTAGTTTGTAGCAATTACTTTTTATTCCAATATTATAATAATCCTTGCTCTATAATCATAGCCTAGGAAAAATCAGGCCATACAGAGATAGGAGCTGAGGGGACATAGTGAGGTGTGACCAGAAGACAAGAGTGCGAGCCTTCTATTATGCCCGGGCAGGGCCACCAGAGGGCTCCTTGGTCTAGCGGTGACGCCAGCGTCTGGGAAGATGCCCATTACCAGGCGGATCGTGGTCCAGCGGTAGCAAAAGGTGTCAAGGAACAACACCCGCTACTTAGCAGACCGGGAAAGTGGAGGGGGGGTCTCCCTTTCCCGGGGGAGTTTAGAGAAGACTCTGCTCCTCCACCTCTTGTGGAGGGCCTAAAATTAGTCAGGCTCGCCCGCAGTTATCCAGAGGCCTAACCGTCTCCCTGTGATGCTGTGCTTCATGTTCTGGTCTGCCTTCATGTTCCATCCTGTACACCTGGCTCTGCCTTCTAGATAGCAGTAGTAAATTAGTGAAAATACTAATAGTCCCTGATATGCAGAAATAATGGTGTAAGCTGTCTTTCTGTCTGTCTCCTCTCCCTCTCTGCCTCGGCTGCCAGGCAGGGAAGGGCCCCCTGTCCAGTGGACACGTGACCCACGTGACCTTACCTATCATTGGAGATGACTCACATTCTTTACCCTGCCCCTTCTGCCTTGTATCCAATAAATAACAGCGCAGCCAGACATTCGGGGCCACTACCGGTCTCCGCGCATTGGTGGTAGTGGTCCCCCGGGCCCAGCTGCCTTTTCTCTTGTCTCTTTGTCTTGTGTCTTTATTTCTACACTCTCTCATTGCCGTACACAGGGAGAGACCCACCGACCCTGTGGGGCTGGCCCCTACACTTGAGCCCAGGAGTCTGAGATCTGTCTGGGCAACATGGTGAAACCCTGTCTGTGCAAAAATCACAAAAAATGAGCTGGGTGTGGTGGCATGCATCTCTAATCCCACTTACTCGGGAGGCTGAGCTGGTTGAATCACCTGAGCCTAGGAGATCAAGGTTGCAGTGAGCTATAATTGTACTACTGCACTCCAGCATGGGCAACAGAGGGAGACCCTATTTCAAATAAAACAAACAAACAACAAAACCCCAGAAAATGTTAAACCTTAGAATGATTAAGAATCTGCTATAGGGATGGGCATGGTGGTTCATACCTGTAGTCCCTACTACTTAGGAGGCTGAGGCAGGAGGATTGCTCAAGACTAGGAGTTTGAGACCAGTCTGGGCAACATAATTACATCCTCATCTCTATAAACCAACAAAAAAATTAGCCAAGCACAGTGGCTCCCCCCTTGAGTCCCAACTGCTCAGGAGGCTGAGGCAGGAGGATTGCTTGAGCCCAGGAATTCGAGGCTGCAGTGAGGTATGATCACACCACTGCACTCCAGCCTGGGCAATGGAGCAACACTATGCTGCTTAAAAAAAAAAAAGAAAAGAAAAAGAAAGAAAGAAAAGAAAAAGACTGCTACATGTATCTAATAAAACAAGGACTATAATCAGGGGTTAAAGGGAATACCCAGTGTAGCGTATAGCCCAGGTGATGGGTGAAGGTATCTTTCACTAACTAGACATGCTCATGTCCTTGGGAAAGAGGTGAATTTAAGATAAAATCACTAGCGATGGATCAAGGTGATGGCAAAACCATTTCAAGACCTATAGGCCTTCGATGGTCCTTCTTTTGGGAGTGTTTTGTATTCTTTTCTGGGATGATTAGTCTGGTGAGTTCACAAGAGAAGTCAGAGGAGAGGCTTGAGAAAAGTTTATTATACTAGATCCTAGAGACACAGAGGCATGGCATGGCATGCAGGGCCACATGGAAAACAGCAGGGTGGTCAGGATGCTGAAGACAGGAGCAAGCGAAGGTTTAGGACAGAGCGTTTCTTGCAGTTTTGGGAAAGGGAAGAGGTAAGACAGAGTGGGGTAAGTTTAGGATTGGCTAATTTGAATACTCTAAACTATAGGCGTGGTTCCTAGTTGCCTGGTATCTAGTGTACTCTAGATATCTAGTCTCTAGATATCCCAGCACTAGATACCAGGCAACTAGGAACCACGCCTATAGTCTAGAGTACACCTAGAATATACTAGATACATGGTGCCTGGTGTCTAGTGCTGGGATGATTACTATAGAGAAATAGTGCCTCTTGGGGTTTATGAACCAGATAGAGGAGGTTTGGCTCTCGACTGATTAGTCTGCATATTAAAGATGTGCTCCTGGCTGAGACTGCTATCTCTAAGAATTGGCTGGCCCTAGGAGAGACAGTCTCCACTTAGCCAGAGAGATTTTTTAACATGTTAAAACATCATAATTTTTTTTTTGTTTTTGAGACAGAGTGTCGCTCTGTTGCCCAGGCTGGAGTGCAGTGGCACAATCCTGGCTTACTGCAACCTCCATCTCCTGGGTTCAAGCAATTCTCTGCCTCAGCCTCCCGAGTAGCTGGGATTACAGGTGCCTGCTACCACACCTGGCAAATTTTTGTATTTTTAGTAGAGATGGGGTTTCGCCATGTTGGCCAGGCTGGTCTCGAACTTCTGACCTCAGGAGATCTCCCTACCTCAGCCTCCCAAAGTGCTTGGATTACAGGCGTGAGCCACCTCACCTGGCTGATATACATAAAATTTTATATGTGTATACACACACACACTACACAGGCCCTCCTGTGCATCATATCAATTGCCCATATTCATGTGCAACATTATTCTTTATTTTTATTTTTTTGAGACGGAATCTCACTCTATCGCCCAGGCTGGAGTGCGGTGGCACGATCTTAGCTCACTGCAACCTCCACCTCTGTTCGAGAGATTCTCCTACTTCAGCCTCCTGAGTAGCTGGGAATACAGGCTTCTGCCATCACTCCCAGCTACTTTTTATATTTTTAGTAGAGACAGGGTTTCACTATGTTGGCCAGGCTGGTCTTGAACTCCTGAGGTCAAGTGTTCCAGCCACCTCGGCCTCCCAAAGTGCAGGGATCACAGGCATGAGACACGACGCCCAGCCTGCAAAATAAATTTATATATATGGCCAGGCCCTGTGGCTCATACCTGTAATTCTAGCACCTTGGGAGACTGAGGCAGAAGGATCACTTAAGGCCAGGAGTTTGAGACCAACCTGGGCAACATACTGAGACCTCATCTCTAAAAAAAAAAAAAAAAAAAATTAAAAACAAAGAACTAATATACGAGTTGAATTACAATTGGCTAATTAGCATCTTGTGTTTTGTTGACGTTTAATCTAACATTTATTTACTTTGATTTTGCAGGAATTTGGCACTGGGGAGATGGGTATTTTGGAGGCATTTGTTTGATTTTAGGTTTCAAATAGTATGTAGACCCTTGAAAAACTCATAGACCCTAGTGTATCTCAGACTCCCGGCCATAACCTAGTCTATCAAATTGCCTGATGTCCTGAATCTACCTTCACATTGTTTAGGAATGATGGCTTACGTAACCCCCAACTTTTGATGAGTATCTTAGCATCTGTCAACTTGGTAAGACCAGACTAATTTGCTAATTTGCTGTTGACAAATGGGCTGTGTAATCCCCTGGCCTGCTCTGATACCAGGCACCAACTCACCTGACCCACTATGGGCTGGGTAAAACTGTCCTGCCCTCCATGGAGCAAGTAGCTATTTACCATGTGCGGATTGGGCAAAAGAAGGGATGGCCTGGTCCCAAGCAATGTTGAGAGAATTCAGAATTTGTTGATGGGCTTGATTGGTAGCTCAGTCTAAGATGCTCAATCAGTCCATCAGAACAACATATATCAAGAGCCTATGATGTTTCAGACAATCTTCTAAGATGATAATGGACAAAATAAACAATACAAATCCTATCATTCTCTCTCACTCACAAATTTCACAAAAGAACAATATCTGATTGTTGTTCATCATCCCCAATTTTTTACTGCTCATTCAGTCTTCAATCCAATATGTTTACCACTCTACTAAATGCCTTATTTACTTCTATACTGTTAAATTCAATCAGCACTTTTTATCTTATCTCTCTGTAAGCACTCCCTCTTTCTGAAAACTTGCTAATTTTTTGTCTCTGTATAAACCACTCCCTTTGTTTCCCTTTTCTCTTTGGGTATCTCTTCCAAGACTCATTCTTTCCTCTCCCATAATTCACATATCTGTGCTTCTCCTTCCTCTATCATTTTCATTTCTACAGACTTTCCATGTTGGGGACCTCATGTGCATGGATGGATTCATTGAATTAATATGCGGCTGATAATCACCAGATTTATTATTTCCAACTCATACCTCCGTATACAATTATTTACCTGTCAGCATGTCCCAAAGTAAACTCATTGTTTTTATCACCCTGTTTTCTTTTCTCCTCTATTTTCTCTCTTGGTGCCTGGGATTAACCCCCTCCTCACCTGTGCCAACTCATCAACCAAAGGTAGATGCTACCCCCCACCCACCGTATTCACTAGCTCCTTTTATCGTGAAGGCTTTATCCCTTTTATCCAGACCTAACTGCAATAGCATTTAGGAAATCTTTTAGTCTCCAGTCCACCCTTTCTAATTCATCCTCCACACTGCTGCCAGAATATTTCTAAATAACAGGTTTGTTCTGTCACATTAGCATCTCCACGTAAACAATAAATAAATAAATTGCAAGTTTGATGAAGTTACTCCTACTTTTTTGTTAGAGACATGGTCTCCCTATGTTGCCAGGCTGGAGTGTAGTGGCTATTCACAGGCACGATTATAGCACACTACAGCCTCAAACTCAAGTGATCCTCCTGCCTGAGCCTCTTGAGTAGCTGGGACTAGAGGAACACACAACCATCCTCAACTTTAGTTATTAAGTTGGTGCAAAAGTAATTGCTGTTTTGCCAAAACTGCAATTACTTTTGCACCAAACTCATACTTCCCCTTTCAAAAAATTATTTTAGATTAGCCAGGCATGGGGGCATGGGGTTGTAGTCCCAGCTACTTGGGAGATTAAGTCAGGAGGATTGCTTGAGCCCAGGAGTTTAAGGCCGTAGTGTGCTATAAGCTCCAGTAAGCCACCTTTGAACCTTTAAGCTGATTTAAGATGATATCCTCCATGTGCTTTCTGTGCATGCTGGTGTCAAATTTTGTGTTTGAAATTGGGTAGTGTTGGTCTCTCCTTCCTCTAGGAGCATTTTTAAAGGGAAAGGCTGTGTTTCACTAACTTCGTAGCACCTACAATGGGGTTTGACAAACAGCAGGCGCTCAAAAGATATGTGATACAGAAACAAATGATCTCCCTTGCTTGAGGAAGATATGGCCAACCTAGCCAGTCACAGTCACCAGAAAGTGAGATTAAATTCTGTAGCCTTTGTGCTGTAGAGTTCTGTTCCTACCCAAAACAACAACTTTATCAGAAACTGTAGGGCTGAGCTAAGCCTGAGTAGAGGAAAACCAACATGCACGTTTCAGGAATAAACACGGAAATTCAAAGTCTAGAACAAGAGCTGGGCGTGGTGGCTTGTGCCTGTAATCCCGGCACTTTGGCAGGCCAAGGTTGGCGGATTGTTTGAGTTCAGGAGTTCAAGACCAGCCTGGGCAACATGGTGAAATCCTGTCTCTACAAAAAAAATGCAAAAATTAGCTTGGCATGGTGGCTCGTACCTGTAGTCTCAGCTACTTGGGAGGCTTAGGTGGGAAGCCTTGAGCCCGGGAGATGGAGATTGCAGTAAGCTGAGATCATGCCATGACACTCCAGCCTGGGTGACAGAGCCAGGCCCTGTCTCAAAAACAAAAGTCTAGAACAACAGAGACTAGAATTGAGGTATTTCCATGAGACTAGAGTTTAGAATACAGACCTAGCAGAGCTCATCAGAGCATAGGTAGGACAGAAATAAGCCAAAAGTGTCCTGGGGTGATGGCGAGAAACATAAGCTAGTATTTGGGCTTTGAGTTTAAATGCTATTAGGTACATGTTTGTGAGTCATACTGGCTTATGGGACCAGGGACAGGAGAGACAGCCAGTTAGGCAAGGAATTACAGCCACTGGGTAAGACCCAGGCTCAGATGCAATTTGTTGTTTGAGTATGACTGTTAACAAGGAGCAAAGCTCCAGTCAGTGTAGAAAATGGTGGTTTACTTTTAATTCGCTTTCCTTTTGCAACTTTCATATCTAGTCATTCACTTCTTCAAGTTGATTCTTCATAAACTGTTTTATAGCTGTCATTCTAATTCTCACTACCACCTTACTATCAACATTCTTCATGGTGAAAAGATGAGTAGGGACAATAATATTGACACTCTTTGGGGAATTTGAGGAAAAAAAATGCCCAGTAGGTATAGGATTAAGAATATAAAATAGAAAGTGAAGAAAGGGGCAGGTATGATGGGTTGCATGCAAGTTAAAATCTTATAGAACATAAACTGAGTAAGCCAGGAATTCAGCTGACAAGGGAGATGAGCAGAGGAAACCCTGAGAGAGAAAAGGAGATATTCAGAGAGACAGAGGCCGTGTGGTCCCTGAAAAACAGACAGAAAAAGTAGCCAATCACTACAGCCATCTCAGTTATTCAATGCAACCCAAATGTAGGTGTTGCTCTGAGGTATTTTGTAGATACGTCTAAAGTTCATAATCCATTGATTTTAGGTGTGGAAGATGATTCTAGATCATTGGGTGTGCCTGATTGAATTAGCTGAAAGAAGTTAAGAACAGAAGCGAGGCTTCCCTGAAGAAGAAATTCCACCTACGGAATATAGCATTGTTCACGTACTAGAGTTCTAGCCTGCCCTTCTTGACAGCCTCCCCTGCAGATCTGGGACTTCCCCTGCCATCCCCCATAACCACCCAGGCCAATATAGCTCCACCTACAGTCCTCTTTCTCCGGTTTAACCCTGACTGTTAAACTCTTTCCTACAGATTGCTCAACCCTCACAAAATGTTTTGTAAGTCATTGTTGGACCACGGACTTGAGCGCTCGAGGCCATCCTATCCAGGTTGATCCCATTGCTGTGGAATGTTACAGCACAGGGGTCCCACAGACGTAGCTTTATGATCACTGTCCCAGGCTATTACATGTGGAAGGACAGTTTTTAGACACTCAGAGAACCATGCCCTCTCCTCTGCTAGATTTCAATTTTACTGAAATTTTCTTAACTCCTTAAAGCTGTGAAATATCCTATAGGGTAATAAGAAAATGCTGGAGAATATAGAATAATGAAATTTTATATTGCTTCCTAAGTTTAAAATAGTATTTCTTTTCTTCAATTTTAATTATTAAAGATAGCCAATGCTTCTTTCTCTCATCTACTCTGTCTTCCTGGAGATAACCACAGCTAGTAGGTTGGAGTTTCTCTTTAGCCCTTTTGCTAAGCATATGTATATATGTATGGATATGTTTGAAAAGAAGGCTATATGTGTCTGTGTGTGTTATCTATCTACACACACACACACACACACACACGTTAAAACATAAATGAGATCAAGCTATGCAAATTATTTGTCCAGTTTTTTGTTTTTGTTTTTTTTTTGAGACAGGGTGTCACTGTGTCACCCAGGCTGAGTACAGTGGCGCCATCACAGCTCATTGCAGCCTCAATTTCTCAGGCTAAGGTAATCCTCCTCCATCAGCCTGAGTAGCTAGGACTACAAGCACAAGTCAGCACACCCGGCTGCTTTTTTTTTTTTTTTTTTTTTTCAAAGACGGAGTCTCACTCTGTTGCCCAGCCTGGAGGTCTGTGGTGAGATCTTGGCTCACAGCAACCTCCGCCTCTTGGGTTCAAGCAATTCTCATGCCTCAGCCTCCTGAGTAGCTGGGATTATAGGCACCCATCACCAAACCTGGCTAATTTTTGTATTTTTAGTAGAGACAGAGTTTCACCATGTTGGCCAGGCTGTTCTTAAACTCCAGACCTCAAGTGATCCTCCCGCCTCAGCCTCCCAAAGGGCTGATATTACAGGCATGAGTCACTGCATCTGGCTGACTCTGATCTTTTAGATGTTGGCATTTTAAGATGAAAAGTTTGGCTGATCCAAAGGTAGCAAGTTACCTCAATTGACTGTTCACAGTTGCAGATGAAACTCCTTGTTCTATTCTTTCCCTACCTTCCCACTGCTGCACTTGACTAGTCTTTAAAAAGAAGTCCTTAAAATGGGCCAGGCTTGGTGGCTCACGCCTGTAATCCCAGCACTTTGGGAGGCTGAAGTGGGAGGATCACCTAAGGTCAGGAGTTCGAGACCAGCCTGGCCAACATGGTGAAACCCTCTCTCTACTAAAAATACAAAAATTAGCCGGGCATGCTGGCGGGTGCCGGTAATCCCAGCTACTAGGGAGGCTGAGGCAGGAGAATTGCTTGAACCCAGGAGGCGGAGGTTGCAGTGAACCTAGATTGTGCCATTGCACTCCATCCTGGGCGACGAGAGCAAATCTCCGTCTCAAAAAATAAAATAAAATGAACAAAAATGACGAAAGAGCTGAGAAAATTTGATTAGAGCTGTTAACATCATTGCGATATTTAGGATATTTAAGAAAACTTGTTTTGCCGTTTTGTAGGTTTAATTTATTAGATTTACTTGCAAATCTGCCATGTAAAGCATTTAAGCTGGTTAAAAGAGTTTATGTTAATATGCACGATGTAATTTAAAACATTAAAATTAGTGTAAGCTGGGTGCTGTTGTGCGTGCCTGTAGTTCCTGCTACAGGGGAGGCTGTGGCAGGAGGATCACTTGAGCCTAGTGGTTTGAGTCCAGCCTGGGCAACATAGCAAGACTCCAGGAAAGGAAAGGAGAGGAGAGGAGAGGATGGGGGAGGGGAGGGGAGGGGAGGGGAGGGGAGGGGAGGGGAGGGGAGGGGAAGGGAAGGGAAGGGAAGGGAGGGAAGGGAAGGGAGGGGAAGGGAGAAAGGAGGGAGGGAGGGAAGGAAGGAAGGAAGGAAGGAAGGAAGGAAGGAAGGAAGGAAGGAAACAGTGTAATCAAATTTGCCAATAGGATTTTTTAGCCAGTTGTGGCAGCTCAGGCCCGTAATCCCAGTGTTCTGGGAGGCTGAGGCAAGAGGATCCTTTGAGGCCAGGAGTTTGAGACCAGTTTGGTCAACATAGCAAGTGTCCATCTCTACAAATAATATTTTATTTATTTTATTATTTTTTAATTAATTAATTTTTTTTTCTATATAGAGACGAGGTGTCACTGTGTTGCCCAGGCTGGCCTCAAACTTCTGGGCTCAAGTGATCCTCCCGCCTCGGCCTCCCAAAGTGCTGGGATTATAGGCAAGCATCACAGTGCCCGGCCCTCTACAAATTATTTATTTACTTATTTACTTATTTTGAGACAGGGGCTCGCTCTGTCACTGGGGCTGGAGTACAGTGGTACGACCTCGGCTCACTGCAACCTCTGCCTCCTGGGCTCAAGCGCTCCTCCCATCTCAGGCTCCCCAGTAGCTGGCAATACAGATGCGCGCCACCACACCTGGCTAATTTTTTGTATTTTTAGTAGAGATGGGGTTTTACCATGTTGCCCAGGCTGGTCTTGAACTCCTGAGCTCAAGCCATCCTCCTGCCTCGGCCTCCCAAAGTGCTGGGATTACAGGCATGAGCCACTACGCCCGGCCTCTACAAATAATATTTTTTAAAAAAGTAGTCGGGCATGGTGATATATGCTTGTAGTCCCAGCTACTTGAAAGACTGAGGTAGGAGGATTGCTTGACCCTAGGAGTTTGGGACTGCACAGTGAGCTATGATCATACCATTGCATTCTAGCCTTGGTGATAGAATGCCGGATCTGTCCCACAGACCCTGGCCGAGCGATGGATGAAAGGAATACTCAGACACAGGTATGCAGTGTCAGAGCCGCTAGGGGACTGCTGGCAGAGTAAGCAGTCTCGAGCAGCTGGAGCTGCTTGCATTTATTTAGTACAGACATAATGCGAAAGTCTGGAGCAAACACAATCTGCAGGTAATTAACATTATTGTTCCCCCTTACCTGGAGCAGTCACTCGGGGTTGGCCAAAGATAGTTTCTGGACAACATGGGTAAACAAGCCTATTTAGATAAATTCCGCTATACTTCCTTGTACCTATTTCTTGCCCTCTGCCTCAGGGTAAGAAAACAGGTGCCTCCAGCTTATTCTCCCCAGAAGCTTTGCAGAGCCTTCTGACATTTCAAAAGGTCTGCTTCTTTCCCTATAGCTTCTTCCACCACTCTGACCTATCCCCCACAACAAAGCAAGATTCAGTCTCAAAAAAAATAATAATTCTGTTTTTAAAAATATAATCTCTATCTTGGGTTGCTCCAATATTAAAGAACAAGTGAAAGTGGTTGTCATCTAATGCAAAAAATTAGATTTGTAAGTCATATAACACAATTTTTCAGTTGGAAATAGGACCAGGCATGGTGGCTCACACCTGTAATCCCAGCACTTTGGGAGGCCAAGGCAGGCGGATCACTTGAGGTCAGGAGTTCGAGACCAGCCTGGCCAACATGGCAAAACCCGGTGTCTACCAAAAATACAAAAATTAGCCAGGCATGGTGGTGCATGCCTGTAATCCCAGCTACTCAGGAGGCAAGAGAGTTGCTTGACCAGCGGGGAGGCAGAGGTTGCAGTGAGCCAAGATCATGCCACTGCACTCCAGCCTGAGCAACAGAGCAAGCCTCCATCTCAAAAAAGAAAAAAAAAAGTTTGAAATAAAGGCTTAAAATTCCAAAATACTATGAATAATGCTTTCTGTGATGAAAAGTGTTTTTTTGTTTTTTTTTGGTTTTGTTTTTTGTTTTGAGATGGAGTTTCGCTCTTGTTGTCCAGGCTGGAGTGCAGTGGCACGATCTTGGCTCACTACAACCTCCGCCTCCTGGGTTCAAACGATTCTCCTGCCTCAGCCTCCCAAGTAGCTGGGATTACAGGCGCCCGCCACCAACCCCAGCTAATTTTTGTATTTTTAGTAGAGACAGGGTTTCACCATATTGGCCAGGCTGGTCTCGAACTCCTGACCTCAGGTGATGCACCCACCTCGGCCTCCCAAAGCGCTGGGATTACAGGTGTGAGCCACTGTGCCCAGCTGCCAACTTTCATTTTAAAACTTCATATAATATTTTATCCATGTACATGGATTGCCAAAGCTTATTGAAGGCAGAGACTTTTTTGAATTAAAAGTTTTCTTTATATATCTTCATGATGTCACAATGCTATGCACATAGTAGAGTAATCAGCAAATATTTGGAAGAATAAATAAATAATTAACAAACTCTATTTCTCATGAAATCTTAAAAATAATTATTGTTGGCTGGGCACGGTGGCTCATGCCCGTAATCCCAGCACTTTGAGAGGCCAAGGTGGGTGGATCACTTGAGATCAGGAGTTCGAGACCAGCCTGGCCAACATAGCTAACCCCCATCTCTATGAAAAATACAAAAAATTACCGGGGCATTGTGGTACATGCCTGTAGTTCCAGCTACTCAGGAGGCCAAGACAGGAGAATCACTTGAACCCAGGAGGCAGAAGTTGCAGTGAGCTGAGATCACGCCACCGCACTCCAACCTGAGCGACAAAGCAAGAGTCTGTCTCAAAAAATAATAATAATAATAATAGTCATTGTCTCTATTACAAAGTGATTCTCAGTAATGTATAAGAAACAGTGAACATTACAGACTATTGCAATAGACTAAGCAAAAGTTATTGATGGCTTGAACTAAAGCGTGTCAATGGCTTCCAGCCTAAAGGCACCAGGAGCACACCTAGCGTTGAACAAATTGGGTCTATTACTCATTGCAGTGAGGGGAGAGCACACATCATGGGGAGACATGAGCTATGAGTTGTCTCAGTGAGAGGTTGTTAGAAAGAACGAGTAATAGAAGTTGGACTTTGGTAAGCGTATAGAGCACCCTTCATGTAACTAACTCCAGCCGGGCGTGGTGGCTCATGCCTGTAATCCCAGCACTTTGGGAGGCCAAGGCAGGAGGATCCCTGGAAGTCAGAAGTTCGAGACCAGCCTGGCCAATATGGAGAAACCCCATCTCTACTAAAAAAAACAACTAGCTGGGTGTGGTGATGCATGCCTGTAATCCCAGCTACTCAGGAGGCTGAGGCGGGAGAATCACTTGAACCCAGAAGCCAGATGTTGCAGTGAGCAGAGATCACGCCATTGCACTCCAACAGAGTGAGACTCCAGCTCAAAATAAAACAACAAAAAGACATAACTAACTCCATCTTATTAAAAAAGACGCCATTTTACATTTCATAGGGCACTTTGCCAATAAGAATAACACGTTCTGTTTAATAAATTAATTTTTTTTAAAGGCTGCATACAACCAGATAAAAACACAAACACACTCTTCCACTATCAGTTCTCACCAAATACTCTATGAATATGAAACAGATTAGCCCTTCAACAACTCAAAACAGCCATCCTAAGTGACACTTTCTTGCAGTCACTCATGATAAAAACCTGGCATCTGCCACCAAAGGCTCTACCACCTCCCAGTTTTCCTTACATGACCAGCAAACCACCCACCCCAGACCCGGACTCCTTTTATCATCTTCACTCCTACTAAACTAGTTCATTAACCCTTTCTCCTAGCTCTCTCTCTCTCTCTTTTTTTAATGTTAAATGTTACTTTGTTTATCGTAAAATACTTAACCTATAATATTTATATATTAATTTAATATACTATAATAATGTATGGTTTACAATATTGACTGACTTATAAAGTGACTTGAGCCCGTGTCTCTGGGGCTCTGACTACCAAAGAAACAAAAAGTACTTTAAAAAAATGGCCTCCTTAAGAACTCCATATAATCTGTAACTTTTGTGATTAAAATAACATCGATAAAATCCTAACATTGTAAAAACACACAAAAATACATAGACTTGGTTATTTCTAACCTTACACCACTCATGACAGTCGGGTGATTTGGAGGGAAGGTCAAATAAAATGAAGATTTGCTCTGGATTAGATGTTGTTAGGGAATCGGGTCAATTCTGTAATTGGGGATGTGAATAGATATTATCTCAGGGAGGGCAGGTTAGAACAAGGATAAAGCTGTAATTGGTAAAGAAGTAGCAGTCACTTGTCCTGGCCTAGGCCATTTCTGCTCCCCCGCGCTCAGTCCTAGCAGAGTAGTCTGGCAGGACGCACAGCAATCTCCCTCTCAGTTTAGGAGGGCCGTCTCCTAAGAATAGGGCTGGCAGGAAAGGACAATTTAAGATTAAAAAAGAAGAAAGAAAATGTAGCAGTCATTCCTTTTTAGCCAAGAGAGGGATGTTTGATATTTTGTGTTTGATATTTTGTGGGTGGCACAGTGAACATATTTGTTTGTTCGTTTTGTGTATTTAGAAAAAATTATGAAGAGGCTTTGCTTTCTCTTATTTTATCATAGTCTTAGAGTAACTTTTTCTGAGGTTGGGAGACTGTTACGTCCAATAGGAAAATAATTTGTCTTAGCTGTGAGTATCAAGCCAGCTTTCAACTGTCAGGGGCTGCTTTCTTTTCATCTTTCTCAGGGGATAGTAGAGGAGATAGAGAAACGTAAATTCAAGAGACAGTTAGAAAACAAAATTTATACAACTAGCCATGGGGGCAGAGGTTGAGGTCAGGGGTAATTTCTAAGTTTCTGGCTTGCAAACAGAAAGGATGGCAGTGCCATTCAGGGAGACAGCATCAACTTTCTATTATTGTCTAATTTAATACTTACCAAAAATAATAATAATAATAATATTATTATTATTTTGAGACAGGATCTCACTCTGTCATCCAGGCTGGTGTGCAGTGGTGTGATCATGGCTCACTGCAACCTCCGCCCCCTGGGCTCAAGCAATCCTCCCACCTTAGCCCTCCTGAGTAGCTGGGACTACAAGTCCACGCTACCAAGCCCAGCTAATTTTTGTAATTTTTGTACAGATGAGGTTTCGCTCTGTTGCCCAGGTTGGTCTCGAACTCCTGGGCTCAAGCGATCCACCCTCCTCAGCCTCCCAAAGTGCTGAGATACAGGCAAAAGCCAAAGATACGTGAAATGTTAATATTAATGGACCCATTTTACAGAGAGGAAAGAAATTAAGGCTTTACAGAGATTAAACATCTAACCCATTGTCACATGGAACCAGAACTCTAGTTTAGGTTTACTTGACTTCGAAGTCATACTGACAGGCCCGGCACGGTAGCTCACTCCTGTAATCCCAGCACTTTGGGAGGCTGAGGCAGGCAGATCACTTGAGGCCAAGAGTTTGAGACCAGCCTGGCCAACATCATGAAACCCTGTCTCTCTGAAAATACAAAAATTAGCCAGGTGTGGTGGCACATACCTGTAATTTAAGCTACTCAGGAGTCTGAGGCACAAGAATCACCTGAGCCCAGGAGGCAGAGGTTGCAGTGAGCCAAGATCATGCCACTGTACTCTAGCCTAGGTGACAGAGTAAGACTCTATCTCAAAAAAAAAACAAAAAGTCATACTGACTTAAAAAATGTATATAATTCTACTATCTAATTCAGGCTACTTTCATCACCCTCAAAAGAAAAATCTCATACCCATTAAGTAGACACTCCTCATTTCCCCCTCCCTCCAGTCCATGACAACCACAGATCTTTCTGTCTCTATGGATTTTCCTATTCTGGACATTTTATATAAGTGGAATCATACAATGAGTGACTTTTTGTGTCTAAATTCTTTCACATAGCACAATGTCTGCAAGGTTTATCCATGTTGTAGCATGCATCAGCACTTCATTCATTTTTATGGCTGAATAAAATTCCATTGTATAGATATACCACCTTTTGTTTATTTGTTCATTAGTTGATAGTGTGTCTACTCTTTGGCCATTATGAATATGTTTTTTTAACATTCCTGTACAAGTTTTTGTTTGAACACATGTCTCTAATTCTCTTAGATATATACCCAGGAGTAGAGTTGCTGGGTCATACGGTAATTCTATGTTTAACTTTAGAGGAACTGCCAAACTGTTTTCCACAACTGCGGCACCATTTTATATTTTCACCAGCCAATATATGAGGGTTCCGATTTCTACAGTACTCGTTATTGGGTTTTTTTTTGTTTGTTTCTTTGTTTATAGCCACGCTAGTGGGTATAAAATAGTATTTCATTGTGGTTTTAATTTGCATGTCCCTAGTGACTAATGATATTGAGCATCTTTTCATGTGCTTATTGGCCATTTGTAAATATTTGAAGAAATGTCTACTTAAGGTTTTTAAGTGGCCATTTGGCCATTCTTAAATGAGGTTGTTTGTCTGTTGTTGTTGAATTATAAGAGTTTTCTTCTCTCTCACTCTCTTTTTTTTTTTTTTTTTTTTTTTTTTGAGACAGAATCTTGCTCTGTCACCCACAATAGAGTACAGTGGTGTGCACACGGCTCGCTGTAGCCTCGGCTTGCTGGGCTCAAGAGATCATCTGCCTCTGCCTTCTATGTATCTGGCACCACAGGCTCACAGCACCCCGTCCAGCTAATTTCTTTAAATTTTTTGTAGAGATTGGGTCTCACCATGTTTCCCAGGCTAGTCTTGAACTCCTGGGCTCAAGCAATCCTCCCTCCTCAGCCTCCCAAAGTTCTGGGATTACAGACATTAGCCACCGTGTCCAACCTAAGAGTTCTTTATATGTTCTGGATACTAGACTCTTGAGCAGAAAAAATACACAAACTGTTTTTCCCTCTGTTCTCATACCACAGCAACAGTCAACACAGAACACTTCTGTAATCAATGCAAGCAATCTATTCTGCAGCAGGCACAAGCTGGGTATCTTCCAGTTCAATTCAGATACTATCTACCTGGACATAGTTTCAGATCCCACAGGTTGAGGGTTCAGTCCCACAAGATCATCCCCACCCTCCCACCAGTCACAAGTCCAGGCCTCTGGAACTGCTGACCAGTTACTTCAAGTTGGGGTTCCCATGACCTTTGTTGGGTTTGATTAATTCATTAGGACTGCCCACAGAACTCAGGGAAATACTTATGTTTACTGGTTTATTACAAAGGATAATGACACAAATAAACAGCCAGATGAAGAGATACATAGGGCAAGGTCTGGAAGGGTCCTGAGCACAGAAACTTCTATCCCCCCCGAGTTCTGGTATGCCACCCTCCCAGGACACAGATGAGTTTGGATTTTTTTTGTTTTTGTTTTTGTATTTTTCTGTAGACCTGCACTGTAGACATGGGTGAGTTTTTGTTTACCTTCTTGTGTTTAGCTCTCTGAAAGCTCCCTAAACCCTGTCTTCTTGGGCTTTATGGAGACTTCATTGGATAGGCATAACTGAAGCGTGGACAACCTGTAAAATTGTGATTAGAAAAAAGGATATGATCAAGGCCGGCCACAGTGGCTCACGCCTGTAACCCCAGCACTTTGGGAGGCCAAGGTGGGCAGATCACCCGAGGTCAGGAGTTCGAGACCAGCCTAACCAATTTGGTGAATCCCCATCTCTACTAAAAATACAAAAATTAGCCAGGCGTGGTGGCAGGCACCTGTAGTCCCAGCTACTCGGGAGGCTGAGGCAGTAGAATTGCTTGAGCCCAGGAGGCGAAGGTTGTAGTGAGCTGAAACCGCGCCAGTGCACTCCAGCCTGGGTGACAGAGCTAGACTCTGTCTCAAAAAAGAAAAAGAAAAAAGGATATGATCTAATGCTGATAGACTGGGGAAACCCAGTAAGGCGTGTCTGTTCAGATTCTTCTTGGCCTCTCTGTGCAGCATTCCTTCACCCAGGATATGGGCAGGACCCTGTCTGGAATGAGGGTCTCGTGATCTACAATCCAACAAGATAGGTCAGTTTTTTGTTTATTTTTTGTTTTTGAGACAGCCTTAAGAGTAGCTGGGACTACAGATGTGTGCTACCATGCCTGGCTAAGTTTTTTAGAGATGGGGTCTCACTGTGTTGCCCAGGCTGGTCTTGAACTCCAAGGCTCAGGGCACCTGCCTGCCTCGGCCTCCCATAATGCTGGGATTACAGGCGTAACCATCATGCCCAGTCAGATTATTTCCTTATAGCCAGTGCTTATATGGAAAGGAGGGGGAATTAGAGTAATATTTTTAGGTTTTATGACTGGTTTGGGGGAAAGGAGGTGCTGGTTTCTTTGACCGCCTTGTGGAAGAGAGATTCTAGTTTCTATGTGGCCTCAGGGAAGAATGAGGTGCCAGAGACAGGAGGGCTGGAGAAGGTGAGAGAGAGAGTTTTGCTTCTGAGGCCTAAACCATCCAACCTTATAACAAATGACTGTAACAAGGGTGAGGGGGTTTATAAGCCAGGAACTATGGACAAAAACCTATATATATATCATAATATCACAACCCTTATCAGATATATGATTTGCAAGTGTTTTCTCCCACTTCTGTGGGTTGTCTTTTCACTTTCTTACTAAGTGTCCTTTGATGCACAAAGATTTTTAATTTCGATGAAGTCCAACTTATTTATTTTTGTCTTTGGTTGCTTGTGCTTTTGATGTCATAATTAAGAAGCTGTTGCCTAATCTAAAGCCATAAACATTTTTACCTATGTTTCTCTCTACGGTTTATAAATTAGTCTCTAATATTTAGGTATTTGATGAATTTTTAATTAATTTTTATATATGGTGTGTAGTAGAGACTCAAATTCATTCCTTTGCATGTAATATCCAATTAGCTCAGCACCATTTGTTGAGAAGATCATTTTTTCTCCATTGAATGGTCCTTACACCCTTGTGAGAAATTAGTTGATTACAGATGTATGGGATAACTTCTGGACTCTCAAGTTTATTCCATCATACTGATTTTTTATTTTAACTTCATATAAATCACTTTTATATTATTTTATTTGGTATTTTATCTTCACAGCTTCCAAAATTATTTATCATTTATTTAACTGATTGAAAGTGAGCCAGAAGCAAATTTGCTGTCATAAAAGTTTACTAAAAATCAAGAGAAATGGCTTCGTAGCACCATTACTGCAATGTTACAATTACATACGTTGTTATTAGAATCATTTCTAAAGTTATAAATTTATGAAGCTTTGAGACTCCATTTCAATATATCAGAAAAGGAAATCATGTTAATAAAAAATCATTAGACGCAAAATAATATAAAATATAAATGAATACATGAAGTAACAATTTTTAACTCTTTTACAAACTTATGTACAATAAGATTAAAATAAGACAGTTGTGCATTCAAGTTTTCCTGTGGATCTGCTCATCTTCATTGCAAGGGTTGCTAGGTAATAACGGCACAGGGATATGGTTATTCTGAATATTTTTCTCACTGTCAAAGACAGTTGTTAGGGACAAATAGACACCAAAAGAGACAAATAGGGATCCCTTATTGGCTCCTTACATTTTGTTGGATAAAGCACAATTTCCTTGCAATGCTTCCCCATCCTTCTCTCCCAAATATTGTTCTCTTTCTCTCTCTCTCTCTTTTTTTTTTTTTTTTCTGAGACAGAGTCTTGCTCTTGTCGCCCAGGCTGGAGTGCAACGGCACGATCTCAGCTTACTGCAACCTCCACCTCCTGGGTTCAAGCGATTCTCCTGCCTCAGCCTCCCAAGTAGCTGGGATTACAGGTGCCTGCTACCACGCCTGGCTAATTTTTGCATTTTGAGTACAGACGGGGTTTTGCCATGTTGGCCAGGCTGGTCTCAAACTCCTGACCACAGGTGATCCGCCCGGCTCGGCCTCCCAAAGTGCTGGGATTACAGGCGTGAGCCACCACGCCCGGCCCTCTCTCTTTCTTTTTTTTTTTTTTTTTTTTGAGAGACAGGATCTTGTTATGTTGCCCAGGCTGGCCTTGAACACCTGTGTTCAAGCCATCCTCCCTCCTCAACCTCCCAAGCAGCTAGAACTATGAGCGTGTGCCACGGTTCGCAGCTTTATCATTCTGTTTTGTCACAACTCTCTTATATAGTTAATATACCTTTGGGAGAAGCATCACACACATACAAAATGTAGCAAACCTTGACCTGATTGGCATTTCTGAGATGAAGAGACCCACGAGAGCCAATAGATTTTCCTCTCCCCAACATTCAAGCAACTTCCTTCCAATTGTTTGCTAATTATGATATGTGAAGTTTGTGGGTGTTTCTAAATTAGGGACTTCCTTAAAAGAGTTTGCGTTTCCAGAAGATTTGCTACTTCAGACATCAACCCATTATTAGGGTGTCTTGTTCACAGTCCTCCTGCCCATTTTAAGATCCTTTATTAAAGTAGCTTGAAGGTGACCATGCATGGTCTATACCTCCATCCCCACCCATAACAATCTTCTTTTGTACAAACATAAAAACATGCTTCTGCTGATTAAAACATACAGCGCATGATTGGATATTAATGCTTTGGAGAGATGGTTTGGGGTCACAATCACCCAGATACTCTCATTAGGAGGTCCTATAGATCATGGCCTGATGGAAGAGTTTGTGTTACTTGAAAGTAAACGTCAAGGGAAAAGAATAGAAAAATCTATCACTAACACCACTGTTAACTCAAATGAATCAAATAATAAAGGATGTTGATATAAAAACATTTGATCCTCTCACCATGCTTTTTAGGATCTACCTTCTGCTCTCATCCTACCTAAAAGTCATAGAAAAACGTTGACACTTTAGGATGCTCCCAGGTCCTGCAGTTCTGTTATTCCCAGTAGGGGACAATGTTGCATTCAAAACTGCACCAATTGCAGCACGTCCCTGGCCAGACCTGTGTTCCTTCTCTATTTTCAAGACATAGATCTTTTTAAAGAGTCGTATATAAATATTTTTTCTGTAAACTCTAAGAAAGTGAGAGTTGAAGAATAAAAACAGAGAAGACTTGAAGGACTGTTTTTTATCCACTGTCTTCAGCAGAGATATTTCATCGTGTGTGACATTCCTGGAAGTTGCTATCAAAGTCCCAAAGTACGAAATGCGTCTCGTAAGTCATCAACCTCATACAGGGGCTGTAGAGAAAGAGAGAAGCAAATTGAGTGAATGGCTTCAAAACGAGGTTGGGGGTCGGTGGGGCCGGAGAGTCTTCTAAACTGAGTGGATGGCTTTGTAACATGTTGGAAGAAAGTAAATTGGGAAAGAGTTTTTTTGGGTTTTTTGTTTGTTTGTTTAAAAAAAAAAAAAAAAAAAAAAAAAAAGGAGAAAAGAATTCTGACCAGGAAGGAAACGCAACCCTGGGGAGAGACAGAAATTTAAAGATGTGAAACAACAAAAGAAAGAAAAGGGAGGGAAAAGGAACCTTAGCAGAGGGCTCTGAATGGTGAAACAGCAGAAGAAAAAGCTGATGTGGAGGAGAAATAAAGTTTTCATCAGATGAAAACTGAGAGTGATTGAACAATAAGAAAATATAAGAAATATACGAAACTCCAAAAAAGACTGTAGAGAAAGAAAGAAAATTTAAAAAGCGAGGAAGCCCCTTACCAAAAGGATGCGCCGAAGCTGTCTGGAGAGACGAACTGAATTTTCATGCAGCCCTTCCCAGGCTTTGAAAGTTCTTTCGTGGTTTTCTACAAAAGTATTCCAGCAGTAAAAATAATCTTCAAAAAAAAAAAAAGGAAAAAAAGGCGGGGATATGGGGGTAGAAGACAGTTCAGGTTCCAAATCGAGGGGAAAGAAGCAACCCTGGCCCCATTTTCTCATTTCCTCGGGGCCTTGTCTCTGAGCCATTCACTCTTTTCTCTGCTTCTAATCTTTAATTTCGGCTCCAGAGGTGAACCAGAATCCCCGCCCACTTCTTCCCCTCGAGCTTCCCCACTAACTCATTCATTCCGCATCGCAATCCCGAATGCGGGCTGCTGCACTGCGCCTGCGCGGAAGGCCCTTTCGCACCTTTGAAGGTCATGATGGCTATTTGCACCCCGGCGCGGTGCAGCCGCCGCAGCCCCTCGGGCTCAGCCTTGCGGTCCTCACAGAAGTAGAGGCGCGCGGTGAAGATCCTCAGACTGAGGTTGGGGTTCCCTCGCAGAAAGTCGGCCACATGTCGGGCACAGTCGTAGCAGGGGCTCCAGGAGGTGAACCAGGTGACGCGGTAGCAGCGGCCAGGGTCTAGGTCCCAGTCCGAGATGTAGCGGAGGAAGAGCAATTCCACGTGGCAGCCGTTCTGGAGAGACAGAGAGGACCACGCTAAAATTCACTGACTTTTATTGCGGCTCTGGTAGCCTTAGTCATTGTCTCCTGCAATGATCTTTGGGGATGCTTGCAGCTATTGTCCTTGTGTTACAGAGAGGCTAAGCAACTTGCTCAAAAGAGCACACCAGTAGGTAGAGCTGAACCCTTGGCAGCACTAGTCCTGCAGAGTGAAGGAAGGCTATGGGTTTTTGTGGAATGAGGAAGACGAAGTGCGCTGAGTTGGGAGGAAGCAGCATCACACTACCTCACCGAAGATTTAATTTGTGTTTATGAAGTTGCTTTTTGCACCTTTTGAGAAGGAAAATGGCTAGAAGTGCCTGTTGATGTAACATTGTGGAAATATACCTGGACCACTAGGTGGAGGCAGGACAGTTTATGAGGACCATTTGGGAGGATCTGAAAAGGGGAAATAGATTTTGGTAAAGCAGACAGATGGGTATTGTAAGAGAAGTAATAGGCACTGCCATGAGAAGTAAATGAAAGTGCTTGATAAAATCAAAGCCTTCTGAAATAGAATGTGTCATGTCACCGAATAGGAAGGAGATTGGGATGTATTCAATACAAATGTAGGCAAAGAAAATTGCATGGTAATATAACCATCAAACAACGAGCCAGACGATGACCTTCCACCCCACGGATGCTTCCCTGAGATTCCACCAAGCCCAGACGTCACAGCGTGTTAGGAGAGAGGAGATACCCGTGGGCAGAAGTTTATGTAAACCCATCTGGATTTTGGTGAAGAAGTCTCTTGGAAATGTAATTCTCTCGGGTAGCCGAAAGATCAATTTAATTAATCATCAGCCGAGGCTTCTCTGAGTTTTCTGGGGATCACCATGTTGAATGTATTCACTGGCCTACGACCCATGTGAGTAGGAGGGAAAAGAAATCATTTGGAAGACAGAATTGAGCCACCGTTAATTTTTTCCCAAATTCTTCTTCCTTAATTTTCAAAAATGCTTAAGACACAATTTGTTTTTCACATTTAAAATTTTTGCTTGGACAAGCTGATAATATTCTCCCATATAAAAATGCTTTTAGCTTAATTAATCTCAAAGGCAATTCAGATGCTGAGGAAAGCTGGTAAACAGTTTGGGAGCAGTTGTTCTTGGCACTGAAGGAAGGAGTGGTATTAGGGTGCCCAGCATTACTGGGGAGGAATTAAATCACATATTTTGGGCCATGTCTAATATGGGTGCATGGACATGGAAAAAGAAATAAAAAAAAGGATTTGAGGAATGTGATAGAGACACAAATGCCAAAAAAGGATGGAAGTAATACCATCAGCAGGTGGCTCTAAAAGCACTCACAGTTGACCATTAAACTGCTTGCAAAGCCGACTTTAATTGATACCTTATTGCGAAGATAACCAAAGTCCAGTGAAAAGGATGTAGCACTGTCACGCCTCTTCACTACGTAGCACAGGTAGGTCTCACGCCGACCCTTAGCCCAGCGGACATTTTTGAATTGGTAAAGAAACTTCCTCCGGTTCATCAAGAGGCTGTGGGTGAGAGGAGGGAGAGAAAATGCAAGAGTACAGTTTATAATCTGGTCACTCTGGATTTTCCTTCAGCTTTTTAAGGAAGTCATTACTTGGGCTAAACCAAAGAAGATGCTCTGACTTCCTCTGCTGGCTGCCTGAGCCCTCCTGAGCCCTGCTGAGCCTGGAATCCATCATAAACTCCTTTTCCTGCTTATATTTAAGGCCAATTGAGAGATACTCATCAAGGACCCCAAACCCTTACCCACAAGACAGTCACCTCCTGCCACTGTCTTCTAGATGCTGATGACTTGGGATTACAATTAAATTTGTTCTTCAACAAGAAAACGAAACAAAAAATAAAATAAACTTGTTCCTCAGTCCCATAATTGTATATTCAGATTTCCCCTCCAGTCTTTACCTAAGTGTCCAACTTGTACCTCAAACTCAAAATGATCAAAACAATATTCCTCAACTGCCCCCTGTCCTAAACTGCCACTCCTCCCGACTTTGCCACCTCAGGTAAGCAGCCTAGCAGCCTGGAACCATCCTTGACTCATTTCTTATTCCTCAGTCCTCATATTTAATTAATCATCTAAATGTGTTGATTCAAACCCCCCAATATTTCTTGAATTTGTACCTTCCCTGTTTGCTCTTCTCTGCTTCGGTCCAAGCCCTCATCTTCTTCCTCCTTATCTGTTGTGCTGGCCTTTTAACCGGTCTGTCTGCCTCCAGTCCCTCCAAAATAACATTCCCCACACTGTCACCACCATGATCTCACAAAAACCAGGTGCACCATGCCATTCCCATGCTGAAGACCCCCTGATGGTTCTCTTCTGCCTGCAGAATAAACTCCAAACTCTTTAATGTGGTGTTTAGGCCACTTTTTACAGTTGGATCTTGATCTAAATTTCTTTTTTTAAATTTTTTTTTTTTTGTTACGGTCTCACTTTGTCGCCCAGGCTGAAGTATACTGGCATGATCTTGGCTTACTGTAGCCTCAACCTCCCAGGCTCAGGCAGATCTGCCAGGCTCCGCGGATCCTCCTGCCTCAGCCTCCTGAGTAGCTGGGATTACAGGCGCCCACCATCATGCCCAGGTAATGTTTGTATTTTTAATAGAGACGGGGTTTCACCATCTTGGCCAGGCTGGCCTTGGACTCCTGACCTCGGGTGTTCTGCCCGCCTTGGCTTCCCAAAGTGCTGGGATTACAGGCGTGAGCCACTGCACCGGCCTATTTTTTAATGTATAAGAGCAATACCTGGCTGGGCGCAGTGGCTCACACCTGTTTTTTAATGTATAAGAGCAATACTTGGCCGGGCGCAGTGGCCTACATCTGTAATCCCAGCACTTTGGGAGGCTGAGGCAGGTGGATCCTCTGAGGTCAGGAGTTTGAGACCAGCCTGGCCAACATGGTGAAACCCCATCTCTACTAAAAATACAAACATTAGCCGAGTGTGGTGGTGGGCGCCTGTAATCCCATCTACCCGGGAGGCTGAGGCGACAGCTTTGCTTGAACCCAGGAGGTGGAGGTTGCAGTGAGCTATGGTCATGCCATTCCACTCCAGCATGGGCAACAAGACCAAAACTCCATCTCAAAAAAAAAAAAAAAAAAAAAAAAAGAAAGAGTAATACTTGATCATTGTCAAACTTGAATACTATGGAAAAATAGAAGAGCTCTAAATTTTAAAATATTAAAGATTTTTTAAATCTCAAATATCATAGTGTCTAATAATAATAATTAGACTTAGTGTCTAATGACAATGACTGTTAAGATTCTTGTGTTTATTCCTCTAGTCTTTCTACAGGCACATATTTACATGATTTGGATTATACTGATTGCATGTGTGATTTTGTACTCTGCTGCTTTTTTAACTAGTCAAAATGATCTAAATATCTTGCTATGTTGTTCCCACATAATGACTGATTTCTCCTCCTCTTTGTTTTCTGGCTCCTAGCACAGTGTCTTGCATATCATAAGCACTAATTTGAATAGCATTTGTGGAAATACTCTGGTAACCCAAGTTTCCTTAAAGAAATCAAGAGTCCCCATTGCAGCTGCAGACAGCAACACAAGCTGTACAGCATGGTTGATATGAAAGCACAAGTGATGCCTGGATTTTGTCCCTAGTCTTTTCCAGAAATGCATTTATCCAATTTGTGGAGCTAGTGCTGTCACCTAATGGTACGGGGCAGAAGTGCAGAGAATTTGCGAAGTAAAGGGCTCAGGAATTTGAATAACGTTTGCTGGCAAGAGAATTGAAAGTTTTCTTACACATTATTTTTTCTTACATTGAGGTATAATTTACATACAGTAAACTCCACCCATTTAAGATGCATAATTCTACGAATATTTTTGGATGTAAACACCCCAAACTGCTACCACAGTCAGGATACAGAACCTGAATCACCACCCTCACCCCACCAGAGCTTCTTCCCTCTTTGCAGTCCTTCCCCTCCCCACAGGACAACCACTGATTTGCTTTCTTTTTTTCCCATTTTTGTGGAGAATGGAGTTTCACTGTGTTGCCC
Source organism: Homo sapiens (assembly GCF_000001405.40). Lineage (NCBI taxonomy): Eukaryota > Metazoa > Chordata > Mammalia > Primates > Hominidae > Homo > Homo sapiens. The sequence goes on from NC_000012.12 coordinate 8,609,524, forward strand.
AGGCTGGTCTTGAACTCCTGAGTTCTAGCAATCTTCCCACGTGGCCTCTCAAAGTGCTGGGATTACAGGTGTGAGCCTCTATGCCTGCCCTGATTTGCTTTCTGTAACTATAAGTTACTTTCATTTTCTAGAATTTCGTATGGCATACATTATCTCCTCCTTCATGTCTGACTCTTTCATTTAGCGTCATGACTTTGGGATTCATCCCCAAGTAGCTTCTTTGTACTGCAGGGTGGTATTCCATTGCATGGATATAGCACATTTTGTTTATTTGTTCACTTGTTGATGGATATTTGGATAGTCTCTACTTTGGGGTTTTGTGAATAAAGGTACTATGAACATTCACGTACCAGTCTTTGTGTGGATATACATTGAGAATTGATATTTTAATAATGTAGTGCAGGTGACAGACCCTGACTTTAAAAGTTAAATACCAAAATATCAGCCTAACTAAGTAGCTCATCTAGGACAACAGCTCTTTGTAGTTGTTTCCATTTATTTTTAATTTTTCTTCTTATTTTTTTGAGGCAAGGTCTGGTCCTGTCACCCAGGCTGGAGTGCAGTGGCGCAAGCACTGCTCAGTGCAGCCTTGACCTCCTGGGCTCCAACGATTCTCCTGCCTCAGCCCCCTAGTAGCTGGGACCACAGGCACATGCCACCATGCCCGGCTAATTTTTGTTATAGAAACAGCGTTTTGCCATGTTGCTCAGGCTGGTCTTGAACTCCAGGGCTCAAGCGATCCACCCACCTCAGCCTCCCAGAGTGCTGGGATTACAGGCGTGAGCCACCACACCTGGCTGTCTGTTTCACTTTAAATGTCTCCCCTCACGTACATGAAGCTTACTGGAAAGCACTTTAAACTTTAGGCAGCAAACTAGATTTATTGCCAGTATACACATTACATAAGGTAAAAATTAGCCATATTATTTTAAAATTTAAAATGCATATTTTAATCTAAATGGATCCTAGGCCAGATGCAGTGGCTCATGACTGTATCCCAACACTTTGGGAGGCCAAGGCAGGAGGATTGCTTGAGCCCAGGAGTTCAAGACTGCAGAAAGCTATGATTGCACCACTGCACTCCAGCCTGGGTAACAGGGTGAGATTGTCTTTTAAAAAATCAAAAACATAAAAAACATAAAATGAATACTAAAAAAGATCCAATAATAATTAGCTTTATTTTAAAAGGATAATAATTTTTATGGTAATTACCATAGTACCAACCACCATTACTATTACTATATTAGCATATAATAACCCTTTGTATATATAAGCTCAACACATAATAGGTGCTTAATAAGTACAGAAGAAAAGAAATTCTCTCTTTGAGGCCCAGTGTTAAACAGATTAAGCATCATCTCTTACCAATAAATCCCTCTTATATTAACTTACCCTCCTGGGCTGTGTAGATGAGAAAGGCAGAGGAATCTACATCTTTTTACATGCACCTTGGTTGGCGGGGTGTGTGTTTGTGTGTGTGTGTGTGTGTGTGTGTGTGTGTGTGTGTGTGTGTGTGGAGAGAGAGAGAGCCTTATCATAAGGAAGAAAAAGTGTCCTGGAAGTATAGATAAGAAGGATGTGGCATAGATAAAGGACTTTGGGTGGATTTTTGGGTCCTACTCTACATGAAAATACAATAAGCCTACACTGTTTCTGTCACATGTTACCAGTCAGAGTGAAATGAATTGCGTGATCCTGACCTGCTAGTTAACTTTGTTGATCCATTACTTCCCTTCTCTGGTTAGGGGCCTGTTTCCAGCTCCCTGTTCTCGTCATTTCTGTCCTGAGTAGGAAGGACTTTACCGAGGGAGTGTTTCAGGCTTGCAGGCTGACAGCTGCTCTGGACAGCTGTGCTCCCTGAGGCAGAACCCTAGCTGCATCCCCAGCCGTGCAAACCAGAAACAAGCGGGTTAAAAATAATCCTGACCAAGTCATTTTGCCATCACTAATGAGCTCTACAGATACTGTCCTCCTTAATGATAATATATTTCCCTTCTGTCCTGTTGAATTTCATCTTTTCTCCTTTTCTGTCTTTCTCTGAATTTCAACTGCTGATTTTACCTTTGCTTTCCATTTTACTTTGAACAAGTATTTCCAATGGACCCTTCACAAGGACCTATAGCTCAGACTTGTTTTCAAAATCTCAGTGTAAACTGAGGAGACATTTGACATTGTCTGACCTCAAGAAAATTTTCTGAAGAACATTAAATCCTCCATTAAAAATCTTTATTCTGTATATTGGATGTGATGGCTCATGTCTATAATTCCAGCACTTTAGGAGGCCCAGGCAGGAGGATCGCTTGGGCCAGGACTTAGAGACCAGCCTCGGCTGGGCTAAGACCCTGTCTCTACAAAAAAATATATTTTTAAAAAATCTTTATTCTGTAATGTAAGTTCTTTATAAAGGAGTTAAATTGAGGTAAAGTATAAGGATTAGGTGTTATTCTCATACATCCATAGTAATCATAAATGTAGGAATAGAATAAGTTCTATGACAATAACCTATCAAAAACTGCACATAAAGACATTATGAGGACCTTAACCAAATTCACACCTAAGAGGTAAGTTAAGCTACGTCTGAACAAATGGAAAGATTAGTTAATAGTAAAAGTGCCATTAACTGCCTAACAATTGGGCCTTTAACATTAAATAACTTGCTTGAATGAATTTGTCTCCTTATAATGGACACAATCATAGTGACTTTCAAGCAATTAATTTAGAATGCTTGGCATTTCTAAAATTACAAATTTTCTTACTATAGCTAAATTATTTCAGTAACGCCTCCCTAGGAAAGTGTGTCTTCAAGTTGTTTTACTGTTGAATATTTACAAAATTATTACGAAAATTAGCACTACCGTTTTTAGTACAGTACTGCTATTACCTTTTCATGATTTGAGTCTCTAAAGATTTGCTATGTTAATATTATTACCATAAATTAGTTTCAACCATGGTACAAATCTCAGGACGAATCAGTACATTGTACGCACTACTTCTTTTGCCACATGAAAAAGAGGGAAATCAAGAGAAGTCTGAAACAGAAAGAATTGGGCTGACAGCGTATAAGATCTGAATAGAAGAAAAGGAGACAGATCAAAAAATATATATGCATATTGATCAAGCTGATCTTATCAGTCAGACAGTTACATGAGAGAAAGGGATAGCTACCAGTCTCATTACTCAGATTTGCTCTGAGAGGAAGGCCAGTGCAATCACCCACGAGAAGACTGCCTCTTTACCTGTCCATAGTGGTGTCCAGAGTGTCTTCTTGCCTCCCTGCAAGTCTCAGGCCAGAAAAATCTCACTTCAATTAATGATGGTTCTCTGTCTTAGTCTGACAGTGCATTGGCCCTTCACATTCAAATTTGAGCTTGCCCTTTTGGGCTCCTCCCCTGACAGCATCACCCCCACCAGGTACCCCAACGGCCTTGCTCCTGATTTGGATCCAGTGAAGATGGGTGGGTGGGGCTGTCATAGGCAGAGTCACACAGGTTAAACCATTGAGGGCAGCTCTGCTTTAATGTTTAGGTTCCTTTGGGGCTGCTGCTCTAAAAGCCCAGTCCATGCTCCATAGCTAGCAAAGATCAGGAGGCAGTAACAGTAGACACTTCAATTATAATCATGATAACACAAAATAAAAGCACAATGAGAATAGTAATATTTATGTAAATACCTTAAAGAGCATTTAAATAGCTTCTTGGGTTATTGTGTTGAAGAGCCTCAGATAGCCTCTAATTCCCCCATATTCCCACAGTCTCTCTGAACCTCAGTACAGACAGGCACTAGCAGCTCCTGCTTTGCAGTTAAGCAAATGAACTCAGTTATATAGAATTTAGAACACAAAAATTTTGCCTCCCAAACCATGGATTTTTTTCTTTCTGATTGCATTACAAGAATTGCTTGAAGACTAGATATTTACACCAAAGAGTGATTTTTGCATGAGCCATCTTTTTTAGAAAAAAAAAAAATCCTTAATTTGGAGTCAGAAGCAGCAGCAGTCCCCCAAAATACAAAAATGCTTGTTTCACCAGACAGATTCAGTGTCTAACTGGCTGCACTGAATTTGGAAAACAGGCTAAGATCTTCAAATAAAAGACTTTAATTTTGTGCTCTCATAGAACTTGGTCTATTAAAGATTTTATTTCTCTCTCCTACTGTAGCCCATATGCATTCTATTTATTCACTGAGTAGATACTTCATGCCTACTGTTAATGGAAACTATGCCAGGTGCTAGGGATGCAATGCTAAGCAATGCAGCTAGGGTCTCTGCTCTCTTCCTGCCTCAAGCCTTTGATACCATCTATACCTTGATGATTTTCAAATCAATAGCCCTAGCTTGGACCATGTATTCGTCTGTTCTCACACTGCTAATAAAGACATGCCTGAGACTGGGTAATTTATAAAGGAAAGAGGTTTAGTTGACTCACAGTTCCACATGGCTGGGGAGGCCTCACAATCATGGCAGAAGAGCAAGGGACATCTTACATGGTGGTAGGCAAGAGAGAGCTCACGCAGGGGGAAATCCCTTTATAAAACCATCAGATCTTGTGAGACTTATTCACTATCATGAGAACAGCATGGGAAAGACCCACCCCCATTGTTCAACTACCTCCCACTGGGTCCCTCCCATGACATGTGGGAATTGTGGGAACTACAATTCAAGATGAGATTTGGGTGGGGACACAGGCAAATCTATCAGACCACTTCTTGAAACTCAAGACAAGTGTATCCAGCTTCCCTCTCAGAATCTCCATTTGGATGTCTGAGCACCTCCAGCCTGTCTAAAACAGAACCCCTGTTCTCTGCCTTACCTACTCTTCTTGCCGTCTTTCCCATCTCAATAAACAGCAGTATTCTTCCAATTGCTTGGCAAAACCTGGGCAGAGTGTCTCTCAGCTCCTCTCTTTCTTTTAAATTCCATGCACACTCCATTAGCAAATCCTGTTATCTCTGCTTCCAGAATATAGCCACAAACTGACCACTTCTCACTACCTCCAGGTCCAAGCAACCTGGATTATTGCATTTTGCTTCCCAACTGGCCTTCCTGCCTCCCCCTTCTTCGATTACAGTCTGTTCTCCACATGGCAACTAGAGTATTCCTTCTGGAATATTTAAGGTCATGTCACTCCCCTGTCATAACCCTCCATGGCTTCCCATTCTCTCAGTATAGGCCAGCAGCCTGAGATGGCCCACAAGCCCCTCTACCGTCTGCTCTGCTTCACCCCTCTGGCTGCATCTCCTTCCACTCTCTCCCTTGCTCACGCAAAGAGCGCACACTCCTTCCTCTGCCCTTGAGGTCCCTCTGCTGAAATGTTATTTTTTGTGTATGGTTGTGGCTTACACCATCATATATTTTATGTCCTTATTCAAATACTGTCCGGTATTTGAGATTTGTCCTAGTCACCATATCTAAAATGTCAACAAAATCTCACCATTCTGACACTCCCTTGCCTCCATCCCCTAAATTATTTTTCTCTTTAGCACTTATCACTTAAAATACACTCCTAAGTAAACTAAAGACAAGTAAAATAATCTGTTTAAATTATTTTTTAATTAGCCATGAGATTCAAAATAATAATTATAATTATTTCTAATAATTATGTAATAATAATAATTATTATTTTGAGGAGGGTCTCTCTCTGTCACCCAGGCTGCACTACAGTGACATGAACATGGCTCACTGCAGGCCTTGACCTCCTGGGCTCAAGTGACACTCCTGCCTCAGCCTCCCGAGGAGCTGAGACTACAGGAATGTGCCACCACACCCAGCTCATTTTTGTATTTTTCTTTAGAGACGAGGCCTTTCCATGTTGACCAGGCTGGTGTCGAACTCCTGGGGTCAAGTGATCTGCCCATATCAGCCTTCCAAAGTGCTGGGATTACAGGCGTGAGCCACTGCACCTGGCCTTGTCTAAATTATTATTGCTGAAAAAATTCCTCAGGGCACCAGCAAGATAGTAGACGGTAGTTGCCTTTGGCACTCTCAGTTTTATAGGACAGTTGGTCAAGGAGCAGAATGGAGACTCCTAATTCATCTGCAGCGTCAACTGGAAGGTGCAGGCATTTGAAATCTAATCCCTTTAAGTTGTATCCTCAGATGCGAGTTGGGCTTTTATCATATTTTCACCCATTTGTCAAGAGAATAACACACAGGTACACACAATTGGGTTGTTTTATTGTTTTAAATAAAAACGGCACATATTTAAGGTGCATAACATGGTGTTTTGTTATCTGTAATGAAATGATTACTACAGTCAAGCTAATTAACTTATCCATCTCCTCACATAGTAACCTTGTATGGATATGTGTGTGTGGTGACCGCATCTGAAATCTACTGTCTTAGAAAATTTCCAGTATACAATTTTTTTTTTTTTTCGAGACAAGAGTCTCACTCTGTTGCCTAGGCTGGTGTGCAGTGGCATGATCTTGGCTCACTGCAGCGTTGACCTCCCGGGCTCAAACAATCCTCCCACCTCAGCCTCCCGAGTAGCTGGGACCACAGCTGCACACTACCACACTGGGCTAATTTTTTTGTTTGTTTTTTTGTACAGGCAGGATCTCACTATGTTGCTCAGTTAGGTCTTGAACTCCTGGGCTCAAACAATGCTCCCATCTCAGCCAAAGTGCTGTGATTACAGGTGTGAGCCACTGTGCCTGGCCCAATACAATCTTTTTTAACTGTAGTCATCATGCTGTACAATAGAGCTCTAGACTTATTAATCCTGTATAACTGCAACTTTGTACCATTTGAGCAACATCTTCCCATTTTCCCTACCTCCCCATGCCTGCTAACCACCATTTTACTTTCTTTCTTTCTTATTTTATTTTTTTTTTTTTTTTGAGACGGAGTCTCACTCTGTTGCCCAGGCTGGAGTGCAATGGTGTGATCTCGGCTCACTGCAACCTCCGCCTCCTGGGTTCAAAGGATTCTCCTGCCTCAGCCTCCCAATTAGCTGGAATTCCAAGCATGCACCACCACGCCCAGCTGATTTTTGTATTTTTAGTAGAGACGGGGGTTTCACCATGTTGGCCAGGCTGGTCTCGAACTCCTGGCCTCAAGTGATCCACCCACCTCGGCCTCCCAAAGTGCTGAGATTACAGGCGTGAGCCACTGTGGCTGGCTCACCATTTTACTTTCTGCTTCTATGTGTTCAACTTTTTAAGATTCCACATATAAGTGAGATTATGCAGTATTTTTCTTTCTGTGTCTGGCTTATTTCACCAAGCATAATGTCCTCCAGATTTATCAATGTTGTTGCAAATGGCAAGATCTCCTTTCTTAAGGCAGAATGATATTCTTATTCTGATATATATATACGTGCCACATTTTCTTGATCCATTCATCTGTCGACAGACACGTAGGTTGTCTCCATATCTTGGCTATTGTGAATAGCGCAGCAGTGGACATGGAGTTATCTCTTCAAGGCACTGATTTTGTTTTCTTTGGGTATTTACCCAGAAGCAGGATTGCTCAATATGGTAGTTCTGTATTAAAATTTTTGAGGATCATATAGTAGTTCTAGTTTTAGTTTTTTTTTTTTGGAGAAACCTCCATACTGTTCCCTATAACGGCTGTGCCAATTTACATTCCCACCAACAGTGTACAAAGGTTCCTTTCGCTCCACATTCTCACCAACGCTTGTTTTCTTTTGTCTTTATGGTAATAGCCATTCTAACAGGTGTGAGGTTAAGAGATAGGAAAAAATAAAAATGTAAAATGCAAACCCAATAATAGGGGCCAGGTGTGGTGGCTCACATCTGTAATCCCAGCACTTTGGAAGGCCGAGGCAGGCAGATCACCTGAGGTCAGGAGTTCGAGATCAGCCTGGCCAACATGGTGAAACCCCGTCTCTACTGAAAAAAAAAAATACAAAAATAAGCCAGTTGTGGTGGCAGGCAACTGTAATCCCAGCTACTCGGGAGGCTGAGGCAGGAGAATTGCTTGAACCCGGGAGGTGGAGGTTGCAGTGAGCAGAGATCGTGCCACTGCACTCCAGCCTGGGAGACAGAGTGAGACTCCGTCTTAAAAAAAAAAAAAAAGAAAAAGAAAGCATATAATAGGAAGAACTGACTATTTTTTCTTCCACCTTCACATACCACTCAACACAGCCCTTCTGACACCAGATGTGTGCCGGTCTTTTCCCATACACCAAGCAGTTTTCCAGTGGACATCAACTGGGTGTTCTATAATTTAATTCAATTCTGGCATTATCTACCTGGAGATAGCATCAGACCTCACAGATTGTGGGTCAGTCCCACAAGATGGACCCCACTTCAGATGCCAATCTCAAATTTCAGGTTGTGACCTGTACTTCTGATCAACTGGCTTAGGGGTTCCTACAACCCATGCCTTGGGTTCCATTAATTTGCTAAGCTGGCTTAGCAAACTCGGGGAAACACTTACTTAACTTTTAGCAGTTTATTATGCTAATAAAGGATATAATAAAGCATACAAGCCAGGTGTGGTGGTGCATGCCTGTAATCCCAGCACTCCGGAAGGCCAAGGTGGGCAGATCACTTCGGGCCAGGAGTTTGAGACCAGTCTGGCCAGCATGATGAAACTTCCATCTCTACTAAAAAAACACAAAAATTAGTTGGGCATGGTGGCTCACACCTATAGTCCCAGCTACTCAGGATGCTGAAGCATGAGAATCGCTTGAACTCAGGAGGCAGAGGTTGCAGTAGCTGAGATCGCACCACTGCACTCCAGCCTGGGTGACAGAGCGAGATTCTGTCTCAAAAAAAAAAAAAGTTACGTATGAACAGCTCGATGAAAGTACAGAGGGTAAGAACGGGAGGGGTCTGAGCACAGAAGCTTCTGTCCCCTGGAGTTGGGGTGTGCCACCCTCCTGCTACACAGATATATTTACCAACTCAGAAGCTCTTTGAACTCCATACTTCAGGGATTTTTATGGAGACTTGATCATGTAGGCACGATTAATTATTTACTCTATTCCCAGCCCCTCTCGTCTCTCGGGAGAATGGGGAGTGGGGCTGAAAATTCCAAGCTTCTAGTCATGACTTGGTCTTTCTGGGGACTGGCACCTCTCCTAGAGCCTACCAGGAGTCATCTCATTAGAACAAAACAAACTCCTGTCATCCAGAAATTCCAAGCTATTCGAAAGCTCTGTGTCAGATGCTCTTATCACTCAGGAAATTCTCAGGGCTTTAGGAAATCTGTGCCAGGAACCAGGGGCAGAGACCAAATATATATTATTCTTATTATTTCACAGAGATGATATCTCACTGTGATTTTGATTTGTATTTCCCTCATGATTACCGTGTTAAGCACATTTTCATACACTTGTTGGACAATTGTATGTCTTCTTTTGAGAAATGTCTATTCAGGTCCTCTGTCCATTTTTAATTGGGTTATTTATGTGAGAATAAATATGATTTAAAAGCTGTTCGTGGACCAGGCGCGGTGGCTCACGCCTATAATCTCAGCACTTTGGGAGGCTGAGGTGGGCAGATCACTTGAGGTCAGGAGTTCGAGACCAGCCTGGCCAACATGGTGAAACCTCATCTCTACTAAACATACAAAAATTAGCTGGGTGTGGTGGCGCATACCTGTAATCCCAGTTACTCGAGAGGCTGCGGCAGAATTGCTTGAACCCAGGAGGCGGAGGTTGCAGTATGCTGAGATCACACCATTATACTCCAGCCTGGGCGACAAGAGTGAAACTCCATCTCAAAAAAATTTTAAAAAGCTGTTGGAACCCCAGAAACACTGTAAGCCTTGAGAGAGATGTGACTGTGATCTGAGTCACATATGGTTGCAACATCTGCTTCTCAAGTTATAGACTAACCCACTTCCTTATTTTTCTTGTCCTGTACAGTAACTAGAGAAAATTAAATGACCTCAAGGACAAAAACCTCCTGCCTTGTTAATTAATGACCCTTATCATAGATTAACTTCTCCTTTGTCGTCTTGCTTTGCCTAGACCAGATGACAGAAAACATATGACTATTACAACATCTGCAAAAGATGCTATATGTACCCTTCCCAAAAAGAAACACTGCCTATAATCAATCAAATTGTTATAACTATGCACCAACCTTGTATGAAAAATGCTGTAAGTGTGCATAAACTCCTGTGTCTCTGCCTATATAAATGATACTTTAACTTCCCTAGTTCAGAACACTGACTCCATTTCCTTAGAGTTGGTGTTTCTGAATGGACTGTCTTCAAACTTTGTCCTTGAATAAACTTTATTTAAATTAGATTCTGACCCTTTTGATTATTTTAGGTTGACATTTTTTTTTGGTACTAAGTTGTATGAATTCCTTATATATTTTGGATATTAAACCCCTGTCTACCTTTTTTTCCTTTTTGAAACAGGGTCTCGCTCTGTCACCCAGGCTGGAGTCCAGTGATGCAATCACAGCTCACTGCAGCCTTGACCTCCCAGGCTCAAACAATCCTCCTGCCTCAGCCTCCCGAGTAGCTGGGACTACAGACACAAGCCACCATGCCCAGATGATTTTTATACTTTTTTTGTAGGAATAGAGGCCTCACTTTGTTGCCCAGGCTGACCTTAAACTCCTTGGCTCAAGTGATCCTCCTGCCTCAGCTTCCCAAAGTTCTGGGATTATATGGCATTAGCCACTGCACCTGGCCGGACATTAACCCCTTCATCAGATATATGATTAGCAAATATTTTCTTCTAACCTATAGGTTGCCTTTTCATGTTGATGATTGTTTTCTTTGCTGTGTAGAAGCTTTTCAGTTTGATTTAGTCCCACTTTTTATTTATGCTTTTATTGCCTATTCTTTCGGTGTCATAGCCAAAAACATCATTGCCAAGGCCAACGTCAAGAAGCTGCCCATTCCCACTCCCATTTTCTTCTAGTAGTTTTACGGTTTCAGGCCTTATTTAAGTCCTTAATCCATTTTAGTTGATTTTTGTGTATGGTGTAAGATAAGGGTCCAATTTCATTCTTTTGCATGTGGATATCCAGTTTTCCTAACACAATTTATTGAAGAGACTATCCTTTCCCTACTGTGTATTCTTGGTACCCCTGTTGAAAATTAGTTGACTTGTGGGGTGTGGTGGCTCACGTCTGTATTTCCAACACTTTGGGAGGCCGAGGTGGGTGGATCACTTGAGGTCAGGAGTTCAAGACCAGCTTGGCCAACATGGTGAAACCCTGTCTCTACTAAAAATACAAAAATTAGTCAGGTGTGGTGGCTCATGCCTGTAATACCAGCTACTTGGGAGGCTGAGGCAGGAGAATCACTGAACCTGGGAGGTGGAGGTTGCAGTGAGCTGAGATCATGCCACTGCACTCCAGGCCGGGCAACAGAGACTCTGTCTCAAACACATACACACACACACACACACAAAGAAAATTAGTTGACTTTGTATGCTGGAGTTTATTAGGGAGTTTTCTATTCTCTTAGTCTACATGTCTGTTTTTATGCCAGTACCATACAGTTTTGACTACCATAGTTTTGTGCTATAATTTGAAATCAGAAAGTATGCCTGTAACTTTGTCCTTCTTTCTCAAGATTGATTTGTGTATTCAGGGTCTTTTGTTCCACACAAATTTTAGAATTGTTTATTTCTTTGAAAAATGGAATTTTGATGGGAATTGTGTTTAATCATTTAATCTCTATGTCCCTTTATTTAGTATAAACTTTTTTTTTTTTTTGAAGGAGTGGAGTGCAGGCTGGAGTGCAGTGGCATGATCATGGCTCACTACAGCCTCGATTTCCGAGGTTCAGGTGATCCTCCCACCTCAGCCTCCTGAGTAGCTGGGACTACAGGTATGTGCCACCATGCCCAGCTAATTTTTGTATTTCTTGTAGAGATGGGGTTTTGCCATGTTGCTCAGGCTGGTCTCGAACTCCTGGGCTCATATGATCTGTCTGCCTTGGCCTCCCAAAGTGTTGCGATTATAGGCGTGAGCCACTGTGCCAGGCCAATATAGACATTTTAACAATATTAACTCTTCTAATCCATGAACACAGGATATCCTTCCACTTATTTGTCGTCTTCTTCAACTTCTTTCATCAATGTTTTATAAGTTTCAGTGTATATATCTCTTACCTCCTTGGTTAAGTTTATTCTTAACTATTGTATTCTTTTTGATGCTATCATAAATGAAATTAGTTTCTTGATTTCCTTTTCGGGTAGATATTTGTTCTTGTAAATAAATGCAACTACTTTTTGTATGTTGGCTTTTTAATCCTGCAACTTTACTGAATTTATTAGTTCTAATTGTTTTTTTGTGTGTGGACTCCTTAGTTTTCTACATACAGAATTATGTCATCTACAAAGAGAAATAATTTTACTTCTTCCTCTCAAATTTGGATGCCTCTTATTTTTCTTGTGTGATTGTTCTTGCTAGCACTTCCAGCATTATGTTGAATAGAAGTGGCAACAGTGGGCATCCTCATCTTGTACAAGATCTTAGAGAAAAAGTTTTCAGCTTTTCCATTAATTTTGATGTTAGCTGTGTGCTTTTCATAAATGGCTGTTATTGTGCCAAGGAATTTCCTTCTATACCTATTTTGATGCGTTTTTTTTTTCTCTGCCATGAATGAGTATTGAAGTTTGTCAAATGCTTCTGCATCTCTTGACATGATCATGTGGTTTTTAATATGACATAGCACATTGATTGATTTGTATGTGTTAAACCACTCCAAAGGATAAATCCCACTTAGTTATGGTGTAGAATCTTTCTGATGTGTTGTTGAATTTGGTTTGTTACTACTTTATTGAGGATTTTTGTATCTATCACATATTTCTTTTTCCTTTTTTTTCTTTTCTTTTCTTTTTTTTTTTTTTTGAAACAGAGTCTTGCTCTGTCACCCAGGCTGGAGTGCAATGGCGGGATCTCAGCTCACTGCAACCTCTGCCTCCCGGGTTCAAGCAATTCTCCTGCCTCAACCTCCTGAGTAGCTGGGATTACAGGCGCCCGCCACCAAGCCAGGCTAATTTTTGCATTTTAGTAATGATGGGGTTTCACCATGTTAGTCAGGCTGGTCTCCAACTTCTGACCTCAAGTGATCCACCCACCTCAGCCTCCCAAAATGCTGGGATTACAGGCACGAACCACCACACTCAGCCAATTTTTTTGTATTTTCAGTAGAGACGGGGTTTCACCATGTTGGCCAGCCTGGTCTCAAACTCTTGACCTCAGGTGATCTGCCCACCTCGACCTCTCAAAGTGCTAGGATAACAAGGCGTGAGCCAGCACGCCCAGCCTATCACATATTTCTTAATGGCACCTCCTTTAAACACACACACTCACATCCTTACTGAAACTGAAATTATTTTTTAAAGCCCAATAGCTTCCCTGACAAGGGCCCTCTTTCTTCCTGCTCAGCGTCTGACTGGGGAGTAATCCCATTCTCTACACAAAAAGTCATTATCTAACAAGTTCAGCCAACAGCTAGAAAGCAGAAAAGCTGGGACTGAGATTTGAAAGCATCAGCCTTACTCCAAAGCCCATGCAATACTGTCAAGCTGGTAAAATCAATCCTACAGACCTTAATCTATTTGACCATATCAATTTAGAAATCTTCATCAGAGCTACAGAGAAAGATCCCCCTGCCGCCGCCACATAACTATATCATTTAGAATTGGTATATGTCAGGCAAACTCAATAAATGGCTTATGCAAGAAAGACTTTGTCTTCCACCCAAAAATGTAGACAGTTGACTTAGCAAGTATTAAATCTAAATCTAATTGAAACATGGACCTGTACTTCCTTGGAGCTCCTTGCTTTATCAAAAGAGGCTCTGTTGGCAGAATTATCTGTGGATATTTGTTTATTCTATTTTATAAAATATATTTGATATAGTGTTGGCAAAACCTAATAAACACAACACAAAATACAGTCTACATTCCTGTATAATGTCTCCTTCTGTTTTGAAAATCTTTTCAGTGTATAGACTGCAAAAAAGATTCTCTCTAACATATATCAATCGGTTTTAGATATTCAGCATTTGAAAATAAAGTTCCTGGAGAGAAACAAATATTCTGTTTGTTTTGATGTTCTACCCCTTTGGGGGCAATTTAAAAAAGTGATTTTATGACGAATTTATGAAGATTACCTTTGAAAGCTGAAATTCATTCATCTGATTAATATTTATTAAAGGCCTATTATGAGAGAGCATAAGGGGAACATCGAAGGTGAATACTGGTGTGCATTATAGTTCTTCAAGCAGTTTATAATGTTGTTAAAAGCTTTAAAAATAGACATAATACTTAAAGGCAGGAGTGGTGGCTCATGCCTATAATCCCAGCACTTTGGGAGACCCCGGCGGGCAGATTACCTGAGGTCAGGAGTTTGAGACCAGCCTGGCCAACATGGTGAAACCTTGTCTCTACTAAAAACACAAAAATTAGCCGGGTGTGGTGGTGCATGCCTGTAATCACAACTACCCGGGAGGATGAGGCAGCAGAATCCTTTGAACCCAGGAGGCAGAAGTTGCAGTGAGCCGAGATTGTGTCATGGCACTCCAGCCTGGGTGACAGAGCGAGATTCTGCCAAAAAAAAAAAAAAAAGACAACATGCTTAAATGACTGATGATATTAAAATAAATAGCTATAAAAGACAAATCTAAAAATTACTGAATCATGACATCTCAAAGTTGAAGGAACTTTAGGTTTCTCTAGCCCTATGCTTTTCAAAATGGGACATGCATATCTGGAGATATGCTTATTTTTTGACGGAGCAGCAATCAATCAAGGATAAGTCGAAGCCACAGGATGGATATGCCGTGCTTTCCTGGAACCTAAAGGTTTCCCAAAAATTAGAGGAAAACATTTTTATTTAAAAAATTATTCTCCCCCTCCCCCTCCCCCTCTCCCTCTCCCTCTCCGTCTCCCTCTCTCTCCACGGTCTCCTTCCACGGTCTCCCTCTGATGCCGAGCCAAAGCTGGACGGTGCTGCTGCCGTCTCGGCTCACTGCAACCTCCCTGCCTGGTTCTCCTGCCTCAGCCTGCCGAGTGCCTGCGATTGCGGGCGCGCGCCGCCAGGCCTGACTGGTTTTCGTTTTTTTTTTTGGTGGAGACGGGGTTTCGCTGTGTTGGCCGGGCTGGTCTCCAGCTCCTAGCCGCGGGTGATCCGCCAGCCTCGGCCTCCCGAGGTGCTGGGATTGCAGACGGAGTCTCGTTCACTCGGTGCTCAATGGTGCCCAGGCTGGAGTGCAGTGGCGTGATCTCGGCTCGCTACAACCTCCACCTCCCAGCCGCCTGCCTTGGCCCCCCAAAGTGCCGAGATTGCAGCCTCTGCCCAGCCGCCACCCCGTCTGGGAGGTGAGGAGCGTCTCTGCCTGGCCCCCCCATCGTCTGGGATATGGGGAGCCTCTCTGCCTGGCTGCCCAGTCTGGAAAGTGAGGAGCGTCTCTGCCCGGCCACCATCCCGTCTGGGAGGCGAGGAGCGCCTCTTCCCCGCCGCCCATCGTCTGAGATGTGGGGAGCGCCTCTGCCCCGCCGCCCTGTCTGGGATGTGAGGAGCACCTCTGCTGGGCCGCAACCCTGTCTGGGAGGTGAGGAGCGCCTCTTCCCCGCCGCCCATCGTCTGAGATGTGGGGAGCGCCTCTGCCCCGCCGCCCTGTCTGGGATGTGAGGAGCGCCTCTGCTGGGCCGCAACCCTGTCTGGGAGGTGAGGAGCGTCTCTGCCCGGCCGCCCCGTCTGAGAAGTGAGGAAACCCTCTGCCTGGCAACCGCCCCGTCTGGGAAGTGAGGAGCGTCTCCGCCCGGCAGCCGCCCCGTCCGGGAGGGAGGTGGGGGGGGGGTCAGCCCTCCGCCCCGCCAGCCGCCCCGTCCGGGAGGTGAGGGGCTCCTCTGCCCGGCCGCCCCTACTGGGAAGTGAGGAGCCCCTCTGCCCGGCCAGCCGCCCCGTCCGGGAGGGAGGTGGGGGGGTCAGCCCCCCGCCCGGCCGGCCGCCCCGTCCGGGAGGTGAGGGGCGCCTCTGCCCGGCCGCCCCTACCGGGAAGTGAGGACCCCTCTGCCCGGCCAGCCGCCCCGTCCGGGAGGGAGGTGGGGGGTCAGCCCCCCGCCCGGCCAGCCGCCCAGTCCGGGAGGGAGGTGGGGGGTCAGCCCCCCGCCCGGCCAGCCGCCCCGTCCGGGAGGGAGGTGGGGGGATCAGCCCCCCGCCTGGCCAGCCGCCCCGTCCGGGAGGTGAGGGGCGCCTCTGCCCGGCTGCCCCTACTGGGAAGTGAGGACCCCTCTGCCCGGCCAGCCGCCCCGTCCGGGAGGGAGGTGGGGGGGGTCAGCCCCCTGCCTGGCCAGCCGCCCCGTCCGGGAGGGAGGTGGGGGGATCAGCCCCCCGCCTGGCCAGCCGCCCCGTCCGGGAGGTGAGGGGCGCCTCTGCCCGGCCGCCCCTACTGGGAAGTGAGGAGCCCCTCTGCCCGGCCAGCCGCCCCGTCCGGGAGGGAGGTGGGGGGGGTCAGCCCCCCGCCTGGCCAGCCGCCCCATCCGGGAGGGAGGTGGGGGGGTCAGCCCCCCGCCCGGCCAGCCGCCCCGTCCGGGAGGGAGGTGGGGGGATCAGCCCCCCGCCTGGCCAGCCGCCCCGTCCGGGAGGTGAGGGGCGCCTCTGCCCGGCCGCCCCTACTGGGAAGTGAGGAGCCCCTCTGCCTGGCCAGCCGCCCCGTCCGGGAGGGTGGTGGGGGGGTCAGCCCCCCGCCCGGCCAGCCGCCCCATCCGGGAGGTGAGGGGCGCTTCTGCCCGGCCGCCCCTACTGGGAAGTGAGGAGCCCCTCTGCCCGGCCACGACCCCGTCTGGGAGGTGTGCCCAGCGGCTCATTGGGGATGGGCCATGATGACAATGGCGGTTTTGTGGAATAGAAAGGCGGGAAGGGTGGGGAAAAAATTGAGAAATCGGATGGTTGCCGGGTCTGTGTGGATAGAAGTAGACATGGGAGAGTTTTCATTTTGTTCTGTACTAAGAAAAATTCTTCTGCCTTGGGATCCTGTTGATCTGTGACCTTATCCCCAACCCTGTGCTCTCTGAAACATGTGCTGTGTCCACTCAGGGTTAAATGGATTAAGGGCGGTGCAAGATGTGCTTTGTTAAACAGATGCTTGAAGGCAGCATGCTCGTTAAGAGTCATCACCACTCCCTAATCTTAAGTACCCAGGGACACAAACACTGCGGAAGGCCGCAGGGTCCTCTGCCTAGGAAAACCAGAGACCTTTGTTCACTTGTTTATCTGCTGACCTTCCCTCCACTGTTGTCCTATGACCCTGCCAAATCCCCCTCTGCGAGAAACACCCAAGAATGATCAATAAAAAAAAAAAAAAAAAAAAAAAAAAAAAAAAAAAGACCATTTAGTAAAACTTTTCTTCCCCCCAAAAAAAAAAAATAAAATAAAAAAAATAAAAAATTATTTAGAGAAGAATGTAATATGCACATTAATTTCCTTATACTTATGTCTTTTCCCCTATTTTTTTTTTCTTTTTTTGAGACAGAATCTCACTCTGCCACCCAGGCTGGAGTGCAGTGGTACAATCTTGGCTCACTGCAACCACCATCTCCTGGGCTATCCCACCTCAGCCTTTCAAGTAGCTGGGACCACAGGCACCCGCCACCACACCTGGCTAATTTTTGTATTTTTTGTAAAGATGGGGTTATGCCACGTTGTCCAGGCTGGTCTCGAACTCCTGGACTCAAGACATCCGCCTGACTGGGCCTCCCAAAGTGCTCGGGTTACAAATGTGAGCTACCACACCCGGCCTTTCTTTTCCCCATATTATCTTCTGCTCTCATGAGAAAAGGAAAAGGCCTCAAGACACGGAAGACTTCAACAATTTTTATTTTCCCCTGTCTGCAAAGTAAACCCACATGTAGCAGGCCTACCAGGGTGGTTGCTAATATAGCATCATGAAACTTTTAAAGATAAAACATAGATTCCAAGTAAGCTGAGTGATTTGCAATTATACCCTCAGATGCTCAGCATTTCTTAGTTTACTCTTCTTTATAGACAGTTTAATGGGGAAAAAACTGAGAAACAATGATTCTCTAATGCTCTGTAAAAAGCATGAATTCTTGCTAAAACTTTCCCAATTGTGGTCTCCTACCTTTTTTTTTTTTTTTTTTTTTTTTTTTTAGACAAGTTCTTGCTTTGTTGCTTTGTTGCCCAGGCTGGAGTGCAGTGGCACAATCTCAGCTCACTGCAGCCTCAACCTCCTGGGCTCAAATGATCCTCCCACCTCAGCCTCCCGAGCAGCTAGGACCACAAGCATGTGCCACCACTCTCGGCTAATTTTTAAATTTTTTATAGTGACAGGATTTCACTATGTTGCCCAGGCTAGTCTTGCACTCCTGGGCTCAGGCAATCCTCCCGCCTCAGCCTCCCAAAATGCTGGGATTACAGGCATGAGCCACTGCACCTGGCCTCTCTTACTCTCTTGTACAAACTCAGTATAGTTGAACCTCTATATCTGTGAGTTCCACAGGCTTGGATTGAAAATAATTGAAAAACAAAATAACAATTAAAAATAATATGAATTTTAAAAACAATATGGTATAGCAACTATTTACATAGCATTTACATTGTATTAGGTATTATAAGTAGTCTAGAGATGACTGAAAGTATACAGGAGTATGTGTGTAGGTTATATGTAAATACTATGCCATTTCGTATAAAGGACTTGAGTGTCCTCGGATTTTGTTATCTGAGGAGGGTCCTGGAACCAATCAATCCCTCGTGGTTCCCAAAGGACAGCTGTACCAGGATATGCATCATCCACTTGGTGGCATGAGTTCAGAGGAAGAACAAAATCATGGTAGATAGAAGCTATAATAATCAAAATAATTGAAATAATCAAAAGCTTCATGATAGGCAGTGCTTGATTGAGACTTTGATGAATAGATAGGATTTGCACATTTATTTATCATTTGAATAGTGAAATGCATAAAAAATATTTGACTATTCATTTATCTTCATTGATGATCGGGCAGAGAATTCTGGGAATAGAGTATAGTGTAATGAAACCAGCATGGTCTTTGAAGACAGAGAGACTTGGGCCCAAGATCTGTCCCTTTTTTTTTTTTTCTTTGAGGCAGGGTCTCACCCTGTCACCTAGGCTGGAGTGCACTGGTGCAATCATAGGTCACTGCAGCCTCCAGCTCCTCAAGCAATCCTCCCACCTCAACCTCCTGAGTAGCTGGGACTACTAACATGTGCCACCACACCCAGCTAATTTTTGTATTTTTTGTAGAGACAAGGTTTCGCCATGTTTGCCCAAGCTAGTCTCAAACTCCTGGGTTTAATTAATCTGCCTGCCTTGGCCTCCCAAAGTGCTGGGATTACAGGAGTGAGCCACCACGCCCAGCAGATCTGGCACTGTCACTTAGGAAATGCATGGCATTGGGAAAGAATTCCTTCCTCACAAAGTCATCCTGATGGTTTTCTTAGCTACTGTGTGGGAATATGAAAGCGTGGCATCTGGGATATGTAAAATATGCTTGATAAAATTTCTCATCTCTCCAGGTGACAGGAACAGCATGAGCTTGTTGTCCTCACAACCTTGCTGTTCCTGTCATCTTCTCTCCAGGCGACAGGAACAGCAGGGTTGTGAGGGCTTGCTTCTGATACTTTAGCAACTGTTTGAGCTCAGTCTGGTTTGAGTGAAGGCTCATAGTAAAGCTATGATTACATAAAATTGAGATGTTATTCATATTTTACATAATCTTCTTAAGTAAAACTCTAATAAAATCCAGAGTTAACTAATTTACATGTAACTATAAAGTTCTTTATGTTAAGGAAACATGATTTGTCCAGCATAAGAAAATACTTTATTTCTTAGAAAGCAATATTCCTTGTTTACCTTGCTTCTTCTAAGGGAAGAAAAATTATATCTCTTATAATTACAGAATCATTTTCTGTTTTGGGGGATTTGGAGTTAGTGAGACTAAAAAACAATTTTGTGGGGTTTCATTCAGCTATTAGTTATTTTCCTTACTAACTACTGTCTCCCCTCACCAACTTCTATTGAAAAACCACAGCACAACCTGGCTAGTTCATTTTTAACAAAAATAACATGACTTGGAAATTGTGCTGCTGGTGCACATCTGGACTTCACCACTTAATCCTCACCATGAGAAGCACGAGGTGAGGTTTCATTATGGCCACCGTGTGAAGCTAAAATGGGGACTTCCCCTGGGAGTCTCCAGGGTGTACATTCCTGTGTCTGAGGCCAGCATGCTCCGGCAGTGACTCCCCAGGCCACTATTTTTGGACACCAGCTAGATTGTTCAATATGATACTTTGTTGTTTTTAAAAAGAGCCCAAAAAGGAGTCTGTGTGGGTGAAAGTGTGATTTTTGGAGTGCTTCTACTTCTGCATTCCCCAATTTTTGTTTTTCTCAGTTTACTGCCAGCCATATTATAGAACTTCTCTGGGGTATGAAGAAGTTGAATGACAGGCCTTTATGCATATACAGGAATTACTCATTCAACTTCTGCTGTGCAGCTGCCCAGGACTCTTCAAGGATGAGAGAACAGTAAACAAGAATGCATCAAAAATCTAGGACTGGGCAAAGGGCTAAAACAAAAGAATTATTTTTAATGGGAAAATGAACTAAGGAACCTCCTCTGATCATGAACATATAAGACATAGAGTAGTGGGAAAAGTTAGGTTTTGTAATCTAGCACGTAGAGATTTGAATTCTGTCTCCACCATTTCCTATCCATCCTCCTGCTCCATATTTCTTTGAATGTGTTACCTAATGTCATATGTTTCAGTTCTTCCATGTATAAAATGCGATCAAATAATAGTGATAATAGCTAACATTTATTGTGTACTTACTTTATGGAAGATTCTGTGCTAAGCACATTGCACATAGTATCTCATTTAAATCCAAGAGGTAGGAACTATTATTATTCCTATGTTCAGGCATAAATACTGAGGTGGCTTAGAGGTGAAACAAGTGTTTTGCAGGATAGCTAAAGATATCGTAGGCCAGGCATGGAGGCTCACGACTGTAATCCCAGCACTTTGGGAAGCTGAGGCTGGTGGATCACTTGAGGTCAGGAGTTTGAGATCAGCCTGGGCTACATAGTGAGACCTTGTCTTGAAAAAAATAATAATAATAACATAAACAAGTGTCTCAGCATGTTGCACAGAAGTTACTCTATAAATAATAACTGTTTTTATAAAATATTATCTTACGATAACTGCCATATTTAATAATGGTATATTAGAAGATGAGATATTTCAACACCACACATCTACAACCGTTTGATCTTTGACAAACCTGACAAACACAAGCAATGGGGAAAGGATTCCCTATTTAATAAATGGTGCTGGGAAAACTGGCTAGCCATATGCAGAAAACAGAAAACTGGACCACTTCCTTACATCTTATACAAAAATTAACTCAAGAGGGATTAAATACTTACATGTAAAAAGCAAAATCATAAAAACTCTAGAAGAAAACCTAGGCAATACCATTCAGGACATAGGCATGGGCAAAGACTTCATGACTAAAACACCAAAAGCAATGGCAACAAAAGCCAAAATTGACAAATGGGATCTAATTAAACTAGAGAGCTTCTGCACAGCAAAAGAAACTCATCAGAGTGAACAGGCAACCTACAGAATGGGAAAAAAATTTTGCAATCTAACCATCTGACAAAGATCTAATATCCAGAATCTACAAGGAACTTAAACAAATTTACAAGAAAAAAAACAAACAACCCCAGCAAAAAGTGGGCAAAGGATATGAACAGACACTTCTCAGAAGAAGACATTCTTGTGGCCAACAAACATGAAAAAAAGCTCATCATCACTGGTCATTAGAGAAATCCAAATCAAAACCACAATGAGATACCATCTCATGCCAGTTAGAATGGTGATTATTAAGTCAGGAAACAACAGATGCTGGCGAGGCTGTGGAGAAATAGGAATGCTTTTACACTGTTGGTGGGAGTGTAAATTAGTTGAACCATTGTGGAAGACGGTGTGACAATTCCTCAAGGATCTAGAACCAGAAATACCACTTGACCCAGCAATCCCATTACTGGGTATATACCCAAAGGGTTATAAATCATTCTACTATAAAGACACATGCACATGTATGTTTATTGCAGCACTATTGACAATAGCAAAGACTTGGAACCAACCCAAATGCCCATCAATGATAGACTGGATAAAGAAAATGTGGCACATTTATGCCATGGAATACTATGCAGCCATAAAAAGAATGAGTTCATGTCCTTTGCAGGAACATGGATGAAGCTGGAAACCATCATTCTCACCAAACACAGGAACAGAAAACCAAACACCACATGTTCTCACTCATAAGTGGGAGTTGCACAATGAGAACACATGGACACAGGGAGGGGAACATCACACACCAGGGCCTGTTGGGGGATGGGGGGCAAGGGGACAGAGAGCATTAGGACAAATACCTAATGCATGCAGGGCTTAAAACCTAGATGATGGGTTGACAGGTGCAGCAAACCACCATGGCACATGTATACCTATGCAACAAACCTGCACGTTCTGCACATGTATCCCAGAACTCAAAGTAAAATTAAAAAAAAAAAAAAGAATAACCAAAATTTCGTCTTTCTACTTCAAAGCTTCCCTTAAAGAAACGTAGAAGACGAGATATTTCAAAAATATAAGTTGTCACCATCAACAAGTTATCTGCACCCATAGTTCCAAGTTTTCTGATTAGTTATGAAATATGAGTAGATTTATGGTTCTCACATTTTGGTGTGAGTGAGTGAGTGCATAAAATTGCAGATTCTACAAATTTTGATTTCATGCATCCCAGGGCTCTGCCGTTTTGAAAAACATGCCAATAATTCATTCCAAATCTGGTGGTCAGTTTGGAGCCAAACTTTGATAGATATTGGCCTAGAAGATCTCCAAAGTCTCATCCAGCTCTAAAACGACAATATATATATTTTTAAACTGTCATGGGGTTATGGGGAAAAGGAGGTCGCTTTTCAACAAATTGAAATGCCAGGGAAAATTAGAGGTGCTCCAAATCACATGGAACTCTTCACAGGGTTTTTTTCTTTGTGGGTAGATACATTCCAAAGACCAAATTCCATATTAGTTGTTTGCTCAGAGATGCAATGTAAAGACTGATATGATTCCAAAGACTAGTAGAATAAATCTTGACCCAATTAGCTCTAAAATGGATGAGGGACAGTTCCTAAGGAAATTATAGCATATTAGAAACAACATGTTTTCTGTAGAATTGCCATTCTCATCTATAAAGATATTTCTTTCTAGAGAGTCTCGAAGTCCTGGAACCATGTTGGTAAATTCTTCCTCCTTGGTTCTCTTTTTCTTTTAGGGTCTGCACGGATGATTGCCTTTCTACTAATCAAATCACAACCCCTCTTGATTTCATTAAAATCAGTGTCCTTAATGAGATTTGAGAAGCAAACGAATTGACATCAGCAGCTCAAATTCTTTTTTTTTTTTTTTTTTTAGACGGAGTCTCGCTTTGTCGCTCAGGCTGGGGTGCAGTGGCGCGATCTGGGCTCACTGCAAGCTCCGCCTCCCAGGTTCACGCCATTCTCCTGCCTCCGCCTCCCGAGTAGCTGGGACTACAGGCGCCCACCACCTCGCCCGGCTAATTTTTTCTATTTTTTAGTAGAGACGGGGTTTCACCGTGTTAGCCAGGATCGTCTCGATCTCCTGACCTCGTGATCTGCCCGCCTCGGCCTCCCAAAGTTCTGGGATTACAGGCGTGAGCCACTGCGCCCGGCCAGCAGCTCCAAATTCTTTAGTTCACACTGCAGCCGGTTTCCCCCTCCCCACAACCCCTCACCCTTCTTACCCACCCATCACCGATCCACACACTCCCCGCCCATATCCACACATTGGCTAAAATTACCAATCAATGAGGGCCTTTTCACTTTGTTACCAGAGGAGGAAAGGGAGAGTCAACCATCTCAGTATGGTTAGAAAACAACACTACTAACTCGGTACATGCCAGCACTTTGGGTAATTTATTCAGCCTGCCCCTACCTCCATGCATTCGGGTTACTTTAGACCTCCATCCATAGGTTCCCTAAAGGAGGTATGGCTACAGCAAAAAATAAGTAAAATCAAAATTCTCCTATTGAGATGATTTTCCTGGATGTGCTCTGTAATTAGTTATTTACGCTCCGAGCAAATAATCCTAAAATCTTGATTAAGACAGACTAGAAAAGTCACATTGTGCATGATTTCATTTATAGGGAAGTATTTAATTTATATGAAAATATATCCGGGATAGGTAAATCCCTAGAGGCAGAAAGCAGACTGGTAGTTGCCCAGGGGCTAGAGAGGAGACTAGGGAGTTGCTACTTAAGGAATATGAGGTTTTCTTTTGGGGATAGGAAAAAGTTTTGAAAATAGAGGTGGTTGGGCCGGGCGCGGTGGCTCACGCCTGTAATCCCAGCACTTTGGGAGGCCGAGGCGGGGCAGATCACGAGGTCAGGAGATCGAGACCAACCTAGCTAACACGGTGAAACCCCGTCTCTACTAAAAATACAAAAAAAAATTAGCCGGGCGTGGTGGCGGGCGCCTGTGGTCCCAGCTACTCGGGAGGCTGAGGCAGGAGAATGGCGTGAACCCGGGAGGCGGAGCTTGCAGTGAGCCGAGACCTCGCCATTGCCCTCCAGCCTGCGCGACAGAGCAAGACTCCGTCTCAAAAAAAAAAAAAAAGAAAAGAAAAAGAAAAAGAAAAAGAAAATAGAGGTGGTAGTTACACAAGTCTGTATGTACCAAACGCCACTCAATTGTACACTTTAAAATGCTTAATAGTGTGTTATGTCAATTTCACCTTAATTTTTAAAAATCCTGATTAAGAGGAAAAGTCCTCCGCTCAGGCGGCCCTGCTAAAGTGCTCTTCACTGCTGTCCTCTTCAGCTCAACATGGTGGCCTACCGGGCGATTGGCATCCTCAGCCGCTTCTCTGACTTCAGGATCCTCTGATCCCAAGGTTATATACGCCGCAATTTTACAGAGTCTTCTGCTTTGCTGACCAGAACCCATATTAACTATGGAGTCAAAGGGGATGTGGCAGTTATTCGAATTAAATCTTCCACTTCAAAGGTAAATACACTGAGTAAAGAGCTGCATTCAGAGTTCACGGAAGTTATGAATGAAGTCTGGGCTACTAATCAAATCAGAAATGCTGTCCTTATTTCATCCAAAGCCAGGCCGCTTTATTGCAGGTGCTGATATCAATATGTTAGCCACTTGCAAGACCCCTCAAGAAGTAACACAGGTATCACAAGAAGCACAGAGAACATTTGAGAAACTTGAAAAGGCCGCAAAGCCTGTTATAGCTGCCATCAGTGGATCCTGCCTGGGAGGAGGGCTTGAGCTTGCCATTTCATGCCAATACAGAATAGCAACAAAAGATGGAAAAACAATATTAGGTGCCCCTGAAGTCTTGCTGGGGATCTTACCAGGAGCAGGAGGCACACAAAGGCTGCCCAAAATGGTGGGTGTGCCTGCTGTTTTTGACATGATGCTGACTAGTAGAAACATTCATGCAGATAGCGCAAAGAAAATGGGACTGGTTGACCAATTGGTAGAACCCCTGGGACCGGGAATAAAACCTCCAGAGGAATGGACAATCGAATACCTGGAAGCAGTTGCAATTACTTTTGCCAAAGGACTAGCTGATAAGAAGATCTCTCCAAAGAGAGACAAGGGATTGGTGGAAAAATTGACAGCGTACACCATGACTATTCCATTTGTCAGGCAACAGGTTTACAAAAAAGTGGAAGAAAAAGTGCAAAAGGAGACTAAAGGCCTTTATCCTGCACCTCTGAAAATAATTGACGTGGTAAAGACTGGAATTGAGCGAGGGATTGATGCTGGTTATCTCTCTGAATCTCAGAAATTTGGATAGCTTGCAATGACCAGTGAATCAAAGGCCTTGATGGGTCTCTACCATGGTCAGGTCTTGTGCAAGAAGAATAAATTTGGAGCACCACAGAAGGATGTTAAGCGTCTGGCTATTCTTGGTGAAGGGCTGAAGGGAGCAGGCATCACCCAAGTCTCTGTGGATAAGAGGCTAAAGACTATACTTAAAGATGCCACACTCACTAGGCTAGGCCAAGGACAGCAACAAGTGTTCAAAGGATTGAATGATAAAGTGAATAAGAAAGCTCTAACATCATTTGTAAGGGATTCCATCTTCAGCAACTTGACTGGGTGTGGGGAAAAGAGAGATCAGACGGTTACTGTGTCTATGCGGAAAGAAGAAGACATAAGAGACTCCATTTTGTTCTGTACTAAGAAAAATTCTTCCGCCTTGAGATGCTGTTAATCTGTAACCCTACCCCCAACCCTGTGCTTGCGGAAACATGTGCTGTGTCGACTCAAGGTTTAATGGATTTAGGGCTATGCAGGATGTGCTTTGTTAAACAAATGCTTGAAGGCAGCATGCTCATTAAGAGTCATCACCACTCCCTAATCTCAAGTACACAGGGACACAAACACTGCGGAAGGCCGCAGGGACCTCCGCCTAGGAAAGCCAGGTATTGTCCAAGGTTTCTCCCCATGTGATAGTCTGAAATATGGCCTCGTGGGAAGGGAAAGACCTGACCGTCCCCCAGCCCGACACCCGACACCCGTAAAGGGTCTGTGCTGAGGAGGATTAGAAAAAGAGGAAAGCCTCTTTGCAGTTGAGATAAGAGGAAGGCATCTGTCTTCTGCTCATCCCTGGGCAATGGAATGTCTCGGTGTAAAACCCGATTGTATATTCCATCTACTGAGATAGGAGAAAACCGCCTTAGGGCTGGAGATGAGACATGCTGGCAGCAATACTGCTCTTTAATGCATTGAGATGTTTATGTATGTGCACATCAAAGCACAGCACCTTTTTCTTTACCTTGTTTATGATGCAGAGACATTTGTTCACATGTTTTCCTGCTGACCCTCTCCCCACTATTACCCTATTGTCCTGCCACATTCCCCTCTCCGAGAGGGCAGAGATAATGATCAATAAATGCTGAGGGAACTCAGAGACCGGTGCCGGCGCCGGTCCCCTGGGCCCACTTTTCTTTCTCTATACTTTGTCTCTGTGTCTCTTTCTTTTCTCAGTCTCTCGTCCCACCCGACGAGAAACACCCACAGATGTGGAGGGGCAGGCCACCCCTTCAACTGGGCAGCTTGATTAGCAACGTTTTAAAGGTCGACATGGTGATTGAAGCTGTGTTTGAGGACCTTAGTCTTAAGCACAGAGTGCTAAAGGAAGTAGAAGCGGTGATTCCAGATCACTGTGTCTTTGCCAGTAACACATCTGCTTTCCCAATCAGTGAAATCGCTGCTGTCAGCAAAAGACCTGAGAAGGTGATTGGCATGCACTACTTCTCTCCCATGGACAAGATGCAGCTGCTGGAGATGATCACAACCGAGAAAACTTCCAAAGACACTCAGTGCTTCAGCTGTGGCAGTCAGTCTCAAGCAGGGGAAGGTCATCATTGTGGTTATGGATGGACCTGGCTTCTATACCACCAGGTGTCTTGCACCCATGATGTCTGAAGTCATCCGAATCCTCCAGGAAGGAGTTGACCTGGAGAAGCTGGATTCCCTGACCACAAGCTTTGGCTTTCCTGTGGGTGCCGCCACACTGGTGGATGAAGTTGGCGTGGATGTAGCGAAACATATGGCGGAAGATCTGCGCAAAGCCCTTGGGGAGCGGTTTGGAGGTGGAAACCCAGAACTGCTGACACAGATGGTGTCCAAGGGCTTCCTAGGTCGCAAGTTTGGGAAGGGCTTTTACATCTATCAGGAGGGTGTGAAGAGTAAGAATTTGAATTCTGATGTGGATAGTATCTTAGTGAGTCTAAAGATGCCTCCTAAGTCTGAAGTCTCCCCAGGTGAAGACATCCAGTTCCGCCTGGTGACAAGATTTGTGAATGAGGCAGTCATGTGCCTGCGAGAGGGGATCTTGGCCACACCTGCAGAGGGAGACATCGCAGCTGTCTTTGGGCTTGGCTTCCCGCCTTGTTTTGGAGGGCCTTTCTGCTTTGTGGCTCTGTATGGCCCCCAGAAGATAGTGGCCCGGCTCAAGAAGTATGAGGCTGCCTATGGAAAACAGTTCACTCCATGCTAGCTGCTAGCTGACCATGCTAATAGCCCTAACGAGAAGTTGTACCAGTGAGCAGGTCTCATGCTTCGCTCAGTCAGTGCACTAACCCTAGCTGTGGGCAGTGCTGGTTTTCCAACAGAGTGGCATCTAGACTTATCAGAGTAACGAGAAGGAAGACAAACCCTGGCACTGGGTTTGCTCCCTGATTAAAGTGCCTTCAGCCAAGACCATCTCTCCCTCCTGGTGAAGTCTGACTGTGAATTAGAGTTTGCACTTCCTATTGGAAGGTGGAACCCGCTGTGCTCATTGTATAAGCCCTGAGGCCTAGAGTGGCAGCCAAGAGCCATCTGGAGCCATCTCTGCCTGTTCCTCCCAGGAGGCCAGGGTGGCCAGGGGTGGTGAGGGCAATTCTGCACCCAGCCAAACACATAATAGTAAAAACCGAACTCTGTGTCAGCGTCTCTGCCTCTCTGCCTGGTTGTTCCTTTATCTTCTGTCTTTGTCCTGGTTTAAATGCCTCCTTCGAAAAGCAAGCTGGAAGAAAGCCCTGTGCTTTGGGAGTAAGAACGTTTGTGCAGAATTCTAGGCAGCACCTTAGGGAGGGACTGTGATGAGACAAAGTGGGACCTGGTGGGCTCAAAACCACACACACCTGCCTGTGTAGATGCTTTGCCTGGGCTTCTGCTCACCATGGTGTACCAGGATATTAAAGCTCTTTCCCCAGAAGAAAAAAAAAAACTGATTAAACTCAGAGACTTCTAGGGACTGAATAGCCAGAAAAAAGAAACAAGCAATGACTGGGCTATTCTCTCTTTAGGGATGCTATTAGTTTGTACAATCAGAGGAGAAAGTCCATAAATAAGGGGTGCAGAAATGATAAGTGCTCTGGGACTGAGGAGAAGAAAGAACAGATATGGGAATGGGAGGAAAGAGCCCAGGATATCAGTGGAAAGTTCACTTGGCCAAAACTAGGCAGCAGATGTGTAGAGGAGAACTAAAGGCAGTGAGCAGATGTATGCCTTCCCTGAACAGGAGCATGATAAATTTATAGTATAATTTAAAGCATTACTTTATTTTTTATTATCAAAAATGATAAAAACCTGAAAAGAAAACAAGACAATGAATGTCATTGTAGGAGGCAAAAGGTGTTATTAAAAGCAGAAAGAAACAACTTGAGCAATAAAGTGACTCTAGGCCGGCCGCGGTGGCTCACGCCTGTAATCCCAGCACTGTGGGAGGCTGAGGCGGGAGGATCATGAGGTCAGGATTTCAAGACCAGCCTGACCAACACGGTGAAACCCCGTCTCTACTAAAAATACAAAAATTAGCCGGGCGTGGTGGTGCACGCCTGTAATCCCAGCTACTCAGGAGGCTGAGGCAGGAGAACTGCTTGAACCCGGGAGGCAGAGGTTGCAGTGAGCTGTGATTGTGCCATTGCACTCCAGCCTGGGTGACACAGCATCTCAAAAAAAAAAAAGAAGTGACTCTAATTTAATCTTCAAATGCAGAGGCCATGTCTTAGTTAACTTTGCATCCCAGCACTGCCCTGGGCACTTGGTGTTCAAAAGTTGTTTGTTGACTAAAGGATAATGACTCACTCACATTTACATAGGGCCTATGTGCCGGTGCTACCCTAAACCACTTAATTCATTTAATCTCGCAGTAGCCTTAAGGGTTTTGTATCACTGATCTCTTTTACAGATGAGAAAAGTGAGGCATAGAATGGTTTGAATCATAATGGTGGGGCGGAGGCTAAAGTAACTCCATCTTGGCTGCTAAAACACCACGTTGACTTCTGATTAACCCCCAGTTCCAGTAATACCTCTAAGATCTCTACTTTATCTACTGTTAAGAACACATATTTACCATAAGTCTAGCCCCTAGATTAAAACAACCTTGATGTTATCATAAACAGGCACTTACTATGAATCCTGCCCTTAAGCAAATTATAGGCTATGATTCAGGTAGCATTCTTGCCTTTCCCTGAGGGGTGGCCTTCAATTGTCCTACACAACCCTTCTGAAGCACGGATGCCCTTTCCCTATGGTATGTAAGCCCTGGGTCTGGGTTGGGGTAACAGCAAGGGGATCCACCATCTTGCAGATGCCTGGGACATGGCTTCTGCTTTTAAGTTCTTATTAAATGTTTTTTTTGCTGAGAAACTGGGCATGTCTGCCTCTTTATCTGGCCTTTCAGCTCCCTCAGCCTTTGGGGGTAGGTTTGCATAGGCCTCCTCCCCGTAGAAGAGGTGGAGTCAGGATTTGCACCCATATAGTCTAGCTCCAGAGTATGTGCTCTGACACATAGGCTATCCTTCCTGAAGGAGTCAGTCAAAGAAATCAGGATAAAGAGAAAGACTGATGAGCCAGTAAACACACTGATTCTCTACCCTTCCGAGAAGAGGAAAAATCGGAACCTCTTTGGCCTTTTCCAGGTTCTTGTTTCTGGCCAGATTCATAGCTAACAGCCACTGGCTGAGTCTCCACAGAATTCCTGGGGAGTGTATGTGATGTGTGAAAACAAAAGAGACACCTGTGCTCTGACTCAACTTGTTTGTTTTTGTGTTTGTTTGCTTGTGAGACAAGGCTCTCACACCTTTTGTTGCCCAGGGTGGCCTTGAACTCCTGGGCTCAAGGAGTCTTCCTGCTTCAGCCTGTGGAGTAGCTGGGATTATAGGCAGGAACCACCACACTAAGTTTCTCTGCCTCAGTTCTGAATAAGAGAGCACTTCACATCCAGTGGACATGAAAGCATTCTACACCTTGAGGTAAGCAAGAAAACAAGCAGGGCCATAGCCTCTAGTTCTAGTTTCCAAAATAAATAAAATCTTCAAGTCTCCTCCATAAGTTACTGACTCTGTCATGCAAACAACTGCACTCTGACTTTGCCAATGGCAATCTCTGAAGGTGGGTAATAATCTTTGAGGATATGAGAACCATATACAAAAAAAAAAAAATCGGACAGGTTGTGGTGGCTTATGCCTGTAATCCTAGCACTTTGGGAGGCCAAGGCAGGAGGATCACTTGAGGCCAGGAGTTCGAGATCAGCCTGGCCAAAATAACGAAACCCCAAAATACAAAAACAATGAGCTGGGCGTGGCGGTGCATGCCTGTAATCCCAGCTATTCAGGAGGCTGAAGCGTAAGAATCCCTTGAACCTGGGAGGCGGAGGTTGCACTAAGCCAAGATCACACCACTGCACCCCAGCCTGGGCCACAGAGTAAGACTCTGTCTCAAAAAAATAAAAAATAAAAAATAAAAAATCCCACCACGAACAGATAAACAGTAAGTCTAGTGACTTTAGGAATCTAATTTGTTTCTCTTTCAGTAGGTTGTATTTTTTATTCCAGTTTTTCTAAGGTGTAGCCTCCCAAACAAGCCTTTGGCAAGCAAGTAAACTACTCCTTTGTCTTGGAGTCTTCCTTTTGCAACTGGATTAACTTTTAGAACTTTTAGACCTTTGAGAAGTTTTAGAGTTTTAGAATTCAGGCGTGGGTCTGCCGCACCAAAACTGTGTGAACTTGGTCAGGTCTTATTAAACCTTTTTCTCTGTCTGAAAAATATGAATAATAATACTTCTGCTTCCCACCACACAGGGAATATGATGTTTGTTTAAAAAAAAAGCACAGAACACTTTATTAAAAAGTTGTTGTTGTTGTTGTTGTTTTAGTCTATTTTGTGTTATTGAGTCTGTCACCAACTGAGTAATTTATAAAGAAAAGAAATTTATTTCTCACAGTTCTGGAGGCTGAGAAGTCCAAGAACATGGTGCCATCATCTGATGAGAGTCATCCCATGGTGGAAGGACAGCAAGTGCAAGCAAACTGGTGAGGCAGAGAGAAGAAATCGGGCAAAACTCCCTTTTATTATAAACCCAGTCTCGTGATAACTAACCTACCCCTGCAATAACAGCAGCAGTAATCCATTTATGATCGATTTGCCATCACCTAATCACCTCTTTTCTTTTCTTTTCTTTTTTTTTTTTTTTTGAGATGGAGTCTTGCTCTGTCACCCAGGCTGGAGTACAGTGGTGCGATCTCGGCTCACTGCAAGCTCCGCCTCCCAGGTTCAAGCAATTCTCATGGCTCAGCCTCCTGAGTAGCTGGGATTACAGGCATCCACCACCACACCTAGCTAATTTTTGTATTTTCAGGAGAGACGGGGTTTCACCATATTGGCTGGAGTTGGCTGGTCTTGAACTCCTTACCTCAAGTGATCTTCCTGCCTCAGCCTCCCAAAGTGTCGAGATTACAGATGTGAGCCACTGCTCCCGGCCCTAATCATTTCTTCTTCTTTTTTTTAAGATAGAGTTTCGCTCTTGTTGCCCAGGGTGGAGTGCAATGGCACAATCGTGACTCACTGCAGCCTCCACCTCCTGGGTTCAAGCGATTCTCCTGCCTCAGCCTCCCAAGTAGCTGGAATATAGGCACCCACCCCTACGCCTGGCTAATTTTTTGTATTTTTAGTAGAGACAGGGTTTCGCCATGTTGGCCAGATTGGTCTCGAACTCCTGACCTCAGATTATCCCCCTGCCTCGGCCTCCCAAAGTGCTGGGATTATAGCATGCCCGACCCCTAATCACCTCTTAAAGACCCCACATCAATTAAAACTCAACATGAGTTTGGGAGGGGACAAACATTCAAACCATAACAATGCTGTCCTAGAGTTCCAAAGACCACATTTGGAATAATTCCACTTTTAAAAAAGTTTTACTTTTAAAAAATTGTTTTACAGACAGGATCTCACTCTGTCACCCAGGCTGTTGTACAGTGATACCATCATAGCTCACTGTAACCTCGGCCTCGTGGGCTCAAGCAATCCTCCTGCCTCAGCATACCCAGTAGCTGGGACTACAGGGGCAGCTACCATGCCTGGCTAGTATTTTAATTTTCTGTAGAGACAGTCTTGCTATGTTTCTCAGGCTAGTCTTGAACTCCTGCCTTGGTCTCCCAAAGCGTTGGGATTACAGATGTGAGCTACTGAGTCTGGCCAAAAAAAAAATTTTAATTACATTTAAATTAGGACCAGGAACAGCGGCTCATTCTTGTGATCTCAACACTTTGGGAGGCCGAGGTGGGAGAATCACTTGAGGCTGGGAGTTCAAGACTAGTCTGGGCAACATAGCCAGACCCCCATCTGTATGAGGAAAAAAAAAAGGTACATTTAAACACACTTTAAACAGTAGAGAAACTAGTATCTCTGGTATTGCACATTTTTTGCAAGTTTCCTACTCATTGGCTAGCCAGCAAGATTCATCTGTTTCGTTACAAGGGAAAGAATGGAAAAGCCAACCTACTCAAGAACAGTTTAACAGAAACCAATCAGCTTAAGTAGAAAAAAAAAAATCCTATAGTCTTATTAATTAATTAATAAGTCTTACTTAATAGTTAATAGTTAATAATACTTAATAGTTAATAGCTAATACTTAATAGTTAATAAGTCTTAATTAATAGTCTTACTAAACCTTTGAACACATAATCTTGTTAATTCACAGAACCACCCCTAAGGCAGGTATGTTGCCACCAATTTACAGCTGAGAAGCTACTTGCTTGGCATCATACCACTAGTGAGTGCCAAGTCTGGACTGGCACTGAAACAAAGACCAATTATTTGAAATTAAAATGAACAGGATAAGTGTCACTTTTTTTTTTTTTTTTTTTTTTTTTGAGACGGAGTCTCGCTCTGTCACCCAGGCTGGATGCAGTGGCGCCATCTCGGCTCACTGCAAGCTCCGCCTCCCGGGTTCACGCCGTTCTCCTGCCTCAGCCTCTCCGAGTAGCTGGGACTACAGGCGCCCGCCACCACGCCGGGCTAATTTTTTTTTAATTTTAGTAGAGACGGGGTTTCACCGTGGTCTCGATCTCCTGACCTCGTGATCCACCCGCCTCGGCCTCCCAAAGTGCTGGGATTACAAGCGTGAGCCACCGCGCCCGGCCAAGTGTCACTTTTATTGTACCTAGAACCATGTTGATTTGGGGATCTAGACATCCCATATATCAATGATGTAATAATTTTTTTTAGTTTCTACATGACAAGAGAGAAATTACTGCTACTACGTCCGGCTGATTTTTGTGTTTCTAGTAGAGATGGGGTTTCGCCATGTTGGCCAGGCTGGTTTCAAACTTCTGACCTCAGGTGATCTGCCTGCCTCACCTTCCCAAAGTGCTGGGATTACAGGTGTGAGCCACCGCGCCTGGCCTGCTTATTTGTGTTACTACTACTTCATTCCCCATTCCCCTAAAATCTCATCCATTTTCAAGAATAGATGGATTTATAGAGGTTTATACAAATGGAAGAAATGTTTCTTTGTACAATTCTCATTACCCTTCATTATAACTCCTTGTTTTTGATCATTTGGGACAGAACCACATATTAGGAAATGGTATACAGTGATGCAGTTGATACCTTAACACCCATCAATCTCTTCAATATAATACAGATTATTTTCCATAAAATGAATTTCCTTATACTTGCTCAAAACTTATCTATTCTGGTTTGGTTTGGGGTTTTTGTTTGTTTGTTTGTCTGGTGGAGGAGGGAAGACAAGGTGGATCTCCCACAAATTTATGAGATCATCTTGAATACCTATGGATTGTTACATAAATTTAACCAAACACTCCATAAAGCTACACAGTACAGATGTATAGCCAGGTAAGTACCCAGGAGAAAGGAAAAGGGAGAGGAAAGGGAAAAATACCAGAGGTAGAGAAAAGAACTGCAAGACCCAAGGGTTAGGAATAAACTAGAACCTTACTCTAAGTGATTGGACAAGTTGAAAAATAACACCAAATCATTATCAGCTATTAAAAAAAAATGAGGGTTTGAGGTAAAGTGAAGTTCGATTTGTCAACAGGAAGCTGTGGGCTCTGCACCTCTATTTATATAAACATTTGCTTTTTCCATCTTGGGTTCTGCCCAGAATTTGTCGTCTGACTGCTGCTTCTGGGTCTGCTTGACTGGTTTTTAGAGAAAAAAAGAAAGAAAGAAAGAAAGAAAGAAAACAAAACTGTGGCCACCTGTTCCTCTCCTTACCGCAGTCTTAACAAGTCACTTTCCCTGATGTTTGGTTGGTGAAAATGCTCAAAGATACAAGGGCTTCCGTTTTTATCAGAGTATTGCTTTATTAAGTAAGGCCTCCCTGAGCTGACAAAGCTACAAGGACAGTCCTGCCTCTCCTCCACTGTGCTCCTGATGTCTTTCTGTTTTACCCTAAGTTTCCAGATCCCCCAGGACCCCTTCCCCACTTCTCAAATTCCCTTTGAATTTGGAATTTGACAGTTTCCATCTTTTAGCTTCCTGGCTCCCCAACCCTGGTGTCAGCCTGTTGTCACTCTCTCATCTGGCTATCCCCTGGTCTGGTGCCATCTTTGTTCCCACTTCTTTTAGGATTGTTTTCCTTCTTCATTGTGTTACAGCTGCTTCAGTACAAAAGGAAGAGGGATCTTAGAGGTTGTTTGTGCCTTCTCACCAGGTGTAAAGTGGTTAGTTAAACATCTAACTTTGGCCACAAGTACCCTGAAGCAGAGAAGGGAGGAGCTTGTGTCTAGCAACATATACTGCTGTATATGTCATCAAAGTAAGACTCAGAAATTGGGAAACCAGCTGCGGTTTGCACTCTCTGCCATGAGTCAAAACAATACTGAGTGTGCATAGAACTGTATTTAGTGAGTAGAAGACACACTCAAATTTCCAGAATGTGTTCATTTGAGGAGAAAGTAGAATTTTCTTGAATCGTAAGCATGGAATATGGAAAAAGCCTCAGAGTAGAATCAACTCAATTAGAGAAGGGAAAATAAAAGTGAATCTTTATGAATAGGTAGATGAGGCTGCTATCTATTCAGGATACCAGGAGGGCATTCAATATCTACTGATATTTTTACCAAATTCTTTAATTCTAACATTAAAGATCCATTATTTTGGTTTAAAAAATGGCTTTTCATTGAAAGCCATTGCTTAGCAAGGTTGTCATTTGGGCTCACCAGGAAAAAAAATATATTAACACCTTAATGAGTAAAAACTTTCTTCTGAATCTTCTTTTATTTTTTGAGACGGAATTTCACTGTTGTTGCCCAGGCTGGAGTGCAGTGGCATGATCTTGGCTCATTGCAACCTCCACCTCCCTGATTCAAGCGATTCTCTTGCCTCAGCCTCCCGAGTAGCTGGGATTACAGGCACCCGCCACCATGCCTGGGTAATTTTTTTGTATCTTTCTTAGAGACAGGGTTTTATCATGTTGGCCAGGCTGGTCTCAAACTCCTGACCTCAGGTGATCCGCCCACCTCAGCCTCCAAAAGTGCTGGGATTACAGGCGTGAGCCACCACGCCCGGCTGATACACATTTTTTAAAGTGGAATAAAAGTTCATAAATTCAGGCCTTTTTCGTAAACATAGAAGAGAAAAAGAACCAGAACAAAAGACATTTTATTTTGAGAAATAAATTGGAAAAAAATATTTTAAAATGTTTAATTTGCAATATACATAATACTGGAATTGAAATGCTGTCTGATGGAAATGTTGCAATGTGGAGTAGGAGGGTCAAGTTCGTGAAGATATTCTTAAAATTAATCTTGGAAACTCTGTGCCTATGAGGTTTCTCTAAAGTGGCTAAAATATGCATTTAATATGTTGTCTAAATGAGTACATTTAATTCTAGAGACTGTAAGGAGTAGAGATTATATGCTTTGGGGCTTTTTGTAGCATTTTTTTAAAATCAGTTGTACAGATCCCATTAAACGAAATTGTTTCTTAACAGCAAGAATCTGATCATTTAACTAGTTTTCTCAGCAATATAAAAGGAATACAACCTCCACTGTCATATATAACTTGTTGTCTCCTAGCTCCTATTTGAATTCCATTGGCTTTTATAGAAAGTTATTGAGTTAGTCAGACAGAAGGATTCATGATATATAATTTGTCATTTGTTATAATGGGATTTTCTTCTATTCCATTGTGGACTGCTACCCTCACCTAGGATAAAGCAGATATGGTTGCTATGAATTAGACTGTATCTAAGCTTCAAGAAATATGAATAATGCATTTAAATCCAGAGAATCATAGAATTAAAGGAAATCTTAGAACTAAGAATATATATAATATATATATATATTTCTTAAGATGGACTTTTGCTTTTGTCACCCAGGCTGGAGTGCAATGGCGCCATCTCGGCTCACTGCAACCTCTGCCTCCCAGGTTCAATTGATTCTCCTGCCTCAGCCTCCCGAGTAGCTGGGATTACAGGCACGTGCCACCACGCCCAGCTAATTTTTGTATTTTTAGTAGAGATGGGGTTTCACCATGTTGGCCAGGCTCGTCTCAAATTTCTGACCTCAAGTGATCCACCCGCCTCAGCTTCCCAAAGTGCTCAGATTACAGGCATGAGCCACTGCGCCCAGCAGTACTAAGATAAATTTAACCTTCTCATTTTAAAGATGAGGAAATTAAACCAGGACCTAATGAAGGAAAATGGCTTATCCAAGGCTACGTGGTTACTGCTAGAGCCAGGATAAGAATGTGGGTTGTCTGAATATTGTGTTTCTTTCACTCTTTCGTATTAACTATTAGGCAAACTTTCTGTCTGCCTATTAAAATTCAAGTCTGAATGCCCTTCTTAGGCCCCAATCAGGATATCCAAAAGCCACTTGCACAATAATTCGACCGTGCACTTGTTAAGTTGTGAAGATGAACGAAGTAGCAACTCAAGGAAACGTCAACCAATGGTATGATTTCACATTAAGTTGTCTAATTTGCTTTGTGGTGGTGGGTTCATCCCGGTACTACCCATAAACGAATCAGTAAATGAGACTTAGTTTCCAACCTTACTTCCCGACTAGACAACTGCATGAAAAATTGGATAGCGAATTATGAGTCCAAGTTCTATAGCTGGCATAGTCCTCATGCTTTAGCCCCAGCCTCTGAGCTTAGCAGAAGACATTTTGGGTCCTTATATATTGCTAGTAGGATTGTATAATTCTTGACTGTGTTGCAGAATCTTACAGGACTACAAAACTTACCATGATGTGTCTTATAAGGAAGACTTGCCAGGCAAATTTTCGGGCAAGCCAGCAAAATAGTTAAAGTAAGAGTAAAGAGGAACACGTGAATGATGGGGAGTTGGTCTAGGAAAATATTGTGAGGAAAATAAATGAAATTCTATGGTTAGCCCAAATAGACAAAGATAGCTTCTTCAACCCTAAGATCTATATCAGACAGATTCAATAGTAAAGATTATTAGCCTAAAGTTTAGTCTCCCTTGAAATTGTACATAGAATGTTTGTATATAAGCCATATAGTCATCATCTATTCACTGTGTCTATGATATTGAGAAGCAGCAAAATTATGCAATAATATAGACTTTGTATTTTAAGTGCTAGAAAATGAGATAAATGTTATCAGTTTGGGTGAAAAAGTAGAGAGTAGGGGTAAAAGCTGGACATTGCAAAAGGATTGGTTTAAGAAATACTGTCTAAGGGTTAGCTGTCAATGGTTGGAGAAGAAGGAGATCCTCCTTCCTCTCACCCATACATTTTTTCTTCTTTCCTCTTTTTCAATGATCACAGACCATTGGGTCTCTGCAAATCCACATTTTCACAGGGAGGAAGTCGGAAGTAATTGGAGCGACGGAGTCTCCTAGGGGGCAGACCAGCCATCTGACGGCAAAGCTCATCTAGAAGAGAAGCAGAACATCATGGGAAGAGAATGCAGAAGATAACAAAGGCTCTTGTTTTAAGGGATAGAGAAGACTTTTCAGTGTGGTGTAGTGAAAAGGTTGGAGAGAAAAAGATCCGGGTTTTAACCAGCTCTGCCACTTACTTTAGTTATTTGCCACTTCCTAGAAAGTTTCTTAAATTTTATAAACCTCACTATCCCTTTCTGTAAAATGAGAATTAAAATACCTACCTCAACAGTATATTTCTGAGTATTAAAATGAAATCATGTATGCAAAGTACCTAGCACAGGTGAGCAGTAAATGTTAGTTTCCTTTATATATCCAGCTGCCAATTCTTCTAATCATGGATCTATTAAATAGAAAAATGAGATCCAATCATTCAGTATACATTTACGTGCTTACTATGGGCAAACAGCTAACTTTAGGAAGTCCCTTGAGATACTTGAAAGTGCCTAGAGTCCCAAATACCCATCCTCAATCTCAAGGTGCTTCCCTTGCAGGTGGCTTGCACAAAGCCAATGGGGGCACACAGCAAGTTTCCTTCTGCGAAGTTAACTACAGCTCTTACTCAGGAACTCAGCACAAAGCGGGCTGCTGAGTCAGAAATGGCTTTGTCTGTGGTGTTTTCACCAACCACAGCCATCGTTCGGGGCTGGCCATGGGGAAGGTGAGAGTATCTTTGTTTCCACCATGTATGGTCTACAACCACACATTTTGGGCCCTCGTAATTGCCCCATAACATCTTTCTACCTTCTTCTACCTGAAATGTCACAGTAAGAAATGTTCATTGTTCTTGGAATTGGTGAACTATTTATAACATAGCTGATTTCTAAATGTCCCATCTATTTTTTATTTATAGGCCCTATCCAAACCTTACTGTCTCCAAATTAGTGCATGTGCGTGTGTATGTTTTATTTTTAGTTATGAACATGGCTGCGGACTAGCAGAGTCTATTATCTGTAATGGCTGACTTGAAATTTTCCCTAGAACCCCAGTGAATGATCTTTAAAATAGCCAGAGTGTCAGAAAGCTCTCTAAGTAGGAGACACTGTGGGGTTACAATCTAGTAGGACAGGGATCTAGGGGTACTTTTCTTAGGGTTATGTTTGTATATCAAGCATACTGCTTTATGTAGATTGTTTATTTGAGATAACTTCCAGCAGGAGCTGATGGACTCTAAGGGGGTAGCCTGAAGCCCTCCTCTAGTACCAGACTTTGGATATAGTAATATCATGTCCCTATCTACCCTTCTCATAACTGCTTCTCTCCATTAAACATCCAGACATCATCTTACCTTTCATAGCTTCGTGTTCCTTACAGACAAGACGAGAGCAGATCTCCTTGTTGACGATGTACATACGTCGTAAACTGCAGACGTCCCAGTGTCATAGGCAAGGAAGGAGATGGAAGAAAGCCTTGAGAGGAGAACTCACCTGGGTCTGGGATGCCTCTTCAACTCTCATATTCCCCACTTTCCCTATCTGCTTTTCCCCAACTGTATTTTCTTAAGTATTTCAGACTTTTGCCCCCCAACTGGAAAATAGGGGAGGGAATGGTATTAATTACTCTTCTGTTTTTTAAATTTTATTTCAATAGTTTTTGGTGTACAGGTGGTTTTTGGTTACATGGATAAGTTCTTTAGTGGTGATTTCTGAGATTTGGGTGCACCCGTCACCCAAGCAGTGTACACCGTACCCAATGTGTAGCCTTTATCCCTCATTCCTCTCCCACTCTTTCCCCTGAGTCCCCAAAGTCCATTATATCATTCTTATGTTTTTGCCTCCTCATAGCTTAGCTCCCACTTATAAGCGAGAACATACAATATTTGGTTTTTCATTGTTTAGTTACTTCATTTAGAATAATGACCTCCAGCTCCATCCAAGTTGTTGCAAAGGCCATTGTTTTAGTTATTCTTCTTAGTGACACTTTGCACACTCTACCTAAAGTCAGGCTTAATATTCCTCCCCACTATTTTCTACCTTAGAGCTGGGCCATTCTCTTCAGTCTCCTTCTATCAGGTAATAAATTGAGCATGCCAGTATTTCCCTCATGACCCTTCTTCCTCCAGCGCCCACCTTCATTTCCCTTCTAAGTTCTATTACTCTGCCTGTTCTTTGTACACTTCAGCCCATACTCCAGGTTCTAGTTGGTACATTCAGCAATAACTAGGAGGGTTGTGCTAAAAACTTTGGCCCCATCAAAGTTTGCAATTCCATAGTGGGTGCTCATTAAATAGTTATCAACACAGAAACACTACCATGGAAGATGCTTTTTGGGCATTCTGGGATCCCTTACCTGGTGAAGCATAACTGATGAATGCATTGTTTAACCGGCCGATGCACAGAGTAGAGCCTTGTGCAGGTAAATTTCTCATCCCAGCACTCTGAGGAAGCCCAATACAAAAAAATAAGGAGGTCCAAATAGAAGCAGCATAAATGAAGGATTGAAGGAATTGGGAAGGATAGATAGAGTAGGAAAAAAATACAGAGTAATCTCTACAGAGAATCATTATAAATTGGGCTACATCCTTTCCGTCCACCAAAAACACAGCAAGAGGGAATTGACTAAATGAAGTTTTGGCGCTTCCCTACTTGGAAGTAGAAGTGGATAAAATAATCTCTGAGAGCACTTCTAGGAATAAAGTCTTTCTAGAATTGTCCGTTATGAAATATAAAATAGGCTGGGCACGGTGGCTCATGCTTGTAATTCCAGCACTTTGCGGGGACGAGGCGGGCAGATCACCTGAAGTCAGGAGTTCGAGACCAGCCTGGCCAACAAGGTAAAACCCCGTCTCTACTGAAAATACAAAAATTAGCCAGGAGTGGTGGCAGTTGCCTGTAATCTCAGCTACTCGGGAGGCTGAGGCGGGAGAATCACTTCAACCTGGGAGGCGGAGGTTGCAGTGAGCCAAGATCACGCCACTGCACTCCAGCCTGGGTGACAGAGTGAGACTCCATCTCAGAAAAATAAAATAAAATAAAACAAAATAGTAAAATAAAATAGAAATGCTGATAATCCCATTCTGAAAGAATCAGATTTCTTAGGCAGGTTGCTATTTCTCTGTTCCAGTAGTTTTCAACCCTAGCTATATATCAGAATTATCAGTACATTAGGAAATGCAATTTTAACCATGGCCTCCGTGGTAATATGGAGTCCTTGAAGTTAAATTGATTTCACTTCCCAATCCACTAACCACCACATAATGTGCAAGGGTACTTTAGGGAGAGGGCTATTTGGGGACCATGCAACATTTGTTCCATTCTTTCCCCTTGACTTTTATGACAGGTGCTCATTTTTTTAAAAAAAAGAGTAAGGGAGTGAAGAACACTAATACTCTTTGAGAAATAATTGGAAGTAAACTAGAAGATGTGCCAAGTACCCTCCAAAGAACAAGGAGGTAAGGAATCCACAGGAAGAAAAAAAGGCTTAAGAAGGCATGCAAGCAACAATCATACCTGCAGTGGTATTTTTTTCACTGAGGGAGGCTGAAAGGCAGAAATTTTATTCCACTGTTACCAATTCTAGAAGTTACTACTTCTGTAACTGCCACACTGCCTCACTTAGGACCTGCTTGGAGTGCCCATAAATAGGGAGCAAATGAATTAATAACTCTTAGCAACTTCTAAAAGAAAACCCTTATTGAGCTGATTTGCTCCACAAAATTGAAGACATTAGGAGGCAGGATGGGATTTTTTTCCTTTCTCCTTTCCTTTCTAAAGAGTTGAGAAATTCATTGTATTGTGAGTATCTCTGTATTGT
This sequence comes from Homo sapiens, assembly GCF_000001405.40. Lineage (NCBI taxonomy): Eukaryota > Metazoa > Chordata > Mammalia > Primates > Hominidae > Homo > Homo sapiens. The sequence continues at coordinate 8,651,966 of NC_000012.12, forward strand.
TGACAAGAAGCAAATTTAGTAGGAACACAAGGCAAAGAGTTACATGCCCAGAGGAGCTTCTTCCTAGAGCTAAGCAGAGAAAAGATTATTATCCTGTACAAGCTCTTCCTTATAAGAGAAAATTTATTTTCTGTAGATTAGATACATCATCATAAATTCTCTTGATAGAAGCTGTTGGGTAAAGAATAATGAGGGTCAGCTGGGCACAATGGCTCACACCTGTAATCCCAGCACTTTGGGAGGCCAAGGCAGGTAGATTATTTGAGGTCAGGAGTTTGAGACCAGCCTGGCCAACATGGTGAAACCCCCTCTCTACTAAAAATACAAAACTTAGTTGGGTGTAGTGATGTGCACCTGTAATCCCAGCTACTCAGGAGGCTGAGGCAGGAGAATCACTTGAACCTGGGAGGCAGAGGCTGCAGTGAGCCAAGATCGTACCATTGCACTCCAGCCTAGGTGACAGAGGGAGACTCCATCTCAAAATAAATAAATAAATAAATAAATAAATAAATAAAGAATAATGAGAGTCATCCTAACCTAGGGGCAAATTTAACATGGGCCTTATTCACAGAATGAAGAACAAGCCAAGGAGTTAGATGAATAGACTAGTCAGGGGAGTTACCAGGAAAAATGTCACTGGAAGTGTTGCAAATAGAATACTAGGACCTGTGTTATGAGATCTCATCTATCCCATGGTTTCTAGGCAGGTGTATATGCTGATAATTCCCAAACCTGTATTTCCAACCTCATCTCTCTCCTAAACTCCAGACCTATAAATCCAACTGCCTTTTTATGGAAGAGTTCTTGAATATTTCAAAGATCTTTCACATTCAATGTATATCCAACAGACTTAATTATCTTTCCCTTCACTAATTCTAGTTGTTATACAGTGAATGAGACCACCATCCACCCAATAGCCACATCTAGAAAACTGGATGTCATGGCTGGGCGTGGTGGCTCATGCCTGTAATCCCAGCACTTTGGGAGGCCAGGGTGGTTGGATCACCTGAGGTCAGGAGCTCAAGACCAGTCTGGCCAACGTGTTGAAACCCCGTCTCCACTAAAAATACAAAAAAATTAGCCAGGCTTGGTGGTGGGCGCCTGTAATCCCAGCTACTTGGGAGGCTGAAGCAGGAGAATTGCTTGAACCCGGGAGGCGGAGGTTGCAGTGAGCCAAGATCGCGCTATTGCACTCCAGCCTGGGCAACAAGACCAAGACTCTGTGTCAAAAAAAAAAAAAAAGAAAAAAGAAAAAGAAAACTGGATGTCAACTCAACAATCCCCTCTCCCTTATAGCTCACATTTAATTCTCCCTATCTCTACCTTGATTCAGGGCAGCATCTTTTACTGGGAACACTGCAACAGTGGCCCTGCTGGTTTTCCGGGTTCCAGGCGATCAATCACGGTCAAATCAGTTTTCCACACTGCCCTGGGAGTACAGTAGGGGGTTTGGAAGTGGGGTGTGATCCTTCCAATGCACAAATCTAATTATAATCTTACCTTGCATAAACGTCTCTCTGGTTGGTTTTCGTGTCCACCCTACACCTTTTGATTTATATTGTTTTCCTTACCTAAAAGCTCTTCCCTCTTCTATTAACTTAGTTCACTTTTACTTGTCTTTCAGGAAGCAGCTTAGTCAAATGTGCCCTCCACAAAAAACCTTTTCTCACCCCCAGCACCGAACCTAGTCAAGAACTCTTTCTGTGTCTTCCATAGCTTCTCTTGCTTATCCTGATTATCGAATTTTGTGAAACTGAATAAAGTTATCTGTTTATTTGTCTATCTTGTATATTACACAAAAGATGTCTAGTAGAAGAAAATCAGTTTTGTTCACTTTTATATCCTTGGCACCTAGTAGCAAGTTTTCAATAATGATTTGTTAAAAAATAATCTAGCCGCCTATAATCCCAGCACTTTGGGAGGCCGAGGCAGGTGGATCACCTGAGGTCAAGAGTTCAAGACCTGCCTGGCCAACGTGGCGAAACCCCATCTCTACTAAAACTACAAAAAATTAGCCAGGCATGGTGGTAGGTGCCTATAATTCCAGCCACTTGGGAGGCTGAGAAAGGAAAATCGCTTGAACCCAGGAGGCGGAGGCCGCAGTGAGCGGAGATCGCGCCATTGCACTGCAGCCTGGACGACAAGAGCAATAATCCGTCTCAAAAAAAAAAAAAAAAAAAATTCAGTCAAAGCATTACTTCTTCTACCCTTTATCCTCCAAAACGTGTTTATACTTTTATCTTGCCTTTACCCATCAAGTCTTGAAACTTTGAGAGAAAGATTAGCACAGTTCCTGTTTGTCAGGTGTTCAACAATGTCATTAATTTGAATTGAACTACTGGAAATATGTGCTCCATAAACTGTCATCCTGTCTTTTTAGGATCCTTCAGCAGCTGCACACTATCCAGAATGGGCTCTGGGGAAAGCCTAGAATGGCCCTGATGACCTGGGGGTCCCAGATCTGAACTCACCCAAGTCATCTGTGGAAGGTGCAATATCAGCCAAAACAGCCAAAACTGAAAAGGCACAAAACAGCAGGTATGAGGAGGGCTTCAAATTGCAAACACAAGGCAGAGTAAGAAAAGGGAGAATGGAGATACCGTGGCAGGTGGAAGACTATGTCTGGCTTTGTGTTTTATGTATAAGGGAATAGAATTAATTAAATAATTATAAATTTTTTTAAAGAATATTAGTCCTGGGTGGGGCGCAGTGGCTCGCACCTGTAATCTCAGAATTTTGGGAGGCTGAGGCAGGTGGATCACTTGAGGTCAGGAGTTCAAGACCAGCCTGGCCAATATAGTGAAACCCCATCTCTAGTAAAAATACGGAAATTAGCATGGTGGCAGGCGCCTGTAATCCCAGCTACTCAGGAGGCTGAGGCAGGAGAATCACTTGAATGCTGGAGGCAGAGGTTGCTGTGAGCTGAGGTTGTGCTGCTGCACTCTAGCCTGGGCTACAGAGCTAGACTCTGTCTCAAAAAAAAAAAAAAAAAATTAGCACTGTCACTGAACAACACTCTCACAACCTCAGTATCCAAAGATAGAAGCAGGCTGGACGCTGTGGCTCATGCCTGTAATCCCAGCACTTTGGGAGGCTGAGGCCAGGAGTTCAAGACCAGCTCGGCCAACATGGTGAAATCCCGTCTCTACTAAAAATACAAAAATTAGTCAGGCATGGTGTCGGGTGCCTATAATCTCAGCTACTCAGGAGGCCAAGGCAGGAGAACCACTTGAACCCCTGAACCCAGGAAGTAGGGGTTGCCATGAACCAAAATTGTGCCACTGCACTCCAGCCTGGGCAACAGAATGAGACTCCCTCTCAAAAACAAACAACAATAACAAAAAACAAAAGCAAATATAAAAGCACAGAATGAATTCAAGAGCTGGAATAAATATTGTGAATATTAACAAGAACCATGCCATTTTTTTTTTAACTGCGGTAAAATTTACCTGTTTCATCTGTAGCGGGATCATTCACCAGATCTGCAAAGACACATAACAAGGAATGAAAAAATGCAGTCAGGAAAAGTAGCTAAGGAAAGCAGGATAAGGGGACGATGATCTCAAAGGAGGCAAGAAAGGCTGAAGTGAAAGCCTGTGGACTCGGGCAGATGAGGGACTATCGCAGAAAGAAATGGAAGAGAGAGTAAGACTGGGCATGCGTACAGAGATGCTGGCATCTAAGGTGACAACAGAACTCTGCATGAGCTCAGAGCACCCTCCAACCCTTCTGAAGTCTTTATTTTTCTTTATGTAGACATGATCCTTTATCTATCCCCAATAAAACAGCAAACAAACAAACAAACAAAAGTGTAGCTTACTAGGATCTTCTGTGAATGTTTCTGGAGTCGCTTGAGTCACATCGTCTGAAAAGAAAATTAGAAAACAATTTCTGAGATTCTCTGTCTCCCTGCCACCCTTGCACTTCCAGTAAGTTAAATTGCGAAGCATAGTGCCCAGCGGAGTTGAGTATCCCACAAATGTTTTTCCTTGACTGCTTACAATAATGACAAACGATTGATGACTTCTTTGCAATACTTATTTAAAATGAAATCGGATATACCAAAGGCATTGTGATTTTGACATTCATAATTCTTTTTTTTTTTTTTTTTTTGAGACGGAGTCTCGCTCTGTCGCCCAGGCTGGAGTGCAGGGGCGCGATCTCGGCTCACTGCAAGCTCCGCCTCCCGGGTTCACATCATTCTCCTGCCTCAGCCTCCCAAGTAGCTGGGACTACAGGCGCCCGCCACAGCGCCCGGCTAATTTTTTGTATTTTTAGTAGAGACGGGGTTTCACCGTGGTCTCGATCTCCTGACCTCGTGAACCGCCCCCCTCGGCCTCCCAAAGTGCTGGGATTACAGGCGTGAGCCACCGCGCCCAGCCCATAATTCTGATATAATTGGGTATGAATTTGCTGATATGCTTAGGAGTGTTCATAAAAGGTAGTATTGATTTTTTTTTTTTTTTAAGAGTCTCGCTCTGTCACCCAGGCTGAAGTGAGTGGCCAGTCTCGGCTCACTGCAACCTCCGCCTCTTGGGTTCAAGCAATTTTCGTACCTCAGCTTCCCAAGTAGCTGGGATTACAGGCGCATACCACCATGCCTGGCTAATATATATATATATATATACACACACACACACACACATATATATACACACATACACACACACACACACACACACACATATATATATATATATATATTTTTTTTTTTTGAGACAGAGTCTGGCTCTGTCTGTCGCCCAGGCTGGAATACAGCAGCGCACGATCTCGGCTCACTGCAACCTCCGCCTCCCGGGTTCAAGCAATTCTCTGCCTCAGCCTCCAGAGTAGCTGGGATTACAGGCGCCCGCCACCACACCCAGCTAATTTCTGTATTTTTAGTAGAGATGGGGTTTCACCATATTGGCCAGGCTGGTCTTGAACTCCTGACCTCAGGTGATCTGCCCGCCTAGGCCTCCCAGTGTGCTAGGATTACAGGTGTGAGCCACTGCACCTGGCCTGTTTGCTAAATATTTAAATGTTTGCTAAGAGAGTAAATTTCAGGTGCTCTTATTATACACATACAAAAAAGGAAACTAATGAGGATATGGATATGTGAATTTGCTTGACTGTAGTAACCATTTCACTTTATACACATCTATCAAAATGTCATGGTGGATACTGTAAACACATACAATATAATTTATATGTAAATTAAAAAATAAAAGTAAATGTTAATGCTGTTTTGTTATTTTGCTTTTTAAAGTAGAGACCACTGGTTTTAGGAAGTGCTATTATTTACAGTTTCCTGTAAATACAAAATTAGCCTGGCGTGGTGGTGCACGCCTGTAATCCCAGCTACTCTGGAGGCTGAGGCAGGAGAATCGCTTGAACCCAGGAGGCAGAGGTGGCAGTGAGCTGAGATCGCGCCATTGCACTCCAGCCTGGGTGATAAGAGAGAAACCCTATCTCAAAAAATAAGAATAAAATAATAGTAATAACAATAAAATAAATATTAAGCAAACATTCCATCAGCAATTACCCTTCAATGTAAATAGCTTATATTCATAATCCATTCTACCCACTAGGGGTCAGCAAATTCACATAGTTTGCTTTGACTTTTTTTTTTTTTTTTTTTTTGAGACGGAGTCTCGCCCTATCGCCCAGGCTGGAGTGCAGTGGCGGCATGATCTCGGCTCACTGCAACCTCCGCCTCCCAGGTTCAAGTGATTCTCCTGTCTCAGCCTCCTGAGTGGCTGGGACACAGGCATGTGCCACCATGCCCGACTAGTTTTTGTATTTTTAGTAGAGACAGGGTTTCACCATGTTGGCCAGGCTGGTCTTGAGCTCCTGACCTCAGGTGATCCAACCACCTTGGCCTCCCGAAGTGCTGGGATTACAGGCATAAGCCACCATGCCCGGCCTGACTTCTTTTTTTAACTTCAGATTCTATTAATAAATGTCAAATGTAAATCTGATGGGAACAAATATTTTTATAAAGCATATCAGAGTTATGGATAATTATAAAAAAGGTGAAATACAAATAAAGCATTTCATAGGAATTTCCCTTGCTTACCTCATCCTGTTTTCTAAATTCCAGATAGAAATTCATCAGGTTTGGCTGGGCTTCATGGTTCATGCCTGTAATCCCAGCATTTTGGGAGGCCAAGGCATGCGTATCACTTGAGGTCAGGAGTTTGAGACCAGTCTGGCCAACATGGTAAAATCCCATCTCTACTAAAAATACAAAAATTAGCTGGGCATGGGTGGTGCATGCCTGTAGTCCCAATTACTCAGGAGGCTGAGGCAGGAGAATGAATTGAACTCAGGAGGCGGAGGTTGCAGTGAGCTGAGATCTTGCCACTGCACTCCAGCCTGGGACAGAGTGAGACTCTGCCAAAAAAAAAATTCATCAGGCTTGACAAAAAAGCCTCTTAACCTTTCACACTCATTATGGGCTTTCTTCTTTCAGAACACTTTTTTTTTTAAGTAGGATGTCATTGATTGGAAGAACAATCTTTTAACAAAAGGAATCCAAGTCTGTTCCAATCCCACAGGATATTTGAAAAACCACTAACCTGAATCATTCCAGAGACTGCAGGAGAGGAGTGGAGCCTCTCCCGGGTGTAGCCCAATCCTTCCTGGTTCCCTTTCTCTAGAGGCCTAGCTACATTCCAGTCCAGCCACTCACAGAAACAGGAGCAAAGCAATGGGGGAACAGAGGGCTTGAGAATGTATCCTAGCTGTCTCTGGGATTTCAGGGCAGAGTACTGCTTTTCTGCATATACCTCAGTTTAACCAACTGTTCCAAGAGCTATCACCATATAAATGCTTTATCTAGTATTCATGAAGTTCTCTCTGAAAAAAAAAATTAACGTATTTTCTTTTCCTTTTCTTTTTTTGAGAGAGTCTCACTCTGTTGCCCAGGCTGCAGTACAGTGGTGCCATCATAGCTCCTTTGCAGCTTCGAACTCCTGGGCTCAAGCGATCCTTTCACCTCAGCCTTCTGAGTAGCTAGGACAACCAGCAAACCACCACACCTGGCTTTTTTTTTTTTTTTTTTAAGAGATAGGGTCTCAGGCTGGCAGCAGTGGCTCACACCTGTAATCCCAGCACTTTGGGAGGCCGAGGCCTGCAGATCATCTGAGGTCAGGAGTTTGCGACCAGCCTGACTAACACGGTGAAACCCTGTCTCTACTAAATACAAAAAATTAGCCAGTTGTGGTGGCGCATGCCTATAATCCAAGCTACTTAGGAGGCTGAGACAGGAGAATCACTTGTACTTGGGAGATGGAGGTTGCAGTGAGCCGAGATCGCGCAATTGTACTACAGCCTGGGTAACAAGAGCGAAACTCTGTCTCGAAAAAAAAAAAAAATAAAAGGGTCTCACTATATTGCCCAGGCTGATCTCAAACTCATGGCCTCAAGTGATCATCCCACCTCAACCTCCCAAAGTGCTTGGTATTACAGGCATGAGCCACCACACCAGGCAAGACAGTTCATCATACCTTATGATATGTCTGCGAGAAAAGCATCTAAAGTCTTAACACAGGACTGGTTCCTAATCAGCCCAGAAAAATGAATTCCGATTTTCAGTTTTGCTGGTACTAAAATCTCGGGAGGCCTTTCCCCTAGTCTGAAGTCTAGTCACATTCCTGCCCTTTTTTCCTAGATTCAGATTTAGATTCAGAAACTCGGGGATTCGGGTATTTTTACCAACAACAGAAAAAAAATTTTTGTATTTTTATCTTCTGTACCAGGACCCACTGCAAGAAAAATATACTGTACCCTGGTATATACATATGGAAAACTAAGAGAAGTTTTATTAAAGTTGTATGAAATAATACTTTACTCTTGCAAAACACATGCAATGCATCCCGGTATATTTGTTTTGGTCTATCTTAATTCATTTTAAAAATTAATACCAGTTGTGACCCACTAAATTGATTTCATGATCCCATTAATAGGTTGCCTACTGGAGCGCTCTGTCCTCTAACTCTCCTGGGATGGGAGAAATAAAGAGATAAATTATAATTATGTTGAATGCCTTGAGGCAGAATGGAGTTTTCTTCATGAAGTCGAAGGAAGTGGTCCTCTAGGGGTCACAACTTTTGGGATTTTTGTTATAGAGAATGGTGTGAGCAAAAATTACCTAAAAAGCTGAAAAACCAAAAAATACCTTTTGGGTTTTGCTCAGTTGTGCCACAATTTCACCTAGGATTGACATGACTTCTTTTTTTCTAATTTTTTTTTTTTTTTTTTAGTCAGTTCCACTCTGTTGCCCAGGCTGGAGTGCAATGGCATGATCATGGCTCACTGCAACCGCAGCCTCCTGGGTTCAAGCCATTCTCATGCCTCAGCCTCCTGAGTAGCTAGGACCACAGGCATGCGCCACCATGCCAGGCTAATTTTTTTTTTTTCTAGAGATGAGGTCTCCCTGTGCTGCCCAGTTTGGTCTCAAACTCCTGGGCTCAAGCGATCCTCCTGCCTCAGCCTCCCAAAGTGCTGGGATTATGGGTATAAGATGACTTCTTATCCTGTCTTTCATTTTTCCACTGTTACATGAATTAAGGAACGCTTTTTGTAAGGACTAGTAAGCATTTTCTGAGTAAGATAGGAGATGTGTAAAGAAAAATGAAAACAGAAATGGTCATAGAGGATGTCTTGGGAAGGTGTTTCAGTAGTTTAAAAACACACACACAAGAAGCTTTTATGAATGGGATAATAGGATTGTGGAAACTGGTGAAGTTGATCCTATTTCTCACACTTTGGCAATGCATCTCTTTGTTGTAGGAAATATTCTTTTTTTTTTTTTTTTGGCAGCGATAGATAAGCAGGAAGGATTTTTTAACTCTGTTCATCTAAATTTTCCTGATAAGAACCCCAACAGAGCCGCTATCCAAGGGTTCACCTACCTCCTCGTTGACTATTGACCCCCAGGGGTATCCAGTCTATAGCAAAGGAAGAGAAAAGAGATGTGAGTGACTGCAGCTCTATACCTCGTAACCCTTTTATGAGACAAATCAGAAAATCATGGAGAAATGGTTATACTTTATCTTTGTGACTTATTCCTATATAGCTCAATATAAAATTACTGAGACCATTAGTGCTATGAACAAAACCAATAGGAATAGAAAGACTTCAGAAAGACAAGTTCCTTCACTGCTGTGCATTTGTTTGGTAAAAAGAAAAAAAAGACAAGTTCCTGAGAACAAAGCCCTGCTGCCCTCTTACCCTCATTCCTGGCCAGGAATGAAGTCCAGCTCCACTGAGAGGCCTGGCAGCCCTTCTAGCCCCACGGCTTCCCCGCTAGCTATGCTAGTGAACAAGACAGAAGAATTATTTTTCTCAATCTGTATCGGAAGAAGGAGGGAAAAAAATAGAGTAGGACATCTTTACAGCCTAAAGTTCACTTTCTGTGGCCAGTCTTCTAGCCAGATTCTGGGAAATCTGTGAAGATCACTTTTCTCTTGTGTGTCAGTATGGCATATATTTTTTGCATGCATGTGAGTATACCTGCATGCATGATGGTAATAGTGTATGTATTCCCACTGTTCTTCTTCAAGATTTACATTTGGTCCAGTTTCTTTTTTTCTTTTTTCCTTTTTTTTTTTAATGGAGATGAGGTTAACTCATCTCACTATGTTGCCCAGGTTGGTCTCAGTGATCCTCTCCACTCAGTCTCCCAAAGTGCTAGGAGTATAGGTGTGAGCCCACCATGCCCAGCCCAGGTCCAGTTTCTTTCTAGGTAGTCCCTCCTCTATGTTTGTGTATGCATTTGTATATCAGCTTCTTTTTTGCTTTGCAATTTGTTTACTCATATGTGACCCTCTTTGGGTGGTTAATATGCATTTGTGTGTATCTTAGTTGCACCTTAGTTTCATAATTCTTGGGAGGCCTTTCCCCTAGTCTGAAGTCTAGTCACATTCCTGAACTTTTTTTCTTAACACAAAATCTGTTCTTCTAATAGGAATTCCAGAGCTCAATACCAAGCATCTCTACTGCTATTCCTCTTCGACCTCATTCCATCCCATCTCCTGCCACACACGTGTATAGCTGAGGAGCTGAGGGTTTAGGGAGCAAAGAATAAAGGACTCACCAGAGGTGATGATGAATGCAGCAAGAAACAGCAGCACCTTGGGTCCCAAGAGCGACATATCTATAGGGGTGGTGGGCATAGCAGAGAATGTGATGCTCAGAGGCACATCAGCATTTCAGTGCCAGGGAAAGATGCCTCTGAGGTCCCTGTCTCTTTGTCTTCCCAGAACTTTCTTCATTTTCCCTTATGACTCAAACCCTTTCTCTCTTTTCTTACCTTTCACCCAACATTCATTTCTCCCTCAAATCTATTCCTTGGTCACTTACCATTATTCTTGCTTTTATTATTCTCTGCTACCAAGTCAGAGGAAATTTTACATTCTACATGGTCCGTACTTGGCCCTACCCTTTGGCCTCTTTCACCCCTGATGTGGAATCTTCCTTTCTCATATGCGTGACTTTTTCATATCATCTGCTCATCTTGGCGTCTCCTTCATCAGAATTCCACGGTTATTTGGGAGGTCTGCTCAAGACTAAGTTCAGTGACATTCCCCATTGCCCCCTCCAGCCCTTTCACACACACACAGACATACACACATTCCCTCTGTCTCTTTAGGGTTTCAGGTAATCAAATAACTCACTGTCTATGGTGTTCTGCTCTTTCCACCGAGTCCTTTGGCTGCTGAATGTGTCTCTCTCCTCTTACGCTGTTCCTACTTTGGCTGGCGAATAAGATGAACAGAGCCACTCCCTGGAAAGGACTTCAGATTTGGCCTCCGCTGAAACAATGAGATGAGGGAGAGCAAGAAAGCCAGGCTAGGCGTAGAATGTGTGTTACAATGAGGCTGGAATGAGAAGGGAGATGGGAATTTGCAGTTGCTCACACCCTCATTCCAAATGTTATGACTACACTGGTGAGAGCTCTTGCTGCTCCCTGGAAGTGTTGGCCCCAGCTCATGTATTGCCTTTCTTCCATTAGCCTATTTTCCCTCCTCTCACGATCTGGTCCCAGCTCCCCTTTGTTCCTTGGGTTCTTTCTTACCGAAAAGTTCCGTCTCCTCCTTGGTGTGTTTTAATGCACATTATAGATGCTGTTTCTCTCTCTCTGGCTATCTTCTTCTTCTTTGTTTTTTGTTTTTTTTTTTTAAGACAGAGTTTTGCTCCTGTCACCCAGGCTGGAGTGCAATGATGTGATCTTGGCTCACTGCAACCTCCGCCTCCTGAGTTCAAGCAATTATCCTGCCTCAGCCTCCTTATATTCCATATTTGAATCATTCCTTCATCCTTCTTTCTCACTTTCTTTTTCAATATTCGTCTCTTCAGCACTAACAAATTTCTTTTTATTCCTGTATTTCTTTTTCATCTCTGCCTCTTTCTTGACCTACACATTTAGACTCTTCTTGTTTTTTTTCCCCTTGGAATATCCTATGTATTCTCACAACCAAGCGAACACAGATACCTTATGAGTTTTGTCCAAGAGGAAGGCTGGCTACCTTAGGGTTATAAAAAGTTGAGGAACTTTTCAGAACTCTCCAAATCATTTTCAAATGTAGAGAAGCTCTGTGAAAGGGGTGCCAGCCTTACTTTGTCTTTTGGCTTTGTTTGAGCTTAACTAAGAATCTGGGTTTCTGGGCTCTTAAGGATAAAATGCAATCAGATGCCCAAAGAAAATTGAAAGGCAAGGTTATTATGCTTGCCTCATTTTCTACCAATATTTTTCCTTAGATCATATAATGTGTAGATAACACTTTCTCTGATCCAGGATTTTTTCTTTTTTTTAAGATAGGGTCTTGCTCTGTCACCCAGGCTGGAGTACAGTGGCATGATCACAGTTCACTGCAGGCTTGACCTGGGCTCAAGTGATCCTCCTGCCTCAGCCTCCTAAGTCGCTGGGACTACAGGTGCATGCCACTATGCCAGGCGAATTTAGATGTATTTTTTTGTAGAGACAGGATTTTGCTATGTTGCTCAGCCTTGATTCAGGAATTTTAAAGGCTTTGTATTTCTTCTTATTCACAGAGACTCTAGTGGTTCAACCACTAAAACATTCCCGCTTTGGATTCAAGAGCAAACTTGAATTACAGAAACTCAAGTCTGAGGAATGGTGGACCTTGTATGCCATAGAAATATGTAAGTTTCAGGTTTCCTGTTGGCTCCCCTTTAGTCTACATTATATATCTCCCTGATGAAATAAATTAGAGAAGAGTACAGGTAGACAGAGAGCAGATAGTATTAATAAATTACATACTAGAAGAAAATAAAAGGGGGTATGATGGAAGGAAGGAAAGAAGGAAAGAAGGAAGGAAGGAGTCTAGTTGAGAGGAAAAAAGAGCAGTGGACACAGAAATAAGCAAATCGCACTTTGTAAGCACCTCTGGGACCTCCGAGGGAGCTGTAAGTGCTACATCTCTAAGATACATGGAATCTGGTCAGTCCGCAGAACAAGCTGAGTGCTACGCCCAGCTCTTCCTGATCTTCCTGCCCCAGAACTTGCTCTTCTTCCATCTGCTCCCCAGTGAAGGGGCTGAGACTAGAAAACAGATGTGATTCTAGTCTGAGGAGAGTCAGGGGAAGAAAAGGGTGTTGGGAGAAGAAACAAAAAAGCAGATGCAAAGCAGGACATAGCTAAGGCAGGACATAGAATAGAGAGCCTAGAGCAACAATCAAGTTTTCCATGAAGCTCAGACAGATGGAGACACTGAACTCAGGCCAGTCATTTGGCAGGGAGAGCAATGACCTCAATGTGCTGGCCTGGCTAGAGGCTATAGTTTAGGAGAGCCTCCCCAGGCAGTGGGAGGGGGCGTTCTCCTGGGGTTGTAGGAGGTAGTCTGGAGTTGGGGCAGTGAAAATAGGAACAGAATGTTCAGAGCAGGGCTGAAGAAGAGAACAGGCAGGGAGTAGCATCCTAGAAGGAAAGGAGAGGTAGTGAGACAGGAACTGGCAGAAGAGCAGGACAACCATATATTGTTGGGTTTTAAAGACTTTTGAGAATGCAGTTTGTTTCAAGGTTGGTTAGTTTCTTTTTTTTTTTTTTTTTTTTTTTGTGAGATAGAGTCTCGCTCTGTTGCCCAAGCTGGAGTGTAGTGGCGTGAACTTGGCTCACTGAAACCTTCGTCTTCTGGGTTCAAGTGATTTTCCTGCCCTAGTAACTGGGATTACAGGCATCCGCCACCAGGCCCGGCTAATTTTTGTATTTTTAGTAGAGAGGGGGTTTCGCCATGTTGGCCTGGCTGGTCTCGAACTCCTAACCTCAAGTGATTTGCTCCCCTCAGCCTCCCAAAGTACTGGGATTACAGGTGTGAGACACCACACCTGGCCAAGGTTGGTTAATTTTTTCATGGCAACTATGGCGGGCCCTTTATTCTACTACAGTTCCCCATTTGTTCTCAGAGCCCAGGTTTGGATCCCCAGGCTTAGAGATCCTCAGATTTGCTTTTCTCAGGGTGATTTTGTCAGCCTCTGTTGCATTGTACATTAATTAATCATTTAATGACATCAAGTCAAAATCAGCACCAATGGTCAGAAACGAGCAAATGCCATCCAGAGTTACAAGTCCATAATTTTCTGGGGTTCTTTTTGACTCACTGAGTAGCAATCCATACTTCCATCCCATATAGGCTGGATCTCCTGAGGGTAGACAACACATTCTCCAGCAATAAGAAAGCCCCTCATGGGACTGACTGGCGCGTGTAGAAGTGACTTAATGAAGGCAATCTATGTTTGAGTTACCCAGGAAAATTTTCGTTTTTATAAAATGTCTGTGAAAGATGGGCAAAGGGCAAAGAAAGAGGAGAGAGACAGAGATGCGAGATGTCAAGCTGGTTTTATTCATCTGTTTATTGGCTTGTAAAGAATACACCCATTAGCTGAAGGCCTCTGGGCAAATGTACAGAAACGTTATTACTACAGTCCCATCCAACTAAATTAAACCCAGGAGCTAAACACACACACAAAAAATTTCCCATAAAAGGAAGGAAAAGAAAGGGGGAAGGTTATATGAGGCAGGGAGGGCAGGGAGAGGGAGTGGTGTGTGTAGAGGAATGAAGCAATGAAGTAGTAACAGCCAAACACAAAAGATGGACTTAGATGCCAAAAGACATATGTCCTTAGAAAACTGAAGCTAGGGAACACTTGTTTGTCCATCAAAATCCGGCCTAGATGTCGCCTCCTGCCAGAAACCTTTCCTGGTCTCCTCTGCCTCTAAAGAGTTCATCATTCCCTCTATTAAACCAACTCTTTGTTTATTTGTATAATTATATAATCCACTTTATTAAACTCTTTTACATATCTTTAATCCTTATTAGGCTGAGGGTTTCTTTTCTTAGTTTTTTATTTTTTATAGAAATGGGGTCTCACTATGTTGCCCGGGCTGGTATCGAACTCCTGGGCTCAAGTCATCCCCCTGCCTCGGCCTCTCAAAGTGCTGGAATTATAAGCGTGAGCCACTGCCCCTAGCCTAGGCTGAGTGTTTCTTGATGGAAGAGGCTGTCTTACTCCTCTTTAGGTGACATAATGGTTAGCACATTAAAACTCAAAATTTGCAGCCTGGGCAACATGGCAAGACCTTGTCTCTACAAAAAAAAAAAAAAAAAAAAAAAAAAAAAAAAAAAATTGTTTTTTTTTTGAAACAGAGTCTCGCTCTGTCACCCAGGCCGGAGTGCAGTGGCGCAATCTCAGCTCATTGCAAGCTCTGCCTCCCAGGCTGACGCTATTCTTCTGCCTCAGCCTCTCGAGTAGCTGGGACTACAGGTGCCCACCACCATGCCTGGATAATTTTTGTATTTTTAGTAGAGACGGGGTTTCATCGTGTTAGCCAGGATGGTCTTGATCTCATGACCTCGTGATCTGCCTGCCTCCACCTCCCAAAGTGCTGGGATTACAGATGTGAGCCACCGCGCCCGGCCTTTTTTTTTTTTTTTTTTTTTGAGACAGAGTTTCACTCTGTCACGCAGGCCAGAGTGCAATGGCACAATCTCAGCTCACTGCAACCTCTGCCTCCCGAGTTCAAGCGATTCTCCTGCCTCAGCCTCCCAAGTAGCTGAGATTACAGGCACCTGCCACCACACTCAGCTAATTTTTGTACTTTTTAGCAGAGACAGGGTTTCACCATGTTGGCCAGGCTGGTCTCAAACTCCTGACCTCAGGTGATCCACCGACCTCTGCCTCCTGAAGTGTTGGGATTACAGGCATGAGCCACCACACCTGGCCAAAAAATTGTTTTTAATTAGGCATGGTGGCATATGCCTGTGGTCCCAGCTACTTAGGAGGCTAAGGCAGGAGGATTACTTGAACCCAGGAGGTCTAGGCTGCAGTGAGCTATGACTGTGTCACTACACTCCCTCCTGGGCAACACAGTGAGACCCTGTCTCAAAAAAAAAAATTATCTAAATTTGGTCAACTGGATTGAATTGAGATGAAGACTTGAAATAGTAACTTCCTATTTTTGAAATATTAACATTCAAAGACTTAGTCAAATGCAAGGGGGTAGAGGATAACGTTTTAGGGAAGTAAGCAGTTTGAGAGTATACATGGAGTTCAGCAAATGGAACAAGCAATCAATGTATTGAAGTGATATGGGGGCAATAGAACAAAAAGGAATAGGCTCCCCCAAAGCAGAAAAATTGGGCAACAGCTAGTCTTAAAGGAATTTTAGCAGTAAGACTGTAAAAGTTATTTCACGTAAAACATATATAATTTATATCTACAATAATTAGTGCTTCTGTCTCATCATTTTGCTTTGTGTAAATTTTCTGATGGCACTGGTAGTCGGTCTTACACTGTTACAGTCATACTTTCTTGACCACACAGACGTAAAATGTTTGATCCAGGTTTAAGATTCTGCTCAAGTTCCTGAACCCACAACTAAAAAGATATAAATAACTCTGATAAAACTGGCTATAGACAAACAAAACAGGACAAGTTCTAAAAATTCATTCATCCATCTTCTCATTCTACCTGCCAAAATAAAAAAGAGAGAGAGAAACTCTGGAATTTGCAAATATGGTTTAAAACAGGAAAGTTCAATGTATATAGTTATTAATAATAACTCATATAATTAGTAATTTCAGCACATCTATATAATATAGTTTTATAAATTATATGTATTAATACTAGGCAGCCTGTAAGACAGTCCCAATGATCCCCGTCTCCTGTTTTGTTTTGTTTTGTTTTTGAGATGGAGTCTCTTTCTGTTGCCCAGGCTGGAGTGCAGTGGTGCGATCTTGGCTTACTCCCAACCTCCACCTCCCAGGTTCAAGCAATTCTCATGCCTTAGCCTCCCGAGTAGCTGGGATTACAAGTGCCAGCCACCCCACCATGCTAGTTTTCGTATTTTTAGTAGAGACGGCGTTTCACCATGTTGGCCAGGCTGGTCTTGAACTCCTGAGCTCAAGTGACCTGCCTGCGTCAGCCTCCCAAAGTGCTGGGATTACGGGCGTGAGCCACTGTGCCTGGCCTCCCACCTCCCGTTCTTCATCCCCTGTGTGATCCTCCTGCTTTGAGTGTGATCTTAGGTACTACTAGCAAATAGAACATAGCAGAGGTAATGGGGTGTGACTTCCCAGATTATGTAACAGGAAGACTCTGGCTTCTATTTTTGGTGCTCCCTCTTGCTCTCCTGCTTTCTTCTTTGCTCTGAACAAAGCCAGCTGCCATGCTGTGAGCTGCTTTATTAAGATGCCCAAGTGGCAAGGCACTGATGTCTGTAGCCAAAAGCCAGCAACCCAAGGCCTGCCAAAAGCCACGTGCATGAACTTGGAAGTGGATCTTTTCTCAATTGGGCCCTGAGATGATGACAGCACCAGCTAACACCTTGATGACAGCCTTATGAGATACCCTGAGCCAAAGGTACCCAGCTAAGTCATGTTTGGATTACTAATCAACAGAAACGTTGGGAAAATAAATGTTTTTGTTTTAAGCTGTTAAATTTTGGGCTAGATAGATAACTAATATGTTGTATAACTACAATACAGGATTATTTTTATCTATTATATAAATTTAATATATATATATTTGTAACTATATATAGTATATTTCTTAGTCCATTTGTGTTGCTGTAAAGGAATACCCAAGCCTGGGTAAGTTATAAAGAAAAGAGGTTTATTTGGCTCATGATTCTGCAGGCTGTGCAAGAAGCATGGTGCCAGCATCTGTTTCTGGTGAGGGACACAGGGTTCGTCCACTCATGGATGAAGGGGAAGGGGAGCTGGCAAGAGAGGAAGGAAGCAAGAGAGAGGGGAGGGAGGAGCCAGGCTCTTTTTAACAACCAGCTCTCACAAGAACTAATAGAGGGAGAACTCACTAATTACTATGGGGAGAACACCAAGCCATTTATGAGGGATCTCACCCCATGATCCAAGCACCTCCCACTAGGCCTACCTCTAACATTGGGGGTCAAGTTTCAACATGAGATTTGGAGGGGCCAAACCATATCCAAACCATAGCAGTATATAATAATTATACAATATAGTATCAACACAGTTATATTAAGATGAAATACTATAAATTACCTCATATATTAAATATTAATGTAAATTAGTAATAATGGCTAATATTTATGGAGAATTTGTCATGTGTTAGGCTATGGTAGCTAAAAAGTAAGTACAGTATGATTATGCTACATAAATTATATACCTCCTTTGGAAAATAATACATTCATAGGAAAGCAGAGAGAAAAGAAGGAAATGAAAAGAAAAAATAAAGAAGAGATAAGGGAGAAGGGACAGGACAGAAGGAAGAGACATGGAAAGTAAGAAGGAATCGGCTGGGTGCGGTGGCTCATGCCTGTAATCCCAGCACTTTGGGAGGCCGAGGCGGGCGGATCACGAGGTCAGGAGATTGAGACCATCCTGGCTAACACAGTGAAACCCCGTCTCTACTAAAAATACAAAAAATTAGCCGGGCGTGGTGGCGGGTGCCTGTAGTCCCAGCTACTCGGGAGGCTGAGGCAGGAGAATGGTGCGAACCCGGGAGGTGGAGCTTGCAGTGAGCCAAGATCACGCCACTGCACTCCAGCCTGGGCGACAGAGCAAGACTCCGTCTCAAAAAAAAAAAAAAAAAAAAAAAAAGAAGGAATCAAGACCCCCATGATTCAGTTACCTCCCCCGGGTCCCTCCCACAACATGTGGGAATTCACCGAAGTTGAGATTTAGGTGAGGACACAGCCAAACCATCTCATTCTGTCCCTGATCTCTCCAAATCTCATGTCCTCACATTTCAGAACCAATCATGCCTTCCCAAGAGTCCCCCAAAGTCTTAACTCATATCAGCATTAACCCCAAAGTCCATAGTCCAAAGTCTCATCCAAGACAAGGCAAGTCCCTTCCACCTATGAGCCTGTAAAATCAAAAGCAAGCTAGTTACTTCCTAGATACAATGGGGTACAGGTATTGGGTAAATACAGCTGTTTCAGGTGGGAGAAATTGGCCAAGACAAAGGGGTTACAGGGCCCATGCAAGTCCAAAATCCAGTGGAGCAGTCAAATTTTAAAGCTCCAAAATCATCTCTTTGACTCCAGGTCTCCCATCCAGGCCACAGTGATACAAGAGGTGGGTTCCCATGGTCTTGGGCAGCTCTGCCCCTGTGGCTTTACAGAGTACAGTCTCCCTTCCAGCTGCTTTCACAGGCTGGTGTTGAGTGTCTGCAGCTTTTCCAGGCACAAGGTGCAAGCTGCTGGCGGATCTACCATTCTGGGGTCTGGGGGGCCATGGCCGTCTTCTCACAGCTCCACTAGGCAGTGCCTCAGGAAGGACTTTGTGTGGGGGCTCCAACCACACATTTCCCTTCTGCACTGCCCTGGCAGAGGTTCTGCATGAGGGCCCCACCCCTGCAGCAAACTTTTGCTTGGGCATCCAGGCATTTCCATACATCTTCTGAAATCTAGACAGAGGTTCCCAAACCTCAATTCTTGACTTCTGTCCAACTGCAGGCCCGATATCACATGGAAGCTGCCAAGGCTTGGGGCTTCCACCCTCCGAAGCCACAGCCCAAGCTGTATGTTGGCCCCTTTCAGCCACGGCTGGAGTGGCTGAGACACAGGTCACCAAGTCCCTAGGCTGCACACAGCACAGAGACTCTGGACCCAGCTCATGAAACCACAATTTCCTCCTGGGTCTCTGGGTCTGTGATGGGAGGGGCTGCCATGAAGGTCTCTGACATGGCCCGGAGACATTTTCCCCATGGTCTTGGGGCTTATAGGCTCCTTGCTACTTATGCAAGTTTCTGCAGCTGGCTTGAATTTCTCCCCAGAAAACAGTTTTTTCTTTTCTTTCTTCTTTTTTTTTTTATATGGAATTTCGCTCTTGTTGCCCAGGCTGGAGTGCAATGACACGATCTCAGCTCACCGCAAATTCTGCTTCCCAGGTTCAAGCAATTATCCTGCCTCAGCCTCCTGAGTAGCTGAGATTACAGTCATGTGCCACCACCTCAGATAATTTTGTATTTTTTAGTAGAGACAGGGTTTCTCCATGTTGGTCACGCTGTTCTTGAACTCCCAACCTCAGGTGATCTGCCCGCCTCGGCCTTCCAGCGTGCTGGGATTACAGGTGTGAGTCACCGCACCCAGCTGGGTTTTTCTTTTCTATTGCACAGTCAGGTTGCAAATTTTCCAAACTTTTATGCTCTGCTTTCCTTATAAAACTGAATTCTGGCCGGGCGTGGTGGCTCACACCTGTAATCCCAGCACTTTGGGAGGCCCAGGTGGGTGGATCACGAGGTCAGGAGTTCAAGACCAGCCTGGCCAAGATGGTGAAACTCCATCTCTACTAATAAAATACAAAAATTAGCCAGGTGTGGTGGTGGGTGCCTGTAATCCCAGCTACTCGGGAGGCTGAGATGGAGAATTGCTTGAACCCGGGAGGCAGAGGTTGCAGTGAGCTGAGATTGCGCCATTGCACTCCAGCCTGGGTGACAGAGTGAGACTCCATCTCAAAACAAAACAAAACAAAACAAAACAAAGCCTGAATGCCTTTAATAGCATCCAAGTCACCTCTTGAATGCTTTGCTGTTTAGAAATTTCTTCCACTAAATACCCTAAATTATCTCTCTCAAGTTTAAATTTCCACAAATCTCTAGGGCAGGGGCAAAATGCCACCAGTCTCTTTGCTAAAACATAACAAGAGTTACCTTTGCTCCAGTTCCCAGCAAGTTCCTCATCTCCATCTGAGACCACACAGCCTGGATTTTATTGTCCATATTGCTGTCAGCATTTTGGGCAAGGTCATTCAACAAGTCTCTAGGAAGTTCCAAACTTTCCCACATTTTTCTATCTTCTTCTGAACCCTTCAAACTGTTCTAATCTCTGCCTGTTACCCAGTTCCAAATTTGCTTCCACATTTTCGGGCGTCTTTTCAGCAATACCCC
Organism: Homo sapiens; assembly: GCF_000001405.40. Lineage (NCBI taxonomy): Eukaryota > Metazoa > Chordata > Mammalia > Primates > Hominidae > Homo > Homo sapiens. The sequence continues at coordinate 8,672,345 of NC_000012.12, forward strand.
ACTCTGTTGGTACCAGTTTACTGTATTAGTCCATTTTCATGCTGCTGATAAAGACATATCCAAGATTGGGAAGAAAAAGAGGTTTAATTGAACTTACAGTTTCACATGGCTGGGGAGACCTTAGAATCGGGAGGAGAAAGGCACTTCTTACATGGCAGCAGCAAGAGAGAATGAGGAAGAAGCAAAAGTGGAAACCCCCGATAAACCCATCAGATCTCATGAGACTTAATCACTACCACGAGAATAGCATGGGAAAGATGACCCCCCCATGATACAATTACCTCCCCCTGAGTCCCTCCCATGACACATGGGAATTCTGGAAGATGCAATTGAAGGTGAGATTTGGGTGGGGACACAACCAAACCATATCAGTTCTCATGAGATCTGGTTGTTTGGAAGTGTGCTACCTCCCCGCCTCCCCGTGCTCCTGCTTTCACCATGTGAATGGCCTGCCCTTGCTTTGCCTTCCGTCATGAGTAAAAGCTTCCTGAGTTCTCACCAAAAGCAGATGCCGCTATGCTTCCTGTATAGCCTGTGGAATCATAAGCCAATTAAACCTCTTTTGTCTATAAATTACCCAGTCTTAGAGTTAAGTGGTGCCATCTTGACTCACTGCAACCTCCACCTCCCGGGTTCAAGAGATTTTCATGCTTCAGCCTCCTGAGTAGCTGGAATTACAGGTGCCCGCCACCATGCCCAGCTAATTTTTGTATTTTTAGTAGAGACAGGGTTTCACCATGTTAGCCAGGCTAGTCTTGAACTCCTGACCTCAGGTGATCTACCTGCCTTGGCCTCCCAAAGTGCTGGGATTACAGGCCTGAGCCACCATGCCTGGCCTCTGACCGGGTATTTCTTTAGAGTAATGCAAGAACAGCCTAATACAGTGACAGAGCTATGCTGAGAGCAGTGACAGGTAGAGGTACAGTGCTGGTCTTTCAAATACTCCTTACTGACAAGTTTTCGTGAATCACTGATACCTTTCCATTTGAAGAGCATTCTCCTCAACTCCCTGAATGGTGCTATTTAACAAACTACACCAAAAACTTAGTGACTAAAACAACAATAATGATTATTTTTCTTGATTTTGTGTGTTGATCAGGCAGGAATTCTGCTTTACATAGTGTTAGCTGGGCTGCGGGGATGGCTGAATGGCTAGTTGGTGCTAGCTGCCAGTGGGAATCCCAAATAGGGTTGTTGGCAGAAGCCTCAGTTATCTTCCATGTAGTATCTCCACCAACTCAACTCACTCGAGCTTCTTTTTTTTTTTTTGAGATGGAGTCTTGCTCTGTCACTCAGGCTGGAGTGCAGTGTTACAATCTTGGCTCACTGCAACCTCTGCCTCCCAGGTTCAAGAAATTCTTCTACCTTAGCCTCCCCAGTAGCTGGGACTACAGGTGCGTGCCACCATGCCTGGCTAATGTTTGTATTTTTTAGTAGAGATGGGGTTTCACCATGTTGGCCAGACTAGTCTCGAATTCCTGACCTCAGGTGATCCGCCCGCTTTGGCCTCCCAAAGTGCTGGGATTACAGGAGTGAGCCACCGCACCCGGCCTCACTTGGCCTTCTGACAGCACAATCATGGGTTGAGAGAGTATGTGAAGAAACATCACATCTCCTAAGGCACAGTCTCAGAAGTCCCCACCATGTTCTGTTGGTTCAAATAAGCCACAGGGTCGGTTCCAATTTAAGGGAAAGAGAAATAAACTCCACCTTTTACTGGGAAGAGTGGCAAAAAACAAACATGCAGTCATCTTTAGTCCTCCACAGCATCTCTGAAGTTAAGCCTCATCGTTTTAACAGACTAGGGTTAAGTGTCAGATAGTCAACATTTACATTTTGCCCTTTCCCTGAAGCCTAACTCACCTCTTCTCACAATTCTTTTTTTTTTTTTTTTCCTTTTTTTTTTTTTTTTGAGACGGAGTCTCGCTCCATTGCCCAGGCTGGAGTGCAGTGGCCTGATCTCGGCTCACTGCAAGCTCCACCTCCCGGGCTCATGCCATTCTCCTGGCTCAGCCTCCCGAGTAGCTGGGACTACAAGTGCCCGCCACCACGCCCTGCTAATTTTTTTGTATTTTTAGTAGAGATGGGGTTTCACCGTGTTTGCCAGGATGGTCTCGATCTCCTGACCTTGTGATCCGCCTGCCTCGGCCTCCCAAAGTGCTGGGATTATAGGCGTGAGCCACCGCGCCCAGCCCTTTTTTTTTCCTTTTTTATGGGACCAGGGGTCCGGCGTCTCGCCCTGTTGCCTAGGCTGGAGTGCAGTGGCGATATCTCAGTTCACTGCAACCTCTGCCTCTCACATTCAAGCAATTCTCCTGCCTGAGCCTCCCAAGTAGCTGGGATTAGAGGCATGTGACACCATGCCCAACTAATTTTTGTGTTTTTAGTAGAGATGGGGTTTCACCATGTTGGCCAGGCTGGTCTCGAACTCCTCACCTCAAGTGATCTGCCCACCTCAGCCTTTCAAAGTACTAGAATTACAGTCATGAGCCACTGCGTCCAGCCTTTTGTCACAATTCTTTTTTTTTTTTTTTTTTGAGAGGGAGTCTGGCTCTGTCTCCCAGGCTGGAGTGCAATGGCACGATCTTGGCTCACTGCAACCTCCACCTCCTGGGTTCAAGCAATTCTCCTGCCTCAGCCTCCCGAGTAGCCGGGATTACAGGTGCCTGCCACCACACCCAGCTAATTTTTGTATTTTAGTAGAGACAGGGTTTCACCATGTTGGCCAGGCTGGTCTTGAACTCCCAACCTCAGGTGATCCACCCACTTTGGCCTCAAAATGCTGGGATTATAGGCGTAAGCCACCACACCTGGCCCTTTTCTCACAATTTTAAGAAAAGCTGTCACAGAAGAACCTCTTTGTTGCTGAATAATACAGACACATTTCAGTCTTATTTTCTTATTTTCTGAAACATTAGTCATTGCTGACCAGTCCCTACTTTTGAAATGTCCCCTCCTCTTGACATCTATAATATCACAGTCCTTGTCTTCCTCTTAACACCTCTCTACTGTTCTTTTACATTTCTTTTTTCTTCTTCTTCTGTTTACTCTTAAGTGCTGGTTTTCAAGGTTTTGGCCCGGCCACCTCTCTTTTTACTGTACTTTCTCCCTCTCCTTAATCCACTCCCAACTCTTCATTTACCATCTATTGGTTTATTCTCCCAGATCTATGCTTCAGTCTAACCTCTATCTATCACCTAAAATAATCAAAAGGGTCAAGATCTAATTTCAAAACAGTTTATTCTGGTACAAAGAGTGGAAACATCAACTCCAAAAGAAGGAAGTCAGCTTTGTGAAGTCAGGAAGTTAAGGGTTCATTTATATAGACAGAGGAGCCTTTAGCAGGATTACAACTTTTTTTAGACAAGGTTGGCACATAGTTATAGCAAACTGATTGGTTATAAAAGTGTTTCTTTTTGGGAGAGTACATATAGTTGTTTTCTTGTTTTTCTTTTTTTTTTTTTTTAACGGAAGTGTAATAGTCATGGGTTTTCTGTCATCTGGTCTAAGCAAGGCAGAACAACAAAGAAAAAGTTAATCTGTAACAAAGGTCATTAATTAAGAAGGCAGGAGGTTTTTGTCCCTGACGTCGTTAAATTTTCTCTAGTCATTGTGCAGGACAAGAAAAATAAGAAAACAAGTTAATCTATAATCTGAGAAACATGCTATAGCCATATGTGACTCAGATCAATCTCATCTCTGTCAAGGTTTAAATGTTTTGGGGGGTTCCAACAGCTTTTCTTTTTGAGACAGGGTCTCACTTTGTCACCCAGGCTGGAGTGCAGTAGCGTGATCTTGGCTCACTGCAGCCTCGACCTCCTGGGCTCAAGCTATCCTCCCACCTCAGCTCTCCCAGTAGCTGGGACCACAAGCGTATACCACCACACTCAGCTAATTTTTTGTATTTTTTGTAGAGACAGGTTTTCACCATGTTACCTGGGCTGGTCTCGAGCTCCTGAGCTTGAGTGATCCCCCAGTCTTGGCCTCCCAAAGTACTAGGATTATAGGAGTGAGCCACTGTGCTCAACCCCCAACAGCTTTTTTTTTTTTTTTTTTTTTTTTTTTTTTTTTTGAGACAGAGTCTTGCTCTGTTGCCCAGGCTGGAGTGCAGTGGCATAATCTCGGCTCACTGCAACCTCTGCCTCCCGGGTTCAAGTGATTCTCCTGCCTCAGCCTCCTGAGTAGCCAGGACTACGGGTGTGCACCACCACACCTGACTAATTTTTGTATTTTTAGTAGACACGGGGTTTCACCATGTTTGCCAGGCTGGTCTTGAACGCCTGGCCTCAAGTGGTCCACCCGCCTCGGCTTCCCAAAGTGCTAGGATTACAGGTGTGAGCGACCACATGCAGCCCAACAGCTTTTAAATTATATTTATTTTTACATATCTATGTCCTCAACTCTAAGTCTGAATATGCAATAGCACATCATTGTTTGAACATCCCATAGGCACCTTGAGTCAGACAGGCTTTAATTACAGGAAACCGACTCAGGAAGGGGAAAAGCTAAAGAAACACTCTAGTCTGAGCCCCCAGGAGTGACTACCAAGGGACTCTATTGCTTCTCCACCATCTAGGGGCCACCTTCCAAAATTGGAATGTCACCACTCGGGCATGAGAGCCACCCTGGCCGTGCTATAGTCCACACCAAGAAATCAGATGCTCACTCCTTGCTGCTGTTCTCACTGAGCTTGGTTTTTAATTCAAGTCTCATTCTAGGGTATACAGTCTGGAATCTAAATCACATTCAAACTCTAGCTGTAGGAGAGTCTTGAATATGTAGTTTTTCGTTTTCCACCACCTGTAGTACAGGAAAAGCTCAAGGAAAAAGTGTGGATAAATGTTGAGCAAGCTAAATCCCTAATAGCTCAACATGTCTGGGACAGAATTGTCATCTTCCCGCACAGTGCACCCCCACCCTCAGCTAAACTGGTGCCATGATCTACTAAGTTACACAGTTGAAATATGTGTGAATCATCCTCATTTTCCTCAGTTTCTCTCTTTGCCTAACTTGAGTCCCAGCACATACACCACACCCTTTATCACACACACCACACCCTTAATCACCAAAATCCCATTGAGCCTACCTCCTTAATATTGTTCAAATCCATCCATCCTCTATTCTTTCCACACGGCTTCAGCTCTGTTCAGTCATTACTCTTAACAGAGTCCTAAGTGATCCCCCAGTTCCCATCCACACTTCCCCATCTTTGTGATACAAAGCAGCCAGAGTAATCTCTTTAGCACTAATCTGATTAAGTCATTCCCTGGCTTAAAAACTATAAAGACTCTTCATTATCCTTAGGATGCGGACGAAACTCCTTAGCATGACATACATAGCTATTCATAATATTTTTATGTTGTGTCATCAGAGCTCCAACCCACCCACCCCAGAACCTTTGCCCTTTTTTTTTTTCTTCTTTTTTTGAGACAGGGTCTCACTCTGTTACCCAAGCTGGAGTGCAGTGGCACAGTCTCGGCTCACTGGAACCTCCACCTCCTGGGCTCAGGTGATCCTCCCACCTCAGCTTCCCAAGTAACTGGGACTACAGGCATGCGCCACCATGCCTGGCTAATTTATTTTTATTATATTTATTTATTTATTTATTTATTTATTTTTGTAGAGACAGCATCTTGCCATGTTTCCCAGGCTGGTCTCAAACTCTTGGACTCAACAATCAGCTCACCTTAGCCTCCCAAAGTGCTGGGATTACAGGTGTAAACCACCATGCTCACAAACCCAGCCTTGCCCCTTGTTTTTTAGCCATACTGAATTACTTGCAGTTCTTCAAAAGCTCAGAAGTCTTTCTTATTTTTCTTTTTTTTAATTAAAAATTTTTTTTTAATTTAAAAATAGAGACAGGGTCCCACTATGTTACCCAGGCTGGTCTCGAACTCTTGGACTCAAGTGATCCTCGCACGTTGGCCTCCCAAAGTGCTAGGATTACAAGTGTGAGCCGCCACACCTGGCCGGTCTTTCTTTTTTTCTTTTCTTTTTTTTTTTGAGATGGAGTTTCGCTCTCGTTGCCCAGGCTGGGGTGCAATGGTGAGATCTTGGCTCACCGCATCCTCCGCCTCCCGGGTTCAAGCGATTCTCCTGCCTCAGCCTCCCGAGTAGCTGGCATTACAGGCATGCACCACCACGCTCTGCTAATTTTGTTTTTAATAGAGACGGGGTTTCTCCATGTTTGTCAGGCTGGTCTCGAACTCCCGACTTCAGGTGATCCGCCTGTCTCGGCCTCCCAAAGTGCTGGGATTACAGGCATGAGCCACTGCGCCCAGTGGTCTTTCTTATGTCTAAGACATTGGCAAATAATTTCAGTCTTTGAAAGAATGCTCTGCAGACAAGATGCTGCCAGAGGCCCTAACTTCTGGAATGCGGGGCTGTGTTCAGGAGAGACTGTTCAAGTTCTGTCTTGCATTTCCCTCATTGTGGTCACTGAGAAATGGCATGGATTCCAGCTGGTGCAGGGGATGCAAAGGAAAATTAAGCTCATTTTTCAGGATGATCTGACATCAGATTTTTACCTATTTAGCAGATTCTGCATTCTTTATGTCACTGAAGATGATTCAGTAGCCAGATAATAGCTACATGAAGAGGCTTGGTCAGGTTAGGAATTCCAGTAATCTTCAAGGGGTTGTATTCGTTGAAAAAACTCATTTGAGTGAGCAATACTTTCCAGCCATACAGAAGTTCACTGTGCTTTACCTTGGGATGGCCAGCCAGATGGAAGCATCCTGCCTCACCATCCGGTGAATTGAAGAGCAAACCAAAGAGCTCTGGAAAAATCATTTCTCAGGAAGAAAGGGGCTCTGTTTTCTGAGCCATTTATTCTTTGTTTTTGTTTTTGTTTTGAGACGGAGTCTCACTTTGTCATCCAGGCTGGAGTGCAGTGGTGGCATGATCTTGGCTCACTGCAACCTCCCCCTCTCGGTTCAAGTGATTCTCCTGCCTCAGCCTCCTGAGGAGCTGGGATTACAGGCACCCGCCACCACCACCACGTGCCTGACTAATTTTTGTATTTTTAGTAGAGATGGGGTTTCACCATTTTGGCCAGGCTGGTCTTGAACTCCTGACTTCAAGTAATCCGCCCGTGTGGGCCTCCCAAAGTGCTGGGATTACAGGCATGAGCCAGTGCGCCCAGCCCATTCCTTCTTTGAAATGTGCAGCAGATTCCAGGAGTTGGAAAAGTTAAAGCCTTCCTTTTGCTTCAGAAGTTTCCAAGTACCCAGGAACTGAGTAATGATTCCATCTGAGAACTCAAGCAGCTTTTTGGACAAGAGGTAGCACAGCAAATCCTTGCCTTCTTCACACAGTCCAAGTGATGCACGGCCTCTTATCTACTATGTATTCTCTTTTAGACCACGAACAATAAGGTCTTGTATTCATATTTAAAAACCAAGAAAAAGATTTCTTCTCACAGCAACTAGTGAAAGATGAGGTGAGGCCTGAGCGAAGCCTGCGAGTCATCCTGCTGTCAGAGGCATGTGAACCAGAGCAACTCCATCTTGAATAGGAGCTGGGTAAATGAGGTTGAAACCTACGGGTCTACATTCCCAGATGGTTAAGGCATTGTAAGTCACAGGATGAGACAGGAGGTCAGTACAAAATACAGGTCATAAAGACCTTGCTGATAAAACAGGTTGCAGTAAAGAAGCCAGCCAAAACCTACCAAAACCAAAATGGACATGAGAGTGACCTCTGGTACTCCTCACTGCTACACTCCCACCAACACCATGACAGTTTACAAACGCCATAACAACATCAGGAAGTTACCCTATATGTCAAAAAAAGGGAAGGCATAAATAAGCCACGCCTTATTTTTTTTTTTGAGACAGTCTCACTCTGATGCCCACGCTGGAGCGCAGTGGCGCGATCTCGGCTCACTGCAAGTTCCGCCTCCCAGGCTCACGCCGTTCTCCTGCCTCAGCCTCCCGAGTAGCTGGGGACTACAGGCGCCCGCCACCACGCCCGGCTAATCTTTTTTTGTATTTTTAGTAGAGACGGGGTTTCACCATGTTAGCCAGGATGGTCTCCATCTCCTGACCTCGTGATCCGCCTGCCTCAGCCTCCCAAAGTGCTGGGATTACAGGCGTGAGCCACCGCGCCCAGCCAGCCACCCCTTATTTAGCATAGCATCAAGAAATAACCATAAAATTGGGCAACCAGTCACCCTCGGGGCTGCTCTGTCTTTGGAGTAGCCATTCTTTTATTCCTTTACTTTCTTGATAAACTTGCTTTTGCTTTGCACTGTGGACTCGCCCTGAATTCTTTCTTGCGCGAGATCCAAAAACCCTCTCCGGGGGTTTGGATGGGGACCCCTTTCCTGTAACACCGCTATACTGTCTGGGTTCAGGCATTGAAGTTATTGGACTGCAGAGGGCACTGCCTCATTCAGTTAAGATGAAAAGCGTCGCTAGAGATCTTCCTGAGACAGCCAGGGACTCTCATTCCCAGCAAAATGCCAATTACGGCAGATTTTAATGTGTGACCTTGACCTTCATCTATTACGGAAAGGTCTTCTAAAAAGTTTTGTGTGCTACATCTAAAAGATCCATCTAAAGGAAACAAACTTACAATGAAGCATTGTGTATTACAAGCCCCTTGTTCCTGGGGTCAGAGCTGCTGTTCTTCAGGTCTGGTCTTTTTTTTTTTTTTGAGACAGGGTCTCACTTTGTCACCCAGGCAGAAGTGCAGTGGCACAATCTTGGGCTCAAATGATCCTCCCACCTCAGCCTCCCAAGTAGCTGGGACTATAGGTCCATACCACCACGCCCAGCTAATTTTTGTAGAGATGGGGTTTCACCATAGCATAGGGACACCATTCTTAGGCTGGTCTCAAATTCCTGAGCTCAAGCGATCCACCCTCCTCCGCCTCCCAAAGTACTAGGATTACAGACATGAGCCACTGTGTCTGGCGGTTCTGGTCTTCATATACCAGTGCTTTGAGGGCTGCTGCCAATGTAAACAAACAATTGTACAAAAAAAAAATATGTTGAATAAGTGTGGTATAATAAGAAATACATTTGGTCTTTGGGCCTGGTTCCTGTCACAGAGATCTTAAAATCCTTGGAATTTCCTGAGTGATAAGAGTGTCTTTTGTTATTCACAACAAGCCCCTGATGTTGCGTAACCATCAGTCACACCTGAACTTGTGCTACGTTAATGCATGACGTAAGGTGTGGCTCCTATTCCGGATGAAACTGCTCACGTAAAGACCAAGGGATAAGAGGACTGGAACTATCAGCCCCACCCACTGACCTTCGGGAAGCAGGCTGGAGAGGGGGCTGGAAATAAAGCTCTATAAAAACTCATGAACAGTGGGTCTTGATGAGCTTCCGGGTTTATGGATTCGTGGGCTGCTTCCACCTGCTAGGAGGGTGGTGTACTCTAACTCAGGGACAGAAGCCCCTGTCTGTGCTCAGGACTCTTGCAGACCTCTTTACCTGGCTGTTCATCTTCCATAATCAACTGGTAAGTAATATGTTTTCCTGAATTCTGTGAGGCATTCTAGCAAATGATGGAACTCAAGGAGAAGGTCATGGGAACCCCCAAATTTATAGCTGGTCAGTCGGAAGTACCGGGACTTTCAACTGGCATCTGGGTGGGAGCAGTCTTGTGGGACTCAGCTCTAAACTTGTGGGATCTGACATTGACTGCAGGTAGATAGTGTCAGTATTGAGTTGGATTGTAGGACACCCAGCTGGTGTTGGAGAATAGGTCAGTGTGGGGAAAAAAACTCGCACATCTGGTGTCAAAAGTGTTCTGTGTGAGGGTGTAAAGAAACAAGTGTATTTCTTACAATACATGCATTAAAAAACACATAAAATTAAAGGAATCAGAATTCTTCAAAGTGGAGGGAAGAACATGTAGTTCCTAAATCGGGACACGAGAGGGCAACAAATAACCTCCAGAGTCTTGTCGTCGAACTGCTTTTCTTTCCAAGGGGTTTACACTTCCCGTTGGTTGCTAATATAGTTCATGTAGCAAGAATATTGAACTATGCCTGACAGGATGAAAGGCTCCTAATAACTAAGACCTGTACTTCATTTATAGTCGGTTTCCTTCTCAATGCCAGGCACTGCGTTGAGTACTGATATTTTAAAATGATGAGTCAGTCAAGGAGTCAAGAATTTACTGGGAAATGGCCGGGTGCGGTGGCTCACGCCTGTAATCCCAGCACTTTGGGAGGCCGAGGCGGGCGGATAACGAGGTCAGGAGATCGAGACCATCCTGGCTAACACGGTGAAACCCTGACTCTACTAAGAACACCAAAAATTAGCCGGGCGTGGTGGCGGGCGCCTGTAGTCCCAGCTACTCGGGAGGCTGAGGCAGGAGAACGGCGTGAACCCGGGAGGCGGAGCTGGCAGTGAGCCGAGATCGCGCCACTGCAGCCCCGCCGGGGGGGAGGGAGCGAGATTCCGCCTCAAAAAAAAATAAAAATAAAAATAAATAAATTAAAAAAAAAAAAAAAAAGAAACGAGGTTTCTCCATGTTGGTCAGGCTGGTGTCTTACTCTGACCTCAGGTGATCCGCCGGCCTCAGCCTCCCAAAGTGCTGGGATTATAGGCGTGAGCTACCGCGCCCGGCCTGCAACTACTGATCTTTTTAACATCTCCATAGTTTTGGGTTTTTCCTGAATGTCATATAGTTAGAATCATACAGTATGTGGACTTTTCAGATTGACTTCTTCCACTTAGTAATATGCTCTTAAGGTTCCTCCATGTCTTTTGGAGGCCTGATAGGTCATTTCTTTTTATTGCTGATTAATATCCCATTGTCTGAATATACCACAGTTTATTTATTCCTTCATCTACTGAAGGACGTCTTGATTGCCCACAAGTTTTGGCAATTATGAATAAAGCTGCTATAAACATTCATGTGCAGGTTTTTGTGTGGGCACTAAGTTTCCTCTCCTATGGATGAATACCAAGGAGTATGATTGCTGGATCATATGGTAAGAGTATGTTTAGTTTTGTAAGAAACCACCAATCTGTCTTCCAAAGTGGCTGTCCCATTTTATGTTCTACCAGCAATGAATGGAGTTTCTGTTGCTTCACAGCCTCCCCAGCATTTGGTGGTGTCCGTGTTCTGAATTTTGGCCAATCTAATAGGGGCATAGTGGTATCTTATGTTTTAATTTTTATGCCCCCAATAACATATAATGTGCAGCACCTTTCCATATGCCCATTTGCCATCTGTATATCTTTGATGTGGTTTCTGTTCAGATATTTTGCCCATTTTAAAAATTTAGGTTAAATTGTTGTTTTTAATTGTTCTTGTATTATTTTAAATAATATGCCTTTTCCAGAAGTGTCTTTTGCAAATATTTGTTCCCGGTCTGGCTTGTCTTCTCATTCTCTTGACATTCTCTTTAGCAAAGTAGATGCTTGTAATTTTGGTTTTTTGTTTGTTTGTTTGAGACAGAGTCTCGCTCCTGCCGCCCAGGCTAGAGTGTGGTGGCACGATCTCGGCTCACTGCTACCTCCACCTCCCGGGTTCAAGCAATTCTCCTGCCTCAGCTTCCCAAGTAGCTGAACTTAAAGGCGCCTGCCACCACACCCAGCTAATTTTTGTATTTTTAGTAGAGGTGGAGTTTCACCATGTTGGCCAGGCTGGTCTCAAACTCCTGACCTCAAGTGAACCACCCCCCTCGGCTTCCCAAAGTGCTGGGATTATAGGCTTGAGCCACTGCGCCCCACCAATGTTTGTAATTTTGATGAAGTCAAATTATGAATTTGAGTTCTCAATTATCTCTAAGTTCTTTCAAAGGATTATGCCTTTGGTGTCGTATCTAAAAAGTTATTGCCATACTGAAGGTCATCTAAATTTTCTCTTTTTTTTTTTTAGATGGAGTCTCGCTCTGCCACCCAGGCTGGAGTGCAGTGGCACCATCTCTGCTCACTGCAACCTCTGCCTCCCGGTTCAAGCGATTCTCCTTCCTCAGCCTCCCGAGTAACTGTGACTACAGGCACACGCCACCACACCCAACTAATTTTTGTATTTTTAGTAGAGCTGGGCTTTCACTATGTTGGCCAGGGTGGTCTGGAATTCCTGAGCTCCAGTGATCCACCCGCCCCCGCCTCCCAAAGTGTTGGGATTACAGGCATGAGCCATCACACCCGGCCTAAATTTACTCCTATGTTATCTTTTAGGAGTGGTATCTTTTGCATTTTGCATATAGGTCTGTGATCCATTTTGAGTAAATTTTTGTGAAGTGTGTAAGGTCTGTGTCTACTGTGTAGATTCTTTTTCTTTTTTTCATGTAAATGTCCAGTTGTTCCAGCACTTTTATTTTTTGAGACAGAGTCTCACCCTGTTGCCCAGGCTGGAGGGCAGTGGCACAGTCTCGGCTCACTGCAACCTCCCAGGTTCAAGTGATTCTCTCACCTCGGTCTCCTAAGTAGCTGGGACTACACGTGCATGCCACCACGCCCAGCTAGTTTTTTTGTATGTTTTGTAGAGACGGGGTTTCACCACGTTGTCTAGGCTAGTCTTGAACTCCTGAGCTCAGGCAGTCTGCTCACCTCGGCCTTCCAAAGTGGTGGGATTACAGGCGTGAGCAACCGCACCCAGCCTGTGTTTATTTCAAATTACACTTGCTCATCACTGATATATAGGAAAGCAATTAATTTTTGTATGTAAACCTTTTATCCTGCAATTGTGCTAGAATTGCTTATTAGTTTCAGGAGCTTTTTTGTAAATTCTCTTAGATTTTTTATATAGGCAATCATGTCATCTGCGAACAGAGTTTTATTTCTTCCTTCTCAATCTGTACACATTTTATTTCCTTTTCATGTCTTGTTGCACTAGCTAGAACTTTCAGTATTGAAAGTAGTAAAAGAAGCCATGCTTGCCTTGGTCCTTTGTCTTAGTGGGAAAGCTTCCAGTTTCTCACCAACATGATGTTAGCTGTAGTTTCTTTGTAGATGTTCTTTAAGCAGTTGAGGAAGTTCCTCTTTATTTTCAGTCTTTGGAGAGTTTTTATTTTTATCCCATACTTCATTTCAAAATGCTGAGAGGTTTCTTTGTTGTTTTGTTTTGTTTGATCATGAATGGGTGTTGGATTTTGTCACATGCTCGTTCAGCATCTATTGGTATGATCATGTGATATTTCTTTAGTCTGTTGATGCGATGGATTGCATTAATTGATTTTTCAAATATTGAGTCTGCCTTGGTTGTGGTATATAATTCTTTTTATTAAATTGTTGCATTCCGTTTGCTAATATTTTGAGGATTTTTACATCTTTATTTATGACAGATACTTTAATATCCATAGGATTTGCAGTGATGCCTGCTCTTTCATTTCTTACTTTTTTTTTTTGAGATGGAATCTGGAGCCCAGGCTGGAGTGCTGTGGCGAAATCTCGGCTCACTGCAACCTCCGCCTTCCGGTTCAAGTGATTCTCTTGCCTCAGCTTCCCAAGTAGCTGGAACTACAGGTGTGTGCCACTACGCCCAGCTATTTTTTATTCTTTTTTGAGACAGAGTCTCGCTCTGTCTCCCAGGCTGGAGTGCTGTGGGGCAATCTCGGCTCACTGCAACCTCCACCTCCCAGGTTCCAGCGATTCTCCTGCCTCGGCCTCCCGAGTAGCTGGGACTACAAGCGCCCACCACCACGCCCGGCTAATTTTTGTATTTTCAGTAGAGACGGGGTTTCACCATATTGGCCTGGATGGTCTCGAGCTCTTGACCTTGTGATCCGCCCACCTCGGTCTTCCAAAGTGCTGGGATTACAGGCATGAGCCACCGCGCCCGGACTAATTTTTGTGTTTTTAGTAGAGACAGGGTTTCACCATGTTGGCTAGGCTGCTCTCGAACTCCTGACCTCAGCTGATCCACTGATCCACCCACCTTGCCCTCCCATAGTGCTGGGATTACATTACAGGTGTGAGCCACCGAGCCCTCTCCCCCTTCCCTCCCCTCCCCTCCTCTCCTCTCCTCTCATTTCCTTTCCTTTCCTTTTTGGAGACGGAGTCTCACTCTGTCACCCAGGGTGGAGTGCAGTAGCCCGATCTCTGCAACCTTCGCCTTCCAGGCTCAAGCAATTCTCCCACTTCCGCCTCCCCACCACAGACGCGTGACACCATGACCAGCTATTTTCTTTTTTCTTTTCTTTTTTTTTTTTTTATTCAGGGTTTTCTTTCGTTTTTGAGACGGAGTCTCGCTCTGTTGCCCAGGCTGGAGTGCAGTGGCGCGATCTCGGCTCACTGCAAGCTCCGCCTCCCGGATTCATGCCATTCTCCTGCCTCAGCCTCGCAAGTAGCTGGGACTACAGGCGCCCGCCACCACGCCCGGCTAATTTTTTTTTGTATTTTTAGTAGAGTCGGGGTTTCACCGTGTTATCCAGGACGGTGTCGATCTCCTGACCTCGTAATCCGCCCGCCTAGGCCTCCCAAATTGCTGGGATTACAGGTGTGAGCCACCACACCCGGCCTCCACTGACTTTTAAAAAGTTAATGCTATATAGACAGCTGCATATATATAGCTGCAGTGTTCAATCCTATGCAGATTTGGAGAGGGCGCCACACAGGAATTATGGAGAAATCAGCGATTATGAACTTTAGTGCATCAGAATCATCAATGTATAACAAAATGAAGAATCTTCAGCTCTTTCTCTAAGGATTTCAATCTGGTGTGTCTGTGGTGGGGTAAGAATACGTACTTGGCGACCACCTTCAAGTGATTCTGATTCAGATGATCTCATTAAATGCAGGCTTTCTTACTTCATACCAGTATTTCTCAAATTTGAGTATGTACCTGAATCCCCCGAGGGCATGATTGCCAGATAAACACAGGATGATCCGTTTACTGTGAATTTCAGATAAACAATATAATTTTTTTAGTATGTGTCTCAAATACTGTAATATTTGGGCAAATAATCTAAGTAAAATTCAAATGTGCTTCCTCTCTAAGCATCATGAGTACTTTCAAATTAGGAGTTTAAATCTCCCTTGTGGCAGATATTTGTGATGATGATTTTGTCTTTTTAGGACATTTCAAAACATACAACCTCATCAAAGGATTTTCCTCTTCATTACTGTTTCTCCTGTTAACTTTTTCTTAGTATCTCCATCCTCCTTCTGTGGTCACTTCTGAAACAAAAAGCTCCAGAGAAATGTTACAACTTATTTTTCATACTTTTTCCTCTTTTCTTTGTTTCTCCTTTTATTTTCACACTTCTTGCTCCATTTCCTCTCTCTGCCTCTGCTCTCTCGTCTTTCCTTTGTAAGTCCCCAAGTTGCCCTGGACAAAATGAAATTTCTACCAGGGCTCCCCTCCTTCCTTTCTTCCTTTCTGTTTTCTTCTCTTTTTCCTTCCTTTCTGCTTTCTCCCTAAGCCATCCATGTCAAAATTAAAATCTGTAGGAACAAATTAGGGAGTCAGGGTACTGGGGACCAGCCTACATTATTGTGTTCCAGAAGGAGAATCTGTTCTGACAGTCCTTTTGCTAGAGCAAGTTCCAAGTCAGGAAGAAAAAAAAAAAAAAAAAAAAAGCAGGTGACCTGGGAGAGCTTCAAGAAACAATTGCTTTGCCTGGGGATCTGTTGGGAGAGTGATGGATGGCACTGCAGTTAGGACTTGGAGAACTGCAGGAAAAGGAGGGGAGTCATTGCCAGGCAGCATGAGGGGAGGAGGTGTCTAGAAGAAACAGCCATTCAGGAAGAGCTTATGAAAGGGGTGGAGAATGCACTGCCTGTGTATGCTGCAAGACCTTTCTGCAGACATTGTGTCTTTGTGAGCTGACTGCAGAGGCCATGTGCATGTGAAATGTATGAGAATGTATGTGTTGCTTATTTCAGATCATGTATGAACCTGTATGAATTGCTGACTGCAAGAAACGGGAGTGGATTGTTGAAAAGATCTTGCAGCCAGAGTGCTTGTTTGTGGTTGTGTGGTATGTGTGGCTTTTTGCCAAATGCACTGTTCTGATTCCAGCTCTGAAAGTTTAGTGGAAGTCTGGCAGATTAAGCCAAGACACAACAAAGTCAGAATTTAGAAGAAAATATGGGGGCAACATGAGAGGGAAACAGAAGCTGTTACAATAAGAGACAAGAAAAGCGAGATTTAGGGAAAGGGGAATGAGAAAACAGAAGATAAATAATAGAAATTATTTTCTTAGAAAGGAAAATTTTGAAGAAGAGCAGAAAGAAAAACAACACATTCTTTCAGATATAGGCACTGCATACTTTTAGTTCTCCTGGTACTCCAGTGACATAGTTCTTAGTCTCCCCCATTTCTTTCTGGATGGTTTATCTTGAAATAATGTATATTACAGGTATATTTTGGTTATACCAGAGGATTTTTAAACCTTAACAATTATTCAGAAATGAGCATTACTGTTTTTATATAATTAAAAAAACTTGTTGTTGTTAAAGGAGGGCTGTTGAGCATAATGAAAGTTTTGATCCAGGGATTAATTGAACAGGATTAGAGAATTTTGTGTGTGTGATTAAAATAATGTGTGAAGTGCATGACGTATTTCTTTCTTTCTTTTTTTTTTTTCTGAGGTGGAGTCTCGCTCTGTTGCCCAGGCTGAAGTGCAGTGGCACGATCTCGGCTCACTGCAGCCTTGGCCTCCTGGGTTCAAGAGATTCTCCTGTCTCAGCCTCCCAAGTAGCTGGGATTACAGGTGCCCGACACCACACCCGACTAATTTTTTCTATTTTTAGTAGAGACAGGGTTTCGCCATGTTGGCCAGGCTAGTCTCGAACTCCTGACCTCAGCTGATCTGCCTGCCTCAGCCTCCAAAAGTGCTGGGATTACAGGCGTGAGCCGCTGCACCCGGCCATGCATGACATATTTCAAAACAGGGATAATAAAATACACCTTATCTCCACATTCTAAAGATCTATGGTTATTACTTTATTAGCAAAATTTAACAGGGGCTACTTATACCTGGAATAAGATATTTAACTTAGTCATGAGATTTTCTTCTAGATTTGGTAAACACAAGGACAGCATAACTTTTAGACTGAATGTGGGCTGAAAAGAGACGTCCTCGTTGGGAGCAGCCTAGTTTTGCTTTGTTGCCAAAACATTGTAACTATATATTTTGACTTCAAACTGCAACCATTACAATCTCTCTTTCTCAGCATTTTGCTCAATTAATATTTTAAACCAAAATAATTAATAGAAATTATATTTCTAACACTACTTTGCTCTATTCATTAATCTGTCTTGTTTCATTCAGCCATATTTTCCTCCTGTACTTCCTACTCTTTTTTCCATCTGCCTCTCTTTGTTATTTCTTCCTCTCTGTCACGTTTCCCTGGATTTGATTAAAGTCTCCTTCACTTTTTCCTCACCTTTCTCTCTTTTATTGAAATCACTCCTTTTCAGGTTTGTCTTTCTCCCCAGTCCTTTCTCCGGTGTCTTTGTCTCCAGCAGAGAGGGTATGGTGGTGATGCGGAGGTGGGGAATGAGGCCTGGGAGAACGCAGGCTGGGTATAGGTAGGAGAAAATGGGGCTTCAGCTGTTTCTGCAATCAGCCTACAAAAGGCTGACTTAAAACCTGCCTCTGTAAATCCCCCCTCTTCTGCGCCCTCAAAGGGTCTCTCTACTTCCCCACCTTAAATTCCACCTCCCCCATCCCCATTTCTCTAGTGACATCACTCCTTACCAGCTGTGACTGTCAGGGACTCTGACCTACTTTTGCCCACTCTATTAGGCAATAAGCCATGTTTTCTCCACTAAACTCAGGATTTTCTGCTAAACCCTCTTTGTCCCAGCATGTCAGTGGGTCCCTTTTTAAACCTCAAAACATTTTACAGTTTCCTACAATACAGTCATTTTTTCATGCCTGAAGTTCGAGAAAAAGCATAATTGATAAAAAGATTCTATGACTGTAGAAAATCCATTTATGACTTAAATGGAGTTATACTTTATCAAAATAGAATCCATACATATTTGAAGAATCATGTATGTGTTAGTAACAATTTTTTGTTGAATCTTTAGAGGTGATGCTCAGTTAATGGATTCTTGGGTCCTTTGTGGCAAATTATAATGTATGTACCATTATTTTTCACGTTAGTAAATGCTACTGAAGCATGAACCCAAACAGCAGGCATTGATATCTAAGTAAAACTTTACTAAGAAGTGGGGGGAAACTGCAGACAATCCTTTTTATAGTCTTCGGAGGGATTACAAACAGTGTTTGACAAAGCAGTTAAGAGCATGTACTTTGCTACTCGGATTCAAATCTTGGCTCTGCTATTTTGCTAGCTGAGTGACTTCGGACAAGTTACTTAACCTCACTGTGTCTCCGTTTGCTCATCTGTAAAAAGAAGATACTCCAGGCCAGGTGCAGTGGCTCACGCCTGTAATCCCAACACTTTGGAAGGCCAATGCAGGTGGATCATGAGGTCAGGATATCGAGACCATCCCAGCCAACATGGTGAAACCCCCTCTCTCCTAAAAATACAAAAATTAGCTGGGTGTGGTGGTGCATGCCTGTAATCCTAGCTAGTTGGGAGGCTGAGGCAGGAGAATCACTTGAACCCGGGAGGCAGAGGTTGCAGTGAGCCAAGATTGTGCCATTCCACTCCAGCCTGGCGACAGAGCGAGAGTCCGTCTCAAAAAACAAAACAAAACAAAAAAAGAAGATAATCCAAACCCAGTAGGGTTAGAACACTCCATGTTCTAAGATACGATAGGTTTATTATGAGACTGGGGACAGTGATGTAACTATGTGTTTCAAGTATTTCTGTGGTGTGATCCTCATGCCTAAGTCTACCTTTACCATTTATTTATTAAGCAAGTATCTAAGTTGTCTGTCCCAGTTACCCAGAAAAGTTCTGCGAAACAATACGAAAGATGGGAACCTGTATGAGTGCAGTAGCATGATCATGGTTCACTGCAGCCTAGAACTCCTGGGCTCAAGCAATCCTCCTGCCTCAATCTTCCAAGCAGCTGGGACTATAGGCATGTGCCACCACACTTGGCCAAATTTTTTTTTTTTAAAGTTTTTGGTTTTTGTAGGGGTTGGGTGCAGTGGCTCACGACTGTAATCCCAGCACTTTGGGAGGCCAAGGCAGGCAGATCAACTGAGGTCAGGAGTTCAAGACCAGCCTGGGCAACATGGTGAGACCCCCATCTCTACTAAAAATACAAAAATTTGCCAGGTGCAGTGGTGCATGCCTGTAATCCCAGCTACTCCGGAGGATGAGGCACCAGAATTGTTTGAACCCAGGAGGCAAAGGTTGGAGTAGAGATCGAGCCACTGCACTCCCGCCTGGGTGACAGAGTGAGACTGTCTCAAAAAGACAAACAAACAAACAAAAAAGAAAAGAATTAGGAAATAGGACAGGTTAAGAATTTAGATTGAATAGAAATAAACTGATGTTTCTTTGAACATAGGATAACCACATGAACTTAGACTACTGAACAGGGCTCCCCAGTCTAAGTCTTTCATTGTACAAAAAACAGCAAGGCAGATCAGGATAATTATGGTGGTGCCAGGCCATTAGGATGCTTCCAGACTTCATTCATTCATTTAATCTGTAAATGTTCACT
This sequence comes from Homo sapiens, assembly GCF_000001405.40. Classification (NCBI taxonomy): domain Eukaryota; kingdom Metazoa; phylum Chordata; class Mammalia; order Primates; family Hominidae; genus Homo; species Homo sapiens. Next base: position 8,691,860 of record NC_000012.12, read on the forward strand.
AATCATTCAAGGTGTTGCTGGTGACACAGATGTGTGACAGATGCACACAGCCCTTATGTGGTTTGCATATTATCATTTCTCTGGTTGGATTCTATGGATGCATTATCTACAAATTCAGTCATGTTTCCCTGCACCAAGAGAGGGTTTTTTTTTTCCTTTAATACTTGATGCTTCCTCTATTCTTTAAATGAGAACACATCTAATGTGCCTTTCCATATTTTCTTATTTCATTTTTTTCTTCTTTCATTCTTCCCAGGTTGTTATACTTCTAAGATCCTCCCAAAGACAGGGAAATCAGGACTAGGAAATTGCTGCCAACGATTTAATTTCATTGCCTCATTTTCTCTTCAGTCAGAGAGGACTAACAATATTTGCTCAACCTTAGAATGTTGCTTGAGGCTACAATGAGTTTATAAATGTTGAGGGCTTTAAATAAAGAGCATTTTACAAATGGTTATTTTGGTCTCTAAGACACTGTGCTCAAACTTTCATGTGTCTAAAGATCATTTAGTATGCTTATTCCAAATGCAGATAAATTGCTGATTTTAGATGCTTTGAGTTGCTCAAGAAATGCAGGTACACAGGCTCATTCAGGTCAGAGGCAGAGGTCAAGGAATCTGCATTTTAAACAAGCATTCCAGGTAATTTCTATGTGGTAGAGGAAAAAAAAATCTTAACCAGATACAATTAAAGAAGTAGGGGGAAAACCTGTATCATGTTTCTTGCCAAGACTGTGTTTTCTTTCCACCCATTCTTTCTCTTCTGTGATTCAGCCAATGTATGGTCTTTCCTCCCTTTGTGTCTGGCATCTGCATTTTCTTAGCATAGAGAGAAAGCTCAGTTTAATGTGCTGAGATGGAGCAGGGAAAAGGAGGAGGGATGTGGGTGGAGAAAGGCTAGATCAGTGTTTAGCTATTCTACTGCAAAGACTGTTGTCAGGCTGGTTCTAGCCGGCTGGCTCCAGGAGAGGAAACAGTGGGGAGAGCTAGATTTACTGCAGCTGCCGCTACCGTTCCTTATTTGCTAGTCAAGGTTCTAACATTAGACACCAACCACCTTTTCTCCAGCCACGTGAATTTTGCAGTTATAACGTTAGATAATCCACAAAGAACACTATTTTAGGTACTGATGATAACTATCTCAAAGATTAAATTCTTGTTTACAATTCTCTTTACTACTTCGAGGCCTCTAGTTTTGATCAAATCCCCGCTAGTTTCCTTGTCTTCAAACCCAGGGGGAAATGATTTGCAACAGATGATGTGTATAGGGCACTTAAAGGTTTTCGCTTGACCTGCAACAGACAAACAATTTATTGTTATTTCATTTGTAAATTATGTTTTTCTGGCTGATGTAGATATACTGTGTACTCAAGTAGAATCAGAGACGTGGGGTTGACTGGACCTGGGTAACTCTGTTAGGGAAGATTTTGTTTTCATTAAACCCTCAATTTTATAGGCCTTCCCCCAGTACCTTCATATTATCCCATCAAAAACTTTAAAATGCTTTGTACTGCAATTTGTTTTCTTTTTCTTTCTTTCTTTCTTTTTTTTTTTTTGAGAGGGAGTCTCATTCTGTCACCTAGACCGGAGTGCAGTGGCACTATCTCAGCTCACTGCAACACCCGCCTCCCAGGTTCAAGTGATTCTCCTGCCTCAGCCTCCTGAGTAGGTGGGATTACAGGTGCCCACCACCACGCCCAGCTAATTTTTATATTTTTAATAGAGATGGGGTTTCACCATGTTGGACCAGGCTGGTCTTGAACTCCCGACCTTAGGTGATCCGCCCACCTCAGCCTCCCAAAATGCTGGGATTACACATGGGAGACACCACACCGGGCCTGTACTGCAAATTTAGTTGTCATATTCTAATCAGCTAATCTGACTAGCTGAAATGGCTAGATAACATGTGTATTTCAGCACAACCAAATGGATAGTTAATTCTAACATCTCTGTTGTGTAAACTTGGGTCTTTACCCTGGCTGTGTATTAAAATCCCCTGGAGGGCTCTGAAAAAATATTGGTGCCTGGACGCCAATGCTGATTTAATCAGTTTTTGGGAGCTCTCCTGTTGATTCTATTTATTTTTTAAAAATAGAGACAGGGGCCAGGTGAGATGGCTCATGCCTGTAATCCCAGCACTTTGGGAGGCTCAGGTGGGCGGATCACTTGAGGTCAGGAGTTCGAGGCCAGCCTGGCCAACATGGTGAAACCCCAAGTTTCTACTAAAAATACAAAAATTAGCTGGGCGCCTGTAATTCCAGCTAATCAGGAGGCTGAGGCAGGAGAATCACTTGAACCTGGGAGGTGGAGGTTGCAGTGAGCCAAGATCTCACCACTGCACTCCAGCCAGGGCAACAGAGCCAGACTCCGTCTCAAAAAACAAAACAAAAAACAATAAAAATAGAGACAGGCTCTCCCTGTGTTGCCCAGGCTGGTCTTGGACTCGTGTATTCAAGCGATCCTGTTGTCTCAGCCTCCCAAACTGCTGGGATTACAGGTGTGAGCCATCACACTCAACATCCTGTTGAATTTTTTTTCTTTTTTTTTTTTTTTTTGAGATGGAGTACCCATCTGTTGCTCAGGATGGAGTGCACTGGCCCAATGTTGGCTTGCTGCAACCTCCACCCCCAGGTTCAAAAATTCTCCTGCTTCAGCCTCCCCAGTAGCTGGGATTACAGGCAACTGCCACCACGCCCGGCTAATTTTTGTATTTTTAGTAGAGGCAGAGTTTCACCATGTGGGCCAGGCTGGTCTCGAACTCCTGACCTCAGGTGATCCACCTGCCTTGGCCTCCCAAAGTGCTGGGATTACAGGCATGAGCCACCCTGCCCGGTCCCTCCTGTTGATTCTCATGTGTCTAGGAATAAGAGCAAAAATCTGGAAGTGTTTTGGTGCAGGCAAAGGATGAACCCTAACTTCATCTCAAAGACATTACTTACCTATAGAGTTGGTCTTACACTCATAGGGATATGCAATAAATATAACTATTTGTATGATTATCACACATATCTAAACATTGTATAATTTCTCTTTGATTACTATTTGACTGTTTTGGTATCAGTTAGTCTTGAATAATAATAGCTAACATTCACTGAGACTTACTATGTTATGCATTACATTTGAGTTACCTCATTCATCCTTCTATCTTAATAAAGTGGTGCTAATATGATCTTCATTTTGCTGATGAGAAAACTGAGGTTTATGGAAGTTAAGCAACAATCTCATGCTGCTAGTAAATACAGCTAGGATTTCAAATCAGATTGATCTGACTCCAGACATGCTAGGTTACTTATAGTATGTCTTCCCAGGGGATTCAATTGCCGCACCGCCCCGCCCCCCCGCCCCGCCCCGCCCGGCCCCGACACCTCCGAACTTCCTGAAAAATATTAATTCACTGGTTAAAAATGTGTGGTGCATGATTATGTCAAGAAAAACTACTTAAAATATTTTTGAGCAGGTGTTGCTACCCAAAGGAGATGTGAGTCCACAGCCGCCTAAACATATCAACCATGAATTCTCAAAGATTATGACTGAATGTATGTACAGCCTTTCTGAACCTTGGGTTTCCAATATGGAAATGGTGTAAATAATTTTTGCCCCCTTATTACTTCATATAAAAAGTATGATGTATGAATTTGATCATTACTCACATAAACATTATCTTAACAATATCATGATAATGGTAATGTGTTTAAGCCTTATCATTGGCTTTTTTTAAATACCCTCCTGAGCTTTGTTTTACTCCCTATTAGCTTAAGTCAAAAGCAACGTTGTTACATACATGAGAATATCTTAGAATGTGTATGGCACATAGAAGCAATAAATTGAATAGCAACTTTTTTTTTTTTTTTTTTTGAGACAGAGTTTTGCTCTTGTTGCCCAGGCTGGAGTGCAATGGCACCATCTCGGCCTGAAACCTCCACCTCCCAGGTTCAAGCGATTCTCCTGCCTCAGCCTCCTGAGTAGCTGGGATTACAGGCGTGCGCTATCACGCCTGGCTAATTTTGTATTTTTAGTAGAGACAAGGTTTCTCTATGCTGGTCAGGCTGGTCCAAAACTCCCGACCTCAGGTGATTCGCCTGCCTCAGCCTCCCAAAGTGCTGGGATTACAGGCGTGAGCCACCGCGCCCTGCCCTGAATAACAACTTTTAAGGGCAAGTGGCAAGTGAGTTAATAGTCATACTTCCTATCCTCAGTTTCACCAGTACAACCCACTTTTTCTGGGGATGCAGTTACCACGAATTGGATTCCTTAAGAGTGGGACTGAAGGAATAGGTTAATTAAATATTATTATTGATCCTCTGTACATTTTTTTCCCTGTGTCAATTTCACTGTGTTTATTTTGTCAGATTTTCAGTGTTAGTATCTCTGTGCTCAAGCTTCCCTTGATCACAAAATGCTTCTCTTGGTCTTGGAGTTGAATATACTTTATGTCCCAGGGGGCTGAATATCAGAGTGGAAGTAAATAGCAACAATTTAGTTCTGTAGACCTTATCCCCTTTGTTCTCAAGATAGTGTATCTATCTTATAGGGCGTTTGTTCCTCTAAATTTTGTAAACCAACTAGACGCCTATCCTAGGTTACTCTCACTGACCTAACATTATAATAGCACTAAACACTTTGAACAGCACTTGATCTGTGTCAGCTGTTAAATATTATATACTTATTAACTCATTTACTCCTTATGACAACTCCATGAAGTAGGTGACTATTTTTATCCTCACTTTTACAGCTCAGCAGATAAAGATACAGAGAGGTTAAGTTACTGCAGAGGTTCACATAGGGAGTGGAACCATAAATCCAATCCGGGCAGTCTGGATCCAGAAGTTACCACCCTGGGTTATGCTACATCTTTTAAAGGACTCTCGAGACGCTGAAGGAAATTAGTCAAAAAATTTTTTAAAAGCAGAAAATGAAATTATATTGTCAATTGACTGGGAGAGGAGCAGTGAAAAGTTGTTGGCTGAGGTCACTGAGACAGGGCTGAGACCAGCAAGAAGGCAAACTGGTGAGCACATTACCGTACCTCACACCTGGTGTCTCTGGTGACTGAAGTTATTTGGAAGTGAATCTTCCATGTAAACCTGGGAGGTCGTCTGTAGCCCTTTTTTTTTCTCCTTAAGAAAATGTAATAGCGTAGTTGAACATTCATATTCTTAGCCTCCTTTGGGCTATACTTTTATTTTTTATACATAGTTTTAGAATTTACAAAATGCTCTTAAAATATCTCATTTCATTCTCACAACGACTCCGGACTGTACTCTTTTATCTTTTCACAACAAAGGCTCAGAGGAAGCGTAGCAACTAACTTGTCCAAGGTTTACGCCGGTTTCTAGGGGGCAGAGCTGGCGCTATCCACCCCGCCTGTATCTCCAAACCCGCTTCAGCCAGGAAATTTATCATGTGGTTTTAAATTTGCCTCTCAATATACAGAGGTACTGTCTTTACTCCAGTCCCGGATAAAGACCTTCTAGGTATGAATGATCTTTGTCTCCATATCTTTGCCTACCGGAGGGAGGAACCACCGTAAGCGGAGACTCCGGGCGGCGGCCGGCGGAAGGGCTGGGCGGGAGGCGTCGGGATGCCGGCAGGACCCTGCGCCCGAGGGGGTAGGGGGCTCGTGTCGGGGTTCCAGGCGCAGATTGATGGGGCCTAAGCAGGGAATGTGAGGGCGGGGAGGGCGTACAACGGAAGGGACTAATCTCGCGGTTTCGAGTTGGGAGCAAACCTCGCCCCCCACCCCCCCCATCCGTTTCCCTTTCTCAGTGAAGACGGTTTGGGGGCGGGTGGGGAGGCGCGTCCTCGGAGCGCCCTCGCGCTCCCTTTTCGCTCCCCGCGCGCGATCCATCGCCTCTCTTCCCCCGAGGCCAGCGATGGCTCGGGTGCGGGCGAGGAGCTGGGAGGGCGGCTCTCGACGCAGGTGTCAGATCCGCTCGGCAGTGCTCGGCGCGCTGGCCCGGCCCCCAGCTCCTCCGGCCGCCGCCCCCCGCCCGCCGCGCCGCGGCGCCAGGAGGGCGGGGCCGGGGCGCGCGCCGCTCCTCAGCAAGCGGGCGGGCGGCGTTCGGTCTGAGGGAGCGGGGCGGTCTCCGCCGGCGTCGCGCGCGCTGTGTGTGAGCGGGGTCGCGCGCGCGCGCGGCAGGCGAGTGAGGGAACGAGGAGCGGCCGGGTGTGAGTGTGTGGGAGTGAGAGTGTGTGGGAGTGGGGTGAGGGAGAAGCTGACGGGACGCGAGGCTGTGAGAAACTGGGCGAGTGTGCGAGGACGCCCGGCCAGCCTGCGGGAGCCGCAGTCGGCGGAGGAGAAAGGAGGCGGCTCCCGGTATCCCGACCCCCTCCCCCTCCTCTCCTTCCCCCACTTCCAGCCGCCCGGCGGCCCGCGCTTCCTCGAAGGCCCCAGCCCGGCTCAGTCGGCCGAGAGCGAGGGAGGAGCCCCCCGACCCAGGTGAGCGGTACGACCGCTGTTGCCCTCGGGTGTAGAGCAGTGAGGCGAAGGCGCGCCCTCCCGAGTGGGCGAGTTCAGCGGAATGGATCCCCCGATTAGCGGGGGCTGGGCCGGGGAGGGGACCGGCCCGAGCGCGCCCGGGGTCCGGGGCTAGTTGAGGCCGGTGGTCGCCGCTCCGCGGAGTCGGTGGGGAGCGAGGCGGGGCCCGGCCTTCGCGCGTGTGCCGGGAGGCGCCGGCCCGTGGCGTGTGCGTGCGACCGGGCGAGCCGTGTCGAGGGGGCGGCGACTTCGGGCGTGTAAGGAGTATGGTTTCCCCGCCGGCGAGGGGGTGTGGTAACCCCGGGAACGCCGGCTGGAGTCGGACCCGCGGGCTGCTGACCTGTCCTCGGGATTGCGGCGACACTCCCCCTCCCCCCCCTTCCCACAAATTCTATGGAGCGACCGCGGGAGGAGGATCACGTGGTGCGGTCCCGCAGCTACTGTATTCGATTCCACGTTTTCCTCCTTACGTGTAAATTTTAGAGAGTGTGACAGTCATTCCATCTTTTCCTTTGACAGTCTCTGAATGAGAAGGGGATGACCAAATAATTGCTTGTCCAGTTTTGATTCTTTAAAAATTTGAGCATGATGTAAATATTACACTACTTGCCCCTCACCCCCCCCCAAAAAAAACCCAAACCAGAGTGGTAATAATTTCAATCTCCCCTTATTAATATGTCCTTATCTCTGATCACACATTTGTTATTTCACTGTTTTATCCCATTTGTATTGGCGAATAGCGATGGGGTGGTAATTCTGTTCTGTGAGGGGTTATTGCACTAACCATGCTCAATGCAACTGCTATGTAAATTCTTTCAGTATGCTGTCATTTTCCCATTAGTTATATATATTGTTACCACATCTTTGTGGAGTTAGGTTCAACTCTAAATAGGTATAGAAAGTATATGGGCAGCCTACTATGCAGATTTTTTTTTGTGGGCTTGGTATGTTCATTATATTTATGGGTGTTCTTAATTATTAACTATAACCATTTAAATTGAAATGTTTTTAAATCTCATTTTTGTTACTTTCACAATATTGGGTACCTTAAAGGTCATTTCTTCTATTTTAAAAAATGATTTCTTAAAAGCAATTATGAGAATACTTTTAAGATATTCATTTGGAATAAAACACTCTCTGAAATTCCGGTCTCAGAGATTTAACATTTATTTCCTAAATTTTAGTATGCAACCCTCTAATTTTAAAAATAATCATAGTTAAATTTCTTTTCCAATGGTTACTGTTTTATTTGGTTAGTGTGTCAAAGGGGAGGAGGCCTATTTTGTCTTGAGGTAATCCTATTTTATTCTTTTCTATCTTGGTTAGTGCTGTTAATTTCCTTCTTTCATGTCATTGATTTAGTTGTTAGTTTGGCAACATGGCTGTTGATGTTTTTTATCTTTCTCTGTCTCCCTTTTTTCTCTCTTGTCTTCTCTTACCCCTACCAGGTGCTGGAGTCTGCTTGTCAGGGAGGGGGGCAGTCTGTGATTCTGAGAACAGAGCCAAGAAGGGGAACAGCAAATTCAGTCACAGACAATCCTCCACTCGGTCAAGAGCCACTTTTCTCTTCCTGCCTTGCCCCCCCGCAGGGGGTAAGGAACTGAGCGTTTAATCTTTAGCCGGTTGGCTACCAGCTAAAATTCTACTTATCTTAGTTTCTAGTGGATAGCTTTCTTATTTTGCCCATGTTTTCTTAGAATCCCTGTTTAATATACTTTTGTCAGTAGTAGTATCTAGGAGTAGCAGGGAGAGTGACAATAAATTAGCCCCTTCTTTTTTCCCTTGTCATTCAGGCCCCTTTTCCTCTCCAGAGGGAAATTACCAGTAAACTCTTCTAAATCTTCCACCCCTTCTCAGTCATACTGTGAAGAAACACACTAAAGTGGACATTATTTGACCAGTGAACACGAACCCAGCTTCAGGCATTGGTTTGTTGTGGCACATGGAGAAACATCTCTTTTAAAATATCTCCCAATTACCCTTTTCACAATTTGTATCCACCTAGGATTTGCTGCTGGGGTAAGTCACTAGATTTATTTCTCAAAGCTCCCCTCTCTATGAGCTGAAAGACTGACCAACCATGAACACTAGTAGGGGATGGGGAAAGGGGACAGAGCAGAGCCAGTTGTTCCACACTTTGGGAAGCAGGAGTAGCTTTTATCATCTTCCTCTGGGGAGCAGGCATAGAGACATAAACTGAGTGAAAATGGGTGGAGGAAGAACTTCTATACCCACGAACAACATGTGAAGAGAGAGAACCAAACATAAAGTAAGGAGGGTGAGTTTTATTGTATGTTGCTTGCTGACAACTGTTTTGGGGGCGCTTCAGTGATATACATTCATAGAAAGACTTTGTTTTATGGCAGATTAGTTTACAAAGAGTATTCTGCAAGTGGGATTAAGTCACAAGCAAATGAGAAAAGAGCCTCTAGAAATTGTAATTATGTGGCCTGGCGCAGTGGCTCACACCTGTAATCCCAGCACTTTGGGAGGATGAGGCAAGCTGATCACTTGAGGTCAGGAGTTTGAAACCAGCCTGGCCAACATGGCGAAACCCTGTCTCTGTGAAAAATATAAAAAGTAGCTGGGCATGGTGACGCACACCTGTAGTCACAGCTACTCAGGAGGCTGAGGCACAAGAATCGCTTGAACCTGGGAGGTGGAGGTTGCGGTGAGCCGAAATTTTATCACTGCACTCCAGCTTGGGCAACAGAGCAAGACTGTCTCAAAAAAAAAGAAAAAAGAAACTGTAATACGTTATTAGAATCTGAGGGAGGAGGAGACTGCGATAGTGAAAAAAGTATTATTTTTAAATGTTAGCTGTGCTGATATGTGCAGTTGTTTCAAGAGGTTGAGTAGGGAGATTACGTACAGATGTTGGAAATTGTCTCTTAATTGTCTCGGAATTTTCTGCTTGTCATATGAGGGATTGTTAAATAAGATAGTACCTCCAAAAGTATCTACGTAATACATTTTAGATTTATATGCCATATGTATCTGTGTACATGTTAGGTTTGTAGAAAAGTACTGACTTTCTGGCTTCATGGTAACTAATGCCATGGTGTTATTTTTAATGTTTTCTTTTTCAGTGTTTTTTTTTTCCCCTCTCAAAATTGGCTTGGAGGACAAAAGCCACAGAGCTAGCCAGCTCTACTCCCCTAGAGGCTGGTCTGCATGGAACCCATCTGTTTATATCTTTTTTCTTCTTTCTGAAATTATGTTTTTGTTTTTTTTCTAACTTTGTTAACAAAGCTAATCATTTCTGGATCAGTTATATGACCGTTATGGGAAGTAAGCACAGGCCTGATCTCTTTTTTTTTTTTTTTTTAAGAGAACCCGAAAACATTAATTAGGAATTTTGGATAGCTACATTTAGATTTTACAGGGGCCAGGTGCGGTGGCTCACACCTGTAATCCCAGCACTTTGGGAGGCTGAGGCAGGCGGATCACTTGAGGTCAGGAGTTTGAGACCAGCCTGGCCAAAATGGCAAAACCCCATCTCTACTAAAAATACAAAAATTAGCCAGGTGTGGTGGTGTGCGTCTGTAATCTCAGCTACTCGGGGGGGCTGAGGCAGGAGAATTGCATTAACCCTGGAGGCAGAGGTTGCAGTGAGCTTAGACTGTACCACTGCACTCAAGTCTGGGTCAAAGAGCAAGACTCCATCTCAATAAAAAAAAAAAAAATAGATCTTATGGGGACACCCATTTGCCTGGTATTTAATATTAAAATAGCTATGATTTTTTGATACTCTCTTACAATTTGATATAGCAGATTATTAAAATATGTTCTGTTCCATAACTTGTCAGTGTTACATGTCAGGTTATGCATTTCCCACTGGGGATAACATCAGGGAATAAAATGGTTGTCGGTTCTTTCTTCATGGAGTTTACAGACTAATTTTGGTAATCTCTGTATTTTTTATCTGTCTATCAGTTATCCGAGCAGTGTCTGAAGGAGTCTACTGGATTCTTAGGAAATGCGTACTAATTTGTGAATTGATGAGCTGGCAAAACAAAAATCTGTTTAAACATTTACATGCCTGATTAATTTTACTACCTTTTATTTCAAAAGTGTCTATATCAAGTTGTGACAAAACAGATTCAAACTTGTTCCTTTCTTAAATGCTTTTATTCTGTATTCAGCTTCTTACATTTCTTTTTTTTCCTTCTGATACTAGCTTTTGGCTTCACGTTCCTATAAATTTAGAAATAAGGTCTCTAAAGTGGAATATAGAATTGCTGTATAAGATCAGACCATTTCTTACTACTGTGCTTTCCAATTTTGAGGAGTATTTGAATTTTTCATACTTTATCAGAAAACTGCATTTTGAAAAGTCAGGCAGGGTTGCCCAAATAGCAACCTTGGAATTCTTCCCTGAGGCTTTGGAGTTCTCAGTTGTTAGTTTATTCCTTTGACATGTGATTTAGTTAGCCATATCTGTAAAGCCTTGGGCTTGAGAGTAAATGAATAGCTTTCTAACTCCTTTTTCAAAGTAATATCTGGGAAGAAAATTTAGACAGAAGGCCAGACATTTATCATGTTAAATATGAAACTTGGGGACTTTGTACTGTGCATTAAACCTAGGAACTGTCTTCTGTGCCATGTTCCAGAAATAATTTGATGTAAGTTTCTTCTATTAAGTGAAATCATTAGAAATGTTTGGAGGCTGGGCATGGTGGCTCACACCTGTAATCCCAACACTTTGTGGGGCCAAGATGGGTGGATCACCTAAGGCCAGGAGTTTGAGACCAGCCTGGCCAACATGGCGAAAACCCATGTCTACTAAAAATACAAAAATTAGCTGGGTGTAGTGGCACGTGCCTGTAATTTCAGCTACTCGGGAGGCTGAGGCAGGAGAATTGCTTGAACCCAGGAGGCAGGTTGCAGGGAGCCAAGATCGCACCACTGCACTCCAGCCTGGGCAGCAGAGTGAGACTCCCTCTCAAAAAAAAGAAAAAGAAAAGAAAAAGAGAAATGTTGTTTGGATTCCAGAAGAACTTTTTTAAGGCAGGGTTTTGCTTTGTCACCCAGGCTGAAGTACAGTAGTATGTGATCATAGCTCACTGTAGCCTTGAACTTCTAGGCTCAAGCGAACCCCCTGCCTCAGCCTCTTTAGTGGCTGACACCATAGGCCTGTGCCAACATACCCGGCTAATTTTTTTTTCTTTCACTTTTTGTAGAGATGAGACCCCACTATGTTGCCCAGGCTAGTCTTGAACTCCTGTCCTCCTACTTCAGCCTCCTAAAGTGTTGATTTTTTTGTAGAGATGAGGTCCCACTGTGTTGTCCAGGCTGGTCTCAAACTCCTGGCCTCAAGCAATCCTTTTGCTTCAGACTCCCAAAGTACTAGGATTACAGGTGTGAATCACTGTGCCTGGCCCCTACCACTTTCTAATTGTGACTTTAAACAAGTTATCTAACCTTTCTGCTAGAACAGCGTCACTGCCAAATGAAGACCATAGCACACTGCAGAGGGATGGTTGTGAGGATTAAATGATAAAAATAAACCATCTCATATTGTGTTTGGTACATATAATTACTCAGTATGTGAATTTATTTTCTTTATCCAAATTAGCTTTGATGGTTCTGATTTCTTTGTAGAAAAAAAGCATAGAGAAATAGAAAATCTTAATTCCAGTCTTGGGTCTACTATTGTGATATCTTGGGCTGGTCTTTCTTTAAATTGGAATAATAGAAGCCTGTGTTCCTCACATTATTATATACAGATTAAGTGCCAAAATATATGTAGAAAGTGTTTTATGGGTCGGACGTGGTGGCTCACGCCTGTAATCCCAACACTGGGAGGCTGAGGCAGGCGGATCATTTGGGGTCAGGAGTTTGAGACCAGCCTGAGCAACGTGATGAAACCCTGTCTCTACCAAAAAATACAAAAATTAGCCGGGTGTGGCGGTGTGTGCTTGTGGTCCCAGCTATTCAGGAGGCTGAGGTGGGAGAATCACTTGAACCCAGGAGGCGGAGGTTGCAGTGAGCCAAGATCACACCATTGCACTCCAACCTGGGTGACAGAGTGAGACCCTGTCTCAAAAAAAAAAAAAATTGATTTGGTAAGGAAAATGGCATTTTATAAACTCAGATCACTTAAACATGCTTATTTGTTGAACATGTTTTCAATCATGACTTAACCTGTAGAAAGAGAAATTGTCTTTGTAACAAATAGAATTGTTTAAACATAGACTTTAAGAATTCATCTTATAGCACTGGCAGACCCTAGTTTTTAAAAGTAAACCTTAATTATATGCTATGATAATGGCTTGGGTGCAAATGTTAGCACGTCTGTTAAGTGTTCCCTGACTCCTAAAGTCATTCTTCCGGAGGATGTGTTATTTAACTAATGCATTAACACTTGAGCCATGGCTCATGCCTGTAATCCCAGCTATCCGGGAGACTGAGGCAGGAGAATTTTGCTTGAGGCCAGGAGTTTGAGACCAGCCTGGGCAACATAGTGAGAACCTGCCTCTAAAAGAAGAGGAAAAAATTAGCTGGGTGTGGTGGTACATACCTGTCATCCCACCTACTTGGGAGGCTGAGGTGGGAGGATTATTTGAGCCCAAGATTGAAGGCTGCAGTTGCGTCACTGCAGGCTTGGTGCAGAGCAAGACCTCACCTCTAAAACACACACACACACACACACACACACACAAAACCCCAAACTAAAACCATTTGAGCTCAGACTTTACTAAATAGGTAAGTGTTTGGGGTATATATTCCAAGCAACAGGAAGCATGGACGAATATAATGTGTTTAGAAAATTGGAAGTGACAGAGGGCAGAAGATTTATTTGGAGGCTTTTATAGTAGTCCAAGTGTTGAATATACTGGAGATAAGAGTAAAGTGGGCCAGGCATGGTGGCTCATACCTGTAATCCTAGCACTTTGGGAGGCCAAGGCAGGAGGATCACTTGAAGTCAGGAGTTCGAGACCAGCCTGGCCAACATGGCGAAACTCCATCTCTACTAAAAATACAAAAATTAGCCGGGTGTGGTGGCACACGCCTGTAGTCCCAGCTACTCAGGAGGCTGAGGCAAGAGAATCGCTTGAACCCGGGAGGCAGAGGTTGCAGTGAGCCAAGATCACGTCACTGTACTCCAGCCTGGGTGACAGATTGAGACTCCATCTCAAAAAAAAAAAAAAAAAAGTAAAATGCCGGTGATATTAATATTTAGAAGTTAGAATTAGCTTTTTGTAAACAGTGAAAGAAGGATGGAAATAAAAATTGATGCCCAGTTGTCTGAATCGAGTGCCTTAATAAGGATAGGTATATCAGTCAGGGTTCTCCAGGGAAATAGACTCAATAAGATATGTTTATATATGTATTTTTAATTGTATACGTATTTTAAGCATTTAGCTTATGATTGCGGAGTTGCTAAGTTCAAAATCTGTAGAGTAAGCAGCAGTCTGTAAACTCAGACAGGACTTGATGTTGCAGTCTTGGGTCTGAAATTTTTGGGGAGACCAGCAGACTGGCAACTCAGGTAGCATTTCTGTGAGTCTGTCTATAAGTCCTGAGTCTTGAGGAAGAGTTCCTCCTCAGTTTTTACTTTTTAGCAAGACCTTCAACTGATTGGATGAAGCCCCTCCACATTATGGAGGGTAATTTCCTTTACTTAAGGTCAACTGATTAGATGTTAATCACGTATAGAAAATACCTTCAGCAATGTATAGACTATTGTTTGCCCAAATAGCTTGGAACCATTGCCTCACCAGGTTGATGTAAAATTTAATGATCACAATGGGGAATATAGGTGCTGAAACATTTCTGTGAATAAAAATACATTCTTTGTTTTGTTTTTTGTTTTTGAGGCGGAGTTTTGCCCTTGTCACCCAGGCTGGAGTGCAATGGTGCGATCTCAGCTCACTGCAACCTCCGCCTTCTGGGTTCAAGTGACTCCTCTTCCTCAGGCTCCCAAGTAGCTGGGATTACAGGTGCCCACCACCATGCCTAGCTAATTTTTGTATTTTTAGTAGAGATGGGGTTTCACCAGGTTGGCCAGGCTGGTCTTGAACTCCTGACCTCAGGTGAGGTGATCCACCTGCCTCGGCCTCCCAAAGTGCTGGAATTACAGGTGTGAGCCACCACGCCTGGACTTTTTTTTTTTTTTTTTTTTCCTGAGACTGAGTTTCGCTCTTGTCACCCAGGCTGGAGTGCAATGGCACAATCTTGGTTCACTGCAACCTCTGCCTCCTGGGTTCAAGCGATTCTCCTGGCTCAGCCTCCTGAGTAGCTGGGACCATAGGTGTGCACCCCTGCGTCCGGCTAATTTTTTTGTATTTTTAATAGAGACAGGGTTTCACCATTTTGGCCAGGCTAGTCTCAAACTCCTGACCTCAGGTGATCCCGCCCACCTCAGCCCTCCAAAGTGCTGGGATTACCGGCATGAACCACCATGCCTGTCCTTTTTTTGTTTTAAAAAACATGCTTAACTGAGGCAACAGTGGGTGGCATTTAGTTAGGGATGCCCAGTAGGCTCATTGAAATGGATTCTGAAATTTAGTTGAGAAAGAAATATCTAGTGGGTCAGTGGTTCAGAAGGAATAAAGTTGAAACCTGGATTCGGATGACATTTCTAGAAAGTGGAAAGCAGAGTTTAAGAATGAAACTCGGGGGATCATATGCAGAAGGAGAGATGTCAGGAGGAAAGTCACAGAAAAAGAGGCTTGATAGCATACCTAAAATTTAATGAGAGAGCGTGGAAAAACAACATTCAATGTGCTTTTTCCTGTTCTTTCAGCAACACCAATCAACACAGAAGATCCACTGATGGAGATTTCTCCTCACCAACAGTCATTTCTGCAACGGACACCAGCTAGGTGTCCTCTAATTTCTGACACTGTCTCCCACAGGTTAAGTGCTCAGTTGCCAAAACGACCCCGTACCATGCCCCCCACCAGTACAGGCCTCTGGACTTCAGCCAGAAGGCTGACTGGCTTTAAGTTGGAGTTCCCACCAACCCTGTCTTTGGGTTTGATTAATTTGCTAGAGCAGTTTACATAACTCAGGGAAACATGTTTACGTGTATGTTATAAAGGATACAGATGAAAAGGTGCCTAGGGCAAAGTATGGAAAAGGGGCACGGAGCTTCTTTGCCCTTCCTGGGTGCGTCACCCTCCAGGATCTGCTACGTGTTCAGCTATCTGGAAGCATTTTGAGCCCAATCCTTTTGGGTTTTTTGGAGACTTCGTTACACAGGCATGATTGATTAAACCACTGGCCACTGGTGATCAACTTGACTGTTAGCCCGTCTCCCGTCTCCAGAGGTTAGGGGATGAGACGGAAGGTTCCAACCCTCTAATCATGCCTTGGTCTTTCTGGTGACCAGCCTCCATACTAAAGCTGCCTAGGGGCTGCCAGCCATCAGTCAATTATTAGCATACAGAAAGACATCATTTTGGAGATTCTTATGATTTTAGGAGTTGTATGCCAGGAAACAGGGTTGAAGACCAAGTATATATTTTGTAATATCACACTTTTAAGAGACACAAATTTGTTATTTTTCTCCACAAACCTGATTCAACTCCCGTGATTCCTATCCAAGAGGGGATAGTGTTGAAAACAAGTCTTTAGTATTATTATTTTTTATCCTATGTACAGTCTTTCCCGAAGCAAGCCTGTATTAACTGACAAATGGAATAAATGCTATTAAAATTCTATCGTATGTTACAATAGAATTCTATACAGATTCCACTGTGTGTTACAGTAGAGTTCTATACAGATTCCACTGTGTGTTACAATAGAGTTCTATACAGATTCCATTATGTGTTACAGTAGAGTTCTATACAGATTCTATTGTGTGTTAGAGTTTTATACATATTCTATTTTATATTAGTGTATTTTTTTCCTTTAGCTTTATTTTTCTTCAGTATTTGGGATTTTGAGCTCATATGTTAATGGATTTTCTTAGTAAGAGGTACCTTAATATCTTCAGATGGTAGATTGTGATTTTTTGCTTTTTCTGTACTAGAATAAATACCTTTGGGAAGGGTCCTCACAAGAAAGATGAGAGGGAGAGAAATGACTTTCATTTTAACTTTTTTTCTTTTATTCTGTGATGTAATAGAAATCTTTTATGCTCTCATTTGTCCTCTGTACAGAATAGGTTGACACATCCTTTTGGAAGCTTTAAATATTTGTAATGTATTTTGAGATTTTGACTCTAAACATTGAACTTTTCCTTTGTTTATTAAGGAAATTTGATCCAGTAAGAAACAACACTAAGTTTTAGATCCCAGGATGTTGACTTGAAAAACTTTTAAAGTAGAAAAATTATTCCTCGGGTTGGTCTAATAAGGGAACTAAAAGTTGGGAGAAACAAAGTGGTACTTTCTAAACTATTACCTTAGAAAAAATTTAGGAAATCTTAAGCAGTGAAACAAATGTCTGCTTATTTCCTATTTCAGAAGATGAATGAAGCACTTTAAGATTCCCATATACTCAGTTTTGCCTGAGTATTCCAAGATGCAGTGCTGTTTTTTATTGGTATGCTGATCCAGAAGTTTGTGTGGGAAAACTCTCAAAAATAAACTCTCTTTGTAGAATTTCTCTTTATTTCAAAAAAGGTACTTTTGTCAGTAGTATTTATTCAGCATCTGATATTTATACATTGTTTTTCTTGATGCACTGGAGGAAATAAAGAGAGGATGGGATTGGTTGACCTGAGCTTACATTCTAAGAGAGGAAATACTATACGGTACTCATCTATACTATATGTGGACATTTGCAATTGCTGCGTTTATGTTTCGCTACTGGAGAATATTTTCTTACAGTTATCTTATTGGGTAACCAAGTTTACTCCTTTAAACTACTAGGAAAAAAGTTTGCCATTTTATTTTATAGAGGACTCTACTGTCTTTTAAAATAGTGAATATTGTCTGAATTTTAAGATTCTGGATCATTAGCAGGACTGTCATTTTATTGGTGCACTTTTGAGCTCCTGTACTATTTAGATTTACTGGAATCCTTTTGACTTGTCAGCATTTCTGTTTTTTCCTGTTTTTCTTTTTTCTTTATGTTAGCAGATGGGAAAAATAGAAAAGTAGATGTTTTGAAATTCTGTTAAGAGGAAACAGCTGTGCCCAAGGCTAGGAGAGAACCATTGAGGGGCAGAAGCAGGCAGGCACGCCTGGAGCCTCTACCTTTGGGATTGAAGTCTTCACCCAACACTTCTGGCATCTCAGATGTGAATCCAGTTGGAGCACCCCTAAGAAGGCAAGCAGCTGTTGCTGCAGCAGCCCTTGGGGAGGCCCCATCGCTTGGGCACCGAGGAAGGCTAGCCGCATGTCCTCCTGTGGGAATGGCAGTGTACCACTGGACAGGTTTCACTTTCCCTGGTTTCACTTTCTGTGGTTTCAGTTACGCCCTGACACAGTACAACAGGATATTTTGAGAGTGGGAGAGACACCGCATTCATATAACTTTTATCATAGTATATTGTTATAATTGTTCTATTTTATTGCTAACATCTTACTGTGCCTAATATGCAAATTATCATAGATATGTATGTTTAGGAAAAAACATAGTATATGTACTATCTGCAGTTTCAGGCATCCACTGGGGGTCTTGGAATTATCCCTTGTGGATATGGAGGGACTACTGTACCTGGTAATCAGAGATTTAATGTAGAAAAATGTGGTTTTTGTTTTGTTTTGTTTTGAGATGGAGTCTTGCTGTTTTCCAGGCTGGAGTCCAGTGGCATCATCTGGGGTCACTGCAGTTTCGACTTCCCAGATTCAAGTGATTCTCCTGCCTCCGCCACCTGAGTAGCTGGGTTTACAAGCATGCACCAACACACCCGGCTATTTTTTTTTTTTGTATTTTTAGTAGAGATGGAGTCTTAATCATGTCAGCCAGGCTGGTCTTGAACTCCTGACCTCAAGTGATCTGCCCACCTCAGCCTCCCAAAATGAACTACCGCTCCCCGCCAGTTTTGTTTGTTTGTTTGTTTGTTTCCTTCTTTTTTTTTTTTTTTTTTTTGATGGAGTTTCGCTCTGTCACCCAGGCTGGAGAGCAGTGGCACGATCTCCACTCACTACAACCTCCGCCTCCTGGGTTCAAGCGATTATCCTGCCTCAGCCTCCCGAGTAGCTGGGATTACAGGCATGTACTGCCACACCTGGCTCATTTTTGTATTTTTAGTAAAGACAGGGTTTTGCCATATTGGCCAGGCTGGTCTCAAACTCCTGACCAAGTGATCCGCCCACCTTGGCCTTCCAAAGTTCTGGGATTACAGGCAGGAGCCATCATGCCTGGCCTAGAAAAACATGTTGACTGAAGGCTTTGTGGCTCTTCAGAGGGGAATATTATTTTCTGATTTCAGAATCATCGGGAACACTGTTGTAGCCCATGTAATTTCTGACTACTGATGTATCAGCAGCGGAACATTTCTGCTTCCCAATTGCTAGTGACTATAACATTCCATCCTGACTGCTATTGGGGCAGCAACTGCCACACTCAGGTGAAGACCCACTGTGCAATGAAATTAATCATTGATTGGCAAGGCATGGTGGCTCACAGCCATAACCCCAGCACTTTGGGAGGCCAAAGTGGGAGGATTGGTTGAGGCCAGGAGTTTGAGATCAGTCTGGGCAACGTAGTGAGACCACATCTTTACCAAAAAAAAAAAAAAAAAAAAAAAATTAGAGACCGGGCCTGTTGGCTCACGCCTATAATTCCATCATTTTGGGCAACATGGCAAAACCCCATATCTACTAAAAAGAGAAAAGTACGAAAATTAGCTGGGCATGGTGGTGGGCATCTGTAATCCCAGCTACTCAGGAGGCTGAGGCAGGAGAATTGCTTGAACCCAGGAGACAGAAGTTGCAGTGAGCCAAGGTTGCGCCACTGCACTCCAGCCTGGGTGGCAGAGCAAGACTCCATCTCAAGGAAAAAAAAAAAATTAGCCTGATGTGATTTGCTCCTGTCATCTCAGCTACTTGGGAGGCAGAGGAGACAGGTGGATCACTTAGGCCGAGGAGTTTGAGGCTGCAATGGGCTATGATTGCACCACTGCACTCCAGCCTGGGTGACTGAAACCATGTCTCAGAAAGAAAAAAAAAATCATCTGCAAACGGATGAGTTTCAAGAGCCGAGTGTCAGGCCAAGGCACGGACATAGCTTCAGAGTGTTGGAAGTCAGTGACAGAGTCTTTTAATCACTACTGATTACAAACTTTTTTTTTTTATTATTATAAGTTTTAGGGTACATGTGCACAATGTGCAGGTTAGTTACATATGTATACATGTGACATGCTGGTGCGCTGCACCCACTAACTCATCATCTAGCATTAGGTATATCTCCCAATGCTATCCCTCCCCCCTCCCCCAAACATTTTAAGGGCATTTTTACAATTCCTTCATCAAGGGGAGCTGGGGATATTCTACGTCAGGTATTCTGGCGTGACTTTTTCTTTTGTGGAGCTTTGCTTTCTGAGACCTTCCCAAGTGGCCTGGAAGGCACTGTGTGGCTATAACTTTTTTCTAATGAGCATAGTATGTCTTTGGGTACAGCGTCTGGTCAGGGACACACTGTGGCCTTCCCTATGATTGTCCGCAGGGAAGAGACCGAAATGCAACCCATAAAAAAAGTCGTTCCATCAGGTTGAATTGACAGTGCAGGTTTGCACTGTACCTTTCCCATACTGTGGTTAAAATGGAAATCTCTTTTCAAGAAAAGTTTCATAGGAGAAAAAGTTTATCAGAAACACTCTGTTTAAGGAGGAGGGAGGATAAGGTTTACTGCCTGTAATATGCATGGAATATCCTGCTGTAGGGAAGCCATAGTGTTTATATATTTTTCATTTTAATGAGCCTGGTCCTTATCTTCTTTTTTGTGCGCGTGAGACGGAATTTCTCTCTTGTTGCCCAGGCTGGAGTGCAATAGCGTGATCTCGGCTCACTGCAACCTTTCCGCCTTCTGGAAGAAATTAGCTAGGTATGGTGGCACATGCTACTTGGGAGGCTGAGGCAGGATAATCACTTGAACCCGGGAAGCGGAGGTTCCAGCAAGCCTAGATCACACCATTGCCCTCCAGCCTGGGTGACAAGAGTGAAACTCTATCTCAAAATAAATAAATAAATAAAAATAAAAAGTTATTAAATATTCAGAACTGCTAACCCTAGAGCATCCGACATTAAGTTAGCATAGTTCCTTCCTAGCATGTGTGTAAGCTGAGTTACTACCATAATCCAGTTTAGATACCCTGCTTGTTTAACAGAGACTTAGGCCTTTGAGGCAGTGGATTGTGGGGTAGTAGGTGGGTCAAGAGAGAGGTAGGTGGTCAAGTGTGGCAGACATGGCATTTCAAGGTGCTTGGGAATGTGTGCTGTTGGCTCTGATGGGGCCTCTGCCCAGCAATGCTCTGGTTTCAAACCGTGTGCACTGTGGAGCAGGCCCTTCTTGCTGGTACCTGGGAGGGTGGACCATGTCCAGCTGCCACTATTCAGGAAGCTGCTGGTCTGTACAGCCTTTCCTTCCTGTAGTTTTTGCCCAGGACCTTTCCTTTTGTGTTAGATGTGCCATGTTATCTGGAATAATACTTGAATGATACTTGACATTTTGTTTTTTTGGTAAACATTAAAAAAAATCGTTTTGTTGCTTGTTCTGAAACTTGTAACTTTTTTGCTTCTCAGGAAGGTGATTTTTTAATGTTGCATTGTTCATGATACAAACTCAGAGAAGCAACACCATCTGGAAAAAAAGTCCTTTTTTGCATTTTAGTAAACAAGCTGCATTTATTTTTAAAAATTCTATTTATAGGAAGAATAAAAACATTGAGTAAGAGCGTGCTGTCCTCTGACTGGAATAAATGAAATTTAGTGAATAGACCTGGACATTTATTTTGGTTATTGAGAGCCCTTTTGCTCATTCTCCAATTATTTATTTTCACTAAAGCTACTGTGTAAATGACTTCATCATTGAAGCTTACCTAGTAAGATAAGTGCTACTACCTATTTTTTTTTTCTACATACCTATAACAAAACCAGGGAAGAAAATTGAATGTAAAATTAACCACAGATACAAAAATATACTTAAGCGGGGTTTCTAGTGATGGGAAAGATGGAAATATATTGATTGGCATTTCATTTCATATCAAGAACAGAATGTTGAGGGAGGAGATAAAACAAAAAGTCAGTGATCAGATTAAAGTATATTCCTAGACAATATATAATATTGGGAAGGGTATTTAAACTTTCTGCTAAGTGACGAGCTACAGTTATTAAGTTGCAGTGCCAGTTTCCCCAAGGAAAAATGGAGAAATCATATTTCTGAAGAGGTGGTCAGTTTCCATATTACTAGTGTATAAAAATTTTAGTTTGAATGAAAAGGAAACAATATCTCTACACGTGTTTTTTCCTGTTTATATAATTAGTATATAATCACGGCATTTATTTGTATGAAATCCAGAAATCAAGTAGATTTCTTGATTTACCTTTTATGTATATTTTTTCTTCCATCTAGGTAGACGTTACATCCAAGAGGAAATAATCCAGGCAAGGAAGCACAAGCTGATCAAGATGTGTAGTTCTGTGGCTGCCAAGTTGTGGTTTTTGACAGATCGTCGCATCAGGGAAGACTATCCTCAAAAAGAGATTTTACGAGCATTGAAGGCCAAATGTTGTGAGGAGGAACTGGACTTTAGGGCTGTGGTGATGGATGAGGTGGTGCTGACAATCGAGCAAGGAAACCTGGGTAAGTCTGTATACTAAGTGATCTTTTGGATTTTTACCTAGAATATGATGAATCTGCATGTTTTAGGAATAATTAGGACAGAGGAATTCTTAGCCTTGTCATTACTAAGTATCTTCTAATTATAAGGTCTAATATATTTTATGAAAGTAATATAAACACTAATATTTATTAACTTTATTAGGAAACAGTTGTGAGGGAAATTAAAGGTGACCTTCAAAACAGATAAACAATAAAACAAAGTAGGCGCATATCTGTAGTTCCAGAGGCTAAGGTGGGAGGATCACTTGAACCCACAAGTTCGAGTCCAGCCTGGGCAACATTGTAAGACACAGTTTCTTAAAAATAAAAGTAAAGATGATTCTCAAGTTCCTTTCATTTTTACTGTCTTCTATTTTTAAAATACCTTGTTTATAAGGTGCTGCTAAGGAAATTTGTATCTTTGGAGGTTCTTTGATTAGTACTTGATTAATAAATTAGATCCATGTGATTCCTTTTTATAAAACACTATACATGTAATATAAACTAATACGGTTTTATAGGTGAAAGTGTCTTAATGATTTAACTCAATTGGTGATAAATTTTTCTAGTATTTTTAATATTTCATATTTGTTTTGGGATTGTAGGGGAAGATATCCTAGAAAAGTATAGAAATTCTTTAGTATTAATTTTCAGAAAACTAAATTTTTGCTTTTGAAAGTTTTATGGCTTACTATAGCTAAATTGGTAGTTTCTGTCAGGGAGCATTATATGGTGTCATATAAATGGACTTTTTGACTGGCTTTCAGAAAATACTTCATAATTTAATGATAGTATAAATACATTTTAGATCACTTTCTTCCTTTGTGACTAGAATTATACTAAGCCCCATGATTTAATTTCCTCATCAATGAAATGGAGAAAGACAGTTTTTGTGAGAATTAAGGCTATGCAAAGTACAATAAAATCTTACCTTTATCTGCCATGGTAGGATAATTTCATTCACAGGCTAACAGATCCAGAATCTTGTCTAAATTAAAAATGTTACCATAGGTTGAGTATCACACTAAGTATAATCTCTTAGCAAGCATCACTTTTATTTTCAATCCTCTTGTAACATTTATTTATTTCATCCACAGTACTTTTGATCAGTTATTGTTGCCAGAAATGTTTCTTTGTTGTTTTGCTTAAATGGATAAGTGCTCTTGTTCTTTTTTTTTTTTTTTTTTGGAGACAGGGTCTTTGTCACCAGGCTGGAGTGCAGTGGCACTATCTCAGCTCACTGCAACCTCTGCCTCCCAGGTTCAAGTAAATTCTTGTGCCTCAGCCTCCTGAGTAGCTGGGATTGCAGATGTGCACCACCACGCCCGACTAATTTTTGTATTTTTAGTAGAGACGGGTTTCACCATGTTGGCCAGGCTGGTCTCCAACTCTGAACTCAAGTGATCCACCCACCTCGGCTTCCAAAAGTGCTGAGATTACAGGCATGAGGCACCATGCCCACCTACTCTTGTTCTCTTGAATGTAGTTACTGCCTTTATCAGGATGATGCTCACTATTTTATTTTCAGTGTAATTCTCTTTTCAGTATATACTGCCTGGGTCCAATACCTAGTTATTTAGATTCAGGAAATCTGGGATAAGAGTCTACTTCATTTTTTCATTAAGTATTATTTGAGCATTTACTATGTGCTGGATAGTGGTATGGTATACGAAATAAAATAAAGTCCTCATATATTCTAAAGGATGAGGTCAACATTAGTCAATCACACAAATAAATGTAAAGTTATAACTGGTAAGTTATGAATGAAAAATGTGAATGTCACTTTGAACCCCTCTCACATTTGTGACGAAGATCCTTGATCAAATCAAGGTAAATCTCTAAAACTCAATATTTGTGACATGCTTGTTCAACTTACACAGCTTTTTCAGTGTAAGTGTGTATGTACAGTTATTATTGAAATTGGAGTCAGAAACTCAGACACTTAGTGTATTGGGAGCCATGTTCTTGAAGTCTGCATGAGAAGAGACATGCCAGTGTAAAACGTTAGTTCACTCAACACTACTCCTACAAGGCTTCTGGTGGTTGGAAAACCAAAGGTTACAGCCATAGTTCCTTATGAAATCTAGTGGCTACTAAGTAATAACACAAAATTTGGGAGGTAGAAATGGGCATCTCTATTTTTTAAAAGTGTGTAGGTTGAAAAGGATCTAGGGTTGAAAACCATTGCTCTTGATATTTTTCCCAGTTACCTAGTGAACATTTTCACTTTATTCTCAAGTGGCATTTCTGTGCCATTCTATCACAGTGGAACTTGCTTTTTTCCATCAAAGCTGTCTTGTTATTTCAGCTTCTCTGTCTCTGTTTGTAATATCACCTTTCTCCCATTAACCTAGCCTTACCATTAACATGTCTTTTTTTTTTTTTTTTTTTTTTTAATTCACAAGAGCCAGTATGCTACAAAATTTTTGTTGCTTTTTCCTTCTAAGCCATAACTGTTCTATCTTCTCACTATCCTGGCTCAGGCTATCATGGCTTCATTTTTTTTTTTTTTTTTTAGACTAAGAGTGAAGTTTTAATTAATAGTAAAAGAAAGAGAAAGGAGATCAGCTCTCCTGTGAGAGAGAGGGGCACCTGAGTGGGGCTTCCCATGGCTTCAAATTTTAATGACTTTAGTTAGCCCTCTAGCTTTTTCTTTCTTTTCCTTCTTTTTTTTTTTTTTTTTTTTTTTTACTTTGAGACGGGGTCTCGCTCTGTCACCTTGGCTGGAGTACAGTGGTGCGATCTTAGCTCACTGCAGCCTCAACTTCCCAGGCTCAAGCGATCTTCCCACCTCAGTAGCTCTTTCTTTTTCAAAATTGTGTTTTCCTCTCTAGCATTTTCACATCTTCATTAAACACAACTTTTATCATCTTAATATTGTTTTAAAAATCTTCAGAAGCTTACTTTTCCCCTGTAGTGTTAAATCTAATTTAAAAATTTTTCAGACTTTTTGTTGATGTGTCTCCTATATATTCAGGCATTTCTAGGAGGGTTTTTCTTTTTTTTTTTTCTTTTTTTTTTTACATTTTTTATGTATTATTTAACTCTCATATCTTATAAGGGAGGTGATATTACCATTATGCAGATGAGGAAACAGCCTCTTTCACAGAATTAAGTGGAGAAACTTAAACAAATTGGGATAAGGGAAATGTTCTAAAATTGTGGCTATTTTGCATAATACAGTGAAAATACTAAAAACCACAGTTCTGTACTTTAAATGGATGAATTTTACAATATGTGAATTATATCTCAAAGCCGTTTAAAAAATGTTACACGTCATTTACACATTATCTGTGCAATGTTTTCACAGTCAGGTTAAAGAGAGGGTATAGTTGTAAATGAGTAGAAGGCATAGAAGTTCTTTTCCTTTTCCTTTTTTTTTTCCCTCATTGCCTCTCCCTTTGTGTCAGTGTATGTAAAACTGCTCTCTTGAACTTCTCTTACAAATCTGTTCTAGCTCCAATATTAGTCTTTTCTATTAATGGTGTCCTATTCCTAGCCTAAGCTTGAAGAAATCATGGAGTCAACTTTCTTCTTCATTCTCCCTTACTTCCAGATATAATGTAAAAGGCTTGTCTGTTTTGTTCATAGTATATCTGACATAATGTCTGTTCTTACTACTGCTAATGAAATCAAAGTTGCCTGAACTATTACAGTAACCTCTAAATTTGTTTCCACTTTAAACTCATCTTCTAACGTACTGTAGTCAAATTAATCTCTCGGAATTATGGCTCTAGTTATATTTGCCTTTCCCAAATCCCCTTTATGTTTTTATTGCCTAATCCTCCAAGTTTTTTTTGTTGTTGTTGAGTATCTTCATCGGTTAAAAACTTTTGAAACATTCACCCCAATATACGCCTATTTTAAAATAACGAATAATGTACTGTGCTGTTGCCTGTTGTAGCACTGTCCTTGGGCTAGCAGAATTGTATTTTCCTTGTTCATCTCTTTTACTGACAGTGTGGCCTTGGATTTTCAGCCTCTGTGCCTCAAATTAAAACCATCTCCCGGTAGCAAGTGTGCTGATTTTTCACAACTATCCCACTGTAGTCAAACTACTGTGCCAGCTATTCCATTTCCTCTATGGAAATGGAATCAGATCTAGGTAAAAAAGACCATAGATTTCCATTGTTGATACCCAGTGTTCTAGCAGGTTTTTGTTGTTGTTGTTTTAAATGTGTCTTAATTTGTCTGTCTTTGATTAATTACCAGAGCTCTGAAATAGAATTGACAAAAATATTTCCAGTTTTATGCTTGTTCTTTGGGGTGAAGGTTTGTCGACCTCTTTTTAAAAATATAACTGCGGCTGGGCACAGTGGCTCATGCCTGTAATCCCAGCACTTTGGGAATCCGAGGCCGGCAGATCGCGAGGTCAGGAGATCGAGGCCATCCTGGCCAACATGGTGAAACCCGTCTCTACTAAAAATACAAAAATTAGCTGGGCCTGGTGGCATGCGCCTGTAGTCCCAGCTACTCAGGAGGCTGAGTCAGGAGAATCGATTGAACCCCGGAGGTGGAGGTTGCAGTGAGCTGAGATAGCACCATTACACTCTAGTCTGACAACAAAGCGAGACTCCGTCTCTCTCTCTCTCTCTATATATATATATATATGTGTGTGTGTGTGTGTGTGTGTGTGTGTGTGTGTGTGTGTATAATCATTTTTAGAGTAATTTTAGGTTTACAGCAAAATTAGGCAGAAAGTACAGGGATCTCCTATGTATCCTCTGCCCACATACATGGATATCTTTGCCCCATTTTGAACATCCCTTACCAGAAGGACATGTTTGTTGAACTTGATGAACTGACATGACACATCATCATGCAAAGTCCATAGTTTACATTACTGCTTACTCTTGGGTGTTCTATAGTCTGTGGCTTTGGGCAAATGCATAATTACATGTATCCACCACTGTGGTATCATACAGAATAGTTTCCCTGCACTAAAAATCCTGTGCTCTGGCTGTTCATTCCTTTCTCTTTCTCCCTCCTGTTCATCCTCCTCCTTCCCTCCCTCTCACCCATCTCTTGACAACCACTGACCCTCTGACTGTCTCCACAGTTTTGCCTTTTCTAGAATGTTATAGTTGGCACTGTGCAGTATGTAGTGTTTTCGTATTAGGATCTTTCACATAGTAATATGAATTTAAGGTTTTTCCACGTCTTTTCCTGGCTTGAGAGCTCATTTCTTCTATTGTATAATTATATTTCATTGCCTTCATATACTGTAGTTTATTTATTCAACTGCTAAAAGACACCTTGCTTCTAATTCTAAGCCCTGGGATTATAAATTAAGCTGGGTTTTTTTGTTTTGTTTTGTTTTGTTTTTGAGATGGAGTTTCGCTCTTGTCGCCCAGGCTAGACTGCAATGGTGCGATCTCGGCTCACTGCAACCTCCACCTCCCAGATTCAAGCGATTCTCCTGCCTCAGCCTCCCAAGTAGCTGAGATTACAGGCGCCCACCATTACGCCCAGCTGATTTTTGTATTTTTAGTAGAGACGGGGTTTCACCATGTTGGCCAGGCTGGACTCGAACTCCTGACCTCCGGTGATCCGCCCGCCTCGGCCTACCAAGGTGCTAGGATTACAGGCATGAGTCACAGTGCCCAGCCTAAGCTGGGTTTTTTGTCTTCCAATTTAATAATTATTGAGGATCTACTTAGTAATGTGGGAGATTCAAAATAACTATTACAAGTGCTTAGATGCTTAACAGCAAAAAGATATATAGAAAACCAAGTAAAAATACAAAATTGCATTCATGAAATGCCTGTTTCATAAAGGACAATGTACAAGGTTGTGGATACAAGGATGGAAAAGACAAAATTGTCAACTCCTGAGGTTCTTGTTCTGATAAAGGAGACTGACAAGGAGTCTGGCCTCAAGGTAGGGCCTGGTTGTGAGTAGAGATAGATCATGAGCTGTTTTCATATTTGGGTTACTTGGGAGTGAGTGTAGGTGTGCACCAAGGATGGTAAAGAATGAAGCCTTCATTCAAAGCAAGATTGGTACTGAGACTTGGTGATAAGTTTGGTATAGCTAGATGATGGAACTTTCAGTGCCAGGATAGAGTCCGGATTTGAGCCAGTAATGAAGACATTTTTCAGTTGTGAGTAGAATATAGAACATTAAGACATTGAGGACATATATTTTGACACCACAAAATCCATATTAAAACACATTCATTAGGAGAATATGAGAAGTCATATCATCAGTAACATTCTTTTTCTTAGTTTCTTTTGATGGGTAAAAGACCTAATTAAAAGGTACAAAGTTGGATTCATACTTTTGAGTTCAATCTTTTGACGCTTAGTGGTCAACTAATATTTGAGAAACTTTTATGTGCCAGATACTTTCCAGTGTATAATAGTAAATAAAGGGTCTCTGTTCACATGGAGCTCAGGAGTCTAGTAGAATTAAAGACTATAAACTATACTAAGCAGCTGAGGATGCATTTTAATTCCCTTTGAGGGTAAAGTATCATTATCCCTCGTGTGTGTGTGTGCGACACGGAGTTTGGCTCTTGTCGCCCAGGCCGGAGTGCAGTGGCGCGATCTCGCTCACTGCAACCTCTGTCTCGGGTTCAAGCGATTCTCCTGCCTCAGCCTCCCGAGTAGCTGGGATTATAGGTGCCTGCCACCACGCTCAGCTAATTTTTGCATTTTTGGTAGAGATGGGGTTTCACCTTGTTGGCCAGGCTGGTCTGGAACTCCTGACCTTGAATGATCCGCCCCCCTCGGCTTCCCAAAGTGCTGGGATTACAGGCATGAGCCACCGCGCCTGGCCTACCCGTTTTAAATAAGAGATTAAGAAGCTTGCCTATGGCCTTGTAGCTAGACACAAAGTGAGACCCCTTTGAATATTATGTTATGCTGCCTCAGAGTCTACTGGGACAGATTTAATACCCTGGAACCAGGTAATTTTTAAAAGACTATTTAAAAACAAAAATGTTAACCAGTGACTCTTCCAGAAGTGCTAGGATATGGTTTAAAAAGGAGACTGTTAATAGGTAATGTCTGCCTTTTGAGAGTTTAATTGTAATGTGTTTTGATGAAGATCTCTTTATAGGCACACCTTGGAGATACTGCAGATTTGGTTTCAGACCACCACAGTCAAGCAAATATCACAATAAAGCGAGTAACACAAACTTTTGGTTGATGGCTACTGACTAGTCAGGGTGGTGGTTGCTGAAGGTGGCTGTGGCATTTTCTTGAAATACGAAAACAATGAAATTTGCCCCATTGACATTAAAGATTTCTCTGTAGCATGTGATGCTATTTTCCAACATTTTACCCACCGAATTTCTTTCAAAATTGGAGTCAGTCCTCTTAAACCCTGCTGCTGCTTTGTCAACTCAATTTATGTAATATTCTAAATCTTTGTCGTCATTTCAACAATGTTCATAGCCTCTTCACAGGAATAGATTCCATCTCCATTGGAATGACCATTTGGTCATCTGTAAGAAGCAACTCATCTGTTCAGCAATCTTCATGAGACTGCAGCAGTTTAATCCCGTCTCAGGCTACACTCTCAATTATAGCTCTCTTGCCATCTCCACCACATTTGCTGTTATTTCCTTCACTGAAGTCTTGAAGCCCTCATAGTCATCCATGAGGGTGAGAATCAGTTTCTTCCACATTCCTATCAATGGTGATATCTTGACCTTCTCTCATGAATTATGAGTGTTTTTTGTTTTTTGTTTTTTTTTGAGATGGAGTCTGACTCTGGCACCCAGGCTGGAGTGCAGTGGCACGATCTTGGCTCACTGCAACCTCAGCCTCCTGGGTTCAAGCGATTCTCCTGCCTCACTCTCCCAAGTAGCTGGGACTACAGGTGTGTGCCACTATGCCTGGCTAATTTTTGTATTTTTAGTAGAGATGGGGTTTTGCCATGTTGGCCAGGTTGGTCTCAAACTCCTGACCTCAGGTGATCCACCCACCTCGGCCTCCCAAAGTGCTGGGATTACAGGTGTGAGCCACCGCGCCTGGCCTATGAGTGTTCTTAATGGCATCTAGAATGATGAATGCCTTTCAGAACTTTTTCAGTTTACTTGCCGAGATCTTTTAGAGGAATCACTGTGGCAGCTATAGCCTTATGAAATGTATGTCTTAAATTATAAGATTTGAAAGTAGAAATTACTCCTGTTTGTCAGCTGTCTCACAGAGCTAAAAAAAAAAAAAATTACTTCTTGATCCATGGGCTTGCAGAGTCCATGTTGTGTTAGCAGCTATGAAAATAATGTTAATCTTTTTATACATCTTCATCAGAGCTCTTGGGTGACCAGGTGCATCATCAGTGAGTAGTAATATTTTGAAAGGAATATTTTTTTTCTGAGTAGTAGGTCTCAACAGTGGGCTAAAGATATTTAGTAAACCATACTGCAAGCAGATGTGCTGTCATTCAGGTTTTGCTGTTCCACTTAGCACAGGCAGAGTCCATTTAGCATAACTTTTAAGAACCCTAGGATTTTTGGAATGCTAAATGAGCATTGGTTTCAACTTACAGTCACCAGCTGCCTTCGCTCCTAACAAAAGAATTAGCCTCTCCCTTGAAACTTTAAAGCCAGTTATGGACTTCTCTTTAGCTGCTATCAAAGTCCTAGAGGGCATCTTCTTCCAGCAAAAGGCTGTTTTGTCTACATTGAAAATCCATTGTATAGTGCGGCCACCTTCATCAATTATCTTAGCTAGATCTTCTGGATAACTTGCTGAAGCTTTCACATAAGCAGCTGCCGCTTTACCTTGCACTTTGCACTGTGCTATACAGATGGCTTCTGTTCCTAAATCCCATGAACCAAACTCTGTTAGATTCAAACTTTCCTTCACCTCCGTCAGCCTTCAAAGAATTGGAGAGTTAGGGTCTTACTCTAGATAAGGCTTTGCCTTAAGGGAATGTTGTGGCTGGTTGGATGTTTTATCCAGACCACTAAAACTTTCTCCATATCACCAATAAGGCTGCTTTGCTTTCTTATCATTCATGTGTTCACTGGAGTAGCACTTTTAATTTCCTTCAAGCACTTTTCCTTTGCATATACAACTTGTCTAACTTTGGCACAAGAGGTCTAGTTTCTGGCCTGTCTCACCTTTTAAAATACCTTCTTCACTAAGCTTAATCTTTCAATTTAAAGTAAGAGATTGTGTGACTCTTTTTTGCCCTTGAACACTTAGAGCCACTGTAGGGTTATTAACTGGCCTAATTTCAATATTGTTGTCACAGGGAATAAGGAGGCCCAAGGAGAGGGAGAGAGATGGGGAAGCCAGTTGGTGGAGCAGTGAGAATGTACACATTTATTCAGTTTGCCCTCTATGTGGTTGCAGTTAGTGTCGCCCATTTATAATAGTAACATCAAAGATCACTATAACAGATATGATCAAAATGGAAGTTTGAAATACTGTGAAAATTATCAAAATGTGACACAAAGACACAAAGTGAGCACTTGCTGTTGCAAAAATGACACTGATTGACTTGCTTGACACAGGGTCGCCACAAATCTTCATTTGTAAAAAACACAATAACTGCAAAAGGCAATAAGTTAAAGCACAATAAAATGAGGCATGCTTGTATATTTAATCTATTTGGAGTTTGCTGGGCTTCATGAATCTAGATGTTTATTTCTCTCTAGATTAGGGAACTTAAAAAAAAATAAACTGTTGTCCTTTTGTCTTTCTCTACTCCTTCCGGAATATCCATAATGCATATTATGGTTCACTTGACACTGGCCTGTAATTCTCATAGGCTTTCTTCAGTTCCCTTTTTTTTTTTTTTTTTTTTTTTTGGAGACAGAGTCTTTCTCTGTCGTTCAGGCTGCTGGAGTACAGTGGTGCAGTCCTGGCTCACTGCAACCTCTTGCCTCCTGGGCTCAAGCAATCTTTCCACCTCAGCCTGCCAAGTAGCTGGGACTACAGGCACGCGCCACCATGCCTGGCTAAGTTTTGTTTTGTTTTGTTTTGTTTTGTTTTTATGGAGTTGGGGTTTTGTCAAGTTGCCCAGGCTGGGCTTAAGCAATCTGCCCACCTCAGCCCCCAAAATGCTAGGTTTGTAAAGGTGTGAGCCACCACACCTGGCCATTCTTCAGTCGTTTTCATTCTTTTTTGTTTCTGTTTCACTGACTTGGTAATTTTGGATGGTCAGTTTTCAAGTTCGCTCCCTAGGGAAGATTTTCAATTCTGTCATTTGTTTTCTCTAGCTGTAAAATTCGTTTGATTTTTAAAGATGATTCTCTTTGTTGAACATCTCATTTGATTCATTGATTTTTTTTCTTCCTGATCTTGTTTATCTGTATCTGTAAAATTATTTTGAATTCTTTGTCAGGTACTTTGTAAATCTCCATTTCTTTAGGATCATTTACTTTTGCAGTATGTTATTATTTGATGGTGTCCTTTTTTCTGATTTTTTTTGTTTCCTGATCCTGAGGCCAAGTGTTCGTGTTTGTGTAATTGGTGATGTGCACACTTATTCCAGTCCAGTGGCTTTAGCAGAGAAAGCCTTTGAATAGTCAGCTCATGCAGAGATTTCTGTATGGTGTGGTGTCTGAGTGGTTTGGACTGCCACTTGGGTCTGCAGCACTGGGCCTGGAGTCTAGCTTCATAAGTGCTTCACTTAGACCCTGAGCCTGAGTCTGCAGGAGCTGGCCAGGTGTTGGGATAGGCTTGGCACCTGGGTCTACAGTTGCTGACCTGACAGTGGGATAGGGCTGGAGGCTGGATCTGCAGGTCCTGGCCTGGAAACTAAGTCCTCAGTTACCAGTGTGGGATATGGTGCTGTGGGGAACTGCCTGTCACTGGGTTTTACTGATATAGGGCTGGTGTTGGGATCTAAGGCACATCTGTTACTTGCTTCATTCTCCTGCTTAGGGTTAGTGGAGGGCTGATGTAGGTAATGTGACACTGTCCTTCTTACCCTCTTTAATGCATTTGTCTTATTTCCATGCTACACCCAGGTACTATAATTTCTCAGTCGATTTTTTAGCTCTGATAAATGTATTTTTGTGGTAGTTGTTTAAACTGTTGTTTCTGTGAGATGACAAACACTGGACCATCTTATTTCACCAGCTTGCTAACATCCAGAAGAAAATTACTTGTTACACACAGACATCAGACATTCCAGGTCCTGATGGAGGTAGGCTTCTCATTCAGGTGAAGACTTTTCTGAAAACTCCATGTGTAGACTGTGTGCTAGTTACAATTTTCTCTCCCAGGAAGGCAAAGGATGCTCTACTTTCTTTTTTTTATTATTATTTTTTGAGATGGAGTCTTGCTCTGTTGCCCATGCTGGAGTGCAGTGGTGCGATCTTGGCTCACTGCAACTTCCACCTCCCCGGTTCCAGCGATTCTCCTGACTCAGCCTCCTGGGTAGCTGGGATTACAGGTGCACGCCAGCACGCGCAGCTAATTTTTGTGTTTGTAGTAGAGATGAGATTTTGCCATGTTGGCCAGGCTAGTCTCACCTGACGTCAGGATGCTCTACTTTCAAGTCATCCTAGAGTTGCATCTTCCCAAAGTCTGCCCCGGCCCCTTTGCATATGTTCTCAGCCTGCGAGGCACACCAGCCCTGGCAGAGGCTGCAAGGGGGCAGGTAGGAGCCAAGGGGAGCCCTGCTCTGGAGTGGCTGCTGGGTAGGGCTTTAGCGCCATATGAAGCTGGTTTAACCATCTATGTTCAGGTATGTGTGGGCATAAATTTTCAACTCCTTTTGGTACACACCAAGTAGCACAGTTTTCCTGGACCATATGGTAAGAGTATGTTTACTTTTGTAAGAAACTGCCACACTGTCTTCCAGGGTGGTTGTACTGTTTTTGGTTCGTTTGTTTTTTGAGACAAGGTCTCACTGTGTCACCCAGGCTGGAGTGCAGTGGTGCGATCTTGGTTCACTGCAACCTCCGCCTTCCAGGTTCAAGCGATTCTCCTGTCTCAGCCTCCCGAATAGCTGGGACTACAGGCATGTGCCATCATGCCCAGCTAATTTTTGTATTTTTAGTAGAGACAGGATTTCATCATGTTGGCCTGGTTGGTCTTGAACTTTTGGCCTCAAGTGATCTGCCCGCCTCAGCATCCCATGGTGCTGGGATTACAGGCATGAGCCACTGTGCCCGGCCCAGGTTGTACTGTTTTGCATTCCCACCAGCAATGAGAGTTCCTGTTGTTGCACATCCTCTTCATTGTTTCGTGTTGTCAGCGTTCTGGATTTTGGCCAGTAAGATGTAGTGGTATCTCTCACTGTTAAAATGTGCAGTTACCTGAAGACATGACATGAAGCACTTTTTCGTATACTTATTTGCCATCTGTATATCTTCTTTGGTGTGGTGTCCAGGTCTTCTGCCCGTTTTTTTAGCTGGGTGGTTTATTTTCTTATTGTTGAATTCTAAGATCCCTTTGTATATTTTACATAACAATCTTTTGTCAGTTATATTATTTGCACATATTTTCTCCCAGACTATAGCTTGTTTGAAAATAATACAGCTGTTTTTCTACACTTTCTTTTGGTTAGTGTAGCATGGTATATCTAGCATGGTATATCTTTCTCTATCCATTTGCTTTTTTATTTTTAATTTTTAAACTTTTAATTCTTTTATTTTTTACCCACAAGTTTACTGGGCCATTTTATTCTTTTTTTTTTCATTTTATTTACTGTTAAAATGTATGTTTGTCTATATTTACAGTAAATTTTCTTATAGATGGCACGTAGTTGGGTCTTGTTTTTTGATCCACTGACAATCTCTGTATTTTAATTGGAATATTTAAACCATTGACGTTTACAGTGCTGTTGATATGGTTAAATTAACATATCATGTTTGTTACTGTTTTCTCTTTGTTACCCCTGTTTTTCTTATTTTTGTCTTCCATTCTTTTTTTGCCCTTTGTCATTTTAATTGAGCATTTTAATTCTGTTTTCCCTCCTTTCTTGGCATTTCATTTATGTAGCTTTTTAAAGTGGTTACCCTAGGGTTTGCAATATACATTTACAATTAATCTAAGTCCACTTTTAAATACCCACCTCATGGGTAGTGCAAAATATTGCTAATTCCTCCCACCAGTCCCTGAGATCATTGCTGTTATTCATTTCTTTTAAGTGTTATATGTAACTGTATGTGTGTGCCTGCACGTGCACACAGACACACACACACACAGAGTGATTATACACGCAATCAAATAAAGTTGGCACTTTGGTTTGTTGTTGTTGTTGTTATTATTGTTGTTTTTGAGAGAGACAGAATCTCTGTTGCCCAGGCTGGAGTGCAGTGACATGATCTTGGCTCACTGCAACCTCTGCCTCCCAGGTTTATGCATTTCTCTTGCCTCAGCTTCCCAAGTAGCTGGGACTACAGGCGTGTGCCACCACGCCCAGCTAATTTTTGTATTTCTTTAGTAGAGATAGGGTTTCACTATATGTTGATCAGGCTGATCTTGAACTCAACCTCAGGTAATCCACCCGCCTCGGCCTCCCAGAGTGCTGGGATTACAGGCATGAGCCACTGCACTCAGCCAAAGTAGGCACTTTGTATCCATGGGTTTTGCATCTGAATTTCACATTCACAGATTCAACCAAATGCAGATCAAACATCTAGTGTTTTTGGCCGGACCTTGTTGGCTCATGCCAGCACTTCGGCAGGCTGAGGCGGGCGGATCAGTTGAGGTCAGGAGTTCAAGACCAGCCTGGCCAACATGGTGAAACCCTGTCTCTACTAAAAATATAAAAATTAGCCAGGCATAGTGGCGGGCACCTGTAATCCCAGCTACTCAGGAGACTGAGGCAGGAGAGAACTGCTTGAACCCCAGGGGTGGAGGTTGCAGTGAGCCAAGACTGTGCCACTGCATTCCAGTCTGGGCAACGGAGTGAGACATTGTCTCAAAAAAAAAAAAAAATCTAGTATTTTTGAACACATGATGAAATATATTTGTCTATCTATACATGCATACATTCGTGGAATGCAAAACCCACAGTTAGGGCCAACTTTTGGTATCCATAGGTTCTGCATTGCCAGCTAGGGGAACTTGAACTTGTTGTATGCATTTTGGTATCTGTGGGGGATCCTGGAACTAGTTCTTTCTTACAATTCCCATATCTCTCCTTACATTATCCATCAGTTTTTGCTTGTTGTCTACTATTTTTGTGGAAGTCTTTAGCCTATAAATCACAGTCTTTTAAAATCCTACCACTCCTGCTACATCTGTCTCTGGTTAGTTTAGTTTTTGACTCTGGTTTAGTTTCTTCAGACTGTGTTTTTGCCTTTTCAGATAACTTGTATTTTTTGGTTGAAAGGTGGGAATTGTGTAAAAGGAACTGGAGTAAATAGGCCTTTAGTGGTATAGTGGTAAGGTGTGTGGGGAGGTAAAGCATCCTATGATTAGGTCTCTGCCTTTTGATGAGCCTTTGCTACTGGACTACAAACATAACTAGTGTATCCCAATTATTTTTATTTCCCTTTAGGTGGAACATAATGTCCAGAGGGGGCTGGAGTTTTGTATTTTTCTCCCCCTAGGTAGGTTAGATTTTAGTAAAATCCCAGCAAGTTGGTAGCTTAGTCTTCTAAGCTTACCAGAAACTGGAAGTCCTACTTAGGCTTTTTTTATTTTTTGAGACAAGAGTTTCACTCTGTTTCCCAGGTTAGAGTGCAGTGGCATGATGTTGGCTCACTGCAACCTCCACATCCCAGGCTCAAGCAGTTTCCCACCTCAGGCTCCCTAGTAGTCTGCCACCATGCTCTGCTAATTGTGTGTGTGTGTGTGTGTGTGTGTTTTTGTTTGTTTGTTTGTTTGTTTGTTTTTTAAGAGATGGAGTTTGCCATTTTGCCCAGGCTGGTCTTGAACTTTTAGGCTCAAATGTTCCACCTGCCTCTGAAGCAGAGTATCTCCCTGACCGCTTTGTGGGATGGGAACTGGAGTGCATGGGCTCCAGCAGGGGTGAACTCCACTCACTTACTGCTCCACCCCTCATGGGAGGGGGAGCACAGGTAAGCGGGTGCAGGAGCTGGGGGCAAGTGCTTTTGGGTGCTGGCAAGAGCAAACTTCATACTGGCGCCGCCACAGTGTGTAGGGGAGGGTACCCACAACCCTCTAAAGCCCCAAAGGAAGTGTTACAGTGCCCTTTTAGCTTTGCCATCCACAGACGGCTTAAGTGTTAACAGCTCAATGGAGGGTCAGTGTGACAGCATTTTGCACCCACACTCTTGGCACCCAAGTTCTTGTCCAGTGTTGAGGAGGAATCAGGTCGCATAAGTGAATTGAGGGTGGTAAATGTGGGGTATTTTGCTGCAGATGAAAGTGGCTCTCGGTGGGAAGCGGAGCTGAAAAGGGGATGGAGCGGGAAGGTAATCTTCCCCTGGTGTCCAGCCAGAGGTGGCTGGACTCTTCTCTGAAGCTGCGCTCTCGAGCTGTCCCTCTGAAGTCAGGCTGCTTCTCTCTGATATCTAACCATAGTCTCCGACGTCCAGCTGCTTCTCCTGTCTGTGCTGGCTGAGCCTGGGGTTTTTGTGGGCACAAGATGGAGAGTGGGGAGGGGCAGGCCATGGGTGGTTTTGGAAAAGGCAGCATTCGAGCAGGAAAACAGGGATGTAAATTCTTACTTTGGGCCATGGTACCAGGCTTTTTGGCTTGAGGGTTGGGCCCTCACCAGGGATCTGCCCTCTTTTGTCCAGAATTTCCCTGCCTCCTGTCCCTATGACCTCAGCCTCCCAAAGTACTAGAATTACAGGCATGAGCCACCATACCTGACCTAATAGTCCATTTTATGTGTTTGCTGCATTTTGTTTATCCATTTTGCATTCCCATCAAGAGTGTACAAGGGTTTCAACTTTCCACATCTTTGTCAACTTCTGTTTTATAATAGCCATCCTAATGGGTTATCCCATTGTGGTTTTGATTTGTGTTTCCCTAATGATTAGTGATTTTTAGCATCTTTTCATGGACCTATTGGCTATTTGTATATCTTTGGAGAAATATGTGTATTCAAGTCCTTGGGATAATACTGACACAAGAGTTTAAGAAATTGTCAAGCCTTTTCTGAGCATGTGTTTTGACTGGCCTTGGCTGCTTTTGTTCTTTGTGTGTGTGTTACTGGGTTTCTCACTCTGTCACCCAGGCTGGAGTACAATGTTGCAGTCATAGCTCACTGCAGCCTCCAACCCCTAGGCTCAAGTGATTCTCCCACCTCAGCCTCCCAGGTAGCTGAGACTGCAGGCATGCATCACCACATCCGGCTAATTATTTTATTTTATTTTTCAGTAGAGACAGGTCTTGCTGTCTTGCCCAAGCTGGTTTTGAATTGCTGGGCTCAGGCAGTCCTGCCTCAGCCTCCCAAAGTGCTGGGATTACAGGCATGAGGCACAGTGCTCAGCCACCCTGGCTGCTTTTAGATGTCTTAATTTCCCAAATCATCTCACTCCAGCTTGGTCACAGGGCCTAAGATGGTCCATTGCATGTCTCCAGCTATAATAGCTTGCCTCAGGCCTCTGCTGGACTGTAGCTGGCTTGCAGCTTTTCCAACCTGAGAACCTAGTTAGGTGAAACAGACCAGACCTTAGACAGATCTGAATATTGCTAATGAGATCTGCCCTACACCCTCCAATTTTACGTAGGGAATTGGGCTGCCTAAAGTCTTCTAGATCAAGACAACTTTGCATTGTGGAAAGGGTAGGGCAAGGGTGAATAAAATACCATCTTTTCTACCATTTTCAATGCAGCTCTTTCTTTTTTTAAAATTTTCTTTGAGACGGAGTCTTGCTCTGTCGTCCAGGCTGGAGTGCAGTGGCGTGGTCTCGGCCCACTGCAACCTCCTCCTCCCAGGTTCCAGAGATTCTCCTGTCTCAGCCTTGTAAGTAGCTGGGATTACAGGCATATGCCTTCACACCTGGCTAATTTTTATATTTTTAGTAGAGATGGGGTTATGCCATGTTGGCCAGGCTGGTCTTGAACTCCTGACCTCAAGTGATCTGCCCACTTCAGCCTCCCAAAGTGCTGAGATTACAGGTGTGAGCCACCGTGCCCGGCCTCAATGCAGCTTTCTTGATTGGGCATTTGCTTGGTGCTGTAGACCTTTCACTGTTTCTCTTTTTCTTTTTCTTTGAGACGGAGTTTCGCTCTTGTCGCCCAGGCTGGAGTGCAGTGGCGCAATCTCGGCTCACTGCAACCTCTGACTCTTGGGTTCAAGTGATTCTCCTGCCTCAGCCTCTTGAGTAGCTGGGATTACAGGCTCCCACCACCACACCCAGCTAATTTTTTGTATTTGTAGTAGAGACAGGGTTTCGCCACGTTGGCCAGGCTGGTCTCAAACTCCTGACCTCAGGTGATCCACCCACATCGGCCTCCCAAAGTGCTGGGATTACAGGTGTGAGCCACTGCCCTGGGCCTCCTTTCACTGTTTTTCAGAGGTTCAGTAAGATTATTTTAGCCAGTTCCTGGTGGTGGTTTTTTTTTTTTAATGTTAGGCAAGGAGGGGATGATGAGGGCTTGGAATTTCCTATTCCACCACTTTGCTGACATCCTTTAGTGGTTCTTTAAGCTCTGGTCAGCAATTGGTAAACAATCTTTGCTGTGTGCCTGGAAATGTCTTTATTTGCTTTATTCTTCAATGATAGTTTCGTTGGGTTTTAAATTGTGGAGAGTCAGTTACTTTGTACTCCAGTGTTTTGAAGATGTTGTTTTTATTTTGGCATCTTATATATGTAGAATAGTCTCCTGTCATTTGTAGTTAATCTGATATTCCTCTTGGATACCTGCGGATTTTTTTTTAACTTTTTTAGCTTTTACAATATCTCAAGCGAGGATATATATTTTATCCTTTTGAGGATCTTGAGCATACTTATTTTAAAGTCATTTCAGATTGCTTTATCATGTTTGTTTCATCAGGATAGAATTCATCTCTTGATTACTAAGTTTATTGCCTGTTTTTCTTACTTTTTTCATGTGCCTTAACATTTTACTTTGCAGGCTTATTTTAGAGTATGAAGTACTCTCCTTCCTCTTCCCCTGCCCAAGTTTGTTTCTTGCTGAATAGTAACTTTGGTTGCTTCTGCTTGGTGTCTTGGGTCCCTTGGCCTAGAACTAGAACTAGAACTTTTATTGTGGACTGGAGCTTGAGACCCTGTTGGTATTGGAGATTTTTGTAGATTTAATGACCAAATCAACACATAAATGGGCACAGGTCTGTATAATGTGAGGCTGTTTTCTCTTGCCACTCTAGCCTTTAGCTTTTACTTAGCAGGTGATTCCTACTTGCCCTTTGTTTCTGCCATTGATCAAGACTTTAGTTGCTTATCTCATTTGGAGCACTTTTGATCCTAAGGAATCAAATTACTGGACTCTTCTGCCCTTTGTAATATATGGAGCCCAACACATTTAGGTCCATTAATTGAAGTCACAGTCACGCTTTCCTATTCCATTTCTGTTTATGGAGATAGTAATCTTGTGTTTTAACATGGCTGAGTATTTAAAAAATTAAAAACTGTATATTTACTGCATTGTGTATTTTTGGGGTGGTGTTACCTCTTCTTTAATAAGGAAGAAGGAAAAATGGTTCAGAATCTTAGCATTCAGATAATCTGACATTTTAACATTAATAACTATTGTATGCGTATCCTAAGAGTCAAAAAGTACTAATGGCATAATTAAAATGCAGACACTTTGTGAAGATAATGCCCATCACCTGCCTTCTTGAATATTCTTCCGGGGGAAAGCGTTATGCATGCAACAGAAAATTATATATATATACACACACACACACACACACACACACTCTCTTTAATTTTTTTACGCAAAAGAATCATACACATTGCTCTGAATATTATTTTTCCCTGACTTAATATTTTAGAGGTTTTTATATGTCAGCCCAGCCAAAATTCTTTATTCTTCCATTTTTAGTTGAGGTATAATTCATACAATATACCGCATAGGTCTTCTTATTGGTGGACGTTTGTGTTGTTTCCAGTTTGCAACTTTGAATAAGTCAGCTATAAACAAATCTTTTTGATGACGTTTATTGTTGTTTTTCTTGGGAATGTACCCAATATTTAGTATGGCTGTATACTATTCAGTTGTATAGAATTGTGATTTAGAAATACCCGTAGACATTTTGTTTGAAACAACTGGGCAGGAGGTTGCTCTTGGCAGCTAATGGATAGAGGCTAAGGATGCTGCTAAATATCTCGTAAGGCATAGTACAGCCCCCAACAACAAAGAATTATTCTGTTCAGAAATATCAGTTCTTGAATTTATATTATACATATTTTATTTAGAAAACAAATGCTTCTTGTTAAAGCAAAAAAAAAAAAAAGACTCATTTTAAAACCTTTGCTCAGATCATTGCCACATCTTAACTCAGGATCTACTATTATTTCAAAGTTACAAGATGAGATCCATCGTGTAGTATCTGTTTACTACCATAGCCATGAATAGACACGGAGGAGGAGAATGTTCTATTATTAAGTAACCTGAATATAAGGAAAAACATGAAATTGCTTTAAGTCTGAAAAAGTGAGAAACTAGAATAAGTTGAGATTTTAAATTCATGTGAAGAAAAGAGTTTGTTAATTAAAATTGATTCAGGCTGGGCATGGTGGCTCACGCCTGTAATCCCAGCACTTTGGGAGGCCAAGGCAGGAAGATCATGTGAGGCCAGGAGTTCAAGACCAGCCTGGGCAACATAGCAAGACCTTGTCACTACAAAAAATAAAATAAAAAGAAGAAATTAGCCGGACGTGATGGTGCACACCTGTAGTCCTAGCTACTCGGAGAGGCTGAGGTAGGAGGATTGATTGAGCACAGGAATTGGAGGCTGAAGTGAGCTATGACCATTGCACTCTAGCCTGGGTGACACAGTGAGACCCTGTCTCTGGATAGATGATAGGTGATTGTTAGATTGATCGATTGATTTAGGTAGATTGTATGACTACTTACTGAGTGTCTACTATATATTGACACTTTGAAAGGTACAGTGTTTGAGGAGGACACTGTCCTCACCCCATCAAGTGCTTGTAGGTCTACTAGAGGACAATAAAATAGTGGTTATAATAGAAGTACAAATAAGGTACTTGGAGAACACAGAGGAATTATCTGGTAAGGCAAAGGAATGGTGAAGTTTCGTGGAAAAGTTGTATTTTACCTAGGCCTAATGGTACCAAAGTAGACTTAAGGCAAAGAAAGGAGCCTAAATCTGAGATATGGGAGAAGGAAGGAGAACTTGGAGAAAGGATAATTTGACCTAATTATTGCCAAATTCAGAAATATAAGGGTTTGAACTAGGGGAGCAGTTCAAAGCTGTTCATGGGAGACAGTAATCTTGTATTTTAACATGGCTGGAAATAGAATGAGCTAGTTTACCTGAAAGGTATTTTGAAAGTAAATATATTGGTTCTGGTGACCTATTGACGCTTAGAAAGTTTGTTTATGTTCTTATGAGCAGGAAGTTAGTGCCTACTACCCTCACCTTAATACCTTTATTATGTATGCATAAGAAGCTTTGTCTCATAGATGAAAAATATTTTATTAAATCATATAGTATTTAATGACATCTAAGGAATCAAGCTATATTTGGACTGAATGTGAGTTCATTTAGTGGTACTCATGGGTGTAAAAATCCTTGATTTTGTTTTTGTTGGTGGCCACTGGGTTTAGATGTTGTCATGTTTTACTTGCCCATAGTATTGTGTAGCTTCTCAAAGTTTATTTTAGTTGTTTCTTTTTATTAACTAATTCAACACAGGAAGTAGGAAGGGGTTAACTTGTATTCCAAATTATTTTATAAAAATAGATATATTTATTTATTTAAAATAAAAAGCATCTTCCAGATGGAGAAAGTAATAAATGCCAAGAGGCAAACTGAATTCTATCTTCGATGTTCCAGTTAGCCATTGGTTAAAACCTTTGGAGTTCTTTGTAGTCCTTTTATGAGACTTGATGTCAGCTAAGCAAATAATACATTAAGGATCAGAAATTTCACTTCAGGGGAAAATGAGGAGAATTGAGGTAGTTTTCTCGCTTCTGTCATCTTCTGGATTATATTTCTTAAATTTCATCTAATAGGCAATAAGAAAAACTGTCCTTATATGGGTACAGAAAGTTTGTAGGTCAAATCAAAAATTTTGTTTTCCTTGGTCAGAGAGCTGCAGAATATTTGGTAATGATGTCAGCTGTGGGGTATTGCTGCCTACTTATCAGGCAGCAATATTTATCAAGCAGGCTAAAATTTTTTTTTTTCTTTTTTACATGGATCCTTGCTTTGTTGCCCAGGCTGGAATGCATTGCCACAATCTTGGCCCATTGCATCCTCTACCTCCTGGGTTCAAGTGATTTTCCTGCCTCAGCTTCTAAAGTAGCTGGAACTACAGGCGCACACCACCATGCCCAGC
The DNA here is from genome assembly GCF_000001405.40 of Homo sapiens. Lineage (NCBI taxonomy): Eukaryota > Metazoa > Chordata > Mammalia > Primates > Hominidae > Homo > Homo sapiens. The sequence continues at coordinate 8,735,394 of NC_000012.12, forward strand.
TAATTTTTGTATTTTTAGTAGAGACGGGGCTTTGCCATGTTGGCCAGGCTGGTGTCGAACTCCTGACCTCAGGTGATCTGCCAGCCTCAGCCTCCCAAAGTTCTGGGAATATAGGCGTGAGCCACTGTGCTCAGCCTAAATTTTTTTTTTTTAATGTAAATACCAAGAGATTAAGCTTTAAAACAGAGGGGAAGTATTGCTAAGTAGATGAGATACATAATTAGCTTTGGGTCAAAAATTTTAAAACTTTATTCACTGAACTTTTGCCTGTTTTTGTTTAATGACATATTTATGGGAATGGTTATTGATTTTAGACTTTCTTCGTTTTTTTTTTTGTCTGTCTGTTTGTTTTTTAAGACGTAGTTTCGCTCTTATTGCTCAGGCTGGAGTGCAATGGCGGGATCCCGGCTCACTGCAACCCCTGCCTCCCAGGTTCAAGGAATTCTCCTGCCTCAGCCTCCTGAGTAGCTGGGATTACAGGCATGCACTGCCACGCCCCGCTAATTTTGTATTTTTAATAGAGACAGGGTTTCTTCATGTTAGTCAGGCTGGTCTCAAACTCCCGACCTCAGGTGATCTGCCTGCCTCAGCCTCCCAAAGTGCTGGGATTACAGGTGTGAGCCACTGCCCTGGCCTAATTTTAGACTTTTTATTGTCTGTATTAATCTCTTCAGTGCAGCAAGTTAACCAATTTTGTTACAACTGAAAGATTTCTTCCTCACATGGTAGTGTTTTCCAGTTTTGGAGTGGAAAACCATTGTTAGTTCTATTTTAGTTTTAAGGATGGGCCTAATTTTAGAAAGCTACAAGTTTGGTGTCTGCTTGAAAATTATTTTCTTTTTATAAGGTGCTATTTAGGGAGGCTGGGTAATTTCTTTCTCCAAGCAGTTAAAATGAAAAGTCTACTAGCTTTGTCTTTCTTTTAAGAACTTTTTATTTTGAAATAGTTGGAAATTTATAGAGATGTTGCAAAAATAATACAAATAGCTCGTATATACTGTTTATTCAGTTTTCACCCATTGTTAATATTTGGCCACATTTGCTTTGCCACTCCGTGTAGTTTGTTTGTTTGTTTTCTGAGCTATTTAGATCAAGGTGCCCCAAATTCTTAAGCATGTATTTCCTTTTTTTTTTTTTTTTTTTGACGGGTCTTGCTCTGTCTCCCAGGCTGGAGTGCAGTGGTGTGATCACAGCTCACTGCAACGTTGACCTCCCTGGGTAGGAGTATAGGTGTGTGTCATGACACCCAACTAATTTTTGTTTGTTTTTTGTGGAGATGAGGTATTTCATTATGTTATCCAGGCTGGTCTTGAACTCCTGGGCTCAAGCAATCCCAACTGCCTCAGCCTCCCAAAGTGCTGAGATTATAGATGTGAGCCACCTCACCCAGCCAGTTTCAGGAATTTTAATACTGCTATTAATTACTTTCTTTTTTGAGACGGAGTTTCGCTCTTCTTGCCCAGGCTGGAATGCAATGGCACGATCTCTGCTCACTGCAGCTTCTGCCTCCCGCGTTCAGGCAGTTCTCCTGCCTCAGCCTCTCAAGTAGCTGGGATTACAGGCATGTGCCACCACGCCCAGCTAATTTTTTGTATTTTTAGTAGAGACGGGGTTTCACCATGTTGGCCAGGCTGGTCTTGAACTCCTAACCTCAGGTGATCCTCCCGCCTTGGCCTCCCAAAGTGCTGGTATTACAGACGTGAGCCATCGTGCCCAGCCTTATTAATTACTATTAACTAATATATAGTTCATACTCAAAAATAGCTATATCATTTTAGCATTTTTTTCTCCTTTATCCAGGATTTCAAGATCACACATTGTATTTGTCATGTGTCTTTAGTTTCCTTTAATCATGACTTTTTTTTTTTTTTTGCCTGTGTCTTTTTTGACATTTTTGTAGAGTACAAGTGAGCTTTTCTGCAGAATGTCCCTCAGTTTGGATTTGTCTGATATATACTAAGGATTAGAGTTAGGTTATGCATTTTTGGTAAGAATATCACATAAGTGAAATGCTGTACTTCATAATTCTTTAGATCAGGAGGCATATACCCATTTTTCTCAACATTTGATTACTTGGTTAAGGTCTTCCAAGTTTCCTTACTATATAGATATAGTGTTTTTCTTTATTAATAATATGTGGGGAGATTGAGACTGTAAATATCCTATTTTTATATCAGACTTTGAATAGTTTTAGCCTCCATTGATGAATCTTGCCTCAATCAATTATGATGTTGTTACAAAATGGATTTTCCCCCCCTCATCTCTATTATTCATTCTGTATTTATTAGTTGGTATTGTACTGTAAGGAAGGATTTTCTCTCTCTCTCTTTTTTATTTTGGAGATGAGTTTCACTCTTGTTGCCCAGGCTGCAGTGCAATGGCGTGATCTTGGCTCACCATAAGCTCTGCCTCACAGCTTCAAGCGATTCTCTTCCCTCAGCCTTCCAAGTAGCTGGGATTACAGGCATGCGCCACCACGCCCGGCTAATTTTGTATTTTTAGTAGAGACGGAGTTTCTCCATGTTGGTCAGACTGGTCTCGAACTCATGACCTCAGGTGATCCGCCTGCCTCGGCCTCCCAAAGTGCTAGGATTACAGGTGTGAGCCACTGCGCCTGGCCCATGAATTTTCTCTATTATCTTCTGGATTTATGGTCTCATTCAAAAAATTATAATCCATTACTGTCACTATTCATTTTGCTTAAATTGTCAGGGTTAGGGACAGTGGGAGCCTCGACCTACCTGGCCTCAGGTGATCCCAAGCCGAGCCTCTTGAGTAGCTGGAACTACAGGCATGTACCACTGTGCCCAGCTAAGTTTTGTATTTTTTTGTAGAGACAGAGTTTTGCTATGTTGCCTAGCCTACCTTGGAACTCCTGAGGTTCAAGCAGTCTGCCTGCCTCAACTTCCTGGAGTTCTGGGATTACAGGGATGAACCACCACACCGTGCAATTAATGGTTTTTGAATATACATCCTAAGTGTTTCTGCTGGAGAACGCAAAGCTTAAAATAGCATTCTTCATAAAAAGTTGATGTAGTAATAACGAGCTGTTTCTTAGAACTCATTTTGAAAATGCAGTAACCAAGGCCTGAAGTAATGACCTATGTGAAGTCCATTAAAATGTCTTCTTTCCTGGACAGTATTTGTATGGTCATCCGTGATGTTTTCTTCTTGACTATTCATTATTTCATAAGACTTTTAAATCTTTTTGTCTGATTACACACACACAACACGATTGCAAAAATGTATTTAGTCTAAATAAGAAAAGGAGAGTAGAGAGAAAAGTTGTAGTTTTCTTATTGAGAATTACAGTGTTCATGGGGAATGGGTGGGAGGAGTGATACCCCCCGTCCCCCAGCCAAGCTAATTGGTGAGGGAAGCTCCAAGAAATTTCATTTATATAGATGGAAGATGTTACAAAAAGTGACTGGCATGTTACTTCTCAACTGGATAGTTTCTGAGTTAGTAGTTTTGTTGGAATAGTCCATTCCATCAGAACATTTAAGAGATCTTGGTAGTTTGTGTGTGGTAAGACAGACAAGGACAGTTCCTTCTCTGTGAATTAGAGATCTACCATACAGCTTTGTCACATTTGAGGTTAACACTTAGGATTCTAGTATTGCTGGTGAGCTAGAAAAATGCCTTTTCATTCCACCATTCTGAAAGTCTTGCTTCTAGAAAAGACTTTTTTAAATTGATGATCTTAGTTTGGGCTGCTATAACAAATTACCATAGACTGGATAGCTTAAACAACAGAAATTGTTTCTGTTGTTCTGAAGAACAGTGTTCTGGAGGCTGGTAAGTTCGATATCAAGGTACTGGCAGATTTGTTTCTGATGAGGGCCCACTTCCTGGTTTGCAGATGGCCGTCTTGCTGTGTCCTTACATGGAGAAGAGAGAGAGCACGTGCACAAGAAAGCATGTGTACAAGCTCTCATCTCTTCCTTTCTTTTTAAAAATTATTTTTCTTAGAGAGATGAGTTCTCACTATGTTGCCCAGGCTGGTGTTGAACTCCTGGACTCAAGTGATCATCCCACCTTGGCCTCCCAAAGTGCTGGGATTACAGGTGTGTACCACCATGCAGGGCCATCTCTTTTCTTTTTTTGAGACAGGGCCTGTCACCCACGCTGGTGCGCAATGATGCAATCACAGCTCAGCTTGAACCTCATAGGTGCAAGCTATCCTACTGCTTCAGCCTCCTGAGTAGCTGGGGCTATAGGCATATGCCATCATGCTGGACTGATTTTTAAAAATTTTTTTGTAGAGACGAGGTCACACCATGTTGCTCAGGATGATCTTGAACTCCTTGGGCTCAAGCGACCCTCCTGCCTCGGCCTTCCAAAGTGGAGTTAACAGGTGTGAGCCACCACACTTGGCTTCTTGTCTCTTCTTATAAAGGCACTAATCCCATTGATGAGAGCTCTACCTCCTTGTGTCATCACATTGAGGGTTAGGATTTCAACACTTAACATTTTGGGGGACACAAACATTGAAATGATGACTGATGTATTTATATTTTCTCTTTTTTTCCCAGACAGGGTCTCGCTCTGTCACCCAGGCTGGGGGTGTGGTGGCATAATCTCAGCTCACAGCAACCTCCGCCTCTTGGGTTCAAGCAGTTCTGCCTTAGCCTCCCCAGTAGCTGGGATTACAGACGCTCACCACTGCGTTTGGCTAATTTTTATATTTTTAGTAGAGGCAGGGTTTCACCATGTTGGCCAGGCTGGTCTCAGACTCCTCACCTCAAGTGGTCTGCCTGCCTCGTCCTCCCAAAGTGCTGGGATTATAAGTGTAAGCTACCACACCCAGCCATATTTGTATTTTCTAGTTTCTGAATTCTTTGATACGGTAAATAATAATACCAACATGGTGAATAACAACACATTCTATTTTGTGTCCCCTCTTTTAGAATACTTTTTTCCCCGATGGTCATTATAGACTTATTTTTTACAGTGTTTTTTATTTCAGTAGTTTTTGGAGAACAGGTGGTGTTTGGTTACATGGGTAAGTTCTTTAGTGGTGGTTTCTCAGATGGGTGCACCCATCATCCAAGCAGTGTACACTGTACCCAGTGTGTAGTCTTTTATCCCTCACCCCCTCCCACTCTTCTCCCTGAGTCCCCAAAGTCCATTATATCATTCTTATGCCTTTGCGTCCTCATAGCGTAGCTCTCACTCGTAAGTGAGAACATACGATGTTTGACTTTTCTTTCCTGAATTACTTCACTTAAAATAATGGTCTCCAACTCCAGGAAGATGCTTTATTCTTTATTAATATTTTAAAGAGCATATGTCTACTTTTGCTGTTTTCTCTACAATTGACATGCACTTAGAGAATTCTCATGGTTGTTTGACCTAACAGTGATAACTGAGCTACTCTTAAAAATAGGAGAACCCGACTGGATGTGTTAGCTCATGCCCATAATCCCAGCACTTTGAGAGGCTGAGGTGGGCAGATCACTTGAGGTCAGGAGTTCAAGACCAGCCTGGCCAACATGGTGAAACCCCATCCCCTCTAAAAAATACAAAAATTAGCCAGGCGGGGTGGCTCACGCCTGTAATCCCAGCATTTTGGGAGACTGAGGCGGGCAAATCATGAGGTCAGGAGTTCGAGACCAGCCTGGCCGATATGGTGAAACCCCAGCTCTACTAAAAATACAAAAATTAGCTGGGTGTGGTAGTGTGTGCTGTAGTCCCAGCTACTTGGGAGGCTGGAGCAGAAGAATTGCTTGAACCCGGGAGACGGAGGTTGCAGTGAGCCGAGACTGAGCCACTGCACTCCAGCCTGGGCGACAGAGGGAGACTCTGTCAAAAAAGATTTTTTAAATAAAAAAATTAGCTAGGTGTGGTGGTGTGTGTCTATGGTCTTGGCAACTTGGGAGGCTGAGGCAGGAGATTCACTTGAGCCTGGGAGGCAGAGGTTGCAGTGAGCCGAGATCGCACCACTGCACTCCAGCCTGGGCGACAGAGCAAGACTCCACCTTAAAAAAAAAAAGGAGAATCAGTTCTTCAATTTGAAGTATAACTTGATGGAAGGAAAAAATAAATCAATAAAATAGAAGAACCAGGAGGGAGCGGCGCAAGGGTTATAAAACTAACTGTTGGGGCTGGGTGCGGTGGCTCATGCCTGTAATCCCAGCACTTTGGGTGGTGAGGCGGGTGGATCACGGGGTCAGGAGATCGAGACCAGCCTGGCTAACATGGTGAAAACCCCATCTCTACTAAAAATCCAAAAAATTAGCCTGGCGTGATGGCGGGTGCCTGTAGTCCCAGCTACTCGGGAGGCTGAGGCAGGAGAATGGTGTGAACCCAGGAGGCAGAGCTTGCAGTGAGCCGAGATGGCGCCACTGCACTTCAGCCTGGGCGACAGAGCAAGACCAAAACTAACTATTGGGTACTGTGCTCACTCCCTGGGTGACAGGATCAGTTATACCCCAGACCTCAGCATCATGCAAATATACTCATGTAACAAACCTGCATGTGTACCCCCGAATCTAAAATAAAAGTTTAAATTATTAAAAAAGGAGAGCTTTTTTTTTTGTTTTTTTTGAGAGAGTCTTGCTCTTGTGCAATCTTGGCTCACTGCAACTTCCGCCTCCCAGGTTCAAGCAATTCTCGTGCCTCAGCTTCCCAAGTAGCTGGGATTACAGGCATGCGCCACCATGCCCACCTAATTTTGTATTTATAGTAGAGATGGGGTTTCACCATGTTGGCCAGGCTAGTCTCAAGCTCCTGACCTCATGATCCGCCCGCCTCAGCCTCCCAAAGTGTTGGGATTACAGGCACGAGCCACCATGCCCGGCTGGAGAGCCTTTTAATAACATTTGTTACACATTTAACATAAAAATCATTAATCATCAATAGTTTTAGCCTAAAAAGTAGAAGGGAAAGCATGTGGATTTTAATGCTTTTCATTTGACTATTCTGTGGTTTCTACTGCCATCCTAAAGAATGACACTGTCCCTTTCTACGCTACCTAGAGAGGGAGGGGTCCATGTGGCCTTCTCATTGTAACTTACAGGGAAGTTTTCATGGTGTCTGGAACCTTTATGTCCTACAAAGAGCACATGGAGGAGGAGGATGTCCTCAAGTTCCTTGCAGCAGGAACCCACTTAGGGGGCACCACCCTTCACTTTCAGATGGAATATGTATCTATAAAAGAAAAAGTGATGGCATCTGCATCATCAATTTGAAGAGGACCTGGGAGAAGCTTCTACTGGCAGCTCCTTCTGTTGTTGCCATTGAAAACTGTATTGATGTCAGTGATATATCCTCTAGGAATGCTGGCTGGCAGCCTGTGCTGAAGTTTGCTACCACCACTGGAGCCACTCCTGTTGCTGGTTGCTTGACTCTTGGAACCTTCACTAACCAAGTCCAGGCAGCTTTCCAGGAGCTGTGCCTTCTGATGGTTATTGATCCCAAGGCTGACCACCAACCTTTCACAGAGACATCTTAGTTAACCTGCCGACCATTACTCTGTGTAACAGATTCTCTGCACTGTGTGGACATTGGCATCCCATGCAGCAACAAGGGAGCTCTCTCAGGGGGTCCAATGTGGTAGATGTTGGCCCTGGGAAGTTCTGCAAACGCATGGCACCACCTCCTGTGAACACCCATGGTAGATTATGTCTGGTCTCTACTTCTGCAGAGATTCTGAAGAGATTGAAAAAGAAGAGCAGTCTGGGCACGGTGGCTCAGGCCTGGAATCCCAGTACTTTGGGAGGCCGAGGCGGGCGGATCACCTAAACTCAGGAGTTGGAGACCAGCCTGGCCAACATAGGGAAACCCTGTCTCTACTAAAAATACAAAAATTATCCGGGTGTGGTGATGCTCGCCTGTAATCCCAGCTACTTGGGAGGCTGAGGCAAGAGAATTGTTTGCACCTGGAAGGCAGAGGTTACAGTGAGCTGAGATTGCGCCACTGCACTCCAGCCTGGGTGACAGAGCCAAGAGTCTGTCTCAAAAAAAAAAAAAAAAAAAAAAATTCCGGAAGTCCTAAAAAATAATCTGGAATGCTCAAGGATGGAATGAAAGTAAATATCAGTAAGGAAGGAGGCTGCCATTTGTCTGTTCCTTGATTCCTGAGAAGAAAACCACTGGTACTTACTATTATTAAGAGTATAGCCAAACTGTCCACTAGTACTTACTATTATTAAGAGTATAGCCAAACTCTGCTTTCAAAAAAACAGAAGTTTATGGTAGGTCATATGAGGAGTTCCCCCACTTAATTATGGGGAGGGAGAGATTGTTACCATTCAGATCAGAGCATAATCAGCCCTTAACACTGTCACTCTGCTTTGACAACAGCAGCAACCTTTTAATACACACAATACCTTTTATATCCTAATCAACAGGAACAAAGATTGCTTCCCCACCCCATTGCTGTTCGAGGGTTAACTTATTAACCTTATTGTTACGTTAGCACTTTATTATACACTGATCCGAAACTTATATCTAAAATATTTGTACCAAAATCTTAATTTCAGTATTAAGTCAACAAGCTAGATGAAAAATTTTATAAGTTGGGGTTTAAGATGTTTATTAAAAAGACAATATGTGTTAGAGGAAATGGGGTTGAAAACAAAGCACATTCAGTTGGAATACATGTTTTTACAATGAGAGTGGAATCGTGGGTAAAGTTCTTTGAACAATTATGTGCATCTGTTTACTAAATAACATGGGTCTAAGGGAAGAAACCATTCCTTTTATATCCATTTATAAGCTCTACGTCAAAGGCATGAGTGATATTTGGTGAGTGCTCAAGAGATCAGTAGCTCATAAGGCAGAGTCCTAAGAGATGCCACTTTGCCTTTTTGGCTCACATTCATCTTTCCAGCCTTGGATCACTTCTGTTTTCCTAGAATAACATCAGGTATTTGTTACAGGAGGCATTGAATTTCTTTCCATCCTCACTAATACCCCCATAGTACACTGTGCAGATCCAACTATACTTTGGGTAGAGCACTCCCATTTTCCGGTGGCAACAGATAGGCTGTTTATACTGGAGAGTGGAACAGTTTTTTGCTTTCTTTATCCCATTTTTAAAAAGGAGCAAAAGCTGTTTCCAGGTTAGCATAATGACAAGGTAATAATGGTTGAATTTTTTCTTGACAATTTACATTGTCTTTCTTCCTGATGACTCAAGCTTTTCTCAAAATTTAATCTTCTTGTTTTGTTTCTTTCATTTAATGGTTTTGATTGTTCTCTCCTGATTTTCTTATTTTTTATAATACTATTTAATAATTATAGATTTTGCTAGTTTTTTAAACTTTATTTATTTATTTTGAGATGGAGTCTCGCTCTGTTGCTTAGGCTGGAGTGGAGTGGCACAGTCTCTGCTCACTTCAACCTCTGCCTCCTAGGTTCAAGTGTACCTCCTGCCTCAGCCTCCCAAGTAGCTAGGATTACAGGTGTGTGCCACCATGTCTAATTTTTGCATTTTTTAAAATTCTTTCTTTTTTTATTATTGTACTTTAAGTTCTAGGGTACATGTGTACAACGTGCAGGTTTGTTACATAGGTATACGTGTGCCATGTTGGTTTGCTGCACCCATCAACTGGTCATTTACATTAGGTGTTTCTCCTAATGCTATCCCTCCCCCAGCCCCTCACCTGCCAACGGGCCCGGTGTGTGATGTTCCCCACCCTGTGTCTGTGTGTTCTCATTGTTCAACTCCCACCTGTGAGTGAGAACATGCAGTGTTTGGTTTTCTGTCCTTGTGAAATTTTTGTGTTTTTAGTAGAGACGGGTTTTGCCATGTTGGCCAACTGGTCTTGAACTCCTGACCTCAAGTGATTTGCCCACCTCAGCTTCCTAAAGTACTGGGATTACAGGCGTGAGCCACTGTGGCTGGCCTTGCTGGTTTGTTTTTTTAACTGATTTTTTTCCTTTAAGTTTTACTTTCTTCTCCTGGCTCTTATTGAGGTCCTAGGTGTCCCTTTTTTACTTTCATATTTTCAACTTATATATTCCTATTTCTTTAGCTGTTCTCAGGCTGATTCCCGTAAATTTTTTTTTTGAGATGGTGTTTCACTCTTGTTGCCCAGGCTGGAATGCAATGGCAGGATCTTGGCTCACCGCAACCTCCGCCTCCCTGGTTCAAGCAGTTCTTCTACCTCAGCTTCCCAAGTAGCTGGGATTTTATGCATGAGCCACCATGCCTGGCTAATTTTGTATTTTTAGTAAAGATGGGGTTTCTCCATGTTGGTCAGGCTGGTCTTGAACTCCTGACCTCAGGTAATCCACCCTCCTCAGCCTCCCAAAGTGCTAGGATTACAGGCGTGAGCCACTGCACCCAGCCTTTTTTTTTTTTTTTTTTAAACACAGAAGTTCACTCTGTCGCCGAGGCTGGAGTGCAGTGGCTGGATCTCAGCTCAGTGCAACCTCTGCCTCGTAGGTACAAGTGATTCTCCTGCCTCCGCCTCTCAAGTAGCTGGGATTACAGGCGCCTGCCACCATGCCTGGCTAATTGTTCTATTTTTAGTACAGACAGGGTTTCACCATGTTGGCCAGACTGGTTTTGAACTCCTGACCTCAGGTGATCCACCCACCTCGGCTTCCTAAAGTGCTGGGATTACAGGCGTGAGCCACTGAGCCTGACCCCATAAATTAATATTTAAACATAAATACACAGTTTTCACTCCACCAGTATGACTGTATACATATATGTATAGTTCCAGTCTACATTTCAAGTACAGTAATTCTACTTTAAAATCCTTATGTCATTACCAACGTCTTTCCTATCTAGATCCAAATCCAACATCTTCTGCCCCAAACCAGCTTCCCTTCTTAACATTCCCATTCTCTATATCCTTATCTCAAAATTTTTCATCCTCAAACTGGCGCCGAGGTTTTTTTCAATTTTTAGAATGCTCTTTAGATTTGCTTATCTAGGCAAGTCACTGCTAACGCCTAAGAAATGATATCAAGGGCCGGGAGCTCATGCCTGTAATCCCAGCACTTTGGGAGGCTGAGGTGTGCAGATCACCTGAGGTCAGGAGTTTGAGACCAGCCTGGCCAACATGGTGAAACCCCATCTCTAAAAAATACAAACAAGTAGCCGGGCGCGGTGGTGCATGCCTGTGGTCCCAGCTACTTAGGAGGCTGAGGCAGGAGAATTGCTTGAACCCAGGAGGCAGAGGTTGCAGTGAGCCAAGATAGTGCCACTGCACTCCAGCCTGGGCGACAGAGTTGAGACTCTGTCTCAAAAAAAAAAAAAAAAAAGAAAAAGATATCAAGATGCTCGTAACAAATGATTGTGAGGAGAATGGTGTTAGCCACAGGCAAACCTCACATCTGCTGATGACCACATACCTACCCATGGGTGCTCCTGGAGAATAATTTCTACTTTTTTCACCTTCAAAAAACTTTTTTTTTCCCTTTTAGGGTCAGGGTCTTTGTCCTCCAGGTTGATCATAGGTCACTGCAGTCTTAAACTCCTGGGCTCAAATTATCCTCCTACCTCAGCCTTCTGAGTAACTAGGGCTACAGACACACACAACCACACCTGGCTAATTTTTTAAGTTTTTTTGTAGAGACGTGGATCTCATGTTGCCTAGGCTAGTTTCGAATTCCTAATCTCAAGCAATCCTTTTCCCTCTGCTTCCCAAAGTGCTGGGATTACAGAGTAAGCCACCAGGCCTGGCCAAAATTTTGTATAATTGTCATCTTGGTGGTGGATTCTCAAGATGGAATGAGGAGTATATGGAAAATGCTTCTGGTCCCTACTATACGTACAGGGGAAGAATTGAAAGATGGGATGGCATGGACTATCAGCAGGCAATATCCAGCACAGACTCTCAGTTCTCCTAATCAGAACAGATATAAATTCTTTAGTTCAGAACATACGGCTTTGCATATTTGACACTTTACCTGACCAACCATATCTTTTACTGTACATCAATACCATCAATACAAATCGCAGAGAGACACGCATATTGTTAACATTTTTGCCCCGTGATTTATGCTCTGCCTTACATTTGAATTGTCCTTTCTCTCTTTTTTTTAAACACACACACCCCCGGCTCATGGTTTATGCCTTAATTTTGCCATTAGTTCTACCTCCCTGATTTTTCTTCCATCAGAACTATTACCATGTTTAAAAGTTAATACCATAAAAATTAATATACTGTCTGTCTCCCACTAGAAAGCTTCTTGAGAGCAAGGACCTTATTTTATTTATTAATCTATTTTGACCATATAGAAAAGAATCTGACACATAGTACTTAATATTTACTGGATGAATATCAATTATTAGTAAGGAATTGATCATATGGTGTATCTATAAAATGTAATTCCATTCAGCCCACCTAAAGTAATGAAATAAAGCTATATATACTCTGATACAGAAAGATGTCTCTGGTACAATTTTTTTTTTTTTTGAGACAGAGTCTCACTCTATTGTCCAGGCTGGAGTGCAGTGGCACAATCTCAGTTTACTGCAACCTCCGCCTCCCGAGTTGAAGCGATTCTCCAGCCTTAGCCTCCCGAGTAGCTGAGATTACAGGCATGCACCACCACACCTGGCTAATTTTTGTATTTTTAGTAGAGATGGGGTTTCACCATGTTGGCCAGGCTGGTCTCAAACTCCCAACCTCAGGTGATTCACCCGCCTCTGCCTCCCAAAGTGCTGGGATTACAGGTGTGAGCCACCACCCAGCCAATAACTTTAAGTGATTATATATCTATATATGTTTCTGTATACTTAGATGACAGTAGGGAAAATACATACTAATAACCTTAAGTACCTAGAATGTTGTATGGAAGGTGAATATGTTCTGTATTTTTGTGTTTGAATGTTTTAAACAACTATAGTAGTCTTCCCTAGCCACAGTTTTGCTTCCCATGGTTTTGCATTCTGCAGTTTTCAGTTACCCATGGTACAGTACAATAAGATTTTGAGAGAAAAGGACATTTACATAACTCTTATTACAGTAATTGTTATAATTGTCCAGTTTTACTAGTTATTATTTCTTACTATGCCTAATTTATAAATTAAACTTTATCACAGGTATGTGTGTATAGGAAAAAAAACAGTATATATAGTTCTTACAGTTTAGGCTTTCCACAGTTCCAAGCATCCATTGAGGGTTTTGAAACGTCCCCCACAGACAAGGTGGGATTATTCGTGTGTGTGTGTGTGTGTGTGTGTGTGTGTGTGTGTGTGCATATATATATATACACAAAATTTATATTCATACACAATTTATATATTTTTTATATATATATAATTTTTTTTTTAATGAAAATAGGGTTTAAGAAGAAACTCGGGGCGGCCGTGGTGGCTCATGCCTGTAAGCATTTTGGGAGGCCGAGGCAGGCAGATCACAATGTCAGAAGTTTAAGACCATCCTGGCCAACATGGTAAAACTCCATCTCTACTAAAAATACAAAAAAATTTGCCAGGCATGGTGGCGGACGCCTGTAGTCCCAGCCACTCTGGAGGCTGAGGCAGGAGAATTGCTTGAACCCAGGAAGCAGAGGTTGCAGTGAGCTGAGACCATGCCACTGCACTCCAGCCTGGGTGACAGTGAGCCTTTGTCTCAAAAAAAGAAGCAACTCATATAAATACCTTGTTTGTGTATTATTTGGGGTCTTCCTAAATAGAATGGTATTGGATAAATGTTCAAGAAACATTTATTTTAAAAAATTATTTTCTTTTTTCATTATAGAGGCATATGTTCTCACTTTTTAAAAAACATACAAAACATAATATAGATTGAGAATTGCATAGGGCACAATATTAAACTTTTCTCTTCAACCTTTTTCCTGTCTTGACACCCAGTCATATTCAGAGGAAGCCAGTTTAAATTGTTAAACCACTTAGATTTTTTTTTTTTTTTTGAGTCTCTCTGTGTCACCAGGCTGGAGTGCAGTGGCACTATCTCTGGTCACTGCAACCTCCACCTGCCTGGTTCAAGTGATTCTCCTGCCTCAGCCTCCCGAGTAGCTGGGATTAGAGGTGCCTGCCACCACACCCAGTTAGTTTTTGTATTTTTAGTAGAGTTGGGGTTTCACCATGTTGGCCAGGATGGCCTTGATCTCTTGACCTCGTGATCCACCCACCTTGGCATCCCAAAGTGTTGGGATTACGGCATGAGCCACTGCACCCGGCCCACTTAGGTATTTTTTATGTGTATGCACAAATAAAACTTTTTCTCAGATTTGCCCTTTAAAATAAAAACTCAGCATTATGTATCTGGGCATTTGTTCATCTCTGAACATATATGTTTATGACATTCTTTTTAATGGCTATGTGGTAATTCATTGTAGTGATGTGTACTATAATTTCTTTAATCAGAGATTTTTCTAATTAAATTTTCTTTTTTCTTAGGAGTATCTCTATCCCAATTTAATATTAACAAAATAGTACATTTCATTTTGTGATCCAAACTTTGGCGTATTACTATTCCTCTATTTTGTTGTATATTTCCCTCTAATTGTGTTGGTCTTGTATTTATATATTTCAGGTCTGCGGATCAATGGAGAGCTAATCACTGCCTACCCACAAGTGGTGGTAGTCAGAGTACCAACCCCTTGGGTGCAAAGTGATAGTGACATCACTGTTTTGCGCCATCTAGAGAAGATGGGATGTCGGTTAATGAACCGACCTCAAGCCATCCTGAACTGCGTTAATAAGTTCTGGACATTTCAAGAGTTGGCTGGCCATGGTGTTCCTCTGCCGGATACTTTCTCTTATGGTGAGCCTACTAAAGAGCATACATAGCCTGAATATTAACCACTGATAGTTTTAATAGGATAAATTTACAGACATGAAAGAACACCTTATAGAAGTGTCTTTCAGTTTTAACACACTGGACAGGATAATTATAAATTATATCTTAAGATTTGTTTCATATTATGGGGGAAAATAGGGTTAGAAAACTTTTTCTGTAAAGGGCAAGATTGTAAGTATTTTAGGTTTTATAAGCCATTAAGTTCTCTGGTAACCCTCCGTAATGCTGTTGTAGCATGAAAGCTGTTATAGACAATGCTTAAACAAATGAGTAGCTTTGTTCCGATGAAACTTTATTATTATAAAAACAGCTGATAGGTCAAATTTGACCCACAGGCCTTAGTTTGCCAACCTCTGTGGTAAAAGATAATTCTAATTTTATGACATTAGTTTTTCATTTTCTTCATTACCATTTTGATAACTCAAATATTTTAATGTTTTTAAAGAAAGTAACACTTTAGTAGGTGTAGCAATGCTTTCGAACTTCTGGTAAAAGGGTTTTTTTTTTTAAAAGATCAATCTGTGGTAGATTAATACTCATGTAAAATATAATAAAATGATCACAGCAGTGCCAGATTGCTATAAAAGCTTCTGCTGCCTACCCTTTTTGTATTTATCTGACCACATAACAGTAGTGAACAAGTCCTATCCAGGCATAGGTTACAGGACCACATTCTGAGTAGCACTGCTTTAAACAATATTTTGCTAATGTATTTCCTGCCTTTAATTTTCTTGTTTGGAAAAGATCAAACTTAAATCAGAGTTTTCCATAAAGGTATTTCTCCAAATAAATATCCAGTAGAGTGCTTGGAGATTTCATGAGGCTTTACAAAGGAACCCTTGTCCTCTCCTTATTGTTAATATTTTAAAAAAAAGGAACTCTTCCCCCTCAACCCCCACCAAGCCTGTATGGCATGTGTGGACGCAGTTTCTGTTTTTAGCAATTGCATAAGAAGAGACAGAATTAATATAAGTTGAGAATTCTGTGTTTTTAGTGCTTTGGGGATATTAATAGTTTATAACATGATTGTACAATTTTGATTTTATGAGAATGGAAAGAAGGAAAAAAAGGTTAACCAAATTAACAAGTATTACCTTTGTTCTATTGATGAAGGATTAAAATTTGGTGACCAAGTCATAATTTTGCAACGCTACACATTTCTCGTATTTCACTTGTTTAATGGACTTTTTCCTGTCTCAGCTTTTCTCTCTAATCATGCTGATTTTTGTAGCTACAGTCTATTTTTGCTCTAACCTTGTTATTGTATCATTTGTTTTTGGGCAATAAAAAGAATAAGAAAGGAGACTTAACCCAGGATGCTTAGTTACCCTAGTGTAGAAAGAACTCTGATTAGTAATGGAGATAAGAAAAATTGGTGTGTGTGTGTTTGTTGATAATAAAAAGAGAATGTGTCAGTGTGTGCAGCATCTCTTCAACCTTGGATAGATCTTAACCAACTCATTCTTCAGTTCCTTAATCCAAGCAGGGAATTGAATATATTAAAGTAAATCTTGGGGCTTCTGTTATTTGTGTGGGAGAATAATAAGGATAAAAACATGAGAAATGGCATAGAATTAGGAAACTCTTTAGCTGAAAGATACTTAAGTTAGATATCAGAATATGTATAGATTAAGGGAGCTATTATTTGTTTTAAACTGATATTCTGTTATATTTTCAACTTACACATACTTTCTCCAAGAAAAAAAGTTAGCCATCAGGCTCTTACCTTCAACTTCCTTGTGCTGTTGGTTGTCTTTAGCGTTGATAAAATTGATCACAAAATACTTCTGCTGCTGTTTGTCTTAAATTTTTGTATTGCTCAAACCAGGTGGCCACGAAAATTTTGCTAAAATGATTGATGAGGCTGAAGTTCTGGAGTTCCCAATGGTAGTAAAGAATACGCGGGGTCACAGAGGTATGTATGAGTTGTTGGTAAGGTATATAGTTTTGAAACTATTCTTGCTTATTAATATGGAGTGACTTTGAAGAATAGTTAGAGGGAAATTGTTAGATGCATGATACCTCAGACTTACAGAAGGCTACTATGAGTTGTTCAGTTTGGCTAAAAGCTATTTGTTTAGTGGTTACCTAGAGATTTTAACATACATACTTAGACTGAGTCTCAAGTTAATGTCTGTATCTTCCTCAATAATGTAAAGACCGCCCGTAATCCCAGCACTTTGGGAGGCTAAGGCAGGCGGATCGCCTGAGGTCAGGAGTTCAAGACCAGCTGGCCAATGTGGTGAAACCTCGCCTCAACTAAAAATACAAAAATTAGCCAGATGTGGTGGCATACGCCTGTAATCCCAACTACTCGGGAGGCTGAGGGAAGAGAATTGCTTGAACCCGGGAGGCGGAGGTTGCAGTGAGCCGAGATCACACCACTGCACTCCAACCTGGTCGATAGAGCCAGACTGTGTCTAAAAAAGGGCAAAGAAACAATAAGACCTTAGATCACTAACTCCAGTCATTGCCCTCTAAAGATATATAGTTTGAAGACTTAAATGCGTAAGGTAAAACTATAACACTTTACAAGATGGCATATGAAAATATCTTAATGACTTTGAATTAAGGTAGTTTAGGTAGGTTGTTGTTGTTGTTGTTATTGTTTGTTTTTTGTTTTTTTTTTGAGATGGAGTTTTGCTCTTGTTGCCCAGGCTGGAGTGCAGTGGCGTGATTTCAGCTCACTGCAACCTCTGTCTCCCAGATTCAAGCGATTCTCCTGCCTCAGCCTCCCAAGTAGCTGGAATTACAGGCATCTGCCACCACGCCCAGCTACTTTGTTTTTTCTATTTTTAGTAGAGACGGGGTTTCACCATGTTGGCCAGGCTGGTCTCGAACTCCTGACTTCTGGTGATCCACCTGCCTCGGCCTCCCCAAGTGTTGGTATTACAGGTGTGAGCCACTGCGCCCAGCCTAAGGTAGGATTTTAAGGCATAAAATGATATATCAGTCTGAGTACAGTGACATATTTTGTGTTTCGGCAGGGATGGCTGGATCAGAGTTCAACTGGAACTATTGACTGGATTCTTTATATTTGGCTTCTCCAGTAGAGCAGCCAAGAGTCTCAGGCCTCCTGCAGTGAATGCTAAAGTGAACAAAGAATCTGTATGACCTTTTATGGTCTACCCTCATAAGTCATAATAGAATTACTTCTGCTATATTCTCTTGTTTGGAGCAATCACAAGCCCTCCTAGATTCAGCCAGAAGTGACATAGATTCAGTATCCCTCCTTTCCCCTCCCCACCATGGGAAGAATTTAGAACCATATATCAAAAACAGCCACTTCCGTTGGCACAGAAATAGACAAATAGAGCAGTGGAACAGGCTAGAGAATTCAGAAATAAATTGAGGTAACATACTGCTATATTACTATATCCTAATATCGTATATTAATGTATTCTATAATAATATATCACACATGTTTTAATTCAGAGATAAAAAGATTTGCTAGTGAATAAGGTTTCATTATTGGCTAACCTGGGGAGAAGTACAAATCTAGACCCCTGCCTCAGCATATATCAAAATAAATTTTAGTTTGTCATGAAAGAGTTTAGGGAGTAGTAAAAGGAGACTATTTACCTTGTCTTTATATATTTTTGTATTATTTCACTGTTAAAACAGTTCTAACAAAGAAAACTTAAAAAAAAAATGTAGTTGGTTCTGAAATAGCAGATTGTGATACAAGAAGATTCAGATAATAGGTATCATCTGCCCACAATTGATGACTTAACATGTATTTTTATTCTTTTCAATCATAGGTAAAGCTGTTTTCTTGGCTCGAGATAAGCACCATTTGGCTGATCTAAGCCATCTTATTCGCCATGAAGCGCCATACCTGTTCCAGAAGTATGTTAAAGAGTCTCATGGACGGGATGTACGTGTCATTGTCGTGGGAGGCCGTGTGGTTGGCACCATGTTACGTTGTTCAACAGATGGGAGAATGCAAAGCAACTGCTCATTAGGTAAAAATAATGCAATTATCTTTCTAGTATATAAAGTAACATTTATAATTGTCCAGTGAGTATTCATATGTATGTAACTCTAGACCTTCTTAATAAGTTGAAAAACGTATTTCCTTTTACATGTAAATATGATTTTTACACATGCCATCAATGTAATTAAACTCTTGAGTTATTTTTCTAGTAATATAATTCTGTTTCACTGAATCATATTAAATCTGCCTTCACCCGTTCTCAATTTGTAACCCAATTTACACATGTATTGGTTATCTGACAAAAGTTAAGAGATTCCCTCTTTGGTGATGTACTTATTTTGTATATAATTGGAGTTCCTATAAGATGTCATAACCCATTTTACCCATTGGTCCAAACAAGATTGCTGATTTTGATTTTCTTAAATATGTATTTTCTCAGATCTCTTATTGTTAGGTACATCAGAGCTTAGGCTTTGGGTTTTTATCCTCCTCTTCTCTGTTTATATCACTTCCTTAGTAATCTTGTACAGCTCATGACTTTAAATACCATTTGTATGTTTATTATTTCCAAATTTCTATCTCCAATTTAGGCTTTTTTCCCTGCTCCACCTCCAGGTTTATATAAGGAATTGCTTACTCAGTATCTCCAAAACTGAACTCCTTACAATGTGTTCTACCTGTAGTTATCTCCTTATCATTTTATTCTTATATATGTATATATGTATGTATGTATGAGTGAGTGAATGATGGGGTCTTGTCTGTCTCCCAGGCTGGAGTGCAGTGGCAGGATCACAGCTCACTGCAGCCTCAACCTCCCAGGCTCAAGCGATCCTCCTGCTTCAGCCTCCTAAGTAGCCGAGACCACAGGCACATGCCACCATGCCCGTCTAATTATTTTATTTTTTGAAACGAGCCTCACTCTGTCACCCAGGCTGGAATGCAGTGGTGCAATCTCAGCTCACTGCAACCTCCACCTCATGAGTTCAAGTGATTCTCCTGCCTTAGCCTCCTGAGTAGCTGGGACTACAGGCACCTGCTACCATGCCCAGCTAATTTTTTTATTTTTAGTAAAGACGGAGTTTCACCATGTTGACCAGGCTGGTCTCAAACCTCTGACCTAGGTGATATGCCTGCCTCGGCCTCCCAGAATGCTGGGATTACAGGCATGAGCCACCACACCCAGCGCCGGGCTAATTTTTTACATTTTTTTTTTTTTGTAGAGATAGGGTCTCCCTATGTTGCTCAGGCTGGTTTCAAACTCCTGGGCTCAAGTAATCCTCCTTCATTGGCCTTCTAAACTTGTGGGATTATAGATGAGAGCCACCACATCCAGCCTCTCTCTATTGGTTAATGACAGCTCTGTTTTTCTGATTTAGACCCAAATCCTTAGAGGCATCCTGGTCCCTCTCTTTTCTTATACCTCATATTCAAATTGTCAGGAACCCCTTGAAATCTCTACTCAGAATGTTTCCAAATCTGACCATTTTTTACCATCTGCACTCCTAATACCACCTTCTCTTATTTGGATTACCTACAGTAGCCCCTTAAGGGGTCTTCTTGCTTCTACCCTTCCCTCCTAATCTCTTCCTAACACCGCAGTGATATGACGGATGCTTTTACATTGCAAGTCAAATCAGCCTTTGCTCAAAATCCTCCGATAGGGCCGGGCACAATGGCTCACACTGGTAATCCCAACACTTGGGGAGGCTGAGGCAGGAAGATCATCCTGACCTCAAGGTTCAAAACCAGCCTGGGCAATCGAGGGAGAGACCCTGTCTCTACAAAATATAAAAATAAATTAGCTGGGGCCAAGCTTGGTGGCCCAAACCTGTAATTCCAGCACTTTCGTAGGCCAAGGTCGATGGATCACTTGAGGCCAGGAGTTCAAGACTAGCCTGGCTAACATGGTGAAACCCCATCTCTACTAAAAATATAAAGTTGGCCAGGTGCAGTGGCACATTCCTGTTTAGTCCCGGCTACTCTGGAGGCTGAGGCATGAGAATCTCTTGAACCAGGAGACAGAGGTTGCAGTGAGTCAAGATTGCACCACTGCACTCCAGCCTGGGCAACAGAGTGAGACTCTGCCTCAAAAAAAAAAAAAAAAAATTAGCTGGGCATCATGGCATGCACCTGTGGTCCCAGCTGCTCAGGAAGCTAAGGCAGAAAGATTGCTTGAGCCTGGGCGGTCGAGGCTGCAGTGAACCATGATCGTACCACTGCACTCCAGCCTGTCTCAAAAACAAAAATAAAAAAAATTCCTCCAATAGCTCCCCAGTTTCATTCCCAGAAAAATTTTAAGTTCTTGCCCTGGCTACCAGGCCCCAGATTCCTACTTATCTCTCTGAGATCTATAATCACATGGATGAATCTCAGAAACATAATGTTCATTTAAAAAGGCAAGTCAAAGAAGAGAATACATGTATTGCATTTATATAAAATTTAAATATATGCAAAACTAAACAATGCAGTGTTGGGAATACAAACATTTAGTAAAACTAAAGAAAAGGCAATATATTGATAAGTATGAAATTCAATATGGTGGCTTATTCAGAATACATGATAGAGTAAGAACACAGTGAAGATTTGAAAGATATTGGTTATATTAATTTTACTTTCTACTTTTTTTTTTTTTTTTTTTTTTTTTCTGATGGAGTCTTGCTCTGCCACCCAGGCTGAAGTACGGTGGTGTGATCTCAGCTCACTGCAACCTCTGCCTCCCAGGTTCAAGCAATTCTCGTGCCTCAGCCTCCTGAGTAGCTGGGACTACAGGTGTGCACCCCAATGCTGGGCTAATTTTTGTATTTTTAGTAGAGATGGGGTTTCACCATGTTGACCAGGCTGGTCTTGAACTCCTGGCCTCAAGTGATCAGCCTCCCAAATTGCTGGAAGCCACCAGGTGTGAGCCACCGTGCCCAGCCTACTTCCTATTCTTGAAAAATGACTTCTGCCTCCTTGAATTAGCTCTTCATGTCTCATTTTAATTTTTCATTATAACACGTCCTGCTGACTAGCTAGAAGAGAGCTAAATGGCATCTTTTCTTTTATGAGTCACTTTTACTTTACTACATTGAGATTTAATTAATAGTTACTCTTCATAGTTCAGGCAAAAGGAACTTTAGAAAGTAACTTAGTTTTATATTAAGAAGTATACTTTTTTCATTAAGTTTGTTTTGAGGTCAGGTGCTGTGGCTCAGTCCTGTAGTCCCCCACCCAACACTTTGGGATGCCGAGGCAAGAGAATGGCTTGAGCCCTGAGGTTTGAGACCAGCCTGAACAATGTAGAGAGACCCCATCTCTATAAAAAATTAATTAATTAAATAAGCCAGACGTGGTGATTCACACCTCTGGTCCCAGCTACTTGGGAGGCTGCATTCTGGCCTAGGTGACACAGCAAGACCCTGTCTCAAAAAAAAAAAAAAAAAAAGTTGTTTTGAGATCATTGAGGCTTACAAAAAGGTATAAAGGATTCCTTTGCACCCATTAACCAGCTTTAGAAATAAGTTGTCAATATAGTTATCTGTTTACTCTCTCTGATCATTTTCTTCTCTCTTCCCCACATCCTGAACTTGGTATTTATCTTTCCTATAATGTACTTTTAGTTCTTCTGTCTGTATTCCTAAACTAGTTATTATTTTATGTTATAAAACTTCATCCTTAGATACATCGTCAAGAGTATTTCTGGGTTAGCCCATTCACCCAGAAGTGGGATTTCTGTGTTGTAGTGTATTACAATAACTTCAGCTCTACTAGATATTGCCAAATGATTCTCCAAAGTGAGCATACTACCTTAGAATTTCTCCTCATTGAATAGTTTCTTATAGTGCCAACTTCTTGCCAACCTGTAAGGTCGGTAGACATTAAACCTGCCAAAATAATGTGAACTTTTGTCTTTTTTTTTTTTTTCCTTTTTCTGGAGAATGGGGTCTCGCTATATTGCCCAGGCAGGTCTCGAACTCCTGGGCTCAAGCTATCCTCCTGCCTCTTGCCTCCCTGAGAGCTGGGATTACAGGCGTGAGCCACTGCGCCTGGCCTGTCATGTCATTATTTTAATTTATCTCTCACTGTTGAGATTATGCATCTGTTTGCTTTTTTTTAGTGCATATTCTGGTATCTCATCTATGAATTGCCTGTTCAGGTCCTTTGTGTCCTTTTTTAATCGAGATTTTTTTTTTCCTTTTTTGTATTGATCTGCAGGCTCTTTTTCTTTTTTTCCTTTATAAAAATACCTTATTTTTTATCGAGGTGAAGTCTTGCTATGTTACCCAGGCTAGTCTTGAACTCTTAGCCTCAAGTGATCCTCCCATCTCAGCCTCCCAGAGTCCAGTGATTACAGGTTTGAGCCACTGCACCTGACCAGATTTATCTAATCTGACTTCAAATTCTTCTGTCAGTTATATGAATTGTAAGTACAGTATTTTCATCCCAGTCTGTGGTATTTCTTCTTCTTTTTTTTGATTATAGATTTTGATGGACAAAAATTGTCCCTTTTAATGTCAAGCATATTCATCTATTTCTTTATATTCTCTACTATTTTTAAATTGAAGAAATTCTTCTCCACCCTTTGGTCATGTTCAGTTCTTGAATAGTCTTCTAAAAGCTTTTCCGTGTTTAGGACTTTAATCTACCTGAAATTGATTTTGCTGTTCAGCATCATGAAGGAGATCCTGTTTTCTTTTTTCGAAATGAATAACCGGTTGTCTGAACACTACTTATTGAATAGTCTGTTTATTACTACTTTGTAACGTGTTTAATTTCCATATGTGCATTGGTCTATTGCAAGGTCCCTTAGTCTATTGTATCGTGCTTTTTATGTATGAATACCAGTCTTTATTCTTTTGGTACTATGGGTAGATATCTGATAGAGCAAGAGCCTCTCTACCTTGTTTGCCAGAATTGAATTGCAATTTGTATTCAGTGTTTTACTATTGTGAGCAATAATACTATAAACATCCTGTGAATATGCTTTGCTTTATATACTGGTGCCTTTGTCTTGATAAGTCTCATCAAGGTTGGAATTGATGGAACAAAATACATATTTAAAAAAATGTATGGCCAGGCACAGTGGCTCATGCTGTAATCCCAGCACTTTGGGAGGCTGAGGTGGGAGGATCACTTGAGGTCAGGAGTTTGAGACCAAAGGGCAACATGGTGAAACCCCATCTCTACTAAAAATACAAAAATTAGCTGGGCATGGTGGCAGCCACCTGTAGTCCCAGCTACTCAGGAGGCTGAGACAGGAGAATCACTTGAACCTGGGAGGTAGAGGTTGCAGTGAGCCAAGGTCGTGTCACTGCACTTCAGCCTGGGCAACAGAGCAAGACTCCGTCTCTAAATAATCAATCAGATTACTTTTTAAAAAGCCCATAACTTTTTGCATTTCAACTTGCAATTTTTTTTCCAATCAGATGAGAATTAATTGCTATCTTATGGCTATTTTAATTTGTATTTTTCTCACCATGAACGATGAGAGAATCTTTTCATAGTTTATTTGGTCATTTGTATTTACTTGTGTATGTATTGCTCTTCATTATATTTGCTTAGTTTTAAATTGGGCAGTTTTGTCTTTTGCATAGCATTTCTGACCAACGACTACTAAATGCCAATATGTCCGCCCCAGATCTCAAACAAGCAGAAATGCCACCATACAATTTCCAGATTCTCCCCAGTTGAGAACCACTGCTTTAGAACCTCCAGTATAGTGTTAAGCAATAAGGATTGCAGTGATTTCTGTCTAGTTTCTGATTTCCACTGAAATAGGTTTAGTGTTTTGCTATTTAGGATACTATATTTAAGGAGATTGATTCTATTAGAGATTCTATTAGAGTGTTTAGGAGGGATGATTGTCAGATTTTATCCTGTGCCATCTTGGCATCTTTATTTTTTATTTATTTTTATTATACTTTAAGTTCTAGGGTACATGTGCACAACGTGCAGGTTTGTTACATATGCATACGTGTGCCATGTTGGTGTGCTGCACCCATTAACTCGTCATTTACATTAGGTATATCTCCTAATGCTATCCCTCCCCCTTCCCCTACCCCACAACAGGCCCCCGTGTGTGATGATCCCCTTCCTGTGTCCAAGTGTTCTCATTGTTCAATTCCCACCTATGAGTAAGAACATGCGGTGTTTGGTTTTTGTCCTTGCGATAGTTTGCTGAGAATGATGGTTTCCAGTTTCATCCATGTCCCTACAAAGGACATGAACTCATCCTTTTTTATGGCTACATAGTATTCCATGGTGTATATGTGCCACATTTTCTTAATCCAGTCTATCATTGATGGACATTTGGGTTGGTTCCAAGTCTTTGCTATTGTGAATAGTGCCACAATAAACATACGTGTACATGTGTCTTTATAGCAGCAGCATTTATAATCCTTTGGATACATACCCAGTAATGGGATGGCTGGGTCAAATGGTATTTCTAGTTATAGGTCCCTGAGGAATTGCCACACTGTCTTCCACAATGGTTGAACTACTTTACAGTCTCACCAACAGTGTAAAAGCATTCCTATTTCTCCACGTCCTCTCCAGCACCTGTTGTTTCCTGACTTTTTAATGATCGCCATTGTAACTGGTGTGAGATGGTATCTTATTGTGGTTATTGATTTGCATTTCTCTGATGGCCAGTGATGATGAGCATTTTTTCATGTGTATGTTGGCTGCATAAATGACTTCTTTTGAGAAGTGTCTGTTCATATCCTTCGCCCACTTGTTGATAGGGTTGTTTTTTTCTTGTAAATTTGTTTGAGTTCTTTGTAGATTCTGGATGTTAGCCCTTTGTCAGATGAGTAGATTGCAAAAATTTTCTCCCATTCTGTAGGTTGCCTGTTCACTCTGATGGTAGTTTCTTTTGCTGTGCCATCTTGGCATCTTTAATTTAGGACCAGAAAGGTTCACAGCTCAGTTTTATTTAGCTATCCTAATAAGGATCCTTAAGACCTTTAATTTCTTGGTGTGATGGATTATGTTGATATATTTTAGATTAAAAATAATTTTTCTGGCCGGGTGCAGTGGCTTATTCCTGTAATCCCAGCACTTTGGGAGGCCAGGGTGGGCCTTGAGCTCGGGAGTTTGAGAGCAGCCTGGGCAACATGGCTAAACTCTATCTCTACAAAAAATACAAAAATTAGCTTGGCATGCTGGCACATGCCTGTAAACCCGGTTAACTCAGGTGGTTGAGACGAGAGGGTGAGGGGGAGATAGCAAAAAAAAAAAAAAAAAAAGAATTTGTTTTTCCAAATTGCCCTTTGCATTTTAAAAATAAACCTTCTTTGGATAGCTTACTGTTCTTTCAAAAATTACCGAATTTGTTTTTTTCATATTTTATTTAGATCTTTTTTTGTTTCAGTTGCAAGATTTAATAGAGCGAAAACAGAGCTCCCATAAAATGGGAGGGGACCCAAAGGGGATTGTCGCTCCCTGCTCAAATGCCTGGGGTTTATATACCGATCATTGCCCCTCCCCCTGTGCTCTTCAGGCGATAATATGATTTGACTATTTCTTTACCGCCTGCTTTAGCCTAATTTGTCTTTTAGTGAGCCCTGTTTACTACCTGATTGGTCGGGTGTGAGCTGAGTTACAAGCCCTGTGTTTAAAGGTGAGTGCAGTCACCTCTCCCAGCTAGGCTTAGGAATTCTTAGTTGGCCTAGGAAATCCAGCTAGTCCTGTCTGTCAGTCCCCCCTCTCAACAGGAAAACCCAAGTGCTGTTGGGGAGGTTGGCTGACGACTGCTTTTAACTGCTTCCTGCTGAATTGGGGTATAGTAGGGGTCGTGCAGTCGAGATTTCCTCGGGAGGGGTGCCTTCGATGTCATTAACATCGGAGCATGGGCTAGCAGGCCGGTCCAGGGGTCTGCGGTAGATCTTAGTCATGGACTGCATCTGGGGCCCCATTTGAAGAACCATTTGTAGTTTTATAGCTTTGATTCTGGAAGAGACAAACTTAACAAGGAGGTTAAAGATACAGGAATTGAAATGTATGACCTGAAGTGCAGGGGCATATGGGTGTGGGTGGTGAAAGTGGGGTTTCCTTTAGAAAAACTACAATGGGGCGTCAATATTTCTGGGAAGCTGCATTCTCCATAGAAGCTCTTGGTAAAGGGAGCTACTGGTAGTACAGCGGCAAGGAGGAGGTGCAGCGAGAGTGAAAGGTTTGGTGAAGGGTTTTAAGTAACTACCATTGGTTGGCTGCAGGCAAAAGTATTTTTCCTTCTTTGGTGGCTAGCCATCCTGAGGGGAGGAAACTACATCCTCGTGAGGTTCCCCATTCTATTTCTTCTTCTGAGTACTGGGGCTTGGTTTCCCGGAGGGGATTACCCCATGCTAGGGTCCTTCTATAAGCATTTCTAATGGAGGGTCCTGCCTTGCGGCTCTTTTGGCTTCAGTGTCGTCTTGGTGGTTCCCTTCTACTTCCCTTTCCTTTTCTTTCTGATGACCCCGGCAGTTTAAGACTGCCACCTCTTTAGGTTTCTGTACAGCCAAGAATAATCTCCTAATGGCTTCCTGATGTTTGATAGGTGTTCCTTGGAAGTTAGGAATTCCCTTTCTCTCCATATTGCTGCGTGGTCATGGAGGACTAGGTAAGCATATTAGTGTCTGTATATATATTTACCCTTTTTCCTTCTAATTCTAGTGCCTGAATGAGGTCTGTTAGTTCTGCCAGCTGAGCGCTAGTTCCTGGAGTGAGGGGGTTACTTTGAAGTATTCCATTATCACTGAGCACTGCGTACCCTGCTTTTCGAAGTCCTTTTTCTACAAAGGAACTTCCATCAGTATACAAGTTGAGGTCGGGATCAGTCAAGGGAACCTCTAGAAGGTCCCCTTAAGCGGCGTAGGTGTGAGCAATCACCTGTTGACAGTTATGTTCTTTTTTTTATTGTCTGGAAGAAATGTGGCTGGATTAAGAGTTGCACAAGTGCACAGTTGCAGCACTGGCTCTTTAATAGAGCCTGATATTTAAGCAAATGGTTGTCTGACAGCCACAAGTCTCTTTTAGCAGTGAGTATGCTGTTTACATTATGAGATGTCCACACAGTAAGATCTCTTCCCTGTATTATTTTAACTGCTTCAGATCCTAAGACTGCTACTGCTGCCACTGCCCATAAACAATGAGGCTAACCCTTTGCCACTACATCAGTTTCCTTACTCAGGTATGCCACAGGTTGCAAGCTGGTCCCTCGGACCTGTGTAAGGACTCCTAGAGCTATTCCTGTTTTTTTTCTGTTACATGTAAAGAAAAGTCTTGGCCTGTTGGCAAGCTTAACACTGGGGCTTGGGTTAGGGCCTTCTTTAGGGCCTGGAAAGCCGCTTTTGCTTTAGGCGTACATCTGACTAAATGGGTATTGGCTTTCTGAGTTTCCTTAATTAGTGTATATAATGGCCTGGCTATTTCGCCATACCTGGGAATCCATATTCAGCAGAAGCCTGTTATGCCACGGAACCCTCTTAGTTGCTTTAGGGTTTTGGGATGAGGATAAGCCAATATAGGCTGGATACGTTCCTCGCTGAGCGCCTTGGTGCTTTTGGATAATTTTAGCCCTAAGTATTTAACCTGCTGTGAGCAGAGCTGAGCCTTTGGTTTGGAAACCTTGTAGCCACAAGTGGCGAGGAAGTTTAAAAGCGCTTGGGTGGCTTGATGACACAAGGTTTCTGAATGGGCGACTAAAAGTAAATTATCCACGTACCGAAGGACAAGAGTGTCCTTCAGTATGAGAACTGGCTCAAGTCTTGGGCTAATGCCTGGCCAAATAGATGGGGGCTATCCCTGAACCCTTGAGGTAAAACAGTCCAGGTGAGTTGAGACGTTGGGTTTGAAGGATCTTCAAAGGCAAACAAAAATTGACAGGATGTACAGGGATGCAGAAAAAGGCATCCTTAAGGTCCAGAACTGTAAACCACTCTGCTTCCTCTGGCATTTAGGAAAGCAGAGTATAAGGGTTAGGTATAGCTGGGTATAGAGGGACAACGGCCTCATTGATAATCCTGAGATCTTGCACTAACCTCCACTGTCCGTTGGGTTTCTGTACTCCTAAAATTGGAGTATTGTAGGGGCTACTGCATGATTTTACTAGGCCTTGGGCTTTAGGTCCTTAACAATCTTTTGGAGTCCTTGTTGGGCCTCGGGTCTAAGGGGGTACTTCCTTTGGCAGGGAAAGGAGGCGGAATCCTTTAACTTGAACGGGACAGGAATTCTTCGCTTGTCCATATTGTCCTTCTGTTCCCCAGACTTCAGGATTAATTCCTTCCTCAAGTAGGGGACAATAAACGGGTGTTCCTTGTCCTATATTCAGGTGTATAATGACCCTTGCTTTTGCTAGAATGTCTCTCCCTAACAAGGGAGTGGGGCTTTCAGGGATAATTAGAAAAGCATGTGAAAAGAGTAAAGTTCTCCAGTCACAACTTAGTGGCTGGGAGAAGTATCTAGTGACTGGCTGTCCTAGGACCTCTCGGATAGTGACAGATTTGGAGGACCGTTGTCCGGGACAGGAGAGTAAGACTGAGAAGGCTGCGCCAGTGTCCAGGAGACAGTTAACCTCCTGGCCCTCAATGGTCAAGCATACCCGGGGCTCTGTGAGGTCGATGGCATGGGCTGGCACTTGCCCCAGGCACCCTCAGTCCTGCTGCTGGATCATCTGGTTAGTGGCTTCTGACTCAGAGGACCTTCGTCCCCTGGGGCAGTGGGCCTTCCAGTGATTCCCTTTACATAAGGGGCATGGACGAGGGGGCGGCTTATTTCTATTTGGACAATCTTTTTTAAAGTGTCCTTGTAGACCACACTGGAAGCAAGCCCTATTAGGCGTTGGATTTGCCCAGCCTTTCTGTTCCAGAGCCTCCAAAGTCTGCTTGCCTGAGGGCCATGACTAAAGCAGTGGCCTTTTTCTTATCTCGTTTGCCCCATTCCACCTGCTCCTCCTGATTTCTATTATAAAAAACCGAGATTGCCAAGTTCAATAGGGTTTCTAAGTTTTGCTCAGGGCCTAAGGCACACTTCTGAAGTTTTTTTCTAATGTCTGCAGCTGACTGAGTGATAAACTTATCATTTAAGATTAGTTGGCCTTTAATAGCCAGGTGACAGGGAGGAATGCTTCCTCAGTGCTTCCCTTAGTCTCTCCAGAAGGGCAGTAGGATTTTCTTCCTTTCCCTGTGTTATAGTGGACATCATTGAATAATTTGTAGGCTTTTTCCTAGTTTTCCTTAGTCCTTCTAGCACGCAAGTTAGCAAATGTCTGTGGCACCAATCTCCATGTTCTGATTCTGTGTCCCAGTGAGGGTCTACACTGGGAACTGCCTGCTGGCCTTGGGGAATTGTTCTTTCCTCTGTTGTCATCCTATCATTGACCTGACTGAGATACCAGAGATCACCAAACTCTCGGGCTGCAGTTATGGCGGCCCTTCTCTCATTTGGTGTTAGTGTCTGATTTAGCAGTAACATTATATCTCTCCATGTCAGATCAAAGGATTGTCCTAACCCTTGTAAACCACCAATATAGCCATCAGGGTTATCTGATAATTTGCCCCGGTCTATTTTAATTTGCTTCAAGTCTGAGAGAGAAAAAGGTACATGCACTCTGACTGGGCCGAATTCTCCTCCTCGCACTGCTTGGAGGGGGCATAATCGGGAAATATTGGCACTCTTTGGTTCATTGTTTACCCCTTTGTCTATCTCCTTTTGGGTCCTTATTAGTTGGGGAAGAAGCTGGGGGGACACCGGGATAGGGAGGTAGACTCTGAGGGCTTCCTGTAGGGCATAAATCACACTTTTTACATAATTGTGACTTGTTTCTTAATGAAAAGAAAGTTTGTACATATGGCACTTCACTCCATTTGCCTCTTTTTTTATACAAAAGAGGTCTAGCTGTAAGATGTTATAATTTATACTTCCGTCGGGAGGCCAGGTTTCTCCCCCTTGATGAGGATATCGTGGCCAGGCAGTACTGCAGAAGAATATAAGTCATTTCTTTCTTAGCGTTTGAGGGTCAAATTGGTCCCAATTCTCCAAAGTACATCTTAGGAGATGTACTTTGCCTTGGGGGGAATGTTTCCCATCTGAAAAAAAGAACATAGGGATGCCAGCACCCCAAATCATTTTCTGATGAGCATTAGTCCTAGAGCGTCCTCTATGGTCTTAATGCTTATTCCTTTCCAGGGTGTGTAACCACCCATGGACTTCTGCTTATCGGATTAGTTACGCTCACTGATGTAGCAGTCCTGCACCTGTTTTCCCGCCTTTCTTGACCACAAAGAAAGGGGTCCGGCTGCTGGATTCTAGTGGTCCTTTACCAGCGTGCCCAACGTTGCCTTTGCACTCAGAGGTGAATTCTAGAGCTGGGCTGGGTTCCTGAGCATTTCATAACACCCCAGCTGCCCCATCAACATGCATTCCCATAAACAACAGTTCTTAGGCAAATTTGTTTCAGAGAGGGTGTAGGTAACCTTTTGAGTCGGGATTGAGATAGAGTCTTTTTGATTCTGTAAGTACTTTAAGGTTTGGCTGAGTGCAAACAGCTCGCAGGTTTGAGCAGACCAATTATTAGGCAATTTTCCTAACTCTGCTTCCACAAGATTCTCCCTATCAATTGCTGAATACCCACTGTGTTTTTTTCCTCAGTCACCGGGAGGAACCCTCTATCTCCTGTCCTGAAGGGAGTTCCTCCTAGGTCTGGTCAGACCTTTGTATGGTAATTAAGATTTAAATCCCCTGTTAGGAAATCTGCTAGGTTAAGGGAATTTTCAGTGGTTAATGTTAAATCACCTTTTTCTAACAGAATAGCCCCATACTTTAAGATTTGAGTTAGTAAGCTAACTTTTTGCTTTTTTGACTTAGGATAATTCTGAACTGGTGAGGTGCTCACAATGAGGTTTCCTCTAAAGATTATTTTTCTACTTTTAGCAATGCAGTTGCCGCTACCGACTGAATGCATTTGGCCCATCCATGGGTCACTGGGTGAAAGATTTTTGATAGGAAGGCTACGGAGTTGTCAGTGGTCTCAGTGTTTTCGGGCTACGCCCTTGTTTACCCTGACAACAAGGTAGTATTGGAGTGTTACAGGGTCACGGAGAAGACCTTCCATTATCAATTATAGGTTTTAAATTTACCCTGGCTTTTAAAGGAATAGGGCACACTGTTTTTCCTTTACTACTTCTATCTTTCTCTTTCTCTCTTTGGCCCCCTTTGTCTCTCTTTCTCTTTTCTCCTAGCCCTTTACAAACTTGGGGCCCTGGCAAGGGTGGTGGGGAACAGGTCCCACATAACTGCCCATGTCGAGAGCTGTATGCCTAAATTGGGAGAGACACCAGGGACAAGACTCTCTGGCTTCGTAGCCTAGGGGCCTAAGGACGCAGTGTAGAGCTTCCTTAGATCCCTTTGGAAATACAGCTTGCTAGAGGAAATGAAAGTCTGAATCATTAGTACCTAGGAGGCAGGGATCAGAGGAAGTAGATTCAGAGGTAAGGAGAATTTTGGGCTACACTTTCAAGAAAGTCGTGGTCGGGACCCAGAAGCTATGGGTCAGAAGGAAAAGTAGGGGTGTACGCATGGGCATCTGTTGAGTAGAGACTTCTGTCTGCGCCATGATCTCAACCGGCTAACACCAGGAGTTCGGGATGACAGCTTTCTGCTTCTAGTCGGCCCTCAGCTATCCCAGGAAAATTGAAAGCGGAAGCTGGTTCCAGGCAGACCAACGCTCCCAATCCAGAAGGTTTGGGTTTGTTAGAAAGCTCTTTCCCAGACAACCTCACACCTGAGTCTTAAGTCTGGCGGCCATGCTAATTATTTTTAACCAGCTGACAGGTGCCTGGTATTTTCCTCCAATTCTAAGGAAGGATAGGACAGAATAGCAAGCCAAAGTGGTTCAATATTATTCACTGCTTTGGAGGTCCCTTCGTGGTCACCAAAATGTTACCAGGGGGTCCTTGTGCCTAGAGTTCCCAAGATGGCGGCAGGGCCACTTCCAATATGGCGGCAGGCCTCTTGTTCTCTGACCTGGGGTTCTTGGCCTCAGGGATTCCAAGGAATGGAATCTTGGGCCATGTGGTGAGTGTTATAGCTCTATTAGAAGCCATGGGTCACGGAAGAGAACTGTGGAACCCAGCGACTACTGTTCAGCTCGATTAGGAAGAACCCAGGCACTTAGTTGTGCAGGAACAATGGCAAGCCTTTAGCCCGATCAGGAGCAGCAATGGGTGCCTCACTGGATCAGGAGCACAGAGGACATCCTGCTGGATCTGGAGGGGTGGAAGTCAACGGTGGGTCTGGGACAGTGGCAAACAGCAGTGATGGACAGTGAGCAAAAGCTCAGCTCGAGCCGTAACAAACACGGACCACAAGTGTGTGCAGTTGCATGATTTAATAGAGTGAAAACAGAGCTCCTGTACAAAGGGAGGGGACCCAAAGGGGGTTGCCTTAGAATGTTTTCATCTGTTTTTATAAGATTGGCCAATATTATTATTTTTAAAAAACTTTATCACATTTGATATTAAGGTTATGCTGGCTTTATTTAATGTATTGGGGAGTTTTCAGTCTTTTCCTAGGGCATTCTATATTGGTAAAGTAACATTGGAATAAAGGATAGCTAAGTAAAACTGAGCCGTGAACCTTTCTCATCCTAGTTCCTTTTGCAGTAATAGCTTTTATCACTTTCTGAAACCCTTCTGTAATAATTGCCCTGTTAAAGTTTGCCACTTCTGGGGGCGGTTTTGGAAATTTATCATTTGCTTGGAAAATGATACATTTCTTTTAGGTTTCCAGTTTTTTGCCAAAGAGTTTTGTGAGATATTTGCATATGCTGCTTTTAATCTCTGCTTTGTATGTGATTCTCTTTATTGTCATTCTTATTCTTGTCAAAATAGCTTTTGTATTTTTAAAAAATTCTATCTTTCTGTTGTATTCATTTTACTTTTTGTTTTCATTATATCTCTCTTCCTAGTTTCTTTGGCTAGAACACTTAGTTTCTTGTTTCAAAATGAAGGCAATTCATGTTAAACATCTTCCTCTGGAGAATTTTCACAGTGTTGGAAGGTATTAATACAAAGCATTTTTCTCTTTTATTTACAGTTGGTTCTCATTTTCCTTTGTGATTTCTTTGATCCAAGGGATCAGTTTTGCAACCTCAAAGTAGTTAATATTCTTTTGGCTACCTTTACCATTACCCTATTACCTTCTGATTTTCTTGACTTACTAATGTTGTCAGAGAATGTGGCCTGTAACATTTTTTTTTAATTTCATTAATTTTTTTTGGTGTGTGACTAGCATAATTGTTTTTTATATTTAACAAAGGAAAAAATGTATATATGGATATATACTCTGGTCAGGAGAAATAAAGCTGTGAAGTAAGTTTATTTTGCGTGTTTTCTATAAGCAGTATATAGCTAAGTTTTGTTTTTTATTCAAATCGGACTAGTTTCCATCTTTTAATGGAAGATTTGGTCCATTTTTTGTGTAATTACTAATATACTTAAAATTTCTTCCATCTTATTTTGTGTTTATTATTTAACTCAAATTGTTCCTTTTTCTTTTTCTTTTCTAATTTTTGCTGGTTAGTAAGGTACCATTTTATTTTCACTCCTGCCACCAAACCCAGTTAATTTGGGAGATCAACCAGGGTTTTGCATTCCATTAATGGTTACCTTCTATTTTCTTATGCTCATAATCAGACAGATTCTCTACAGTTACTTGAGAAGATAATTTTCCTTGATACTTTATTTACTACTTCACTGTATCATCATAATAATAATGAAGTCTTTGGAATACCTTTACTTTCCCCTGGTGTTCCTTGTTCCCTCTCCCCTCCAATGGGAATATTAGAACAATTTTATTTCCTTCCTACTCTTTCCACTTGATTGACTCATTTATTGAGTAAATAGTTTCAAGTACCTCCAAAGCGTCAAGTACTGTTGTAGCAATAATTTTTTTTTTTTTTTTGGGAGATGGAATTTTGCTCTTGTTGCCCAGGCTTGGAGTGCAATGGCATGATCTCAGCTCACTGCAACCCCCGCTTCCCGGGTTAAAGTGATTCTCCTATCTTGGCCTCCCACATGCAGGCACCTGCCACCACACCCAGCTAATTTTTGTATTTTTAGTAGAGACGGGGTTTCACCATGTTTGCCAGCCTGGTCTCTAACTCCTGACCTCAGGTGATCTGTTCGCCTCGACCTCCCATAGTGCTGGGATTACAGGCATGAGCCACCGCGCCTGGCCTATTGTAGCAGTATTTTGTATATACTAGTGAACAAAACAGACAGAAATCCCTAGTCTCATTGACCTTATATTCCAGTTTTGCTGAAATCATCTAATAGTTTTAGTTCATCTGTTTGGAATTTGTTTTACTGTATGTCTCTTCTGTTTCATGAACCCTTATATAGCACTTTATCCATTCCCAGGCAGTCTGTCTTTATCCACTTAAAATGAATTATACCTATATTGCAAAGTACTCACCATGGTTTACTCCTCATATTCATCTTCCCATATCTTGAGATCTCTGTTAGCCATTTACTAGTATGTTAGTATCATTTCTTGATTATTTTTCCTGGTGGGCTATCAGAGTCATAGATACCCTCACATATTCTGTTAATACAAAAAATACACTCAAAGTGCTTTTTCTATTCTCTCATTCAACAACAATTCACATGGAACACTTATTTGACCACGTGTGGGGGATTTCTCTATTTGGAGATACCATCAGATCTGACAGGTTGAGGGCTCAGTCACCAGGAGTCACCAAGAATATCCCCAACTTCCCACCTCACCCCCTTCAGACACCAGTTGCAAGTCCAGGCCTACAGAACTTCTGACCAACTGGCTTCAAGTTGGGGTTCCCGTGACTTTCTGCTTAGGTTTGATTAATTTGCTACAGCAACTCACAGAACTCAAAGAACACTTACATTGTGTTATCTGTATATTATAAAGGATATTTCAAAGGATACAGGTGAAGAGATGCATAGGGCAAGGTATGGGAGAAAGGATATGGAGCTTCCATGCCCTCCCACGGCTTGCCACCCTTCAGGAGCCTCTACGTGTCCAGCTATCCAGAAGTTTTCTGAACCTTGCCCTTTTTGATATCCAATTGGATAGACATAATTGATAACCATGTAAAAATGTAATTGGACCAAAAGGGTATGATCTAACACTAGTAGACTGAGTAGGGAAACCCAGCAAGGCCTGTATGTTCAGATTCTTCTTGGCCTCTCTGTGCCACATTCCTTCCTCCAGGGTATGGGGCAGGACCTCATCTGGAATGAGGTCTTATGACCCACAATCAGAAAGGCTGTGAAAGATTAGAGTCCTGCTGTGGGGTAGGTGAAAGGAGGACAGGGGAAGGTTAGATTCTATTTTCTAAGGAAAGTGCCCCAACATTATAACAAAAGACTATAACAAGGGCTGTTGGAGTGATATGCCAGGAACTGTGGACAAAAACCAATATATAATTTAGATCAGAATATCACACATCTTTCTCCTTGGAAGAAGAATAATACTTTGTCTGAGATATAATTCTTATATTGTAAGAGTCTAGCTTCAATTCTACTGCCTTGAAGATTTTATTGTTGCAGTTTAATGTCCAAATCTACTCTCATTTTTTTCCTTTGTGGGTAATTTATTCTTTGTAAATTTTTTTAGTGGCGCTCACATTTTATTGGGATTTTGTAGATATATTTGTGTCTTATCAGTTCAACCTGGATTTTAGCTGTTTTAGTCAGCAGACTAAATTTCTTCCTTATACAGTTTTCTGGAAAATGTCTTCATTAATTATTGCCTCTCCATCTGTTTCTGTCCTTCTGAGGAATATTTTTCTGATTCAGTTCTCCAGTTTTGTTTTTGTTTTGTTTTGTTTTTGTTTTTGTTTTTGAGATGGAGTCTCGTTCTGTCGCCCAGGCTGGAGTGCAGTGGCACAATCTTGGCTCACAGCAACTTCCACCTCCTGGGTTCAAGCGATTCTTGTGCCTCAGCTTCCTGAGTAGCCGGAACTATAGGCGCCTGCCACCACACCGGGCTAATTTTTGTATTTTTAGTAGAAACGAGGTTTCACCATGTTGGCCAGGCTGGTCTTGAACTCCTGACCTCAAGTGATCCACCTCAGCCTCCCAAAGTGTTGGGATTACAGGCATGAGCCATCACAGCTGGCCCAAATTTTTTATCTTTATGATTTCACCTCACATTTTTAGCTATGCTTTGCATATTACTTGATTTTCTAAGTCAACTCTCAAAGCGACTGTACTCTCTTTGAGTTTCTCTATTGGATTTTTTAGTTGAGTAATCATGTTTTTGTTTTAACTTCAGAAAATCTTTTTGTGCTGAACTTGAATCTCCTTAAAGAGCTCTTATTTCTTTCATCAAAGTCATAGATGGATTATTATTGTTTTGTTTTTACATCAGGGCTCACTCAGCTTGGGTTATTTGTAGTATTCTACATGGCCTCAGTCTTAGAAGTGCTGTGAAGCAGAATCATTTAATTCACGGGCCAGTCTTCTACGGAGGTACCTAAAAGAAGCCTTTTGTTTCCTTGACTTCTTTATTCCTACAGCCTCAGTGGTAGGGAGGATCCACCTCACCTGTCCAGCTACTTCTGGCCTTTTTGGGGTCAAACACTACGGGTAAACTCACATGTCATCCTCACTCCTATGGATACACAGAGCTCTTGGAACCAAGCTCTTCTTAAAGTTCTTTACTTTCCTGTCCTTAGTTCAGAGCTTCGTGAAGCTGATCTCCAAGTGAGAAAATCAAGTTCTACTTCCTTTCTCTTCCTTCCTTTTGGCAAGGCCAAAGACTTCACTTATATCCAGCCAGCTACCTTATAACCCAGAAGCCTTTTGGTTTAGGAATGACAGCTAGATTGAAGTGGGGGCTATAGAGGAAGAAAACTGTGTTCACGTCACCACCTTCCCAGATTTCACCCCATCCTCCGTTCTGTTATGCATTTTTATTATTTTTATAAATCAAAAACCAATAATACTTTTGCCATCTATCAAGTGGTCTAATTGTATTTATGCTGAACTTCCTTATACTTGGTTTATATTATTGCAAGTAAGATAGACTTGGAAAAAATATTGACAACTTACGAAATCATCAATTCCTGGGAGACTGGATAGGGAGAGGATTCCTGATTAAGGAAATCTAGACTTAGAAGTCCTAATTTTACACTAGAATAACGCCTTTGTTTTCACTATTAATTTAGAAGAAAGGCTTAGCCTTGGAGGCCAACTTTAATTTTATTTCAAAAGTTTATGATTTTGTTAATTTCCTGTCTTGTTTCTTTTGCCAGGTGGTGT
Source organism: Homo sapiens (assembly GCF_000001405.40). Lineage (NCBI taxonomy): Eukaryota > Metazoa > Chordata > Mammalia > Primates > Hominidae > Homo > Homo sapiens. Next base: position 8,773,328 of record NC_000012.12, read on the forward strand.
GGGGATGATGTGCTCATTGAGTGAACAAGGGAAGCAGCTAGCTATCCAGGTGTCTAATATCCTGGGGATGGATGTGTGTGGCATTGATCTGCTGATGAAAGATGACGGCTCCTTCTGCGTCTGTGAGGCCAATGCAAATGTAGGTTTCATCGCCTTTGATAAGGCTTGTAATCTAGATGTAGCTGGTATCATAGCAGACTATGCCGCCTCCCTTCTACCCTCTGGCCGGCTCACCCGGCGTATGTCCCTGCTCTCCGTGGTGTCCACTGCCAGTGAGACTAGTGAGCCGGAGCTGGGTCCCCCAGCCAGCACTGCTGTTGACAACATGAGTGCAAGTTCCAGCTCTGTTGACAGCGACCCTGAAAGCACGGAGCGAGAGCTGCTCACCAAGCTCCCAGGGGGCCTGTTCAACATGAACCAGCTGCTAGCCAATGAAATCAAACTACTGGTGGACTGACTCCACTGGTAATTAACCAACAAAACCCTTGTAAAACTTTCTTTCTTCTTTTCTATTTTTAAAACCAACTTGCAATGCTGTTCATGGAGGATGCTCAGGAAGATGAGAGAAAATTAGTAGGATTAGTTGGAGAGAGTGGGAGATAGATGAGACCTCTGCTAGTAAGATGTTACTTTCATTTACAAATCCTACAAATAGAGAGGCAGAATAGGTGGGGTATAGAAAAATGTCAGGCTCTCATAGTTACCCTTTTAAATTGCTAAAAAATGTGTATGCTCATAGGCCATGAGGAACAAATACTTTTTTTTTTTCATGGTCCCTTGCTTTTGTTTTTGTACAAAAAAAAATGGTTTTGCTACAAATATCCAAGTAGCATAACTTCACATTGTGTTGGAAGATTTGTCATCAGTGAGGAAAACATCTGCATAAATTACAGGAATTTTTGTATTATACAGCTCTGAAAATTCTGCCATTTCCTTATTAACTAGCAGCTTTAGTTTGTAGTTTATGAAATCTTGAGGGGCTCTTTTACTGGGATTTCTTATTTTTTTGTTTTTTCCCGCTTAATTTGGTGGGAGGTCAAATTGAATATAACCCAATAAAGGCTTCTTAATGACAAAATTGGCATGTTTGCATGATGAAATGGAAATGAACAGTATTGCAATGTCCGGTATACAAAATAACATTAATTCAATGTAGATAAAATTACACTAGTTTAAAATATGTGCATTCACTTGTATTTGTTAGTGTTTTAGTCTTTTTTGAAAGATGTGCTCTGTTAATGTTGCTTTTTTTTTTTTTTTTAATACATGCTAGTCTAACATTTCCTGCTCTATGCCTGCATCTTTAACAATGGCCAAAGTGAAGAAAATGCTACCTTTTTTGTTAACAAGACACTGACTTGAAACATGTACATTTAAAGCCTTTTATTTTTTCCCTTTTTGTTTTGGTAGTTGGGCATTTAAATAAGGACAAGGAAAAATATTTTTGGGGGCAAATCAAGAGCCTATGAGTTCTAAGTATAAAGCTGAAGTGATTTCGAATGCCAGCGTTATATATTTGCATTTTTCACATTTTACGAGGGAGTATATGTGTATGTGTGTGCACGCATGCATGTGTATGTGTTTTGCTTTTTGTTTCCATCAACTAATCAAAAAGGATAATTTAGAAAATGGAGCATGATGGGAAACAGAGTTTTTGACTTTAAAAAACAGATGAGTTGTTTTCATAAGTAGACTCCACTGGGGTAGAGGTATTCACCTTAAAACATAGGGTGAGTAGATGCTTTTTTAGGCCTTTTTGTGTATATGTACGTTGTTTGTTTTTTTCCTTTTGTTTCTAGCCTGTTCAGTGTACAGTTTATTCAAGGCTACATGCTTTTCTTTAATGCTTCTGGCTATGCATTTTCTCTTTTTACATATAGGATTTGGGATTGGGGGTGGGTTGGATGTTTTTGTTTGGGGACTTATTTAGTAGTATTGAGTCTCTTATAGCCCTACTCTTAAGCCTTCAATACTGTCCACTCTTTATATTCCTTTACTTGCAGAATTTATAAAAGCCCCCAAACTGCATATAATATGAGCCTTTAAAACATGGGTAAAACTAATCCCATTGATGGGTTTGGATGGTATGTTAAGAAATGGAGATGCTGCAGAGCCCAACGTAATTTTTTAAACAGCAAGTTTTCCATCTCCCTACGAATCCTCTGAAGCTTTTACCCAAGCCCTTTCTTGCCTCTCCAGTGCTATTTTCCTTCAGATGGACCTTAAACATAATTTCTTGGACACTACTAGAGAGACTTCGAGGCAATAATAAAAGATCAGTATTAACCAGCTATAACAGAGGTTTGATCATGCTTACTTGTACAGTTTTTCCCCCGTTTTAAAAAGGAATGTAATAAAATTTGTTTTTTCCATAGAATTAAATAATATTAAAATTGAGTGAAAGGTTGATTGTTGATGAATAGAATAGTACCTCTCATCTGTGCAGTGTCTCATTTCACCTCAGAGAAAAGGATACATAAGAGGAGTTTGTAATTTATCTTAGGATATTCTAATTGCATTTAAAAGAACTTATCTTGCGCAGGGTAAATGGGGGACTCACATACATATATTAATACCTCTGACTCATTAACAGAAAGAAATACTTGGTACTTCTTTCGCTGAATGACCATACTGTGGAGGATGCATACTATTTGGTATAGAGAAATAAATGAGGAAGAAAGAACTGCTTAATTAAATTATCATTCATATGTTCATATAGAGACCATCTGGTTGCCATGTGTATTATGACACATACACTTTGAATAGTTACATATCACAAGTATGTAGTTCATGTTTGTGTTGGTGGGGTAAGGCATCAGGAAAAATGTAGTTAGTCTTTTCTTAACTTATACCAAATTAACCAACTATATTATAGGAAATATGTGAAATTAGTTCATTAGCTTTATTCACTATTATGCATTCACATGATATTAAAACGTACACTCACATGTTAGAATGAAAAGAGCAGTAGTTATCTTAGATTTTAAAAACATGGATATCTTCTTGAATTCCTTCAAGATTGAGGTAGAGAATAAGAGCAAATCATTCTGGAAGTACCTTAAGGAAACAAACAGCAGCAGATATTTAGGTTAAACTTATTTTCATAATTGTTTAATAACTTTTGTATAATCTTCATTGCTATTATGAGAGAGAATGTATATATCAAATATGTGTAATGATAAAATCTGAATTGTAAAATTTTTGTATATTGTTAAAATTGTAATTCTAAATTGTATTTCAAAAATGATTATTTCTGATATTGTTTTTATGTCACCCATGATGAAAACTGGACTTTATATATCTAAACATACAAGTATGAACTATTCTATTTAAAATTTTTAATAGTTTTTTTCTTTTTTGGTGCCTATAATTGATTGGTCATTTCTGCTGGCTTTTCTCCAATGAACATTGAAATCTTCCTGTATATGTTACCAATAAGAAAACTACCCTGGAACAGTAGAAAAACCCAACAAGAGACTTGGCATTCATCAAGCACATTATCAGACTTTGAGAACATATTGAAGGCATTGACTTTGAAAATCATCTCTTTTTCTCAAGAAGAAAGCAATGGAGAAGCAAATTTGTTTCATTCAGTGAATCCCCAGTTTGGGGCTTGTGGGGCTTAGAGACATTGTGAAATCAAATCTTGTGTTATACTTTTCTCCTGGCTCACTTTTTTTGAGAAGGTTTATGGGCTATTTGGCTGGTGAGACACGATCCCCTCCTAAGAAAATGTAGGTGCTCAGACAGGTAACCACTGCTGCTACTGTTTTTATTTGTTTGTTTGTTCAATTTTATTTAAGATTTGTTTTTGTTGTACTAGGATTTTAAAAAATGTAATATATTGCAGGATTTATAACCAGGTTCACTGACTGCTTGCTTGCTTTCTTTTTTTTTTTTTTTTTTTTTTTTTCTTCTTAAAAAAACAAAACAAAGTTTCATTTAAAATACATTTAGGCACCTTTGGAGCTTGGATTTTGGAATGTTTCAGTAGTGGACAGAAATCTGCTGTTGGAATCTTCTAGTCTTCCAGGTTTAATTTGAAATGTTTTTAGTTTTGTTTTGGATTTTTGTGTGGTATTTTATTTCCTTTATACCAATGCCATTTTGCCATGCTGTTTTGGGGTGGCTGCCTAACTCTAGTGAAAATTCTTTCTATATTAATGAAAGTTTGGCCTTTGAAGATCCTTAATGTTTTGCATTTTTTACATTGTTTTTAAAGAAATATTCTAACTGCTTGCACTGTTACTGTTCTTTACCAGCCTTTTCAGGAGCCAAAAAAACAAATACAAACAAACAAAAAAATACCCAGAGAAAAAACTTTCCTTCTTCCCCCTTCCTGATGATGAGTGAGAAGTATTGAGAACTTTCGGGGTCAGTGCCCTTCTAAACTCCCCTTCCCCCAATAATGCAGCTGTATAATGAATGGTAAATGCACCGGTTTGGATTCAGGCACAGCCCCAGTCTGCCTACAGGTAATTTAACTCTTTCTCCTTTCTTTCCATCACTAGGCTAACTTTCTTTTTTTAAAACTTCCTTTCTTTACGTACTTTAAAAAGTAACCATGGGTTTGTCATAATTCTCACTTAAAAATAATGCATAAATGTATCTAGCAAATAATATGATTAAAGAAGAGCTTTTGGGGGTAAAGTTTGACTTGGTTATGATATACTCAAGACTTGGGAATTTTGTTTAGCCATTTAGATGACTCCATTTCTTGCATATATGTCTATAATTAAGTATTTCAGAGTGTGAATTTTTTGGCTTTGTTTTTGTTTTGGGTTTGTTTGTTTCTTCCATTGTGCTACTCTGGCTTAAGCTTTTTCAGGGGTTGGTGTTCCGAATACACAGTGAGCTCACAGTATAAAGACATCAATTAGGAGTTGACAGGTATGGAAAACTAGAGTTTTGAAAGGTAAAATTAGGCTCTAGGTTATATATATGGTAAAAACTCAACATAGCATTCATTTTACCTTAGTGCTTCTCTCTGTGACTTTATAAAAGTGAAAGGGAATAGTAAGACGAAGATAATACAAAAAAATTTAGTTCTTTTAGGAGCAATGTGATTTCAGAACTAATCGTTTTAGCATTTCTAAGATACTAGTTCTAACAAGGAGATGTGAGCAGTTTGAGATTATCAGAAAATCATGGTTTAAACCTTCAAAAATTACAGGTTTGAACAGATAGGAGGACATTTCTGAAGCACAAGATGGCTAAGCACATTAACCAAGGACATAAAATGTCAGGGATAGGACTACAACTCGTCCATTTTAATAGCCTTTCTGTTAGGTAATAAACTAAACTATCCTCTCCTCCGTCTTTACCCCAGTCTACCTACCCATTCTTCCTTTCTCCTATACTTCCTAAAGTTTTAGTTCTGAGCTTTTATTATTTTGGGATATTGTCATCTTTCTAATAGGTAGAATTTTAGTGAAAGTAATCAGGACCTTTTCAAGATAGACTTCTGCATAATTTCATCCTGTGGCTTTGGACGTACTATCCAAAGAGGCTGTACATCCAGCAAGTCACTAGTTAGTGAATAGGAATTCTTGGCGTGTAATGCCATTTCTTGTAGCTGAAGGAAGACATGTGATAAGTGATTAACCTGTTCTGTGCTTCAGTTGACTCTTATAAGGACAGTCATTCCCTTTAAGCATCTTAAGACAAAAATATTTATCTGTTGAATTGGAATTTACTAACAGAGGGAATTTGAATTGGAATTTACTTCCAGCTGCACTCATGCAAGAATTTGTGATGTATACTAAAAAATAAAAAAAGGCTCATTCAGGAGAGCCTTGTACTCAGCAAGAGTGGCTAACATTAGAGCATACAGACTATGTGATTGTATAAGGCATGGAGAGTTAAACAACCTCCAGTCAGCTGCCTGTTTGAATACCACTGACTTGTTAAGAATGATCTTGCTTTTAGATTTTACCATATTCAAACTTATTAGGTGAGCCTTATATAGCATATATACCTGGCTGCTATTGTGGGGTTTGGGAACATGAGGGGTGGGGTGAACTGTTGTTGTTTTAGGTTTCAGTCAGACAGACATCCCTGTGCCTCAGTTCCCAGAAGCACAGCAGGCCTCTAGGAGCATCCGTGGGAACGGCGCAGTCCTGACATCACCAACTCTCCTGCTCAGGCTCATCCCATATACAGAGGTCAAAGGGTGGGGTTTGAGATCGGGGGAAGGAATGAGAAAGTAGAAGCAATGTCACTTCAGTGCCACTGTTGACTAGTCTTTGGTGCTTATGTCAGTATTTGTTTTATTTCCTGATTTTTTTAAAGTTGGCAAAACTACATATTTTTATCTTGATGAAGGCAGTGGGAGGGTGGAACAAAAACAAGCCATTACTGCTATTTCTAGTTCATTTACTGGAGACTGTCCCTTAATAGCTAATGTAGAATAAATTTGAAACATAGACCTAGATGACAAAAAGAATGGGAATAGAAATGAATCTCAGGATTTGAACAAACAGAAGACGTTTATGCTGTGTTGATGCCCAGTTCTACAACTGCTATTACATTTGTCATTCTGTCTCCCCTTTTCCCCTAATTCTTTTATGTATGTATGTATACAGTTTGAGGAAATGTGCATCTATGGTCAGTCCTTTTTAAAAGACTTAATGAATTTATTACTCTTTTGCAAAAAATATACCCACTGCTTATATGGGCATACAAATGCTACCCTATTTTAAATGTAGGTGGCGTATGTGTTCGTGTTTTAATGTATTCAGAGCCATTGGGCAATAAGCAGTCCAGAACATTGAAAACTCAAGCAGGTAAAGCACCTAACACCCTTAGTTTCTAGAATTACTTTAAAAAACTTTTATATTGCTGCATCTTCCACAGTTCTTTGGGTAGTCTCTGAACTTAAAATTTGTAGGAGTTGTAGACTACCTAAATTTTTAAGTTATGGTATTTGTTCATAGGTTGTAGGGGTAGGTAAAGAAGGAAACAGACAAGAAAATGGCTTCTTGAGGTGGCAGCTGCTGAGTGGCTAAATCTTACCACTTTCTTTCTACTTTTTTTGGAAATTTTCCCAGCTTAGCATGAACATGGATCATACAGTGTTTGATTTTATGTGATTGAGATTTTTGTTTTTTATTTTTGGAGGGAAGGTCTTGGAGAAACATTAAAAAGTTGGTGTATGTGCAAAAATACGAAATGTTAAACAAAGGAATTTTTTCTTATTTAATCTGAATGGTAAGCAAGAACTTTTTCTATATACCCTTCTGCTGCAGCAGACAACTAAACTGGTAGGTGGCAGCAGAGGAAGGAATTCTTCAGATTGATGGCTACTGACTTAAAGTCTGCATAGGAGAAGAGATAGAGCATGACATACCAAGTGAAGCAAGGGGGACAAAAATGGAAACAGGACTAAGATTCCTGCATTTTGACTCTAAATGGTAAGTTATCTTTAACTAAGAATGTGTTTTTAGTCTGATAGCAATGTTATATAAATTATATGATTGGTACTATGGCATGTAATCATAAATGCCTGTAGGTCCTTGCCTTAACGTTGAATTTGACCTCACTGGTAAACTGTCATTCTTTACTTTGAATAATAACTAATAGTATGTAAAATTAGGATTTTTCTCCTCAGCATGTTGGTATATGTGACCTTTAATTATGGCAAAATTATGTGGACAGTAAATCTGAATGTTTTTAATTTGCAAGATAAATAAAATATGCATTGTTAATCATTTTATACAAATAAAAGGTTCTGGCCACGTACTGTGGCTCACGCCTGTAATCCTAACACTTTGGGAGACTGAGGAGAGTGGATCACCTGAGGTCAGGAGTTCAAAACTAGCCTGGCAAACATGGAGAAACCCCATCTCTACTAAAAATACAAAAATAAGCTGGACGTGGTGGCGGGCACTTGTAATCCCAGCTACGCGGGAGGCTGAGGCAGGAGAATCGCTTGAAACCCAGGAGGCAGAGGTTGCAGTGAGTGGAGATCAAGTCACTGCACTCCAGCCTGGGCAACAAGAACAAAACTCCATCTCAAATAAATAAAAATCAAAACTAAAAGATTCTTCCCTTTTTAGTGGGAGCTTTGGGAGATAACAAAGAGTATAATTGGAAAAAAAATTACTGAGGGTGGCGTGATCTCTTCCAGCTGGCTATCTAGGTCAAGACCCATTTCTTTGTCACTGTGCCATGTTCCACTCTGCCATCAGTTCCACCCTGCCTGTTCACCTTTCTCTCTTGCTTATCTGGCTGGGCTTTTCCCCTGTTCCTCTATCTCTCCCTGTCTTTGTGCCTCTCCCTTATCCAAGTCTGTTTGTAAGCTGCTTTTTCTCACATTCAGTCCTGAATTTTAATTATCCGATGTTGCCATTTTCCATCTCTGCCTGCCTGTTTTTCCTAAGAGAGTGTGCATGTCTGTCTTTCTCTTCCTCCCTCTCTCCCCACTTTTCATTTGCATTCTTCATTAGAATTTGACTAGACTGAATAGAAATTAAATGATACTTTGAAGTTCTCTAGAATTAAAGAATGTAAATTTCAATTAAATTTATAGAATGTAAATGTCAATTAAATTTATAAGATGCAGACCTGTTTATTCACCCAACTACTTATTTAACTATAGTATCTGTTGTTTCTGGCAACCAAGCTGTGTATGATCAGTTGGACAGAAATGAAAGGCATATGGTTCTTATCTTATTTCAGCTTTTTTTTTTTTTCCTTTTTTCCTTGAGACAGGGTCTCACTCTTTCTCTACTGTACTTGAGCCTGGGTGACAGAACAGTAATTTTGATTACTATATAAAAATTTTAATGCTTTAGAACTGAAAGAAAATGATAAACTTGAGTTTTAATCTGAATCAAAAATTGTTTTTTTCTGTAATTTATTGTTAAGTTAACCTGGAACACAAGAGAGCATTTAACTTGAATTTTGTTTGTCTAGGCATATTGGCACAATAATTTTGTTTTATTTTGTATGTTCTACAAGGAATTTTTGTTAGATTTTTTCTTTTGGTACAATTTTTCTGACTAAAATGCAGCATAATTGTCTTTATTATAGGATTGCTAAGGAGTAATAGTACGGAGACATCTTTGTGGTTTTATACACACACACATATATATATTTAACATAAGCTGTCTAAAATAAGTCACAAAACTTGCAGATTAGAAAAGGAAGCACATTTTGGCTGTTTTGGTGTCAGCATCTTAATTAAGTAGAAAATATTATGGACCTATAAATTGAACTTGCGACTGTTCACTCACTAGAGAGAACAATTTCCAGGGAGTTAGAATAGTTTTTCCTGAAGGAGAGTCAAATAAATTTGGGAAATAAGGTTGCTCTTGTAAAACAGTAATAGATTTAGCTTTTATTTTTTAATGATAAGAACATTAAATGTCTTCTAAGTCAGAATCAGAGTATATCTTTGTTAACTGAGCTCACCAAGACAAAGTGATAATAACACAAAACTGTGGTTTTTGGTAGTCTAATCAATTTAGAATGTTTTATTGTCATGTTAGTTGATTTTCTGTCTTTATTTGTATTTTTTCTTATCCTGGTTATAGAGACTTTTAAAATCTATGATTTAAATAAGTTGTGTTTTTCCCCCCTAGGTTCTTTTGAAGTAACCAGTGATCTTTTTTGCTTACCCTCATCAACAGAATGGATGAAGATAGATTTGACTGTGTGCTTTTTCAAGTGGAGAATATGAATATACAGAACAAGAAAGCAATAACTCCAACCTGTTTGATTCCGTCTGTTTTCTAAATAAAGACACTATGCGCTGGAAATAACATAGCATGCCGTGTGACTTGTTCTTTATATCAGTTCACTTTGGTCCAGATATCTAGACTTGATTTCTAGCTCCACATGTCATTCCCTTTTTTTCTACTCTTCGCCTTTTGCTCTTGAGTCCTTTGGTTCTTAACAGACTGATTTCTATGATACCTTCTAAAATGATTACTCCTCTTTTGGCACATAGGTGAGCACTATTCAATGGATTTTCCCCTGTCCTTTTTAATCACACTTTTATCTGTCCATGCTGAATAGTTGTTGCTGTACTTTTTAATCTCTGAAGAAATGCAAACTTTTTAAAAATTTCACCCTGAACATCATAGAGTGTACTTACACCTATATGGTACAGCCTACTATACACCTGGGCTATGTGGTATAGCTTACTGCTTGTAAGCTACTATCCTGTAGAGCATGTGAATACTGTAGACAATTGCAACGCAATGGCAACTATCTTATTAAAATTTAATGGCCGGACACGGTAGCTCATGCCTGCAATCCCAACACTTTGGGAGGCTGAGGCGGGCAGATCATTTGAGGTCAGGAGTTCAAGACCAGCCTGGCCTGGAAACCCTGTCTCTACTAAGAATACAAAAAATTAGTGGGGCATGGTAGCGGGCACCTGTAATTCCAGCTACTTGGGAAGCTGAGGCAGAATCCCTTGAGCCCGGGAGGCAGAGGTTGCAGTGAGCCAAGAACACACCACTGCACTCCAGCCTGGGCGACAGAGTGAGACTCCGTCACCAAAAAAAAAAAAAAAAAAAGCATGATGCTGGGCATGGTGGCCTACGCCTGTAATCCAGCACTTTGGGAGGCCCAGGTGAGCAGATTGCTTGAGGTCAAAGAGTTCGAGACCAGCCTGACCAACATGGTGAAACCCTATCTATCTCTACTAAAAATTATATATATAAAAATCAGCCAGGCATGGTGGCGCATAATCTCAGCTACTCAGGAGGCTGAGGCAGGAGAATCGCTTGAAAAGCCTTAGCTGGGCATGGTGCCTCACGCCTGTGATGCCAACACTGGTAGGTTGAGGTGGGCGGCTCACTTGAGCCCAGGAGTTCAAGACCAGCCTGGGCAACATGGTAAAATCCGGTGTCTACAAAAAAATGAGCCCAGCGTGGTGGTGCACACTTGTCCCAGCTACTCAGGAGGCTGAGGTGGCAGGATCACCTGAGCCCAGGAGATCGAGGCTGCAGTGAGCCATGATCATGCCATTGCACTGCAGCCTGGGTAACAGAGTAAGACCCTGTCTCAAAAAAAAACACTTTGATTATCATCATTTAACAAGTTTATTGTTAAAGCATGCATGGTAGTGTCACCTTGGATCCTCCAAAAGGCAGACACCAAGGTGGAGTCAGATACACTAGAGCTGTACTGAGGGAAATGCCTGTGAGGGATACAAGGGAGAGGGATCAGTAGGCAGGGAAGGCCTTCAGAATGCAATGTGCATGTGACAGAAGAGAGAGAAGAGAACTCAAACCTCAGCTGCTCTGAGAGTCTCCCAGCCTGATGAGGAATCTCAGAGCAGATTACCTATTAAGAGCAGTCCCAGATTGGGCAGAGATGGCCTGACTACTAGTCCAGAGCAGCCTGGGGAGAACACATGGTTTTCATGTGAGTGCTGTAACAGATCAGGAGGACTAGCAGCTGGTGGCTGTCAGATTTGTTACTTGCATCCAGTTTTCTTGAGAACTGAGTGGCACAATTCCACTCCTTAACACTGCACAGATCCACTTTACACCTTTGGGTAGCCCCTCCACAGTTCCATGAGCTTCTGATATAAACTCCACATCACATTGCATCTTTTCCTGCCACTGATACCCTCTTATACTATAAAGTTTATCAGATCATGTGGTCCAGTTTGTAGGGCTGCTTGCATCATAGCCTGAATCTTAATTTTCAACAGCCCTTTCTTGCTCCAAGGCCCTACTCAAGCCTAACATTTTTTTCATGTCATTTACTATATGGGTTGGAGTAGTGTTTCTAGGTGGAATGTCTTGCTTTCTGAATCTAGAGAACCCCAGAGTTACAGTGCTTGCTTCCTTGTAGCAGGTGATGCAAAATGTAGTGTGTCTTTTTACTTTGTAGAGTATTCCAGCATGCCCATGTCCCCTGGTCTCCTAGAACCCTTAAAGGAATGGCAGATCCTGGCCGGGAGCATTGGCTCACCCGGTGGCTCTGGGATTACAAAGCCTGTAATCCCAGCACTTTGGGAGGCCGAGGCGGGTGGATCATGAGGTCAGGAGTTTGAGACCAGCCTGGCCAAGATGGTGAAACCCTGTCTCTACTAAAAATACAAAAATTAGCCAGGCGTGGTGGCGCGCACCTGTAGTCCCAGCTACTTGGGAGGCTGAGGCAGGAGAATTGCTTGAACCCAGGAGGCGGAGGTTGCAGTGAGCCGAGATCGTACCATTGCACTCCAGCCTGGGCGACAAGAGCAAAACTCCATCTTAAAATAAAAAAAAAAAAAAAGGAATTGCAGATCCCCAAATCTATGTAGAGTTTCTCTCTCACCTGGGACACATAGCAAGGCTTCCGGTGTGCTAGCTACCTTACATTCATTTTGCTTATTTAGCATGATGTCATTGATGTAATGTTCTATGGAATGCCCAGATGGCCCACGTATTAGGCCATTCTTGCATTGCTATAAAGAAATACCTGAGACTGGTTAATTTACAAGAAAAGAATTGGCTCATGTTCCTACAGGAAGCATAGCAGCATCTTCCTTCCTGAGGGGAGGCCTCAGGAAGCTTGCATTTCATGGCGGAAGCCAAAGACAGAGCAGGTACATCACATGGTGAAAGCAGGAGCCAATGGGGGAAGATGCCACACACATGACCAGATCTCCAGAGAACTCACTGTCATGAAGACAGCAGCAAGCTACGCAGGATCTGCGCCTACGGCCCAAACACCTCCCACGAGGCCCCACCTTTAGCATTGGGGATTACAGTTCAACATGAGATTTGGGCAGAGACAAATATGCAAACTATATCATTCCATCCCAGCCCCTCCCAAATCTCGTCCTCACATTACGAAGTACAATTACGCCTTCCCAACAGTCCCCGCAAAGTCTTAACTCATTCCAGCATTCATTCAAAAGTTCCAAGTTTCAAATCCAAATTCTTATGTGGAAATGAGTTCCTTCTACCTATGAGCCTGTAAAATCAAAACAAGTTATTTACTTTGAAGATACAATGGGGGTTTGGGTATTGGCTAAACATTTTTGTTCCAAGTGGGACAAATAGGCCAAAAGAAGGGTTACAGAGCCCATCCAAGTTCAAAACCTAGCAGGGCAGTCATTAAATCTTAGACTCCATATTCCATATCCAGGGCACACTGCTGGCAGGGATGGACTCCCAAGGCCTTGGGCAGTTCTGCCCCTGTGTCTTTGCAGGGTTCACCCCTCTCAGGTGCTCTCACAGGTTGTTGAGTGCCTGTGGCCTTTTCAGGCTCAGGGTGCAAGCTGCAGGTGCATCTACCATTCTTGGGTCTGGAGGATGGTGGCCCTCTTCTCACAGCTCCACAAGGCAATGCCCCAGAAGGGACTCCATGTGGGGCCTCCAATCCCACATTTCCCCTCCGCACTACCCTAGTAGAGGTTCTTTATGTGGGCTCCACTGCTGCAGCAGGTTTCTGCCTGAACACCCAGGCTTTTCCATACATCCTCTGAAATCTAGGCAGAGGCTGCCAAGAACCCACCACTCTTGCACTCTTTGTACTTGCAGGCTTAACACCATGTGGAAGCCATTTACAACTTGTATTATCCAAAGTGGTAGCTTAAGCTGTACTTCGGCCCCTTTGAACCCTGGCTGGAGCTGGAGCTTCCGAGAGGTAGGGAGCAGTGTCCCAAGGCTGTGCAGGGCAGTGGAGCTCTGGGCCTGGCCCATGAAATCATTCTCCCCTCCTAGGTCTCAGGGCCTGCAATAGAAGGGGCTGCTGCATAGGTCTCTGAAATGTATTCAAGGCCTTTTTTCATTGTCTTGACTGTTAGTGAGAGGTGACAGCATGTTGGTGGTCCTCACAGCCCTCGCTCCCTCTTGGCGCCTCCTCTGCCTGGGCTCCCAATTTGGTGGCACTTGAGGAGCCCTTCAACCCACCGCTGCACTGTGGGAGCCCCTTTCTGGGCCGGCCAAGGCCAGAGCCGGCTCCCTCAGCTTGCAGGGAGGTGTGGAGGGAGAGGCGCGAGCGGGAACCGGGGCTACGCGCGGCGCTTGTGGGCCAGCTGGAGTTCCGGGCGGGCGTGGGCTTGGCGGGCCCTGCACTCGGAGCAGCCGGCCGGCCCTGCGGGCCCTGGGCAATGAGGGGCTTAGCACCTGGGCCAGCAGCTGCGGAGGGTGTACTAGGTCCCCCAGCAGTGCCAGCCCTCTGGCACTGTGCTCGATTTCTCGCTGGGCCTTAGCTGCCTTCCCGTGGGGCAGGGCTCCGGACCTGCAGCCCGCCACGCCTGAGCCTCCCACCCCCTCCATGGGCTCCTGTGCAGCCCGAGTCTCCTCGACGAGGGCCACCCCCTGCTCCACGGCACCCAGTCCCATCGACCACCCAAGGGCTGAGGAGTGCGGGCGCACGCAGGGGACTGGCAGGCAGCTCCACCTGCAGCCCCGGTGCGGGATTCACCGGGTGAAGCCAGCTGGGCTCCTGAATCTGGTGGGGCTTTGGAGAACCTTTACAATCCCTGAGCTAGACATAAATACACCAATCGGCACTCTGTATCTAGCTCAAGGTTTGTAAACACACCAGTCAGCACCCTGTGTCTAGCTCAGGGTTTGTGAGTGCACCAATTGACACTCTGTATCTAGCTGCTCTGGTGGGGCCGTGAAGAACCTTTATGTCTAGCTCAGGGATTGTAAATACACCAATCGGCACTCTGTATCTAGCTCAAGGTTTGTAAACACACCAATCAGCACCCTGTGTCTAGCTCAGGGTTTGTGAGTGCACCAATGGACACTCTGTATCTATCTGCTCTGGTGGGGCCTTGGAGAACCTTTGTGTGGATACTCTGTATCTAATCTGATGGGGACGTGGAGAACCTTTGTATCCAGCTCAGGGATTGTAAACGCACCAATCAGCGCCCTGTCAAAACAGACCACTGGGCTCTACCAATCAGCAGGACGTGGGTGGGGCCAGATAAGAGAATGAAACCAGGCTGCCCCAGCCAGCAGTGGCAACCCGCTTGGGTCCCCTTCCACACTGTGGAAGCTTTGTTCTTTTGCTCTTTGCAATAAATCTTGCTACTGCTCACTCTTTGGGTCCATGCTGCTTTTATGAGCTGTAACACTCACCACGAAGGCCTGCAGCTTCACTCCTGAAGCCAGCGAGACCACGAGCCCGCCGGGAGGAACGAACAACTCCAGATGTGCCGCCTTAAGAGCTGTAACACTCACCGCAAAGGTCTGCAGCTTCACTCCTGAGCCAGCGAGACCACGAACCCACCAGAAGGAAGAAACTCCGAACACATCCGAACATCAGAAGGAACAAACTCCAGACGCACCACCTTAAGAGCTGTAACACTCACCGCAAGGGTCCGCAGTTTCATTCTTGAAGTCAGTGAGACCAAGAACCCACCAATTCCGGACACATTTTGGCGACCCAGATGGGACTTTCGCCTATCACCAAGCGGTGAGACCATCACCTATAGCTGAGCGGTGAGACCATCACCTATAGCTGAGCGGCGAGACCATCACCTATCACCAAGCAGTGAGTACCACGGACCCCTTTCACTTGCTATTCTGTCCTATCTTTCCTTAGAATTCGGGGGCTAAATACCGGGCACCTGTCGGCCAGTTAAAAGTGACTAGCACGGCTGCCGGACTAAAGACATGGGTGTCAGGCTTTCTGGGAAAGGGCTAACAACCCCAACTCTTCAGAGTTGGGACCATTGGTTTGCCTAGCACCAGCTTCCACTTTTCCTGTACTTCTGGGCTGAGCCAAGGGTCGACAGAGAGGAAAGCCATGCAGCTCCAGGGTCCCGACAACAAGTTGGTTGACCCTGCGGCCATGAGTGGAACTCTCAAAGGCCTGTCGCCCAAGTGAGACTCGCCCATCTATCCTATCTATCCTGACCCTTGCCCCCTGGGTCCTAATGCCTGCCAGACAAACTTCCTCTCGCCTCTCTTCTCTGAGGTTAGTCCTGCTTCTAAAAATTGCTACCTGTCTCTGGTGCTTTTCTAGTTTCTCCTATAAGAATGATTTCTAGTATAAACTCCAGGTCTCTGCTACTTTCTGTAGGCACCCGGGCTCACCAATCAGAAAGACACAATTTTTGCCCAAAGCCCCATTGTAGTGGGGACTACCTGGAATTTTAGGATCCCTCCTCAGACTAACAGGCCTAACAAAAGCTATTCCTGAAGCTAGGATATGGGGAGCCTCAGAAATTGTATCCTTCCTATTCATGTAAGCGAGGACAAAAGGTGTCACTCTTCCAATCCTGAAGATCCCTTCCCTCCCTCAGGGCATGGCCCTCCACTTCATTTTTGGGGCATAACATCTTTATAGGAAAGGGGTAAAGTACCAATACTGACAGGAGAATGCTTAGGACTCTGACAGGTTTTTGAGAATGTGTCGGTAAGGGCCACCAAATCCGATTTTTCTCGGTCAGTCCTCCTTGTGGTCTAGGAGGACAGGCAAGGGTGCAGGTTTTCAAGACTGCATCAGTAAGGACCACTAAATCCAACGTTCCTTGGTCCTCCATGTGGTCTGGGAGGAAAACTAGTGTTTCTGTTGCTGCATCGGTGAGCGCAACTATTCCGATCAGCAGGGTCCTGGGACTGTTGCTGGTTCTTGGGCAGGGGTTGTTTCTGCTGCTGCGTCGGTGAGCGCAACTATTCCGATCAGCAGGGTCCAGGGACCTTTGTGGGTTCTTGGGCAGGGGGAGAAACAAACCAAAACTGTGGGCGGTTTTGTCTTTCAGATGGGAAACACTCAGGCATCAACAGGCTCACCCTTGAAATGCATCCTAAGCCATTGGGACCAATTTGATCCACAAACCTTGAAAAAGAGGCGGCTCATTTTTTTCTGCACTATGGCTTGGGCCCAATATTCTCTCTCTGATGAGGAAAAATGGCCACCTGAGGGAAGTACAAATTACAATACTATCCTGCAGCTTGACCTTTTCTGTAAGAGGGAAGGCAAATGGAGTGAAATACCTTATGTCCAAGCTTTCTTTTCATTGAAGGTGAATACACAACTATGCAAAGCTTGCAATTTACATCCCACAGGAGGACCTTTCAGCTTACCCCCATATCCTAGCCTCCCTATAGCTCCCCTTCCTATGAATGATAATCCTCCTCTAATCTCCCCTGCCCAGAAGGAAATAAGCAAAGAAATCTCCAAAGGTCCACAAAAACCCCCAGGCTATCGGTTATGTCCCCTTAAGCTGTAGGGGGAGGGGAATTTGGCCCAACCCAGCTACATGTCCCCTTCTCCCTCTCTGATTTAAAGCAGGTCAAGGCAGACCTGGGGAAGTTTTCAGATGATCCTGATAGGTACATAGATTTCCTACAGGGTCTAGGGCAAACCTTTTACCTCATTTGGAGAGATGTCATGCTACTGTTAGATAAAACCCTGGCCTTTAAGGAAAAGAATGTGGCTTTAGCTGCAGCCCGAGAGCTTGGAGATACCTGGTATCTTAGTCAAGTAAATGATAGAATGACAGCCGAAGAAAGGGACAAATTCCCTACCGGTCAGCAAGCCATCCCCAGTATGGATCCCCACTGGGACCTTGACTCAGATCATGGGGACTGGAGTTGTAAACATCTGTTGACCTGTGTTCTAGAAGGACTAAGGAGAATTAGAAAAAGCCCATGAATTATTCCATGATATCCACCATAACTCAGGGAAAAGAAGAAAATCCTCCTGCCTTCCTTGAGTGGCTACGAGAGGCCTTAAGAAAATATACTCCCCTGTCACCCGAATCACTCGAGGGTCAATTGATTCTGAAAGATAAGTTTATTACCCAATCAGCCTCAGATATCAGGAGAAAGCTCCAAAAGCAAGCCCTGGGCCCTGAACAAAACCTAGAGTCATTATTAAACCTGGCAACCTCAGTGTTCTATAATAGGGACCAAGAGGAACAGGCCCAAAAGGAAAAGCGAGATCAGAGAAAGGCTGCAGCCTTAGTCATGGCCCTCAGACAAGCAAACCTTGGTGGTTCAGAGAGGACAGAAAATGGAGCAGGCCAATCACCTGGTAGGGCTTGTTATCAGTGTGGTTTACTAGGACACTTTAAAAAAGATTGTCCAATGAGAAACAAGCTGCCCCCTTGTCCATGTCCACTATGCTGAGGCAATCACTGGAAGGTGCACTGCCCCAGAGGACGAAGGTTCCCTGGGTCAGAAGCCCCCAACCAGATGATCCAACAACAGGACTGAGGGGGCCCAGGGCAAGTGCCAGCTCATGTCATCACCCTCACTGATCCCCAGGTATGTTCAACTATTGAGGGCCAGGAAATTGACTTCCTCCTGGACACTGGCGCCGCCTTCTCAGTGTTAATCTCCTGTCCTGGACGACTGTCCTCAAGGTCCGTTACCATCCGAGGAATCCTGGGACAGCCTGTAACCAGGTATTTCTCCCACCTCCTCAGTTGTAATTGGGAGACTTGGCTCTTTTCACATGCCTTTCTTGTTATGCCTGAAAGTCCCACACCCTTATTAGGGAGGGATATATTAGCCAAGGCTGGAGCTATTATCTACATGAATATGGGGAACAAGTTACCCATTTGTTGTCCCCTACATGAGGAGGGAATCAACCCTGAAGTCTGGGAATTAGAAGGACAGTTTGGAAGGGCAAAAAAATGCCTGCCCAGTCCAAATCAAGTTAAAAGATCCCACCACTTTTCCTTATCAAAGGCAATATCCCTTAAGGCCTGAAGTTCATAAAGGATTACAGAATATTGTTAAACATTTGAAAGCTCCAGGCTTAGTAAGGAAATGCAGCAGTCACTGCAACACCCCAATTCTAGGAGTACAAAAACCGAACGGTCAGTGGAGACTAGTGCAAGATCTTAGACTCATTAATGAGGCAGTAGTTCCACTATATCCAGTTGTACCCAACCCCTATACCCTGCTCTCTCAAACACCAGAGGAAGCAGAATGGTTCATGGTTCTGGACCTCAAGGATGCCTTCTTCTGTATTCCCCTGCACTCTGACTCCCAGTTCCTCTTTGCTTTTGAGGATCCCACAGACCACACGTCCCAAATTACGTGGATGGTCTTGCCCCAAGGGTTTAGGGATAGCCCTTATCTGTTTGGTCAGGCACTGGCCCAAGATCTAGGCCACTTCTCAAGTCGAGGCACTCTGGTCCTTCAATATGCAGATGATTTACTTTTCGCTACCAGTTCAGAAGCCTCATGCCAGCAGGCTACTCTAGACCTCTTGAACTTTCTAGCTAATCAAAGGTACAAGGTGTCTAGGTCGAAGGCCCAGCTTTCCCTACAGCAGGTCAAATATCTAGGCCTAATCTTAGCCAGAGGGACCAGGGCCCTCAGCAAGGAACAAATACAGCCTATACTGGCTTATTCTCACCCTAAGACTTTAAAACAGTTGAGGGGGTTCCTTGGAATTACCGGCTTTGCCAACTATGGATCCCCGGATACAGTGAGATAGCCAGGCCCCTCTATACTCCAATCAAGGAAACCCAGAGGGCAAATACTCATCTAGTAGAATGGGAACCAGAGGCAGAAACAGCCTTCAAAACCTTAAAGCCGGCCCTAGTACAAGCTCCAGCTTTAAGCCTTCCCACAGGACAGAACTTCTCTTTATACGTCACAGAGAGAGCCAGGATAGCTCTTGGAGTCCTTACTCAGACTCGTGGGACAACCCCACAACCAGTGGCATACCTAAGTAAGGAAATTGATGTAGTAGCAAAAGGCTGGCCTCACTGTTTAAGGGTAGTTGCAGCAGTGGCCGTCTTAGCGTCAGAGGCTATCAAAATAATACAAGGAAAGCATCTCACTGTCTGGACTACTCATGATGTAAATGGCATACTAGGTGCCAAAGGAAGTTTATGGCTATCAGACAACCACCTACTTAGATACCAGGTACTACTCCTTGAGGGACCGGTGCTTCAAATACACATGTGTGTGGCCCTCAACCCTGCCACTTTTCTCCCAGAGGATGGGGAACCAATTGAGCATGACTGCCAACAAATTATAGTCCAGACTTATGCCGCCCGAGATGATCTCTTAGAAGTCCCCTTAACTAATCCTGACCTTAACCTATATACCAATGGAAGTTCAGTTGTGGAGAATGGGACACGAAGGGCAGGTTACGCCATAGTTAGTGATGTAACCATACTTGAAAGTAAGCCTCTTGCCCCAGGGATCAGTACCCAGTTAGCAGAACTAGTGGCACTTACCCAAGCCTTAAAACTGGGAAAGGGAAAAAGAATAAATGTGTATACAGATAGCAAGTATGCTTATCTAATCCTACATGCCTATGCTGCAATATGGAAATAGGGAGTTCCTAACCTCTGGGGAAACCCCCATTAAATACCACAAGGAAATTATAGAGTTATTGCACACAATGCAAAAACACAAAGAGGTGGGAATCTTACACTGACAAAGCCATCAAAATGGGAAGGAGAGGGGAGAACAGCAACATAAGCAGCTGGCAGAGGCAGCAGAAAGGAAGGAAGAGACAGGAAGTCAAAGAAAGAGACAGAGAGTAAGAAACAAAGAGAAGCAGTCAGAGTGAAAGAGAGACAGAAAGACAAAGTCAAGGAGAGAAAAAGAGATGGAAGTAGTAAAGAAAAAACAGTGTACCCTATTCCTTTAAAAGCCGGGGTAAACGTCTATCTACCCAGCCAAGGCATATTCTACTTATGTGGATCTTCAACCCATATCTGCCTCTCAGACAGTTTGCAAGAAATAACGAAATCTATCCTTACTTTACAATCCCAAATAGACTCTTTGGCAGCAGTGACTCTCCAAAACTACCGAGGCCTAGACCTCCTCACTGCTGAGAAAGGAGGACTCTGCACCTTCTTAGGGGAAGAGTGTTGTTTTTACACTAACCAGTCAGGGATAGTACAAGATGCTGCCCAGCGTTTACAGGAAAAGGCTTCTGAAATCAGACAACGCCTTTCAAATTCTTATACCAACCTCTGGAGTTGGGCAACATGGCTTCTCCCCTTTCTAGGTCCCGTGGTAGCCATCTTGCTGTTACTCGCCTTTAGGCCCTGTATTTTTAACCTTCTTGTCAAATTTGTTTCCTCTAGAATCAAGGCCATCAAGCTACAGATGGGCTTACAAATGGAACCCAAAATGAGTTCAACTAACAACTTCTACCAAGGGCCCCTGGACCGACCCACTGGCACTTCCCCTGGCCTAGAGTTCCCCTCTGAAGGACACTACAACTGCAAGGCCCCTTCTTCACCCCATCCAGCAGGAAGTAGCTAGAGCGGTCATCGGCCAAATTCCCAACAGCAGTTGGGGTGTCCTGTTTAGAGGGGGGATTGAGAGGTGACAGCATGCTGGCAGTCCTCAGCCCTCACTCACTCTTGGCACCTCCTCTGCCCGGGCTCCCACTTTGGTGGCACTTGAGGAGCGCTTCAGCCCACCGCTGCACTGTGGGAGCCCCTTTCTGGGCTGGCCAAGGCCAGAGCCGGCTCCCTCAGCTTCCAGGGAGGTGTGGAGGGAGAGGCTCAAGCGGGAACTGGGGCTGCGTGCGGCGCTTGCGGGCCAGCTGGAGTTCCGGGCGGGCGTGGGCTTGGCGGGCCCTGCACTCAGAGCAGCCAGCCGGCCCTGCCGGCCCCGGGCAGTGAGGGGCTTAGTACCTGGGCCAGCAGCTGTGAAGGGTGTACTGGGTCCCCCAGCAGTGCCAGCCCACCGGCGCTGCACTCGATTTCTCACCGGGCCTTAGCCGCCTTCCCATGGGGCAGGGCTTGGGACCTGCAGCCCGCCATGCCTGAGCCTCCCACACCCCCTCCATGGGCTCCTGTGCGGCCCGAGCCTCCTCGACGAGCGCCACCCCCTGCTCCACGGCACCCAGTCCCATCGACCACCCAAGGGCTGAGGAGTGCGGGCGCACGCAGGGGACTGGCAGGCAGCTCCACCTGCAGCCCCGGTGCGGGATTCACCGGGTGAAGCCAGCTGGGCTCCTGAATCTGGTGGGGCTTTGGAGAACCTTTACAATCCCTGAGCTAGACATAAATACACCAATCGGCACTCTGTATCTAGCTCAAGGTTTGTAAACACACCAGTCAGCACCCTGTGTCTAGCTCAGGGTTTGTGAGTGCACCAATTGACACTCTGTATCTAGCTGCTCTGGTGGGGCCGTGAAGAACCTTTATGTCTAGCTCAGGGATTGTAAATACACCAATCGGCACTCTGTATCTAGCTCAAGGTTTGTAAACACACCAATCAGCACCCTGTGTCTAGCTCAGGGTTTGTGAGTGCACCAATGGACACTCTGTATCTATCTGCTCTGGTGGGGCCTTGGAGAACCTTTGTGTGGATACTCTGTATCTAATCTGATGGGGACGTGGAGAACCTTTGTATCCAGCTCAGGGATTGTAAACGCACCAATCAGCGCCCTGTCAAAACAGACCACTGGGCTCTACCAATCAGCAGGACGTGGGTGGGGCCAGATAAGAGAATGAAACCAGGCTGCCCCAGCCAGCAGTGGCAACCCGCTTGGGTCCCCTTCCACACTGTGGAAGCTTTGTTCTTTTGCTCTTTGCAATAAATCTTGCTACTGCTCACTCTTTGGGTCCATGCTGCTTTTATGAGCTGTAACACTCACCACGAAGGCCTGCAGCTTCACTCCTGAAGCCAGCGAGACCACGAGCCCGCCGGGAGGAACGAACAACTCCAGATGTGCCGCCTTAAGAGCTGTAACACTCACCGCAAAGGTCTGCAGCTTCACTCCTGAGCCAGCGAGACCACGAACCCACCAGAAGGAAGAAACTCCGAACACATCCGAACATCAGAAGGAACAAACTCCAGACACACCACCTTAAGAGCTGTAACACTCACCGCAAGGGTCCGCAGTTTCATTCTTGAAGTCAGTGTGACCAAGAACCCACCAATTCCAGACACATTAGCACTGGCTCCTTTTTTTTTTAGACGGAGTCTCGCTCTTTTGCCCAGGCCGGAGTGCAGTGGCGCGATCTCGGCTCACTGCAAGCTCCGCCTCCCAGGTTCATACCATTCTCCTGCCCCAGACTCCCGAGTAGCTGGGACTACAGGCACCCGCCACTGAACCTGGTTAATTTTTTGTATTTTTAGTAGAGATGGGGTTTCACCGTGTTAGCCAGGATGGTCGCTATCTCCTGACCTCATGATCCGCCAGCCTCGGCCTCCCAAAGTGCTGGGATTACAGGGGTGAACCACCGCGCCCGGCCTCACTCCTTTTTAATTACGCAAATATCTCTAGCAAGTGGTTGCTCCACAGCCTGCTTGTATCCCTCTTTTGAGAAAGCTTTTTCTTTCTTTGCCACATGGGCAGACTACAAAATTTCCAAACTTTTATATTCTGCTTCCCTTTTAAATGTAAGCTCCAACTTTCTTCATCATTTCCATCTGAGACTCAGCAGCTTGGATCTCGCTGTCCATATCACTATCAGCATTTTGGTCACAACAATTTAACCAGTCTCTAAGAAGTTTTAAACCTTCCCTCATCTTCCTGTCTTTTTCTGAGCCTTCCAAACTCTTTCAGCCTCTGCCTGTTACATAGTTCCAAAATGACTTCCACATTTTCAGGTATCTTTATAGTAATTCCCCACCCCGGTGCCAATTTTCTCTTAGATTGCTATACAGAAATAGCTGAGACTGGGTAATTTATAAGAAAAGAGGTTTAATTGGCTCATGGTTCTACAGGCTGTACAGGAAGCATAGCAGCATCTGCTTCTGGGGAGGCCTCAGGAAACTTCCAATCGTGGCAGAAGGCAAAGGGGAAGCAGGCACATCACATGGTGAAAGCAGGAACAAGGTCAGGGGGCAGATGCTACACACTTTTAAATGACTAGATCTCGAGAGAACTGAAAAGACAGTACCAAGCTATGAGGGATCCACCCCCATGATCCAAACACCTCTGGGCAGGCCCCACATTCAGCACTGGGGATTACAATTCAACATGAGATGTGGGTGGGGACAAATATCCAAACTATAACAGCCTATAATTCACATTTTATCATCAAAGGAGCAAATATTATTCTTGGGGCAAAACTGAGTAAATATTGTCGTCCCACATGGATGTGAACTATTTCTAGTCTCTTTCCTGATAGAAGTAGGGGAAAAAATGCATTTACTAAATCAGTGGCTGTGTATTATGTACCTCACACTTAGTACCCCTACTGTGTGCAGTCATTGAGTGGAAGTAAACCAGAAAGTGGCCTCAGTGTGAGAACTGAGGTGGATCCAAAAATGGCAGCTGGCTGGGCATGATGGCTCACACCTGTAATCCTAGCACTTTGAGAGCCCAAGGCAGGCAAATCACTTGAGGTCAGGAGTTTGAAACCAGACTAGCCAACATGGTGAAACCCTTTCTCTACTAAAAATACAAAAAATTAGCCAGGCGTGGCCGGGCACAGTGGCTCATGCCTGTAATCCCAGCACTTTGGGAGGCCGATGCAGGCAGATCACCTGAGGTCAGGAGTTCGAGACCAGCCTGACCAACACAGTGAAACCCCGTCTCTACTAAAAATACAAAAACTAGCTGGGCATGGTGGCTCGCCACTGTAGTCCCAGCTACTCAGGAGGCTGAGGCAGGAGAATCACTTGAACCTGGGAGACGGAGGTTGTAATGAGCCAAGATTGCACCACTGCACTCTAGCTCGGGCTACGGAGCAAGAATCTGTCTCAAAAAAAAAAGAAAGAAAGAAAGAAAGAAAGAAAGAAAGAAAGAAAGAAAGAAAAAGAAAAAATTAGCCAAACATGGTGGTTCATGCTTGTAACCCCAGCTACTCAGGAGGCTGAAGCAGGAGAATCGCTTGAACCTGGCAGGCAGAGGTTGCAGTGAGCTGAGATTGTACCACTGCACTTCAACCTGGGCAACAGAGTGAGACTCCATCCCCACTCCCCCACAAAAAAAACAGCAGCTAGAGGCTGGCCAGGGAACTATGTTTCTCATAGAGGCCTGCCTGCCTGCCTGCCTTCCTTCCTTCCTTCTTTCCTTCCTTCTCTGTTTTTCTTTGACATGAATTAAAAAATAATTTTCATTATGTATGCATTAACATTGTTTTACTGTGGCAAGAACACCTAACATGAGTTCTACTCAATGGCATTTTAAGCGCACAATGCAGTATTGTCATCTACAGGCACAATATTGTATAGCAGAGCTCTAGAATTCACCTTGCATAATTGAAATGTTATATCCATTGATTAGCAACTTCCCATTTCCTGCAACCACCATTCTACTCTCTGTTTCTATAAGTTTGAGTATTTTAGAGACCTCATATAAGTGGAGTCATGGAGTATTTATCCTTCTGGGACTGGCTTATTCTCTTAGCATAATGTCCTCAAGTTCATTATGTTGTTGCATATTGCAGGATTTCCTTTTTTAAAGCTGAATAATATTCCATGTGTGTATATACTACATTTTTTAAATCCATTCATTGGTCAATAGACTTTAGGTTGTTTCCAGTCCTTGGCTAAGAATAGTGCTGCAAATGAACACGGAAGGGCAGACATCCAAGATCTCGATTTCAAGTTTTGTGTGTGTATTTGTTTGTTTGTTTGTTTGTTTTTTGATAAATACCCAGAAGTAGTATTGCTGAATCATATCGTAGTTGTATTTTTGGAGAAACTTCCATGCTGTTTTCCATAGCAGCTGCACCATTTTACAGCAGGTTTTCTTAAGGGAGGTCTGGGTGGCATACCTCTATGGCTGTCAAAGCTCACAATGTACAAATAGTTCTCAAGAAGAGAATAAATGAAGGTAAAATCCACTGACACCCCTCCCGTTCTGGTGACCTTACTCCCTACAGAAATCATTGTTAATATTTACTTGCATATACTTCCAAAATTTGTATATCCATTTATAAACATTTCTTAACCCAGTGGGATCATGATATAAGCAGTATTCCCTAACTTAACATTACATCTTGACTGTCTTGCCATACAAGCAGGTATACTGCTGTCTCAATTTTTTAAACAGCAACATAAAATTTTATTATTTGTTTCTACAATAATTTATTTCCTTGGCTTAGTTAAATGAAATAACTCAGTATTCTTCCAATAAATTCTCACTCCCCCCTCCCCCGCCACCATTTTTTGAGACAGGGTCTCACTCTGTCACCCAGGCTAGAGTGCAATGATGTGATCAAAGCTCACTGCAGCCTCAACCTCCTGGGCTCAAGAGATTCTCCTGCTTCACCTTCCTGAGTAGCTGGGACTATAGGCATGCACCACCACACGTGGCTAATTTTGAAAATTTTATTTTTATAGAGGTAGGGTCTTGCTATGTTGCCCAGACTGATCTCAAACTCCTGGCCTCAAGCAATCCTCCCACCTCAGTCTCCCAAAGTACTGGGATTACAGATGTGAGCCACTATGCCTGATGGATTTTTCTCCTTTGCTTACATTTGTAACATGCAGCCACAAAATTCTAATACAAGAAAAGAGAATAGGAGACAGGCACAGTGGCATATTTCTATAGTCCCAGCTATTTGCGAGGCTGAGACAGGAGGGTCACTTGAGTTCAGGAGTTTGAGGCTAGCCTGTGCAACACAGCCATACTGCCCATGGTAATTTATAGATTCAATGTCATCCCCATCAAGCTACCAGTGACTTTCTTCACAGAATTGGAAAAAACTACTTTAAAGTTCATATGGAACCAAAAAAAGAGCCCACATCGCCAAGTCAATCCTAAGCTGAAAGAACAAAGCTGGAGGCATCACACTACGTGATTTAAAACTATACTACAAGGATACAGTAACCAAAACAGCATGGTACTGGCACCAAAACAGAGATATAGACCAATGGAACAGAATAGAGTCCTCAGAAATAATACCACACATCTACGACTGTCTGATCTTTGACAAACCTGACAAAAACAAGAAATGGGGAAAGGATTCCCTATTTAATAAATGGTGCTGGGAAAACTGGCTAGCCATACGTAGAAAGCTGAAACTGGACCCTTTCCTTACACCTTGTACAAAAATTAATTCAAGATGGATTAAAGACTTAAATATTAGACCTAAAACCATAAAAACCCTCGAAGAAAACCTAGGCAATACATGCAGGCCATAGGCATGGGCAAGGACTTCATGACTAAAACACCAAAAACAATGGCAACAAAAGCCAAAATTAACCAATGGGATCTAATTAAACTAAAGAGCTTCTGCACAGCAAAAGAAACTACCATCAGAGTGAACAGGCATCCTACAGAATGAGAGAAAATGTTTACAATAATAATGTCAGATATTAGCCCATCTGACAAAGGGCTAATATCCAGAATCTACAAAGAACTTAAACAAATTTACAAGAAAAAATCAAACAACCCCATCAAAAAGTGGGCAAAGGATATCAACAGACAGTTCTCAAAGGAAGACATTTATGCAGCCAACAGACACATGAAAAAATGCTCATCATCACTGGTCATCAGAGAAATACAAATCAAAACCACAATGAGATACCATCTCACACCAGTTAGAATGGCGATCATTAAAAAGTCAGGAAACAACAGGTGCTGGAGAGGATGTGGAGAAATAGGAACACTTTTACACTGTTGGTGGGACTGTAAACTAATTCAACAATTGTGGAAGACAGTGTGACGATTCCTCAAGGATCTAGAACTAGAAATACCATTTGACCCAGCCATCCCATTACTGGGCATGTACCCAAAGGACTATAAATCATGTGGCTATAAAGACACATGCACGCATATGTTTATTGCAGCACTATTCACAATAGCAAAGACTTGGAACCAATCCAAATGTCCATCAATGATAGAATGGATTAAGAAAATGTGGCACATATACACCATGGAATACTATGCAGCCATAAAAAGATGAGTTCATGTCCTTTGTAGGGACATGGATGAAGCTGGAAACCATCATTCTCAGCAAACTATTGCAAGGACAGAAAACCAAACACTGCATGTTCTCACTCATAGGTGGGAATTGAACAATGAGAACACTTGGGCACAGGGTGGGGAACATCACACACCGGGGCCTGTCGTGGGGTGGGGAAGGGGGGAGGGATAGCATTAGGAGATATACCTAATGTAAATGACGAGTTAATGGGTGCAGCACACCAACATGGCACATGTGTACACATGTAACAAACCTGCACGTTGTGCACATGTGCCCTAGAACTGAAAGTATAATAATAAAAAAAGAAAATTTGGCACATATATACCATGGACTACTATGCAGCCATGAAAAAGGATGAGTTCATGTCCCTTGCAGGGACATGGATGAAGCTGGAAACCATCATTCTAACCAAACTATCACAAGGACAGAAAACCAAACACCATGTGTTCTCACTCATAGGTGGGAATTGAACAATGAGAACACATGGATACAGGGCGGGGAACATCACACACTGGGGCCTGTTGTGGGGTGGTTGGCTGGGGGAGGGATAGCATTAGGAGAAATACCTAATGTAAATGACGAGTTGATGGGTGCAGCAAACCAACATGGCACATGTATACCTATGTAACAAATCCGCACATTGTGTACATGTACCCTAGAACTTAAAGTATAATAAAATAATAATAATAATAATAATAATAATAATAATAATAATAATGCCTTGCTTTCACAAACCAGTAGAAGTTATGGATTGACCTGAGTGACACTAGATCTAGTGAAGGATAGTTGCACCATCGTAGGGATGTAGTAGGATTAAAGAATTGCCAAATCTAATTAACGTCTAGGGAGTATAACGTATCAAAAAGAAAAGTCATTTGTACCAGTTCAATAAAAATCAATTGAATATTTGAACACACACTTGGGGACTGTAATCAAAATCCATTTTTGGTATAATTAGAATATGAGATCATAACGGAAGCATAAAGTCTGCCAATTCAATATTTCCAAAGCAATTTTTATTTCATTATATTCCCCACTTTATACCTAATTCTACAGGAAAACCCATTCAAGTGAAAATACACACCAAGATCAGCCAGTCAAAAACAATATGTATTTATTGGGCACAGATCATAAATATTTCATAAATATTTATATATTCAGTGTATGTGGGCCAGGCACAGTGGCTCATGCCTGTAATCCCAGCACTTTGGGAGGCCGAGGCAGGTGGATCGCCTGAGGTCAGGAGTTCGAGACCAGCCTGGCCAACATAGTAAAACCCTGTCTCTACTAAAAATACAAAAAATTAGCTGGGCATGGTTGGGCACCTGTAATCCCAGCTACTAAGGAGGCTGAGGCAGGAGAATCGCTTGAACCTATGAGGCGGAGGTTGCTGTGAGCTGAGATCATGCCATTGCACTCCAGCCTGGGCAACAAGAGCAAAACTGTCTCAAAAAAAAAAAAAAATTCAGTGTTTGTGTAAGCAGAGTAATTCTAGATCACTTCATGTAAAGCATCTCTGCCAGAAAGCATGAAATATAATGCTCCTAGTCTGGGTTGAACAGAACTAACTCTTGATAACATAAACATATTATGTTATCCCCAGAGCAGATTTCCCAGTTAAGGGCATTTGCCATGAAGTCAAGCAATAAGTAAGACCCACCAAGTCTATTATTTGCACAATAGTCTTTAATAACCCTAGGCCATGGAGCACTTTGGGTCCAGGAATGGCAAGACCAGCAAGAAGATCACTGACTGTGGACAACTCTAATTAAAGTTTGACTTTTTTTTTTTATCTTAATCACCGGAGCATTCCTTCTGCCGCTCTGGAAAGCACCCTCCACCACATTTGGTCGCAGTATCCTAGAATCTTTGTGCTCTCGCTGCAGTTCCCTTTGGGTTCCATATGTTCCTTATTCCCATCCATGCCTAGCTGGATTGCTGCCGAGACCAGCTTGGTCGTGGAGACCCTAACCCAACGGTGCTAGAGGAATTAAAGACACACACACACAGAAATATAGAGTGTGGAGTGGGAAATCCGGGATCTCACAGCCTTCAGAGCCAAGAGCCTTAAACGGAGATTTACCCACATATTTATTGACAGCAAGCCAGTCATAAGATTTACTAAAAGTATTCCTCATGGAAAATGAAGGGATGGGCCGAAATAAAGGGATGAGCCTGGCTAGTTATCCACAGCGTGAACATATGCTTAAGGCACAGATCTCTCATGCTATTGTTAGTGGTTTAAGAATACCTTAAACGGTTTTCCACCCTGGGTGGGCCAGGTGTTCCTTGCCCTCATCCTGGTAAACTGATGACTTTCCAGCATGGGTGTCAAGGCCATCACAAGCATGTCACGACGCTGCAGAGATTTTGTTTATGGCCAGTTTTGGGGCCATTTTATGGCCAGATTTTGGGGCCTGTTCCCAACAGATTGCAGAGTTAAGTTTATGATTATGAAATAAAAACTAAATAATAAAACAAAAAGATAAATTCAGGAGAGAATATTTGTAGGATATAGCAAAACCTAAAAAACGGAGCACAGGACTTAGATCACACCTACAACAATAATACATCATTATGTCAGTATCAAGTGATGCTGTTTCCTGTGCTTTCATAGACATTTTCAAGTAGCCTGCAAAAGAACCCTACATTATATGAAATTAGTATTTTTGGTATTTTCAGAAGAGCACAAGTTATTTGTTTTCCTAAAAAAGTACAGAGCTGCATAGCAGAACATGTGTCCATGTATCCTGATTTCTAGAAAAGAAAAAGAACATTTTGCTGAAAAAGCCACTGTGGGCCGGGCTCAGTGGCTCATGCCTGTAATCCCAGCACTTTGGGAGGCCGAAGCGGGCAGATCACGAGGTCAGGAGATCGAGACCATCCTGGGTAACACGGTGAAACCCCATCTCTACTACAAAAAAAAAAAAAAATCAGCTGGGGGTGGCAGCAGGCGCCTGTAGTCCCAGCTACTCAGGAGGCTGAGGCAGGAGAACGGCGTGAACCCGGGAGGCGGAGCTTTCAGTGAGCTGAGATCGCGCCACTGCACTCCAGCCTGGGCGACACAGCGAGACTCTGTCTCATTTAAAAAAAAAAAAAAGATTTCTCTTTCTGAAACACTTTATACTTTACAGGAAGCACTTCCATCTGTTCTACTACTTCTCCTCCTCTCTCCCATCCCCCAAAATAATACCATCTAATTCAGAAAAATCAGAAAAATGGCTTAGTATAGACAAGGCAGTGTCTCATAGAAGAAATGATATGGCTAGGACTAAAGGAGAAGGACCCTGTCCTTCAAAGAAGAAAGAGAGATTTCTGTTTCTTTGAAAGATTTAAAGTTAGAAGAGTCAGAGGATTTAAAGTTAGAAGAGTAAGAAGAATAAAAGCATAAGAAACATCTGGATGAAAGAGGGTCCCTGAAACTTCTCAGTTGCTTGCTGATTTACATGCCATTAAACTTTTTCTGACAACTGTAACCCAGCTTATAGTCTTTGAAAATGAGTCATATTTATCATCAGTAGCACATATTAGGGACTCAGTCATATGTTATTAAGTAGCATTTCTTTAGTATTTTGTTACTGGACTTTTCA
Organism: Homo sapiens; assembly: GCF_000001405.40. Lineage (NCBI taxonomy): Eukaryota > Metazoa > Chordata > Mammalia > Primates > Hominidae > Homo > Homo sapiens. The sequence goes on from NC_000012.12 coordinate 8,804,654, forward strand.
TATGTGAATATCTTACGTTCTGAAATGTTTCCCTTGAAGTCAAAGAAAACACCTTCACATATGGTTCCTATAGTGTCTAACATGCTGAAGGTTTGCACAGTCAGGTTTCTTCTGATAAAAAAACAAGCAAACTATATACACATATACAAACTATATACATATATGTGTATAATATTATATGTATATAGTATTATATATATTATATATATGTATATATATACAAACTGTCAGGCCTCTGAGCCCAAGCTAAGCTATCATATCCCCTGTGACCTACACATCCAGGTGGCTTGTTCCTGCCTTAACTGATGACATTCCACCACAAAAGAAGTGAAAATGGCCTGTTCCTGCCTTAACTGATAACATTGTCTTATGAAATTCCTTCTCCTGGCTCACCCTGGCTCAAAAGCTCCCCTACTGAGCACCTTGTGACCCCCATTATGCCCGCCAGAGAACAACTCCCCTTTGACAGTAATTTTCCTTTACCTACCCAAATCCTATAAAACGGCCCCACCCCTATCTCCCTTCACTGACTCTCTTTTCGGACTCAGCCCACCTGCACCCAGGTGATTAAAAGCTTTATTGCTCACACAAAGCCTGTTTGGTGGTCTCTTCACATGGACGTGCATGAAATTTGGTGCCGTGACTCAGATCCGGGGACTTCCCTTGGGAGATCAATCCCCTGTCCTCCTGCTCTTTGCTCTGTGAAAAAGATCCACCTACGACCTCAGGTCCTCAGACCAAGCAGCCCAAGGAACATCTCACCAATTTTAAATCGGGTAAGCGGCCTCTTCTTACTCTCTTCTCCAACCTCTCTCACTGTCCCTCAACCACTTTCTCCTTTCCACTCTTCAATCTCTCCCTTCTCTTAATTTCAATTCCTTTCATTTTCTGGTAAAGACAAAGGAGACACGTTTTATCCATGGACACAAAACTCCGGCGCCGGTCACGGACTAGGGAAGGCAGCCTTCCCTTGGTGTTTAGTCATTGCAGGGACACCTCTCTGATTATTTACACACGTTTCAGAGGTGTCAATGCAGGAGGGACGCCTGCATTGGTCCTTCACCCTTAGCGGCAAGTCCCGCTTTTCTGGGGAAGGGGCAAGTACCCCAACCATTTCTCTCCGTGTCTCTACCCCTTCTCCACCTTTCTGGGGGGCAAGAAACCCCCAACCCCTTCTCCTTCACTCTTAGTGGCAAGTCCCGCTTTTGTAGAGGAGGGGCAAGTACCCCAACCTTGTATCTCTGCGCCCCAATCCCTTATTTCCGTGGCCCAACCTCTTATATCTCTGCGCCCCAATCCCTTATTTCCGTGCCCCGACCTCTTATCTCTGTGCCCCAACCCCTTATTTCCATGCCCCGACCTCTTATCTCTGTGCCCCACCCCTTATTTCCATGCCCCAACCTCTTATCTCTGTGCCCCAACCCCTTATATCTGTGCCCCAACCCCTTTCCCACTTTTCTGGAAGGTAAGAACCCCCGAACCCCTTCCCTCCATGTCTCTACTCTCCCTTTTCTCTAGGCTTGCTTCCTTCACTATGGGCAACCTTCCACCCTCCTTTCCTCCTTCTTCTGCCTTGGCCTGTGTTCTCAAAGACTTAAAACCTCTTCAACTCACACCTGACCTAAAACCTAAATGCCTTATTTTCTTCTGCAATGCTGCTTGACCCCAATACAAACTCAATAGTAGTTCCAAACAGCCGGAAAACGGCACTTTCAATTTTTCCATCCTGCAAGATCTAAATAATTCTTGTCATAAAATGGGCAAACGGTCTGAGGTGCCTGACAACCAGGCATTGTTTTACACATCAGTCCCTCCCTAGTCTCTGTGCCCAGTGCAACTTGTCCCAAATCTTCCTTCTTTCCCTCCTGCCTGTCCCCTCAGTACCAATCCCAAGTGTCGCTGAGTCTTTCTAATCTTCCTTTTCTACAGACCCATCTGACCTCTCCCTTCCTCCCCAGGCTGCTCCTCGCCAGGCCGAGCTAGGTCCCAATTCTTGCTCAGCCTCTGCTCCTCCACCCTATAATCCTTTTATCACCTCCCCTCCTCACACCTGGTCCGGCTTACAGTTTCGTTCCATGACTAGCCCTCCCCCACCTGCCCAGAAATTTACTCTTAAAAAGGTGGCTGGAGCTAAAGGCATATAGTCAAGGTTAATGCGCCATTTTCTTTATCCCAAATCAGATAGTGTTTAGGCTCTTTTTCATCAAATATAAAAACTCAGCCCAGTTCATGGCTCGTTCAGCAGCAACCCTGAGACGCTTTACAGCCCTAGACCCTAAAAGGTCAAAAGGCCGTCTTATTCTCAATATACATTTTATTACCCAATCTGCTCCCGACATTAAATAAAACTCCAAAAATTAAATTCCAGCCCTCAAACCCCACAACAGGATTTAATTAACCTTGCCTTCAAGGTGTACAATAATAGAAAAAAGTTGCAATTCTTTGCCTCCACTGTGAGACAAACCCCAGCCACATCTCCAGCACACAAGAACTTCCAAATGCCTGAACCACAGTGTCCAGGCATTCCTCCAGAACCTCCTCCGGCAGGAGCTTGTACAAGTGCCAGAAATCTGACCACCAGGCCAAGGAATGCCTGCAGCCCAGGATTCCTCCTAAGCCGTGTCCCATCTGTGCAGGACCCCATTGGAAATCAGACTGTTCAACTCACCTGGCAGCCGCTCCCAGAGCCCCTGGAACTCTGGCCCAAGGCTGTCTGACTGACTCCTTCTCGGCTTAGCAGCTGAAGACTGACGCTGCCCGATTGCCTCGGAAGCTCCGTAGACCATCACGGATGCCGAGCTTCGGGTAACTCTCACAGTGGAAGTTAAGTCTGTCCCCTTAGTCAATACGGAGGCTACCCACTCCACATTACCTTCTTTTCAAGGGCCTGTTTCCCTTGCCTCCATAACTGTTGTGGGTATTGACGGCCAGGCTTCTAAACCCCTGAAAACTCCCCCACTCTGGTGCCAACTAGGACAACACTCTTATGCACTCTTTTTTAGTTATCCCCACCTGCCCAGTTCCCTTATTAGGCCAAGATATTTTAACCAAATTATCTGCTTCCCTGACTATTCCTGGGCTACAGCCACATCTCATTGCTGCCCCTCTCCCCAACCCAAAGCCTCCTTCGCGTCTTCCTCTCATATCCCCCCACCTTAACCCACAAGTATGGGACATCTCTACTTCCCTGGCAACCGATCACATGGCCGTTACCATCTCATTAAAACCTAATCACCCTTACCCCGCTCAACGCCAATATCCCATCCCACAGCACGCTTTAAAAGGATTAAAGCCTGTTATCACTCGCCTGCTACAGCATGGGCTTCTAAAACCTATAAACTCTCCTTACAATTCCCCCATTTTACCTGTCCGAAAACTGGACAAGTCTTACAGATTAGTTCAGGATCTGCGCCTTATCAGCCAAATTGTTTTGCCTATCCACCCTGTGCTGCCCAACCCGTACACTCTTTTGTCCTCAATACCTTCCTCCACAACTCACTGTTCCGTGCTTGATCTTAAAGATGCTTTTTTCACTATTCCCCTGCACCTCTCGTCCCAGCCTCTCTTCGCTTTCACTTAGACTGACCCTGACACCCATTAGGCTCAGCAAATTACCTAGGCTGTACTGCTGCAAGGCTTAGTAGACAGCCCCCATTACTTCAGTCAAGCCCAAATTTCATCCTCATCTGTTACCTATCTCGGCATAATTCTCATAAAAACACACGTGCTCTCCCTGCTGATCATGTCCGATTAATCTCCCAAACTTCAATCCCTTACAAAACAACAACTCCTTTCCTTCCTAGGCATGGTTAGCGCAGTCAGAATTCTTACACAAGAGACAGGACCACACCCTGTAGCCTTTCTGTCCAAACAACTTGACCTTACTGTTTTAGCCTAGCCCTCATGTCTGCATGCAGCGGCTGCTGCTGCTTTAATACTTTTAGAGGCCCTCAAAATCACAAACTATGCTCAACTCACTCTCTACAGCTCTCATAATTTCCAAAATCTATTTTCTGACCCACACCTGACGCATATACTTTCTGCTCCCGGGCTCCTTCAGCTGTGCTTACTCTTTGTTAAGTCCCACAATTACCATTGTTCCTGGCCCGGACTTCAGTCCGGCCTCCCACATTATTCCTGATACCACACCTGACCCCCATGACTGCATCTCTCTGATCCACCTGACGTTCACCCCATTTCCCCACATTTCCTTCTTCCCTGTTTCTCACCCTGATCACACTTAGTTTATTGATGGCGGTTCCACCAGGCCTAATCGCCACACACCAGCAAAGGCAGGCTATGCTATAGTACAAGCCACTAGCCCGCCTCTTAGAACCTCTCATTTCCTTTCCATTGTGGAAATCTATCCTCAAAGAAATAACTTCTCAGTGTTCCATCTGCTATTCTACTACTCCTCAGGGATTATTCAGGCCCCCTCCCTTCCCTACACATCAAGCTCAAGGATTTGCCCCCACCCAGGACTGGCAAATTAGCTTTACTCAACATGCCCCGAGTAAGATAACTAAAATGCCTCTTAGTCTAGGTAGACACTTTCACTGGATAAGCAGAGTCCTTTCCTACAGGGTCTGAGAAGGCCACCACAGTCATTTCTTCCCTTCTGTCAGACATAATTCTTCAGTTTAGCCTTCCCACCTCAATACAGTCTGATAACAGACGAGCCTTTATTAGTCAAATCAGCCAAGCCTTTTTTCAGGCTCTTAGTATCCAGTGACAGACTAATGGTCTATTAAAAACACACCTCACGAAGCTCAGCCACCAACTCAAAAAGGACTGGACAATACTTTTACCACTTTCGCTTCTCAGAATTCAGGCCTGTCCTCAGAATGCTACAAGGTACAGCCCATTTAAGCTCCTGTATAGACGCTCCTTTTTATTAGGCCCCAGTCTCCTTCCAGACACCAGACCAACTTAGACTGTGCCCCCAAAAACCTGTCATCCCTACTATCTTCTGTCTAGTCATACTCTTATTCAGCGTTCTCAACTACTCATACATGCCCTGCTCTTGTTTACACTGCCAGTTTACACTGTTTCTCCAAGCCATCACAGCTGATATCTCCTGGTGCTATCCCCAAACCGCCACTCTTAACTCTTAAAGTAAATAAATAATCTTTGCTGGCAAGGCTATGCTGAACCTTCTTAGGCACTCTCTAATGAGATGTCCTAGGTCCTCCCAATTCTTAGTCCTTTAATACCTGTTTTTCTCCTTCTTTTATTCCATTTAGTTTTTCAATTCATACAAAACTGTATCCAGGCCATCACCAATAATTCTAAATGACAAATGTTTCTTCTAACAATCCCACAATATCACCCCTTACCACAAAATCTCCCTTCAGCTTAATCGCTCCCACTTTAGGTTCCCACGCCGCCCCAATCCCGCACGAAGCAGCCCTGAGAAACATCGCCCATTATCTCTCCATACCCTCATCCAAAATTTTCATCATCCCAACACTTTACCACTATTTCGTTTTATTTTTCTTATTAATATAAGACAGGAATGTCAGGCCTCTGAGCCCAAGCTAAGCCACCGTATCCCCTGTGGCCTGCACGTACACATCCAGATGACGGGTTCCTGCTTTAACTGATGACATTCCACCACAAAAGAAATGAAAATGGCCTGTTCCTGCCTTAACTGATGACATTGTCTTGTGAAATTCCTTCTCCTGGCTCATCCTGGCTCAAAGGCTCCCCTACTGAGCACCTTGTGACCCCCACTCTGCCCGCCAGAGAACAACTGCCCTTTGACTGTAATTTTCCTTTACCTACCCAAATCCTATAAAACGGCCCCACCCCTATCTCCCTTTGCTGACTCTCTTCGGACTCAGCCCACCTGCACCCAGGTGATTAAAAGCTTTATTGCTCACACAAAGCCTGTTTGGTGGTCTCTTCACACGGACGCGCATGAAAGGAATAGTATTTTCCAAGTACACATCTAAACTCCTGAAATTCTTCTGTTCGACATGTTTGCCCTTTGAAATCATGTTTTTGGAGTATTTCAAGCTAAACTTAATATCAGGTCCTGCTTCTCATAGTTCAAGTCGCTTGATCCCTATCTTTTTTTTTTTTCTTGAGACGGAGCCTTGCTCTGTTGCCCAGACTAGAGGGCAGTGGCACCATCTCGGCTCACTGCAATCTCTGCCTCCCAGGTTCAAATGATTCTCCTGCCTCAGCCTCCTGAGTAGCTGGGATTACAGGCGCCTGCACCGTGCCCAGCTAATTTTTGTATTTTTTAGTAGAGACGGGGTTTCACCATCTTGGCCAGGCTGGTCTCAAACTCCTGACCTCGTGATCAGTGGCTCACACCTGTAATCCTAGCATTTTGGAAGGCCGAGGCAGACAGATCACCTGAGGTCGGGTGTTCGAGACCAGCCTGACCAACATGGAGAAACCCTGTCTCTATTAAAAATACAAAATTAGCCAGGCATGGTGGTTGTGCGCCTGTAATCCCAGCTACTCAGGAAGCTGAGGCAGGAGAATCGCTTGAACCCAAGAGGCAGAGGTTGCAGTGAGCTGAGATTAAACCATTGTAATCCCAGGTACTTGAGAGGCTGAGGCAGGAGAATCGCTTGAACCTGGGAGGTGGAGGTTGCAGTGAGCTGAGATCTTGCCATTGCACTCCAGCCTGGGTGACAGGGCAAGACTCTGTCTCAAGAAAAAAAAAAAAGAAAGAAAAAAATAAAATAAAATATTTGTCTAGTAAATCTAACATCTTATTACCACAGGAAAAAGATAGTGATTGGTGATATTATGTAGCTTTATCTAAATATCTAGTTTTGAAAAATTTATTTCCCACTTATTCTTTTAAGGCAGTCAACAAAAATGTATTGAATGCTTACTATGTGCCAGATATTGCTGAATTTTAAGGAAACCTTTTGTTCCTTTCTCCCATCAACCCTTTCATAGATTTCTTTTTCTGGCTGGGTGCGGTGGCTCACGCCTGTAATCCCAGCACTTTGGGAGGCCCAGGAGGGCGGATCACAAGGTCAGGAGATCAAGACCATCCTGGCTAACACGGTGAAACTCCGTCTGTACTAAAAAATACAAAAAATTAGCCGGGCGCAGTGGCGGGCGCCTGTAGTCCCAGCTACTCAGGAGGCTGAGGCAGGAAAACCCGGGAGGCGGAGCTGGCAGTGAGCTGAGATCCCGCCACTGCACTCCAGCCTGGGCGACACAGCGAGACTCTGTCTCATTTAAAAAAAAAAAAGATTTCTTTTTCTGAAACAGTTTATACTTTACAGGAAGCACTTCCATCTGTTCTACTACTTCTCCTCCTCTCTCCCATCCCCCAAAATAATACCATCTAATTCAGAAAAATCAGAAAAATGGCTTAGTATAGACAAGGCAGTGTCTCAGAGAGGAAATGATACGGCTAGGACTAAGGGAGAAGGACCCTGTCCTTCAAAGAAGAAAGAGAGATTTCTGTTTCTTTGAAAGATTTAAAGTTACAAGAGTAAGAAGGATTTAAAGTTAGAAGAGTAAGAAGGATAAAGAATAAGAAACATCTGGATGAAAGAGGGTCCCTGAAACTTCTCAGTTGCTTGCTGATTTACATGCCATTAAACTTTTTCTGACAACTGTAACCCAGCTTATAGTCTTTGAAAATGAGTCATATTTATCATCAGTAGCACATATTAGGGACTCAGTCATATGTTATTAAGTAGCATTTCTTTAGTATTTTGTTACTGGACTTTTCATATGTGAATATCTTACGTTCTGAAATGTTTCCCTTGAAGTCAAAGAAAACACCTTCACATATGGTTCCTATAGTGTCTAACATGCTGAAGGTTTGCACAGTCAGGTTTCTTCCAATAAAAAACAAGCAAACTGTATACACATATACAAACTATATACATATATGTGTATAATATTATATGTATATAGTATTATATATGTAGTATATATTATGTATTATATAATACATTACATAATACATATATAATGTATTATATAATACACATATATAATACATTATATATGTATTATGTAATACATTATATATGTATTATATAATACACTATATATTATATAATACATTGTATAATACATTATATATTGTATTATATAATACATTATATATGTGTTATATATACATATATAATACACATATATTATATATATGTGTCATATAATATTATATATATTATATATGATGTGTATTATACATATATAATACACATATATGTATTATACATATATAATACATATATGTGTATTATATAATACATTATATAATACACATATTTTGTATTATATAAATTATATAATACATATATTATGTATTATATATATGTATATATATACAAGCTGTCAGGCCTCTGAGCCCAAGCTAAGCCATCATATCTCCTGTGGCCTGCACGTACACATCCAGATGGCCGGTTCCTGCCTTAACTGATGACATTGTCTTGTGAAATTCCTTCTCCTGGCTCATCCTGGCTCAAAAGCTCCCCTACTGAGCACCTTGTGACCCCCACTCTGCCCGCCAGAGAACAACCCCTCTTTGACTGTAATTTTCCTTTACCTACCCGAATCCTATAAAACGACCCCACCCCATCTCCCTTCACTGACTCTCTTTTCGGACTCAGCCCACCTGCACCCAGGTGATTAAAAGCTTTATTGCTTACACAAATCCCGTTTGGTGGTCTCTTCACACGGACGCACATGAAACAAACTATATATGTGTATGTATATAGTTTGTATATATGTATATACTTTGCTTGTTTATTTTTTTTTGAGATGGAGTTTTGCTCTTGTTGCCCAGGCTGGAGTAGTGGCACGATCTCGGCTCACTGCAACCTCTGCCTCCCAGGTTCAAGCGATTCTCCTGCCTCAGCCTCCCTAGTAGCTGGGATTACAGGCATGTGCTACCACACCCGGCTAATTTTGTATTTTTTTAGTAGAGACGGGGTTTCTCCATGTTGGTCAGGCTGGTCTCAAACTCCCAACCTCAGGTGATCCGCCCACCTCGGCCTCCCAAAAGTGCTGGGATTACAGGTGTGAGCTACTGCACCCGGCTTGTTTATATATATTATTTTTTAAATCTCTCAGGGTGTGGGGCAGGGCCTGCCCCACACCCTGAGAGATTTATAATTGGCTCACATGATTGTGGAGGCTGGCAAGTCCAATATCTCCAGGGCAGGCTGGACCCTATTTCCAAATTAAGTCACACTCGGAGATCCTAGGAGTTAGGACTTCAACATATAAATTTTGAGGGGGATACAATTTATCCCATAGCAGTGTTCAATAAATATTTGTTGGAAAAAAAAGGTTTTTCCCCCTAGGTATAATCTGAGCATGTGATCTCCATGTTTCTTTTTTCCCTCTTTGAACTTTCAGTTTTCTGTCATTTCTGACTTTAGGAAGCCAAATGTTGGTTTATGTGCTGTCTAAGCATGGGTGGGGTTGGGTAGCACCCTTATTTTCCCTGATGCATTCATATGCAAACTTTGGTACATTGCATATTCACTTGAATACATTTGAAAAAGGAACAGAGTGAAGCCTATAATTAGTAAGAAGGAGGGAGGAGACAGTGGCAAGCAAGGAGTGGCCCCAGCTTCTGCTTGTTCTTTCTTTTCTTTTCCTTAGTGTTGTGTCTTGGTTTGATTAGCCCCATGCTCTCTGGAGGTAGAACCTCAAATCAACAGTCCTGGGTGGAACAGAAACAGGCTCTTCTCCTCTGGCCTCCCTTGCAGTGAGGAGAGCAGAAAACTGACTTGCTGAGAATAGCATCCCTTAGCAGACAGGACTAAGCTGTCTCCTGGGAGGTTACCAAGTAAAGTGGGCTAATAGTTTTTGGAAAGCCCTTCGTGGAAAAGCAAAATAGTCAAAGAAGATGTTCACAGATGTAAGACCAAAGACTACCTGTGAAAAATAGAAATAATATGGAAATGCGAAAATAATACCCTTGAGCAGAATGGTGTGAAACAAAGTATAAAATACACAGAAATGAGTGAGGAAGGCTGGGATAATATAAAGACAGAAGACTTCCAAATACACCAGAATGAAAACATTTTCTTTAGCTGTACTGATTGGCAGTTATCATCACTAATTTTTTGGCACGAATAAATTGGAAATTTATGTCAGCACCCTTGGATAATAATTAAAAAATATATATTATAGGCCGGGCGTGGTGTCTCACACCTGTAATCCCAGCACTTTGGGAGGCCGAGGTGGATAGATTACCTGATGTCAGGAATTCGAGACCAGCCTGACCAACATGGTGAAACCCTGTCTCTACTAAAAATACAAAAAAAATTAGCCGGGGGTGGTGGGGGGGCGCCTGTAATCCCAGCTACTTGGGAGGCTGAGGCAGGATAATCACTTGAACCCAGGAGGCGGAGGTTGTCGTGAGCTGAGATCGTGCCATTGAACTCCAGCCTGAGCAACAAGAGTGAAACTCTGTCTCAAAAAACAAACAAAAACTATATATATATATATATATATATATATATATATATATATATATATGTTATGCCTAATATGTAGCATAACATGATAATATATAATTGATGTAATTCTTACTCCAGAAATACTTCTATTATTTACAATAAAGGTCCAAGTGTAAGAAGCCTTCGAAGTAACATATTATGGTGTCTATCTAAGCTAAAAGTCTCAAGTCAGGATTCTGATACCCAGAGCAAATCCAAGCACGCTAACCCCTTTACAGAATAGCCTTCCACACGGCTCCGTTTCGCCCATATGCACCACATGAGATGTCAACAGTAGGGTTTTATGCAGCCTAACTTTGGGAGATTATTAAACCCTGGACATTTCCTCCCACCAAATTCCAGACAGGTTATCAGACTGATAGCTGCATTTAAATAGATTTTAAAATGGATCAGAAGAGATAAAAATCACTGGTGGGCCGATTTGACTGATGGAAGTGGTAAAGGGAGTCAGCAGCTCTAGCTGGAGGGGCACTCACCATCTACGGAGGAGTGGGTGTTCACAGACCTGGGCGATTGCTCTTAGCAGGAAGAGTGATGGGAACCAAGGAAAACAAGACCGCAGTGGCTCATGCCGGTCATCCCAACACTTTGGGAGGCCATGGTGAAACCCTGTCTCTACTAAAAATACAAAAATTACCCCAGCATGGTGGCGCGCACCTGTAATCCCTGCTACTCAGGAGGCTGAGGCAGGAGAATCTCTTGAACCTGGGAGGTGGAAGTTGCAGTGAGCTGAGATCACGCCACCGTACTCCAGGGTGGGTGACAGAGCGAGATCCTGTCTCAAAAAAAAAAAGTTTATGGAGTTTATGTAGAGTGGTAGAGTGACCCAAAACTCAATTGAATATACTGGTTTTCCCTGTGTCCAAATCAAACAGAGCCTCCAGAGACCATCACAATTTTACAACCTAACCAAGAGACGGTGCGTGCATGTATGTATGTGCCTAGTGTGTGTGAATTAGGGGAAACATGGAGAAATTGTTTATAATTCTTGAATCTATTCTTTGATGTGTTTCATTATTTTTGGAAAATTCTCATTTCTTGTCTCTTCAAACATGTCTTCTGCTTGTTCTTTCTCGTTTCTCCTTCTAAGATTCTGATAATATGTATGCTAAGCCATTTGATATTGTTTTATAGCACTTGAAGATAATTCAAGTGCTATAAAAATTCAAATTATTTGAAAAGAATTCAAATGATTTTCACTCTTTTTTCTTGTTGTGTTTGTTTGGGTAATTTCTATTGACCTAACTTCAAGGCAATCGATTATTTCCTCAGCTATATTCGTATTGTCAAGGTTATTAATGAGCCTGAAGAAGGAGCTGCTCATCTCTGATACAGCATTTTCTTTTTTTTTTTTTTTTTTTTTTGAGACAGGATTTTGTTCTGTTGCCCAGGCTGGAGTGTAGTGGTGCGATCTCAGCTTGCTTGCGACCTTGGCCTCCTGGGCTCAAGTAATTCTCCCACCTCAGCCTCCCAAGTAGCTGGGACTACAGATATAAGTCACCACACCTAGCTAATGTCTTTATCTTACATAGACACAAAGTCTCCTCACTATGTTACCTAGGCTGGTCTCACACTCCTGGGCTCAAGTGATCTTTTTGCCTTGGCCTCCCAAAGTGCTGGGATTAATAGGCTTCAGCTACTGTTCCTGGCCTGATATTGCATATCTTATTTTTGAAACTTCTATAAAGTCTGTCATGTTTAGTATTTCAGGAAGTCGATCACTTCCACCTTTCTTTTGAAATCCACCCCTGACACCATCTCCTCATGTCTGTTGTCCTTTTTTTTTTTTCATGAGCTCCTTTGACATATGACTCCTGGGCATTTTAAAGTCTCTCTCTTTTATTATAACATGGAGGGCAGCTCTGAGCCTGGTTCCATTGATTACTTTGTATCTTCACAGGATGTTGTTGTCATCTTCTTCTTCTTTTGATACAACTTGTAATTTTTCATTGATTGCCAAACATCTTGTGTAGAACAGGAGAGATTTAAATAAATAGTATTTGTGACTAGAAATGGACACACCTCTTCTCAGGCAGTTAGCTTGGTGGATTGAGTTAATCTAGTTAAAAGGTGAACTGTGCAGGTTTTGTAATTGCCAAGTTTACTTTCGGTACATCATAGGCTTCAAATTCCTTTTGTGATGCCTTATGCTTAGGGTGGCATCTGGAGTGCTGGCTATTTCTCAGTGTTTGTGCCCCACCCTCAGCTCTCGTTCTCCTCTGTACACCACACAGCAGACCCCACAGAGGTCGTCTCTCTGCACGTTCATGCCCTCTGCCAGTGGCGGACTGCTTAGTTACTTGGTGCTCTTGCTCGGGTAATGGTGAGGGGACAGGGTGCTTCTCTGTTGCCCTCTTCATCTTCTATCTTAGGTAGGTTTATATGCCTGGGCCCTGGGGGATGAGTATTTCTGCCCCACTCCTTATGCCAGGCTGCCAAACCCTGCTTTGAATTTGTGGCTGGTCTTGGGTGGGAAAGATTTTTTTGTGCTCCTCCTTCAGTTTCAGGAGACCTCTAAAAGTATTAGCTTAGAACTCTGGGCTCACAATTGCTCCTTGTCCCTCCCTCGGACTAGGGTCCTCCCTGCTCTTCCCTTGGTAACACCTGTGCCCTGGGAGCAACAGTATTTGCCAGTCCTCCCCAGGGTCTTAAGGCTTTCGAGAGAGGAGCATGGGCAGCTGGGGCCTTTTCTGCAATGATAGCAAATACGGTCCTTGATGCCCATAGTACTGAGGGGGCTCTTTGTAGTCTCCCACTTGGCCCCCAGTATTTCCTGTGAACACCTGGTAGAGGTCATGGAAAGGAGCCTGTGGGTAAGTAAAGCCCTCCTTGCTTCTGTGACACCCAGAGGCTCCTTATAGTCACTCTAGTCTGCACTAGGCCTCTAGCAATTTATGAAAAATGTAGCTGCTTTCTTCTTGCATGCTTGTATGATGGCCTAAATACCTCCCATACTCTGGCACTGATGAGACACTCCACCCATCTGGTCTCTGCTCATGAGGATTGCATGTCCTTGAATTTCAGGCTACTTAGCTTACCTGCAACCTCAGCTCAGCTGTTTTGTTTTCTTTTGTTTTGTTTTGTGATGGAGTCTTGCTCTGTCACTCAGGCTGGAGTGCAATGGCGTGATCTCAGCTCACTGCAACCTCCACCTCCTGGGTTCAAGCAATTCTCCTGCCTCAGCCTCCCGAGTAGCTGGGATTACAGGCATGCACCACCATGCCTGGCTAATTTTTTTGTATTTTTAGTAAAGACAGGGTTTCACCATATTGGCCAGGCGGGTCTCGAACTCCTGACCTTGTGATCTGCTTGCCTCAGCCTCCCAAAGTGCTGGGATTACAGACGTGAGCCACCGCCCCCGGCCCAGCTCAGCATTTAGGTTCAACTTTTGGTTTAAGAAAAGTGATTTTGCAGTTTGTCTGGCTTTTTCATATTGTCAGAGAGGGGGCAATGCACTTTCCAGCTTATTTTTATTTTTTATTCTTAGAGACAGGGTCTTGCTCTGTTGCCCAGGCTGGAGTGCAGTGGCACAATCATGGCTCACTGCAGACTTGAAGTCCTGGGCTCTAGTGATCTTCCTGCCTCAGCCTCCCAAGTAGCTGGGCATGTGACACCACACCTAGCTAACTTTTAATTTTTTTTTTTGGTAGAGATGGGGTCTTACTATACTGCCCAGGTTGATCTCGAACTCCTGGCCTCAAACAACCCTCCCACCTTGCCTTCCCAAAGTGTTGAGATCACAGGCTCGAGCCACCAAGCCACACTCTTTCTAGCCTTTCAAATTCCAAGTTAAAGTGGAACTTGCCACATGTCGTTTTGTATCACTTTCCCCAACCCCTTTCTTTTCTTTTTTTTTTTTTTTTTGAGACGGAATTTCACTCTTGTTGCCCAGGCTGGAGTGCAATGTTATGCTCTCAGCTCACTGCAGCCTCCACCTCCCCAGTTCAAGTGATTTTCCTGCCTCAGCCTCCCGAGTAGCTGAGATTATAGGCGCCCACCACCATGCCTGGCTAATTTTTGTATTTTTGGGAGAGACAGGGTTTCGCCATGTTGACTAGGCTGGTCTCGAGCTCCTACGGATCGGCCTCCCAAAGTGCTGGGATTACAGGTGTGAGCCGCTGCACCAGCCCCAACCCCTTTCAATTAGCATTGCAAATAATTCCCCTTATCATGAAAACATTATTTTTAATGGCAGCAGAGTATTGCTTTATATTAACATGACAGTTTATTCAACCGAACTCTTTATGGGGCATTGTAATAGACTTAATGTTTTATGTTTGCAGCTCTTTACACCAACACTTTTCCTACTGTAGTGATTTCTTTGAACAATTTCCCCTCCCCAACTCCCTGTGGTTCTAAAGGGGTGGCCAATCACAGTACCCCATCACCCTGGCCTTTAGGTGGGAGAATGACCCAGGCCCTGCCTATCATACCCTCCTGACTACAGTGACTGATTCAGAGGTGAGCCAGCGAGAGAGGGAGGAACACAGTCCTTCTTCGGGAATTTCTATAACATAGGTGAAAAATTTTGTCAGTTGGGGTCGTGGAGCTGAACGAATATGGCTTGAGGGCTCCCAGCTGCCGTCCTCCCTACGACTTGAAGAAAAGCTTGTGTGCAGTAGGAGAAAATGAACCAATCAGAGACAAGTACACAAGAGAGAAGGACTGGGAGGAGTCGGCCCTGGCTGCACCACGTCTCCACTCCTGGGCTGTCAAGTTTTTCAAGGTGCTCTGGTTCCATAAGCTCATTCTTCCTGTTGGATCCATTCCAGTTACCAAAAACACTTTTTTGTTTAGGCTGGTTTGATATAGGATGATCATTGGTCCCAGAGAGCATCCTGGCTAATCTATTTTATTATTTTATTTTATGAGACAAGTTCTCACTGTTGCCCAGGCTGGAGTGCAGTGGTGCTATCATGGCTCATTGCAGCCTTGAACCCCTGGGCTCAAGCAAATCCTACCATCTCAGCCTCCAGAGTAGCTGGGACTACAGGCGTGCACCACCACACTCAGCTAATTTTAAAGAAATGTTTTATACAGACTGAAACTGCCTTTGCAAAATTGTAACAGGAAATTATGACAGTGCAAGAAGTCAGACCTAACCGACTCTATCTTGCTTCTAACCCTTAAGCTGTCCTTGTTTATTCCTGGGCATAGGCCGAAGTAACTTTGGGAAGGAATTCAGTTCATGGTTTGACTCTGAAACAAAATTGATAACAGCCCTTTCCCAAAAAGACCCCCTTCTTGCCCGGGGTCCAGTCTGCCTTTGTAGGACTAACAGATTAGCTACAAGATTAGAAATTACAGTTTAGAGGCCGGGTGCAGTGGCTCGCGCCTGTAATCCCAGCACTTTGGGAGGCCAAGGCGGGCGGATCACGAGGTCAGGAGATCGAGACCATCCTGGCTGACACGGTGAAACCCCGTCTCTACTAAAAATACAAAAAATTAGCCGGGCGTGGTGGCGGGCGCCTGTAGTCCCAGCTACTCGGGAGGCTGAGGCAGGAGAATGGCGTGAACCCGGGAGGCGGAGCTTGCAGTGAGCCGAGATCGCGCCATTGCACTTCAGCCTGGGCGGTAGAGCCAGACTCTGTCTCAAAAAAAAAAAAAAAGAAATTACAGTTTAGAGGTCATGCAGCCTCTGGCTCCAAGAGTCTGAACCTCCCCAAATTGCTCCTGGGGATAACATCACTGCTGTAAAACCTAAGATCAGTAATTGAGTTATTTTGCAGGCCCTGCACTCCATGGGATCAGCTGACACCACACAGACCAGTCATCTGGCCCAACCAGTTCTGCCATCTCACCCAGGAACAGAAGACATTAAGAAAATCTAACTTCGACCCTCTATGATTCCATCTCCAACCTGAGCAATCAGCACTCCCCACTTCCCAAGCCCCTACCTGCCAAATTATCTTTAAAAACTCTGATCCACGAAGGCTCAAGGATTTAAGTAATAATAAAACTCCAGTCTCCCACACAGCCGGCTCTGCGTGAATTACTCTTTTGCCATTGCAGTTCCCCTGTCTTGATAAATCGGCTCTGTCTAGGCAGCAAGCAAGGTGAATCCATTGGGTGGTTACAAAACGGGGTCTCACTATGTTGCCCAGGCTGGTCTCAAACTCTTGGGCTCAAGCAATCCTCCAGCTTCTGACTCCCAAAAGCTGGGATTATAGGCATGAGCCACTGCACTTAGACTAATTTATATTTTAGGTGACTTCTAAGTATTACCATCATAAAGAACACTGTGGGCTGGGCACGGTGGCTCATACCTGTAATCCCAGCACTTTGGGAGGCTGAGGTGGTCCCTGGAGCTCAGGAGTTCGAGACTAGCCTGGGCAACATGGTGAAACCCTGTCTCTATTAAAAATACAAAACAATTAGCCAGGAGTGTTGGTGCCTACCTGTGGTCCCAGCTACTCAGGAGGTGGAGGTGGGAGGATCGCTTGAGCCCAGGAGGTCAAAGCTGCAGTGGGCTGAGATTGTGCCACTGCACTCCAGCCTGGGTGATAAAGTGAGACTCTACTTCAAAAAAATAAAAAATAAAGAAAAGAAAAAAAAGAAAGAACAGTGTGAAAAAACTCAGTGTTACACTTGTGCATACATGCATGCTGTCCTTTTTTTCCTCATTAAGAAACATTTCCAGAGTAGGAGTTGCTGAGTGAAAGAATATGCAAATCTCAAAGGCTTTGGTGTGTATTACAAAATTGCCATGAGAAAGTTATCCACATTCTATTTTCTCTAGGACTGTGTGTGTCCCTATTTCCATACAGTCACAACAATACTGAGTAGTATTAATTTTTTTTTTTTTTGAGACAGAGTCTCGTTGTGTCACCCACGCTGGAGTAAAGTGGCATGATCTCGGCTCACTGCAACCTCCACCTCCCGGGTTCAAGCGATTCTCCTGCCTCAGCCTCCCAAGTAGCTGGGACTATAGGCACCCACCACTATGCCCAGCTGATTTTTTTTTCTTTGTATTTTTAGTAGAGACAGGGTTTCACTATGTTGGCCAGGCTGGTCTTGAACTCCTGACCTGGTGATCTGCCCACCTCAACCCCCCAAAGTGCTGGGATTACAGGCGTGAGCCACTGTGACCGGCCAAGTTTACTGCTTTTCTATTGAAACTGTTCTCATACCCGTGTTCCCAACTACACCTTAATTGAATAATAAAAGAAAATAAGGACATTAAATGAGAACAGGAATTGGAATGAGACCAGAAAAAAAGGGAGGAGTTCAAAATATGTTCTGAGAGCTTTACCATTATGAATACTCAGCTCTGGTTTTCCCCCAAAACTGGCTGAACCAGTATGGATGTTCCAGGCAGAAACAACTTTAAAGAAGTGAATAGTGGCCCTACCCTGGTCCACCACCTAACCTGGTGGTTACAGAAGGAGGAACACAGTCCTCCTGTGTTCCAGGTGCCAGGAGGTGACTGACTATAGCATCAGTCATCACTGCACACCCTACCTGGAATTAGTATATAAAGCTACGCGGAGCGATCTCTGCCCCTGACCCTGGAAAAATCTGTCTCACCCACAAAGATGTGGGCTCAGCTCCTTCTAGGAATGTTGGCCCTATCACCAGCCATTGCAGAAGAACTTCCGTGAGTGCTTGGTGTCAGAATTGGTTTATTAGGGCAGCGGCTTCTTCGCCTAACTTTCTCAAACATTTATATGGAGATGGGGAGATCAACTTTGGTTTATCTTAATTTCCTCCTCCTTTTTTCTCTTCTTTGGTTCCACTGATCCTTTACCCAGAGAGGGAGGCTGACGCATGAAGAGGAAGCTTTAAAAAAGATAAATATTAAAATGTGCCCTGTTTTCTGAAATAGGCCTAATTTCCTCCTTGGTGCTCTAGGCATGTGTGCTCGGTGAGGGCCTCCTGATGGCGGAAGTTGAAGACTGTGCACTGAGTCGTTGCCCCTCTGCTTCTTGTAGAAAATGAGGTGCATAAGGAAGGCAGGGGCTTGGTCTGTCTAATTCACTGCTACTTGCTGAGCGCTTAGGAGAGTGCTGGATTTTTCGAGTGAATGAATCATTATTGCCCTGAAATCCTTCTGCTCCTTTAATAGAAACTACCTGGTGACATTACCAGCCCGGCTAAATTTCCCCTCCGTTCAGAAGGTTTGTTTGGACCTGAGCCCTGGGTACAGTGATGTTAAATTCACGGTTACTCTGGAGACCAAGGACAAGACCCAGAAGTTGCTAGAATACTCTGGACTGAAGAAGAGGCACTTACATTGTATCTCCTTTCTTGTAAGCACAGACTCAGCCCTCACTCGAATCCCTTACTTGCCTATTCTCCTCCCTAGGCTCACTATAATCTACTTTAAGTATAATTTCTGTTATCTTTTGCCACGGCCTCTAAACCTATTTTTTCTCAACTTAACCTCAATCCCCGGCTATAACTCACCCACGGTTTCCTCGACCTAGGATTTCTCCCTTTAGTTCCTGACCTTAATTCTTCCTCGTGGTAATTTGTTTTATGTCTCTATCCTTGCTACCCCCATCTAACTCAGCTCTTTCCTTTAACTCACTGTTGGGTTGAGACCAGTTGATTCTGTTCCCCCAATCCCTTACCCCTCCCCAGAAGTCCCCTTTCTTGGTCAGGTACCACCTCCTGCTGGTGGCACAGAAGAAGTGGCCACAATCCGGGTGTCGGGAGTTGGAAATAACATCAGCTTTGAGGAGAAGAAAAAGGTTCTAATTCAGAGGCAGGGGAACGGCACCTTTGTACAGACTGACAAACCTCTCTACACCCCAGGGCAGCAAGGTAAGAGTCACATATTTGGGGTTCGACTAAAACCTGGGGAAACCGCTGTGCACAGGGGTAAAGAGGGGATTTGTGGTTTGACAGTAGGCTTTGGAAAAAAAGGAGTGCAGAGGAGAGGAAAATCTGGGGGGATTAAGTAGTGCAAGTGTTGAATACATGCTGCGCTACACAAGCAAGAGAAGTAGGTGGGGGTTGCTACTGAGTTTGTGTATCTAAAACAAAAGTACACATTTCTTCTGGAATAGAATTTGGCAAGTATAACTGGGTTGCTGGGCCTTACAACAAACTGCTTGTAAATGGCTAAGAAAGCACTGAGGGCATTTGGCTTGAGCTACTGGGGTTTTTTTTTTTTTTTTTTTTTTTTTTTGTATTTGTTCATTCGTCCTTACAGGGGCACTTCATTCTGAGATTTCAAAGTCAGGCACCCTGAAAAGAAACTATGTTTGGGTTTTTTTTATTTTTTTATTTAAAATTTTTGTGGGTACATAGCTGGTGTATATATATTTATGGGGTAGATGAGATATTTTTATACACACACACAATGTGTAATCATTACATCAGGGTACATGTGTATCCATCACCTCAAGCATTTATCATTTCCTTGTATTACAAACAATCCAATTATACTCTCTTAGTAATTTTTAAATGTGCAATAAATTATTGTTGACTGTAGTCACTCTTTGTGCTAAAAACTACAAGATCCCTAGATCTTATTCATTCTAGCTAAATATATTTTTGTACCCATTAACCATTCCCACCCCACCCCTCATCCTGCCCACCATTACCCTTCCCAGCATCTGGTAACCATCATTCTGTTCTCTCTCTCTCTTTCAAAAAAATTTTTTTCCTTTTACCTTATTTTTTTCCACACACTTAAAAATTATTATTCTATTCTCTATCTCCACGACTTCAATTGTTTTAATTTTTAGCTCCCACAAATAAATGAGAACATGGAAAGTTTGTCTTTCTGTGTCTGGTTTATTTTACTTAACATAATGACCTCCTGTTCCATTCAGGCTGTTGCAAAGGATGGGGTCTCATTCTTTTTTATGGCTGAATAGTACTCCATTATGTATGTGTACCACATTTTTTAATCCATTTTTTATCATCTGTTCATAGACACTTAGGTTGCTTCCATATCTTGGCTATTGTGAATACTGATGCCATAAACATGGCAGCACAGATAGTCTTTGATATACTGATTTCCTTTCTTTTGTATATATACTTAGCAGTGGGCTTGCAGGATTATATGGAAGCTCTATTTTTAGTTTTTTTCAGAAACCTCCAAACTGTTCTCCATAGTGGTTGTACTAATTTACATTCCCACCAACAGTGTATGAGGGTTCTCTTTTCTCCACATCCTCACCAGCATTTATTATTGTTTGTCTTTTGGAAAAAAGCCATTTTAACTGGGGTGAGATAATATCTCATTGTAGTTTTGATTTACATTTCTCTGACAGTCAATGATTTGAGCACCTTTTTTATATACCTGTTTGCCATTTGTATGTCTTCTTTTGAGAAATGTCTATTCAGATCTTTTTGCCCGTTCTTTAATCTGATTACTAGATGTTTTCCTATACAGCTGTCTGAGCTCCTTATATATTCTGGTTATTAATCCCTTGTCAGATGGGTAGTTTGCAAATATTTTCTTTCATTCTGTGGGTTGTCTCTTTGTTGATTGTTTCCTTTGCTGTGCAGAAGCTTTTTAACTTGATGTGATCCTGTTTGTCCATTTTTGCTTTGGTTTCTTGTGCTCCTTGGGTATTACTCAAGAAATCTTTGCCCAGACCAATGTTCTGGAGAGTTTCCCCAAAGTTTTCTTATATATAATAGTTTCATAGATTGAGGTATTAGATTTAAATCTTTCATCCATTTTGACTTGATTTTTCTATATGGAGAGAGATGAGGGTCTAGTTTCATTCTTCTGCATATGGATATCCAATTTTCCCAGAACCATTTATTGAAGAGCCTGTGCTTTCTCCAGTGTATACACTTGTCACCTTTGTCAAAAATGAGTTCACCCTAGACATGTTTCTGGGTTCTCTATTCTGTTCCATTGGTCTATGTATTTGTTTTTATGACAGTACCATGCTGTTTTGGTTACTATAGCTTTGCAGTATAATTTGAAGTCATGTAATGTGATTCTTCCAGCTTTGTTCTTTTTGTTCAGAATAGATTTGGTTATTTTAGGTCTTTTATGGTTCCATAAAAATTTTATGATTTTTTTTACAAAAGTCCTAAGATTTAGGATGTAGAATTTCTGTGAAGAATGTCATTAGTATTCTGATAGGGATTGCAATGAACCTGTAGATTGCCTTAGGTAGTACGGAATTTTAACAATATCAATTCTTCCAATCCAGAAACATGAAATCTCTTTTCATGTTTTTGTGTGTCCTCTTCAATTTCTTTCATCAGTATTTTATAGTTTTTATTGTTGAGATCTTTCACTTCTTTGGTAAAGTTTATTCCTAGGTATTTTATATTATTTATAGCTATTGTAAATGGAATTATCTTTCTTAATTTCTTTTTCAGATTGTTCCCTGTTGGCATATAGAAATGTTACTGAATTTTTTTTGTTTTTGAGACAGAGTCTCCCTCTGTTGCCCAGGCTGTGGAGTGCAGTGGCGGGATCACTGCTTACTGCAACCTCTGCCTCCTGGGTTCAAGTGATTCTTGTGCTTCAGCATCCCAAGTAGCTGGGAGTACAGGCATGCGCCACCATGCCCAGCTAATTTTTGTTTTTGTTTTTTTGTTTTTTGAGATGGAGTCTCATTCTGCCGCGCAGGCTGGAATGCAATAAATGGTTGCTCATTGCAGCCTCTGCCTCCTGGGTTCAAGTGATTCTCCTGCCTCAGCCTCCCGAGTAGCTGGGTTTACAGGTGAGCGCCACCACCCCTGGCTAATTTTTGTATTTTTGGTAGAGATGGAGTTTCGCCATGTTGGCCAGGCTGGTCTCCAACTCCTGACCTCAAGTTATCCTCCCCACTCAGCCTCCCAAAGTGCTGGGGTTACACGCGTAAGCCACCACGTCTGTCTTCTTGCACTTTTAGGATTCTTTTTTGTTTTTTATTCCTTGATGTTTGGGAGTTTGATTATTAAATGTCTTGAGGTAGACTCATTTGGGCTAAATCTGCTTGGTGTTCTATAATCTTGTAATTAATATTGATATCTTTCTCAGCTGGGCTCAGTGGCTCATGCTTGTAATCCCAGCACTTTGGGAGGCTGAGGTGGGCAAATCACCTGAGATGAGTATTTCGAGACCAGCCTGGCCAACATGGCAAAACCCTGTCTCTACTAAAAATACCAAATTAGCCAAGCAAGGTGGCCTGTGCCTGTAATCCCAGCTACTGGGGAGGCTGAGGCAGGAGAATCACTTGAACCAGGGAGGCGGAGGTCACATGAGCCAAGATCACATTACTGCACTCCAGCCTGGGCAACAGAGCGAGACTGTCTCAAATAATAATAATATTGATATCTTTCTCTAGGTTTGGAAAGTTCTCTGTTATTTTCACTTTGAATAAACTTTCCATCTCATTTTCTCTCTCAACCTCCTCTTTAAAGTCAATACCTCTTTTTTTTTCTCTTTGTTAAATTTATCTGATAAGATTCTGAATTCTTTCTCTGTGTTATCTAAAATTTTGTTGAGTTTCCTCAAAACAGCTATTTTGAATTCTCGATCTGAAAGATCACTATCTTTGTTTCTGGGAGATTGGTTGCTGGTGCCTTATTTAGTTCATCTGGTGAGGTAATTTTTTCCAACATGGTCTTGATGTGGATGTTCATTGGTGTCTGGGCATTGAAGAGTTAGGTATTTATTGTAGTCTTGGCATTCTGGACTTGTTTGTACCTGTCCTCCTTGGGCAGACTTTCCAGGTATTTGAAGGGACTTGGGTGTCGTAATCTAAGTGTTTGGACTCTGCAGTTCATCTGCATTAGGGAGGACCCCATGCTCAGTATCTCTGTGGCTCTTGAAGGCTCATAGAGGTACCTCCTTGATGGTCTTGGATAAGATCTGGAAGAATTCCAGATTACCAGGAGGAGACTCCTGTTCTCTTCCCTTACTTTCTCCAAAACAAACAGAGTTTCTCTCTTTGTGCTGAGCTGCCTGGAGAGAGGGGTGACACAAGCACCCCTGTGGCCACCAGCATTGGGACTGCACTGGGTCAGATCTGAAGCCAGCACCGTACTGTGTCTCACCCAAGGCCTGTGGTAACCAGTACCTGGCTACTGCCCATGTTTGCTCAAGGCCCTAGGGCTCTACAGTCAGCAGGTGACAAAGCCAGCCAGGCTTGTGTCCTCCCCTTCAGGGTGGTGAGTTCCCCATGACCCTGGAAGGTCCAGAGATGTAATCTGCGAGCCAGGGCCTGGAGTCAGAAACCTTAGGAATCTACCTGGTGTTCTGTTCTACTGCAGCTGAGTTGGCACCCAAGCCATAAGACAAAGTCCTTCCCACTCTTCCTTCCCCTTTTCACAGAGGAGTCTCTCTCTGTGGCCACCACTACTCCAGGCCCACAGGAGTACTGCCTGGATACTTCCAGTATTCTCTCGAGGCCCAAAGTCTCCTTTCACCAGCTTGTGGTGAATGGTGCCTGGCCTGGGACTCTCTTTTCAGGGCAGTGAGCTCTCCTCTGACAAACAGCAGGTCCAGAAATGGCATCCAAGAGCCACAGCCCATAACTGGCGACCCCAAGGGCCTGCTTGGTGCTGTACCCCACTGTGGCTGAGCTGGTACCTAAGCTGCAAGACAAAGTCCCCTTGACTCTTCCCTCTCCTTTTCTCAAGTAGAAGGAGTCTCTCCCCATAGTCACCACAGCTGGGAATGTGCTGAATCACTGGAAGCCAGCATGTCTCTGAGTCTCACCCAAGGCCCACGACAAGTACTGCCCAGCTATCACTGCTGAGTATTTAGAGCCCCAGGGGCTAATCGGAACTCAGCTTCCAACCGCTGGGATGGGCAGTTCACCCCTGGCTAACGCTGGTCTAAATGCTCCCTCCATGGGCACTGGCTGAGTTCTGCCCTGTGTGCTTTCCCCTGTGATTGGGCAGCATTGCATTCTAAAGCCAAGTCCCACAGTCACTGTGCTCTCCCGCCCTCAAGCTCATCGATTCTGTCTCTGTACCACAGTCACTGCTGGGGGATGGCGGGGAGGGGGTGAATCAGCAATTCAAGTGTGTCTTTTCTACCCTCTTCAGTGCCTCTTTCAGTGATATAAAGTTAAAACCAGGCACTGTGATCACTCTTCTGATTTTTGGTTCTTATGACAGTGCTGTTTTGCGTGGGCAGTTGTTCAGTTTGGTGTTACTGTGGGGGATGAGGAGGGTGGTCAATGGAGGCTTCTATTCTGCCTCTTGCTCTGCCTCCTGAGCTCCAGGCCTGTGTTTGGACTTTACCTTACTCTCAGAGCAGGTTTTGTAAAAAAGTAAAACCTGTTGGGGTTTTGCTGACTCAGAGCATGTGTGAGGAAGGAGGAGGGATAGAGGAAAGATTCTGAGCAGGAGGCGGAGCGCGGTGGCTCACGCCTATAATCCCAGCACTTTGGGAGGCCAAGGCAGGTGGATCACCTGAGGTCAGGAGTTCATAGACCAGCCTGGCCAACATGGTGAAACCCTGTCTCTACAAAAATTAGCCAAGTGTGGTGGCACCTGCCTGTGGTCCCAGCTACTCCGGAGGCTGGGGTGGGAGAATCACTTGAGCCCAGGAGTTTGAGGCTGAAGTGAGCCACGGTTGTGCCACTGCACTCCAACCTGGGTGACAGAGTGAGACCCTGTATCAAAAAAAAAAAAAAAAAAAAAATTCTGAGCCAGGAAACATCC
This sequence comes from Homo sapiens, assembly GCF_000001405.40. Classification (NCBI taxonomy): domain Eukaryota; kingdom Metazoa; phylum Chordata; class Mammalia; order Primates; family Hominidae; genus Homo; species Homo sapiens. The sequence goes on from NC_000012.12 coordinate 8,829,697, forward strand.
CCTTTGCTAATGATGCCTGTTCCTTTCCAGTGTATTTCCGCATTGTCACCATGGATAGCAACTTCGTTCCAGTGAATGACAAGGTGAGTTGGGAGGAGGAGAAGGAGTGGCGCAGGGAGAACAGGGAAAAGGATGAGAGATTCTCTAGGGTGGAAGTCCTCTCAGCCTGGGCGTGGCAAGGCGAGGCCCTCTGGGTTGGAGACTGCTGTGTGCGTGGGACTGGAAGTGCTGGGCGAGCTTCAGGGAGCTAGCCTAAATCAGCCTAGGAACAAGCAGAGGTAACCAGTTCTCAGCTTCAGTATCTACACATTCATCAGGTTCTTGAGAGATGGTTATGCTCCTTGTCATTTTATTTTATTTATTTGTTTATTTAGAGACAGAGTCTCGCTCTGTGGCCCAGGCTGGAGTGCAATGGCGTGACCTCAGCTCACTACAACCTCTGCCTCCTGGGTTTAAGCAATTCTCCTGCCTCGGCCTCCCAAATAGTTGGAATTACAGGCGCGCACCATCACGCCTGGCTAATTTTTGTATTTTTAGTAAAAACAGGGTTACATCATGTTGGCCAAGCTGGTCTCAAACTCCTGACCTCAAGTGTTCCACCCACCTCGGCCTCCCAAAGTGCTGGGATTACAGACAAGAGCCACCATGCTCAGCCCCCTTTCATTTTAAGAGTTTTCGCAAACTTCAAGACCTTTTCTTCAGGACTGACAAAAGCATTTTTTTTTTTAAGGCAGAAAGGAGAATGTCCGCTTCCACTCTGTTTCTATGAGGCAAAATAATTTACAAAGTAGGTAATTCTCTTAGGGCAACATTAAATAAATACATGCCAAAGCTTAAAATGTAGCAACATTTTGCGAATATTTGATTTTTCCTTGGACTCCCCATCCCTAGAATCATAAGCCTTACCACAGGTTTGATTTCAAGTTGGAGCATGTGTCATTTCTACATGCTTCTGAGACACTTACCTCCCGGACACCCCTGCTTTCTTCCTCTTCCGTCTGTCCCAGCCTGTGTATTCAAATGAAACTTTTAGAGATAAACATAGAGAAAGCATGATTTCCATTTTCCATCTCCGTGTTCTCAGAGCTGCTGTTTCCTTTCCCTATGTGCAGGGGAGTTATTAGCTTGTTATGATTGGTAATGCCCTACCCGCTACTCTCTTTCCCAATATAGATTTCCTTTTACTTCCTCCTTCCCATCACCTATGGCTTTTCTTTGGTAGGTATAACGTTGAGTACTTCTTACTTTTTTTTTTTTTTTTTAACATTTTAAGACAAGGTCTCATTCTGTCACCTAGGCTGGAGTGCAGTGGCAGTCATGGCTCACTGCAGCTTTGACCCTGCCCCGGGCTCAAGTAATCTTCCCATCTCAGTCTCCCCAGTAGCTGGGACCACAGGTGTGCACTACCACACCTGGCTAATTATTTTATTTTTTTGTAGAGTTGTGGGGGGCGGGGGTCTCACCTTGTTGCGCAGGCCGGTCTTGAGCTCCTGGCCTCTCTCGCTTTGGTCTCCCAAAGTGTTGGGATTATAGGCCTGAGCCACTGCACCCGGCCTGAGTGCTTACTTCTTAACAGACTGTTTTCTCTAGAGCTGCAACAAGGAAGTGCTGGGTTCAAAGCGTGGCCCGCAGCAGCACTATTTTAGACTCACTTACCCTCAGGGTTGATCTCATTAACTACCCCTGTTACGATTCAAATGAAGCGGGATTACTTCCAGGTGTTCTGTTTTCTGCAGTTAGGCTCTTTCTCTTGTGAAATTACTCCTTCCTCCCCACTCTATTTCTCCAGCCAAACTCTCCCTCCAAATTCAGTTGAAACACTGAGATTAACAAAAGGAATTTTACCAAGAAAGCTAGGATAAAAATTGTGTTTATGTAACCACCCAATGGGTTCACCTTGCCTGCTGCTTAGACAGGGTTGATTTATCGAGACAGGGGAATTGCAATGAAGAAAGAGTAACTCACCCAGAGCCGGCTGTGTGGGAGACTGGAGTTTTACTGTTACTCAAATCAGTCTCCCTGAGCATTTGGAAATCGAGTTTTTTTTTGTTTTTGTTTTTGTTTTTTTTTGAGACGGAGTTTCATTCTTGTTGCCCAGGCTGGAGTGCAATGGCGCGATCTCGGCTCGCCGCAACCTCTGCCTCCCAGGTTCAAGTGATTCTCCTGCCTCAGCCTCCCAAGTAGCTGGGATTACAGGCATGCGCCAACACGCCCGGCTAATTTTGGTACTTTTAGTAGAGACGGGGTTTCTTCATGTTGGTCAGGCTGTTCTTGAACTCCCGACCTCAAGTGATCCGCCCGCCTCGGCCTCCCAAAGTGCTGGGATTACAGGCGTGAGCCACCGCGCCTGGCCAGGAAATCGAGTTTTTAAAGATAATTTGGCAGGTAGGGGCTTGGGAAGTGGGGAGTGCTGATTGGTCAGGTTGGAGATGGAGTCATAGATGGTCAAAGTGAGGTTTTCTTGCTGTTTTCCTCCTCCTGGGTGGGATGGCAGAACTGGTTGAGCCAGATTACTGGTCTGGGTGGTGTCAGCTGATCCACTGAATGCAGGGTCTGCAGAACATCTCAGGCGCTGATCTTGGGTTTTACAACAGTGATGTTCTCCCCAGGAGCAATTTGAAGAGGTTCAGACTCTTGGAGTCAGAGGCTGCATGACCCCTAAAGTGTAATTTCTAATCTTGTAGCTAATTTGTTAGTCCTGCAAAGGCAGACTGGTCCCCGGGCAAGAAGGGGGTCTTTTTGGGAAAGGGCTGTTATCAATTTTGTTTCAGAGTCAAACCATGAACTGAATTCCTTCCCAAAGTTAGTCTGGCTTACACCCAGGAATCCACAAGGACAGCTTACAAGTTAGAAGCAAGATGGAGTCGGTTAGGTCTGACATCTTTCACTTTCATAGTTTCCTCAGTTATAATTTTGCAAAGGCGGCTTCAGTCCCTCCCTTTGGGTTTTATAACACCTTAATCTTCAGGTGTGGGCTAGGAAGATGGGAAAAGGCTGTCGATTGTTCTGGCTTCTTCCTGCTGAGAGGGGGCGTAGTGAGGGTACCTAAGGTGAGAGGAGTGGAACTGCTTAGAAGCAAGATAGCGTTGGTTAGGTCTGATTTCTTTCACTGTCATCGTTTCCTCAGTTTTAATTTTGCAAAGTCAGTTTCATTTACACAGCACAATATTTAATCCCCAAACAAGTAAAGTAAGCCTGATATTAACTGACCCTGTCTAACTTGATTGCTATACTCAGTTATTCAGAAACTCCAGGCAACTTCCAGTCGGAAATGCTACTTTCCTTTTTTTTTTTTGAGACGGAGTTTCGCTGCGTTGCCCAGGTTGGAGTGCAGTAGCGGGATCTCAGCTCACTGCAACCTCCCCCTCCTGGGTTCAAAGGATTCTCCCGCCTCAGCCTCCCAAGTAGTTGGGTTTACAGGAATGTACCACCACATCTGGCTAATTTTGTATTTTTAGTAGAAATGTGGTTTTACCATGTCGGTCAGGCTGGTCTCAAACTCCTGACCTCAGGTGATCTGCCCACCTCAGCCTCCCAAAGTGCTGGGATTATGGGCGTGAGCCACCATGCCTGGCCTCAGCAATGCTACTTTCCTAGTGAAACACTTATTTTCTTCCAGAGCCTATTTCTGGCCAACTGATGTCTTTCCTGATTCTTGATCCCTGTGTGAGAAAAGTACTTTGTTATCGAAGTGTTTTTTGTTGTTGTTGTTTTGTATTTTGTTTTTGAGTTACTTTGTCACCCAGGCTGGAGTGCAGTGGCATGATCCCGGCTCAAGCAACCTCCACTGTCCGGGTTCAAGTGATTCTTCTGCCTCAGCCTCCGGAGTAGCTGGGGTTACAGGCATGTGCCACCATGTCCGGCTAATTTTTGTATTTTTAGTAGAGAGGGGTTTCACCATGTTGGCCAGGCTGGTCTTGAACTCCTAACCTCAGGTGATCCAACCGCCACAGCCTCCCAAAGTGCTGGGATTACAGGTGTGAGCCACCGTGTCTGGCCTAAAGAAGTGTTTGTTTGTTTTGTTTTGTTTTGACTTTATGGAAATTTATAGCAATCTTAGTGATATTCTCCTCCTGATGTTTATATAGCCCAGGTTTGTGGAAGTCCTAGCTCATCGTGATCCTTAGATCTCCTTATTTTTTGCTTTTTTTGAAGAATTGCCATTATCCCTACTATCAAGGCTGATATTTGTATTTAGTGGTTCAGCTTCTTCACTGGTTGGCATCACATGACACTTGGCCCAAGAATAAAAAAATCAAGGACTGTCTTGATTTCATTTTCTTCTTTCCAAGTTAGATCCAAACTGGTCTTCTCTTTTGAATACCTTTGCAGTCTCTCTGAGCCCCTCTCCTGCTATTCACTGAATTCCAGCTTTCAATCTCATCTAGTTGCAAGCACAATGACCTGTTCCTCACAAACTTAATGGTTTCACATCTATTTAGCAACTACTGTCTTGAGGAAAGTGATACATGATTCTCCAATGGAACTATTTCAAACAATTTTAAAAATAATTATTTGCAATGCTTGAAAGTAAGCTTCCTGCCCACAAGCATTCAGATGGTAAAGGAAGAAGCCAGGAGATGGTTGGCTACCAAGAAGAGGTTTAAACATTGAGGAACCCCCTGGTGCTAATACTTCTTTTAGGGCATGTTTCTTGTGCAAGAGCTCAGTCACAGGGTACTGAGACTGGTCTGACGCTCCAGTTCTTCAAATCTTTTGGAGACTGGCAATTCCTTTGAGATTCCTGCCCCCACTCTTACCCTCCTCCTGCCTTGTTTCCCTCCCAAGAAGTCTGTGCCCCCATTGTTATTCTTTTCAGGGCACAAAAGAGCCATTTAGAAAGGAAGAAATGAAGAAATGGGCAAGAGGGAAAGGAAGAATTCTTTGTGAACTTTTGCTTTCAGCAAACTTATTCTTATTGCTGTCAACCTTCTTTAACCCGCATTATCTGGTTTTCCTTTTCAGTACTCCATGGTGGAACTACAGGTAAGCGGAAGTTTCTTTCTCTTCTCTGTCAGTTGTGGAAGAGGAAGAATGAGAATTTGGTGGTACACCTTGAAGACAGAAGCAACTCTGAGATCTTGGCCCAGAGCCCCATGACTCTGCCCAGCACCGAGCGCCCACATCCACCTAAGCTGTGCCTGCTTTCTTGCCTCTGCCCTCCTAGTCTCTCACACCTACATTTCAGTAGACAAGGACACCAGCCTCTGTAATGACTACACCGCTCTCTCATTCCCCTAACTTCTCTGTGCCCAGATGACTTAACCAGGCTTGGTTCCATACTCCCCTTAGTGTAAGGTAATAGCCCTTGCCATAGGCATTCTCAACAGGTACGTGATAACATAAACACCTGTGAGAAGTATTTTAAAGGAAAGGCTCTAGAAGGTGATTTCTCCACAATATCTTCTCCATTTTTCCATTAAATCACCCATGTTTTAGGTATCTTACAATCAATCTCCTCAGCCTTGTCCCCTAATAGTGACCAGAAACAGAGTAAACATTCTTTGTAAATGACATCCTGGGTCCTACTTTCTAAAACTGGAGATAACACTTTAGAGGGCTCAGTCTGATCATTAAAATCCACAAGATTTCCTACCAAATGGGGGCTGGATCTATAGAAATATTTACCTCATTCCGCCATAAAGAAAGTTATAAATAACACAGGGAGCTGCTCTTCCTGGACACAGACCACAGGGGTCATGAACAATGGGTGGGGTTTTTTACCTGCCTTTTGCTTCTTTACCTGCTTTTTGCAATGCAGAGTGGGAAGCAAACGGGCAGGCACATCATGCAGTTTCTCTATTGGACAGGATCCAAATAGCAACAGGATTGCACAGTGGCTGGAAGTGGTACCTGAGCAAGGCATTGTAGACCTGTCCTTCCAACTGGCACCAGAGGCAATGCTGGGCACCTACACTGTGGCAGTGGCTGAGGGCAAGACCTTTGGTACTTTCAGTGTGGAGGAATATGGTAGGTGGGGAAATGGACAGGCCAAAGTATTGGGCATAATCTCATCTTAAAATCAGCAAAGGTGGAGCCGGGCGCAGTGGCTCACGCCTGTAATCCCAGGACTTTGGGAGGCCGAGGCGGGCAGATCATGAGGTCAGGAGATCGAGACCACCCTGGCTAACACAGTGAAACCCTGTCTCCACTAACAATACAAAAAATTAGCCGGGCGTGGTGGCAGGTGCCTGTAGTCTCAGCTACTCGGGAGGCTGAGGCAGGAGAATGGCGTGAACCTGGGAGGTGCAGCTTGCAGTGAGCTGACATCACGCCACTGCACTCCAGCCTGGGTGACAGAGCAAGACTCCGTCTCAAAAAAAAAAAAAAAAAAAAAATCAGCAAAGGTGGAGTAAAATGTACTCTGGGAAAGGATTATTTACTCATTTTTGAATCGATGCTGAACCAGCTAATTACTTCAGGAACATGCTACCTAAATAATGCCTCCTTCATTAGATCCATTAATTTAATTCTCACTGTTTATACCCCTCTGCTCACTGCCTGTCTGACTGATTCCTCCTCCAGTGCTTTCTCCATTTCTCCTTTTACTCTCTTCAGTGCTGCCGAAGTTTAAGGTGGAAGTGGTGGAACCCAAGGAGTTATCAACGGTGCAGGAATCTTTCTTAGTAAAAATTTGTTGTAGGTAAGAGCAGAAGCTTGGGATCTGGTGGAGATTAAAGATGCATCGAGAGACATGATGAGGGGATGACATGGGATGTGGGATTATGGGTGGGCCAAAACTTGGGGCATTTTATGTAATTCAGAGTCATGGCTTATCCAAGACCTTTTTTTTTTTTTTTTTTTGAGACAAAGTCTCACTCTTGTTTCCCAGGCTGGAGTGCAATCACGTGATCTCGGCTCACTGCAACCTCCGCCTCATGGGTTCAAGCGATTCTCCTGCCTCAACCTCTAGAGTAGCTGGGATCACAGGCGCGCGCCACCATGCCTGGCTAATGTTTGTATTTTTAGTAGAGATGGGATTTCGCCGTGTTGGCCAGGCTGGTCTCGGACTCCTGACCTCAGGTGATCCGCCCACCTTGGCCTCCCAAAGTGTTGGATTACAGACGTGAGCCACCGCGCCCAGCCAAGAACATATTTTATAGTTGTGTTTCTGCTGTTTTTTTCCATTGCTCACTCAGATAGTATTATTGATTTAGTCTTTACAAGACACAATATTGAATCCCATAGATAAATATGGATCAGGAGAAAGAAAGATACTGTTTCCGTCCTTAGTATGGTGCTAATTGTGGAAGTGGGTCTACTCTAAGACTCTGAGTAAAGTAGGGAAGGGGAAGAGAGCTAGAGAAAGGTAGGATTGTCAGAGCTTGCTTTCTTCTTTTTTTTGAGACAGAGTCTCTGTCACGCAGGCTGGGGTGCAGTGGGGAGATCTCAGCTCACTGCAACCTCTGTCTCCCAGGTTCAAGCGATTCTCCTGCCTCTTCCTCCCGGAGAAGCTGGGATTACAGGTGTGAGCCACCATGCCCAGCAAATTTTTGTATTTTTAGTAGAGACAGGATCTTGCCATGTTGCCTAGGCTGGTCTTGAACCCCTGGCCTCAAGTAATACACCTGTCTCGGCCTCCCAAAGTGCTGGGATTACAGGCGTGAGCCACTGCACTGGCCCAGATTGTCAGAGCTTTCTTTCAGAGGCTGGAGTGTGAGAGGGAAGAAGTGGTGTTTGAGGGAAGAGTTGGATCTCAAGTGGAATTTCCCAACTCTGACTCCTTATGCTTTTCTTGGTTAGGTACACCTATGGAAAGCCCATGCTAGGGGCAGTGCAGGTATCTGTGTGTCAGAAGGCAAATACTTACTGGTATCGAGAGGTGGAACGGGAACAGCTTCCTGACAAATGCAGGAACCTCTCTGGACAGGTGAGTAAATGACAGGTTAAAAAGGAACCTATCGGCCAGGCACGGTGGCTCACGCCTGTCATCCCAGCACTTTGGGAGGCCGAGATGGGCGGATCACGAGGTCAGGAGTTTGAGACCAGCCTGACCAATATGGGGAAACCCCGTCTCTATTAAAAATTCAAAAAATTGGCTGGGCATGGTGGTGTGCACCTGAAATCCCAGCTACTTGGAGGCTGAGACAGGAGAATCACTTGAACCCGGGAGGCGGAGGTTGCAATGAGCCGAGATGGTGCCACTGCACTCCAGCGTGGGTGACAGAGCAACACTCAGTCCCCCTCCCCCACCGAAAAAAAAAAAAAAAAAAGAACGTATCCACATGTCCTAAAGCGTAAGGAAGCAACAATCTAGAAAAGAGCTAAACAGCCCAAAGTAGAAAGCATTTCCCAGAATTATCATCCCAGTTCCAAAGAACAAAGCAGGGATCTTTATCCTAAACAGGGAGTGTTTTAGAGTCTGCCTTGGAACCAAGAAATTGACCTAAACCCCAGTAAGGTACAATTTTCCAGTTTTGAAGGCATTTCTTTTTCCCTTTCCCAAATCTTGGAGCTTCAAAGTCATTTCATGATTATCTATGTGCAAGTGTATACTTCATGTTGTAGGAGAGTTTTTCTATATTAGAAACTGAAGTGTGGAGATGAGAAATTATTTCCTTCTACAGAACATTATAAAATGGATGTAGAGATTAGATTCCTCATCTGCTCTCTATCTCTGTCTCTGATCACCTCACTAGACTGACAAAACAGGATGTTTCTCAGCACCTGTGGACATGGCCACCTTTGACCTCATTGGATATGCGTACAGCCATCAAATCAATATTGTGGCTACTGTTGTGGAGGAAGGGACAGGTAAGTAGGGTGCTCCTTGGCTCATTAAGAAAAGAGAAAGAAAAAGGGCTGGTCCCAGGGACAGATTTACTCCAAGTATACAAGACCTACCCTCTTGAGTGTTTGGATGGTACCTTGTTCCTAGTTCATAGTCAAGGGGAAATACCAGATCCCATCTTGCCATCTATAAGAAATACTACGGGCCGGGCATGGTGGCTCACGCCTGTAATGCCAGCACTTTGGGAGGCCGAGACGGGCAGATCACGAGGTCAGGAGATCGAGACCATCCTGGCTAACACGGTGAAACCCTGTCTCTACTAAAAATACAAAAAATTAGCCGGGCATGGTGACGGGGGCGCCTGTAGTCCCAGCTACTCGGGGAGGCTGAGGCAGGAGAATGGCGTGAACCCAGGAGGTGGAGCTTGCAGTGAGCCGAGATCGTGCCACTGCACTCCAGCCTGGGCAACAGAGCGAGACTCCATCTTAAAAAAAAAAAAAAAAAAAAAAGAAGAAATACTACATACTTCTCCAAAAGATTGGGGAGGTGAGGTTGGTTTGGATCTTTGGCCAGAAATACATTCAACTTCATCCCTCTGCCACCATTCTCTCAGAGACTTGACATTAAACGTGAAGATGAGAATATCAGGTGCCTAGATCTTTATACATCTGGTTTCCCTCTGCAGGTGTGGAGGCCAATGCCACTCAGAATATCTACATTTCTCCACAAATGGGATCAATGACCTTTGAAGACACCAGCAATTTTTACCATCCAAATTTCCCCTTCAGTGGGAAGGTATGTTAAAACTTTTCTCTGCATAGACAAAAAAATGCATAACCATCTACTTTGCCTCCTTCCTGCAGCCATAGCCACATAGCTAACTTAGTGCTGTTCCAAGTACTTTATGTGTATTCATTTTAATCTTTAGAATAATGCAATGAGGCAGGCACTGTATTGGCCCCATTTTATGGATACTGAGACAGGCAACAGAGGCTAAGTGATTTTTCCAAGGTGATCACAAATAGATGGGAACTATGACCAAATCCAGGAAGCCTGCCTCCCGGGTATACACTCTCCACTCCCTGTACTCTGCTGCCCCAATCCCATAGAAGAAGTGCCTTGAATATTAATGACACCTTAGGGGTCTTTCTAATGCCAGGGGCTGATCTTCTAATGTCTAAATCTTCATATTTAAGAGCTGCAGGGTTTCTAGAGAAATCATCCAGCCTGGTCTCCTGCATCTAGGCAAGGTTAATATGAAACTTTCCTTGACAGCCATGTATAGCTCTGTAAGCAATTTTGTTTTTCTTTCTGTTTTTGTTTTGTTTTGTTTTGTTTTGAGACAGTCTCGCTCTTGTTGCCCAGCCTGAAGTGCAATGGCGCGATCTCTGTTCACCGCAACCTCCACCTCCCAGGTTCAAGCGATTCTCCTGTCTCAGCCTCCTGAGTAGCTGGGATTACAGACATGTGTCCCCATGCCTGGCTAATTTTGTATTTTTAGTAGAGATGGGGTTTCTCCATGTTGGTCAGGCTGGTCTTGAACTCCCGACCTCAGGTGATCCGTCCACCTGGGCCTCCCAAAGTGCTGGGATTACAGGAGTGAGCCACTGTGCCTGACTAGCAATTTTCTTTAGAGATTTTAAAATTTCCGGCAGGGCGTGGTGGCTCACGTCTGCAGTCCTAGCACTTTGGGAGGCTGAGGTGGGCAGATCACTTGAGGCCAAGAGTTCGAGACCAGCCTGGCCAACATGGCGAAAACTTGTCTCTGCTAAAAATACAAAAATTAGCCAGGCATGGTGGCGCATGCCTATAATCCCAGCTACTCGGGAGTCTGAGGCACGAGAATGGCTTGAACACAGGAGGCAGGGGGTGCAGTGAGCTAAGATCATGCCACTGCACTCCAGCCTGGGCGATAGAGCGAGACTGTCTCAAAAAAAAAAAAAAAAGATAAATACATAATTAAATTTTCTTTGCTAGTGTTTTCTTTCTGATATCTAACTGAATTTCTCTCTTGTTCAGCTTATCTTTCTTTACTTCTTGTACAGCTGGTCCACACAATAATATTGCACACATAGAGATGCATTTATTCCTCAGTTATCATTTCTCTAGACCAAGGGTGGGTGCAAATTATTTTTAGAGCCTAAGGATTACACAGTTTGGGAGGGTAGGGGATTCGCTTTAAGAAAAAGAAAGCAAAATAGGCTGGGCACAATGGCTCATGCCTGTAATCTCAGCACTTTGGGAGGCTGAGGCGGGCGAATCACGAGGTCAGGAGTTCGAAACCAGCCTGACCAACATGGTGAAAACCCGTCCCTGCTAAAAATACAAAAATTAGCCAGGTATGGTGGCACGGGCCTATAGTCCCACTACTTGGGAGGCTGAGGCAGGAGAATCGCTTGAACCCAGGAGGTAGAGGTTGCAGTGAGCTGAGCTCGTCCCACTGCACTCCAGCCTGGGCGACAGACTGAGACTCCATCTCAAAAAAAAAAAGAAAGAAAGGAAGGAAGAAAGGAAGGAAAGAAGGAAGGAAGGAAGGAAAGAAGGAAGGAAAGAAGGAAGGAAGGAAGGAAGGAAGGAAGGAAGGACGGAAGGAAGGAAGGAAGGAAGGAAAGAAAAAAGAAAGCAAAACAACGTGCAGAACCTTTGAAGGAGCCTGTGCATATGAAGAGCCCTGAAGCTTCATTAGCCACCGGGCAAATCTAGCTCTGCTCTGGGCTGTTACTTCTGTTTGTTTTTCGGTTCCTCACAGATCCTAGTTCAAAAGCTTGAATCACATTTATCTTTTTCAGGACTCTTTCCTGAAATGTATTCTTAGAAATTCTGTTATTACTTTTAGTGCCAAAAACCACAATTAGTTTGCACCAACCTAATATTTCACTTTACCTCATACTCAAGCTTACTCCAAACCTAATTCTAATCCGTAATGATCTTTGTCCTTCAGATAAGAGTTAGGGGCCATGATGACTCCTTCCTCAAGAACCATCTAGTGTTTCTGGTGATTTATGGCACAAATGGAACCTTCAACCAGACCCTGGTTACTGATAACAATGGCCTAGCTCCCTTTACCTTGGAGACATCCGGTTGGAATGGGACAGACGTTTCTCTGGAGGTAAGCATGGACGGAGGACCAGCTTCCTAGAAAGGAAGGCTTCCCTGAAGGAAAACTTCAGAATTTTCCTGTTTCCTATTCTCCCCTCTGCTTGGAATTACATCTTTCTCACTCACAAGTCCTGCTCTCCCGTTGACAAAAAGTTTTCCTTAGATGCTTTCTGTTTTTAATATCAATCAAATAAATAGTCCTTACTTGGATGAAAACTACTATTTCTACTAATACATCTTTTAACTTACCCCCATCTCTATCTGATCCTATCTATATATGAAGTTAGAGCAGGGAGGAATAGGTGACTCAGAGTCTTTTTCTTTCTCTTTCCCCTTCCCATCCCCTCATTACTTAATAAAAACAGCAAACAAGAGAACTCTAGATTCTAGATAACTTATAAGTATCAATTATCAACTGCCACAACAATGCTTCTTATCAAACAGCTACAAACTTCAGTATCGTGCAGCAGAAAGCATTCACTGCTTGTGCATCTGGGGCATTCAGTCAGGCAGCTCTGCTGATTTCGATTTCCAGAACTGTCTGCAGATCGGCTGGCCATAAGCTGCTGCTCCGCATGCCTCTCATGCAGGAGCCAGCTAGCCCAGGTATATTCTTATGGCAGTGATGAGGTGCAAGTGCAAAAGCTGATGTTCAGGGCTTTTCCAAACCTCTGTATATTGCATATGTTTTTTTCTTTTTTTTTTTTTTGAGACAGAGTCTCACTCTGTCACCCAGGCTGGAGTGCAGTGGCGTGATCTCGGCTCACTGCAAGCTCCGCCTCCCCGGTTCACGCCATTCTCCTGCCTCAGCCTCCCCGAGTAGCTGGGACTACAGGCGCCTGCCACCACGCCCGGCTAATTTTTTGTATTTTTTAGTAGAGATGGGGTTTCACTGTGTTAGCCAGGATGGTCTCGATCTCCTGACCTCGTGATCCGCCCGCCTTGGCCTCCCAAAGTGCTGGGATTACAGGCGTGAGCCACCGCGCCCGGCCCCTGTTGCATATGTTAACACCCCTTTCCCAACAAATCGAACAGTGGGCACAGACTAGGAGGGTACTGGAAGACCACATGCTCAAGGATGCTGATCTCGGAGGGGGCGGGGTGCGTGTGAGGAATTGGAGCCATTAATGAGATCGTTCAACCTCAGGACTTAAGCAAACACATACTACTTGCCTTGTGGCTAATTTGACTATTTCTTTACTCTAGGCATGACTCAGTTACTCAGAAATAATTATTTTTCAATCTTAGTGTCTTCTGTGCCTAGTTTTCTTATCCCTGAAATATAATCTTTGATTTCTATATAATCTAAGTCACGTTCATCTATCCCAGGAATATCTGTGAAGATACATCACCCACAATTTCCTCTCATTTAGTAACTATAATTCAGCCCTTCTGTCGCTCTCCTACATACCAAAATATTGCTGTACACAGCTACGTTTATGGATTCTTTATCCATCCTTGGCTGGACCGCTAATGAAATACCCACATGCCATTCTCAGGCAGTGAAGATTTGAGAGAAAGAGCTCTATTTGAAAACCGTAACAAGTCCGTGGGGTTTCCATGGTTGGAGCACATGCTAAAATTCTCTCTCTCTCTTTTATTCTCAGGGAAAGTTTCAAATGGAAGACTTAGTATATAATCCGGAACAAGTGCCACGTTACTACCAAAATGCCTACCTGCACCTGCGACCCTTCTACAGCACAACCCGCAGCTTCCTTGGCATCCACCGGCTAAACGGCCCCTTGAAATGTGGCCAGCCCCAGGAAGTGCTGGTGGATTATTACATCGACCCGGCCGATGCAAGCCCTGACCAAGAGATCAGCTTCTCCTACTATGTGAGACCGGGAAACGGGGACGGGTGAGAGTATGCTGGGAAGGAAAGAGAATGAGAAGAGTCAGCCAGAGGGTGCACCTAGGCTATCTGAATTGCAGATGCACATCTAATTAAAAACAATTTTAAAGCCACACTAAAAAAGTAAAAGAACAGTTGACATTAATTTTAAATGTATTTTTTATTTAACCCATTATATCCAAAATATTAACATTTTAACACGAAAGCCATATAAAAAGTTTTAATAGATATTTTACATTCTTGTTTCAACGGTGTCTTTGAAACTCAGTATGTATTTTACACTTAAAGCGTATCTCAGTTTGGACTGAGCACATTTCAAGTATTCAATATTCCTTTTTTTTTCTTTTTTTTTTTTTTTGAGACACAGTCTCGCTCAGTTGCCCAGGCTGGAGTGCAGTGGTGTGTTCTTGGCTCACTGCAAGCTCCACCTCCCAGGTTCACGCCATTCTCCTGTCTCAGCCTCCCAAGTAGCTGGGACTACAGGCGCCCGCCACCACGCCCAGCTAATTTTTTTTGTATTTTTAGTAGAGACGGGGTTTCACCATGTTAACTAGGATGGTCTCGATCTCCTGACCTCGTGATCCACCTGCCTCAGTCTCCCAGAGTGCTGGGATTACAGGCATGAGCCACCGCGCCCGGCCTCAAGTATTCAATATTCCTATGTGGCTATGAGATACTGCATGGCCCAGTATAGGTGTAAGAGATGGAAAACATTGGGGGAAGAAAGAGATTCTGAGCAGGAACACAGGAAAATTGTGTGGGAAAATAAAATGAGGAATTACCTGAGAAAATAGTGCTGGCCAGGACCAAAAAAAACAAAAACAAAAACAAAACCAGCTGGGTGGTTGGGAGGGAGAGTGGGGAGGGATGGGACTCAGGATACTTTTTTTTTTTTTTTAATTTATATGAGACAGGGTTTCGCCATGTTGGCCAGGCTGGTCTTGAACTCCTGACCTCAGGTGATCTGCCCACCTTGGCCTCCCAAAGTGCTGGGACTGCAGGCATGAGCCACCGAGCCCAGCCAGGATACATTTCATTCTGTGTTCCATTGGTCAATATTATCAAATAGATGATATGGGGTTAAATTCACATCGATAGCAGCCTCATTGGGGAAATAAAATCATAACTTGGTAGCCTGAAAGCAATGTATAAGGATAAGCAGCTTTCCTGTCACCTTGGTGACAGTCAGGAAGTAGAATGGAAACCTCAGGTTTGATGGCTCGGAGCCTCTTTGTTCCGTTATCCTCCTGTCAGTCTATGAGAGACTTTCTCCCCTCTGGATCATTGCAGTAGCTTCCATGGTTTCAGTGTTGTCGTTAAGTGAAAAAAAAAAAATCATCCTAATACAACGAAAAGAGAAAAGATAGGTGGAAAATAACAAGTCCAGTGATAAAGCGGGCTCTGTCTTCAGGACCGAAGTGTGGGGAGGTGTAGGACAAAAGTGAAGTTAGGGCCGAGCCACGTGGAATGGCTAATGCTGGGCAGGCGTCCAAGGAACCGACCTTGGAGCCCTGCAGGAGCGTGGGATGAGAGCCTGCTTGCAAACAAGATCACCGAGTTCTGTTTCAAGTGAGAGTGGACGGGAAGGGGGAGTTAGAAGAGGAGATTTCTCCTCTAGAGGGTTCAATGTCAGAAGGGCTCAGGGTGGTTTAGGATGAAATTATTTCCACTGAATTTTAAATTGAGCTGTAATTAAAAAACACTTATGAGGATAGATTTTCGCTGACTTTCTGTTACAAAGATTATAAGAAAATAAAATTTGGAGATCTTCAAGAAATGGCAGACAGTTATCTATGGTGAGGAACAATTTCTATGCTGTCAGACTCCTCCCATCCACCTGCGTGGTTCTCAGCCAGACCTCCAACTGCAGGAGGAGCCACCAGGACCCGTTGGCAGCATCCTGCATTTGTCAAGCTAGTGGATGCTGGGTGAGGTATTGACCCGGACTCTGAACTGTGAAAGGAACCTCTCCTCATGAAGGGATGCAGAGATGCTCTGGAAGTTGGTCCAAGGTGAAATTACTGTAACTTCTGTGCAGTTGATTCTTTTCTTTTCTTCTTTAGTTAATAGGGAAAGGAAGTTTGGTGATGGAGGGGCAGAAACACCTGAACTCTAAGAAGAAAGGTGAGTGTACATGCTTTTCCCGGAAGCAAACAGGATATTTTTAAATTCCAGAAAACAATTCTTGGCCAGGCGCGGTGGCTCATGCCTGTAATCCCAGCACTTTGGGAGGCCGAGGTGGGCGGATCACGATGTCGGGAGATCGAGACCATCTTGGCTAACATGGTGAAACCCCGTCTCTACTAAAAATACAAAAAAAAATTAGCCGGACGTCGGGGCGGGCCCCTGTAGTCCCAGCTACTCGGGAGGCTGAGGCAGGAGAATGGCGTGAACCCGGGAGGCGGAGCTTGCAGTGAGCCGAGATCATGCCACTGCGCTCCAGCCTGGGCGACAGAGCGAGACTCCGTCTCAAAAAAAAAAAAAAATAAATAAAATAAAATAAAATAAAATAAAAAAATTCTTATCCACAGAAGTAATGGAATTGGAGCACTAACAGTTATCACAGGAGAAGAGAAAAATGAGAAGTAACTTGCACCATGGTGCCTGCACTGGCTCAGTGAAAAGTACATATGGTTAGATGCCGTTGGCAGGTGAATGTGCATTCTGATTTTCCTGTATATTCCCTCTTCTCTTTCAGGACTGAAAGCCTCCTTCTCTCTCTCACTGACCTTCACTTCGAGACTGGCCCCTGATCCTTCCCTGGTGATCTATGCCATTTTTCCCAGTGGAGGTGTTGTAGCTGACAAAATTCAGTTCTCAGTCGAGATGTGCTTTGACAATCAGGTAAAATGATAGCGGAGAAGGGTGAAGATAAAAGTTGGGCATAGAGAAAGATCTTGTGTGTGCTGCGGTTGGAAACAAGACAAGTCAGGGAAAGAAGATAGTGTTGACGTTGGATGTTGTATTATATTTATATCTTTAGTGTTTGGGGTTTGTGTTGAAATCCATCTCTCTCCTACTTTTTATTTTAAGAAGTCATGCTGGCTGAGGTGCAGTGGCTCACTCCTGTAATCCCAGTGCTTTGGGAGGCCAAGGCAGAGGGATTTCTTTAGGTCAAGGGTTCAAGACCAGCCTGGACAACATAGCAAGATCCTGTCTGTACAAAAAAATTTTTAATTAGCTGGGTGTGCAGCACTTTGGGAGGCCGAGGTGGGTGGATCACCTGATGCTAGGAGTTCAAGACCAGCCTGGTGAAACCGTGTCTCTACTAAAAATACAAAAATTAGCCAAGCATGGTGGTGGATGCCTGCAATCCCAGCTACTTGGGAGGCTGAGGCAGGAGAATTGCATGAACCCAGGAGACGGAGGTTGCAGTGAGCAAAGAACACACCATTACACTCCAGCCTGAGTGACAGAGTGAGACTCTGTCTCAAAAAAAAAAAAAAAAATTAGTTGAGTGTGGTGATGCATACCTGTAGTCCCAGCTAGTCGGAAGGCTGAAGCAGGTGTATCGCTTGAGCCCAGGAGTTCAAGGCTGCAGAGCGAGACCCTGTCTATTTTTTTTATTTTTTATAGACAGAGCTTTCCTCTTGTTGCCCAGGCTGGAGTGCAATGGTGCGATCTCGGCTCACTGCAACCTCTGCCTCCTGGGTTCAAGTGATTCTCTTGCCTCAGACTCCCGAGTAGCTGGGATTACAAGTATGCACCACCATGCCTGGCTTTTTTTTTTTTTTTTTTTTTTGTATTTTTAGTAGAGACGGGGTTTCACCATGTTAGCCAGGCTGGTCTTGAACTCCTGACCTCAGGTCATCCACCTGCCTTGGCCTCCCAATGTGCTGGGATTACAGGCATGACCCTGTCTCTATTAAAAAAAAAAAAAAAAAAAGCCATACTGGGAAGCCACATGTTCTATATAGTTATTCCACATGTTCTCTCTACTTTTTGTCTTCTAAACTTTCTCTATCCTTCTACTGTGCTGCTCACGTTTCCCAACTCTATCACGGCATACACGTCCTGAAGAGCTAGACTTTACAAAGAAAGATAAGTACAAAAGTGAAAGAATGGGTTGGATGTCATAGCTGGGGCATATTTGCTGATGACCCAAATTATGTTGTTTCCCTTCCTTTCCAGGCTGACCTGATCCCCAAGTTATACCTTTCCCTTCCCCAGGTTTCCCTTGGCTTCTCCCCCTCCCAGCAGCTTCCAGGAGCAGAAGTGGAGCTGCAGCTGCAGGCAGCTCCCGGATCCCTGTGTGCGCTCCGGGCGGTGGATGAGAGTGTCTTACTGCTTAGGCCAGACAGAGAGCTGAGCAACCGCTCTGTGAGTAACTGTCTGCTGACAGAGTGGGAGGAGGGAGTTGATGGAGAAGACAATTAAGAGGTAGGTTTCAGGCAGGGGAGAGAAAGTCTTAGGGAAATAATGCACTGCCATAAGGCGGTAAAAAGGCTGGTGTGAAAATGAAGTTAGAAAGTGTAAGAGGGCTGGGCACGGTGGCTCACGCCTGTAATCCCAGTGCTTTGTGAGGCCGAGGCTGGCAGATCACCTGAGGTCGGGAGTTCGAGACCAGCCTGACCAACATGGAGAAACTCTGTCTCTACTAAAAATCCAGAAAAAAAAAAAAAAAATTAACTGGGCATGGGCCCATGCCTGTAATCCTGGGGAGGCTGAGGCAGGAGAATCACTTGAACCTGGGAGGCGGAGGTTGTATCATTGCCCTCCAGCCTGGGCAACAAGAGCAAAACTCTGTCTCAAAAACAAAAAAAAAAAAACAAAAACAAAAAAAGAAAGGATAAGAGAAAGGCATGGTTAGTATGAATGCAGAGACAAGAAAAGAGAATGAGCCTGTAATCCCAGAACTTTAGGAGACCAAGGCAGGCAGATCACCTGAGGTCTGGGGTTCAAGACCAGCCTGACCAACATGGTGAAACCCTGTCTCTACTAAAAATACAAAAATTAGCCAGGCATGGTGGCGCATGCCTGTAATCCCAACTACTCAGGAGGCTGAGGCAGGAGAATTGCGTGAACCCGGGAGGCAGAGGTTGCAGTGAGCCGAGATCGTCCCACTGCACTTCAATCTGGGCGACAGAGCAAGACTCCGTCTCAAAAAAAAAACAAGAAAGAGAACGAAATAGGGGATAGGATTATGAAAAAATAGGTGAGATAGAGGTTAAAGTTTTAGACAGTGAGAAAGGTAATTATGACAGAATGAATATAAAAATAATTCTGAAGTAATAAAGAGAAATGATACAGGAGTAGTGAACTGAGCACCAGAATCTGAGAGAAGTTTCTCAACTGATATCACTATATCAATGCTTTATTTCCTCTCCCCCTCTTGTCCCAGGTCTATGGGATGTTTCCATTCTGGTATGGTCACTACCCCTATCAAGTGGCTGAGTATGATCAGTGTCCAGTGTCTGGCCCATGGGACTTTCCTCAGCCCCTCATTGACCCAATGCCCCAAGGGCATTCGAGCCAGCGTTCCATTATCTGGAGGCCCTCGTTCTCTGAAGGCACGGACCTTTTCAGCTTTTTCCGGGTAGGTCTTCTTACCCATTTTGTTCTTATGGGAAAGATGGTGGTGGGAATGGGCAAAGGAAAGTTCATATCTAAGAAAGCAGAGAGACTCATATGGGCACTGATGGGAACAAAATCTTGAAAGAAGCTTCTGACGTGTAAGGTCGCCTCTGTTGGCCCTTATGCTTGAAGAAGATGTCCAACCTAGTCTTCCTCTTTTTGTTGTCCTCAAACACTGATTTCCATGAGATCAATCAGGAGGGAAAATTAGAGAAGGTAGACCAGAGGTCTCTTATCATTATTATAAAAAATAATTTGCACCTATTCTATGAGCAGGATTTGGGATGCTGTGTGACCCAAGTCTGACCAGGAGGTCCCTGAGGTCAGGAACTAGGTCTTGTTCATCTTTGTATTCTCTCTAATGCCTGACCCTTCATAAGGCTCATTGTATTTTTGTTGAATTGAGTACGCTGATATGGTCCCTACCCTCAGCATGTTTACAGCGTAAGTCAAATAGTAAGGACATAGCGAATAATATTTGGCAGAACCATTACATGTATGTAATGATGAAATAAGTTTAACTGAAAGCCTTTCATGCTAGCTGGAACAGAAGCCAACCAGCCTCAGTGGCTGAGTTTCAGGTAAGAACACCCAGGTTCACCATTAATTCAAAAAGAATGTTTTGTTTCAACTCTTTGATGGTGGAATTCCTGGGCAGTAGCCCTTGTAGTTGGGGAAGGGACCACCTTAATACTTATTTCTCTGATGCCTATCAGGACGTGGGCCTGAAAATACTGTCCAATGCCAAAATCAAGAAGCCAGTAGATTGCAGTCACAGATCTCCAGAATACAGCACTGCTATGGGTGGTAAGCCACCTCTGTGGTCTGTGGATTCTCTGAGATGTTAACAGTCCTGGAACTCTGCAGATTTCCTCTTGCCTCCTGTTCTTGCACTGAGCCTCTAGCCCGAGAATGCTAATGGGTTGTGGGTCACAGATGCAGGACAGTTTCCCAAGTGTTCTCTCTCTGGGGAGAGCTTTTGAAGCCTGAAGCTTATGTATCCATTCCCCGGCCAAACCTCCTTGGCTATCACTTCCCTCGATGGCCTTTGTGACTAGTTAGTTCCTCTTTGGTCCTTCCTCCTTGCCTCTGACTGGATGTTCTCTGCTTCCCTCTAAATTTCTTTCTAGTAATCCCTCCATCCCAATTTATGTCACAACAAGAAGTCTCCTGTTTCCTAAAGTTTTCGTATTCTCAATTTCATCAGCAGGCGGTGGTCATCCAGAGGCTTTTGAGTCATCAACTCCTTTACATCAAGCAGAGGATTCTCAGGTCCGCCAGTACTTCCCAGAGACCTGGCTCTGGGATCTGTTTCCTATTGGGTAAGTGATGACTCAAAAGTACAGTAAAGGGCCAGGTGCATGGCTCACGCCTGTAATCCCAACACTTTGGGAGGCTTAGGAGGGAGGATCACTTGAGACCAGGAGTTCAAGACCAGCCTGGGCAACATAATGAGCTTCTGTCTCTACAAAAGAAATTAAAAAAATAGCCAGATGGTAGTTGTGTCCTACTTGGAAGGCTGAGGTGGAAGGATCACTTGAGTCTGGGAGGTGGAGGCTGCAGTGAAGCAAGATCACATTGCTTCACTCCTGCTTGGGTGACAGAGCAAAACCCTTCTCAAAATCAACAACGACAACGACAACAACAAACCCAGAAAAAAAACAGTAAGATTCTGCAATGTAGAGCCTGTAGAAAACTCAGAATCAGACGCATTCCTAATGGATCTAAATCTTAAGCAAAGAAAGCTTGATGGGGTGTGGGAATTTATTTATTTTCCGGAATTCTTTTTTTCTTTTTATTTTTAAGACAGAGTCTTGCTCTGTCACCCAGGCTGGAGTGCAGTGGCATGATTTTGGCTCACTGTAGGCCTCAACCTCCTAGGTTCAAGCAATTCTTGTGCCTCAGCCTCCCAAGTAGCTGGGACTATAGGCACATGCCACCACACCTGGCTAAGTTTTGTATTTTTAGTAGAGGCAGGGTTTTGCTATGTTGGCCAGGCTAGTCTTGAACTCCTGGCCTCAAGTGATCCACCCGCCTTGGCCTCCCAAAGTGTTGGGATTACAGGTGTGAGCCACTGCGCCCGGCCTACCTGAATTCTTCATGCATTCATATACAACCACTCAAAACAAATCCACACAATTCCACACTCACACATTGCAGGCCCTGTGTTCTCACTACAGAACCACACACATTTAAAGGTATATATTGACATCAATTTTTGCTCACTGCTTGCATATCCATTTTGACAAGCCCTGAGACCACACATCCTCAGACTCAGAGGGCACCAGCCTCTCTGTCAGATGTGCTTGCACAGAGATGCCCACCCCGACTCCCCACCATAGTCCCCCTCCTCCGTATGAGTGCAGCCTCACTCACACTGAGACTCACCTGTTCAGTTGCCTCTTTACTTCTCCCCATACAATAACAATAACAATTTTACTTCTGCAGATGAATTTGTAGCTTTTTTTTTTTGGACAGGGTCTTGCCCTGTCACCCAGGCTGGAGTGCAGTGGTGCAATCATAGCTCACTGCAGCCTCAAACTCCTGGGCTCAAGCAATCCTCCTGCCTCAGCCTCCTAAGTAGCTGGGACTATAGGCATGCACCACC
This sequence comes from Homo sapiens, assembly GCF_000001405.40. Lineage (NCBI taxonomy): Eukaryota > Metazoa > Chordata > Mammalia > Primates > Hominidae > Homo > Homo sapiens. Next base: position 8,851,561 of record NC_000012.12, read on the forward strand.
ACACCTGGCTAATTTTTAAATTTTTGGTAGAAATAGGGTCTTGCTATGTTTCCCAGGCTGGCCTCAAACTGCTGGGCTGAAGCTATCTGCTCACCTCAGCCTCTCAAAGAGCTGGGATTACAAGTGTAAGCCAGCACACCCCACCGAATTTGTGGCTTAATTCACAAATGTTCTCCTTGCCCCACGCTACCTCTGCCTCATGTTGGTCCTTGTGTTTTCACAGTAACTCGGGGAAGGAGGCGGTCCACGTCACAGTTCCTGACGCCATCACCGAGTGGAAGGCGATGAGTTTCTGCACTTCCCAGTCAAGAGGCTTCGGGCTTTCACCCACTGTTGGACTAACTGCTTTCAAGCCGTTCTTTGTTGACCTGACTCTCCCTTACTCAGTAGTCCGTGGGGAATCCTTTCGTCTTACTGCCACCATCTTCAATTACCTAAAGGATTGCATCAGGGTGAGAGCTGGGGATACAGGAATCAGGTGTCAGCCCTGGAATCACACCTCCCCCATAAGTTTGTCTCTAAATTGGAAGCATCCCAATTTTCCCTGGGAAAGAGAGGAGATGTCGGCGTCTCAGCCCCCAGGTTTCCCCAGGCCTCTATGCACTACCTCCTTTGTTTGTACCCTTTGTCTCTTAAACATCCTCCGTAGGTTCAGACTGACCTGGCTAAATCGCATGAGTACCAGCTAGAATCATGGGCAGATTCTCAGACCTCCAGTTGTCTCTGTGCTGATGACGCAAAAACCCACCACTGGAACATCACAGCTGTCAAATTGGGTAAGAGAGGGAAGTGGTAGACGGGCGAGGAAAGCCAGCAGCAGAAGACCAGTGACTGAGCACTCAGTCTTTTCCTCTGCCACATCTGCTTTGCTTCCTCCTCCATTTTCCACTATTTTTCTCCCTCCTAAGGCTGTTATAAGTCAATACACAAACACTCTTTGATAGGTGACCAAACAAATTTGTTCAAACCGGAATATTTTGAGTGTGAAAGGGAGAGCTTTTAATATTTATAGCTGGACAAGGAATACATGGTCATGTAACTAATCAAGGACTTACTATAAGAGTCCCTGGGCCAGGCACTATTCTAACTGCTTTACATATATTAACTCATTAAATTGATTGACTAATTAATTTTTATTTTATTTATTTATTTTTGAGAGGAAGTCTCGCTCTGTTGCGCAGGCTGGAGTGCAGTGGTGCAATCTGTGCTTACTGCAACCTCCACCTCCTGGGTTCAAGTGATTCTCCTGCCAAGCCTCCCAAGTAGCTAGGATTACAGTCGCGTGCCACCCTACCCGGCTAATTTTTGTACTTTTAGTAGAGGTGGGGTTTTGCCATGTTGGCCAGGCTGGTCTCAAACTCCTGACCTCAGGTGACCTGCCTGCCTCGGCCTCCCAAAGTGCTGGGATTACAGGCGTGAGCCGCTGCGCCTGGCCTTTTATTTTTTTTTAGAGAGACAAGATCTTACTCTGTCACCTAAGCTGGAGTACAGTGGTGTGGTCATTGCTCACTGCAGCCTCAACCTCCCAGGCTCAAGCGATCCTCTCACCTAGGCCTCCGGAGTAGCTGGGACTATAGGCTCATGCCACCACCATGCCTGGCTAATTCAGTTGGCAGAGAAGCGGTCTTGCTCTGTTGCCCAGGCTGTTCTCAAACTCCTGGGTTCAAGTGATTCTCCCGCCTCACCCTTCCAAAGTACTGGGATTACAAGAATGAGTCACTGCACCTTTAACTTGTTTAATCCTCACCCCCAACCCTATGGGATGTCAGTCACTCATAGATTAAATCCTTGCAACTCAAAGTTTGATTTTCATATGTATGAGTTATCTCATGTTGCTTGACAAATTATTGTAAAACTTAAGTGTCATAAAAGGACAAACATTATCAAACAGATTCTATGGGTCATTAATCTGGGTGCAGCTTAGCTGGGTACCTCTGGCTCAAGGTATCTCATGAGGTTGCAATCAAGCTGTCAGTCAGGACTCTGGTTTCATCTGAAGACTCGACTAGGAGAGGATTGATTTTTCAAGCTCATCCCAAAGTCTCTGATCCTTACAGGCTGCTAGACTGAAGGACACAGTTCTTGACCTCAGCTTTTGGCTAGGGGCCTCACTCAGTATCTCATCACATGAATCTCTCTGCTGGGCTGCCTCATCACACAACAGCTGTCTTCCCCAGAGCAAGCAGTTTGAGAAAAGGGGTGCACCCAAGATGGAAGCTGCAGTCTTTTTTGTAACCTAATCCCAGAAGAGTCATTACTTTCACCCTGTTCTCTTTAACAGAAGCGAGTCACTCAATCCAGCTCACACTCAATGGATGTAAATATCAGGATGCAGGGATCTCTGAGGGCCCTTAGAGGTTACCTACCACACTGGACTAGCCTCTCTGGCATCACCTGGGAGCTTGTTAGAAATGCAGAATATGGGCCCCACCCCAGGTCTATGGCAGCAGAGTTTGCACTGTTGCAAGATCCCCATTAAAGTTTCAGAAATGCTGATCCAAATGGGAATGGACCTCACTGGTACCTCTGGCAATAGGGCTAATGGCTTCCCTTCTTCTTTCTCTCAGGTCACATTAACTTTACTATTAGTACAAAGATTCTGGACAGCAATGAACCATGTGGGGGCCAGAAGGGGTTTGTTCCCCAAAAGGGCCGAAGTGACACGCTCATCAAGCCAGTTCTCGTCAAAGTGAGTTTTCTTCAGAGGTAGAGACAGCAACCAACCGAGGGATGCTCAGCATCTCGTCTTGCTGTGAGTTAGTCTCTCACAGCAACCATACTCCAGTCCAACCAGGCAGCTTCAACTTTCTCCTTCCCTGGCCCCTTGAACATTTGCCTAATCCACACCCACGGCCTATGAAAGCACCTAAAACCCGGCACCTCATAGGCACTCAACAAATGTTAGTTTACCTAATTAAAATGTCTGTCTTCATCAATAGCTGCCTTTTTCGTCCCATCATGAAGCCCATTGTCAATCTTGCCTCTTAGAAGTTGCCTAAATGTGTCTTTGGCTCTAGCACTTGCCCAGAAAGAACTTTACAGAAAGGGCCCATCCTTGGGTTGACGCAGAGTTCTTCTGAGCTTCAGTGAGAAGCTCTTGTCTGCAGTTCTGAGGGAAGCCCTGGGGGCACAGCGAGGGGCCTCCCTTCCCTTTCCTTTAGTGCCATCCCTCCTGATGTTCATCTTTGTTGTTTTTATCTGTGTCTCTCTTCATCGCAGCCTGAGGGAGTCCTGGTGGAGAAGACACACAGCTCATTGCTGTGCCCAAAAGGTGGGTGGACTCAGAGCAGGATTGGTGGTGAGAATTCCCTTAGAGGGCAGGAGATTTTCTTTTCATTTTTTTTTTTTTTTTGAGACGGAGTCTCGCTCCGTCGTCCAGGCTGGATTGCAGTGGCACGATTTCAGCTCATTGCAACCTCTGCCTCCCGGGTTCAAGTGATTCTACTGCCTTAGTCTCCTGAGTAGCTGGGACTACAGGTACATGCCACCATGCCTGGCTAATTTTTGTATTTTTAGTAGAGATGGGGTTTCACCATATTGGCCAGGCTGGTCTCGAACTCCTGACCTTGTGATCCTCCTGCCTTGGCCTCCCAAAGTGCTGGGATTACAGGCGTGAGCCACTGCACCCGGCAGCAGGAGATTTTCATAGGCAAAAGGAGGAATGCATAGTACCAGAAGGAATAGGAGAGTCTGAAGTGCCATTCCTCATGGGGCTGATTAACTGGGAGGCAGGAGGAAGAAGAGAAAGTGTGCAGCACGATGATGACTCTCTGTGGAATTTATTTTCAGCAAGATCACTATGAATAGTACCCAGTGCTTTCTGCATCCCAGAGAAAGCACCGAGTACAGAAATCCCTGGATTATAGAAAGTTCTTCTAAAATTTTGTCTTGAGAACCCCTGCCATTCCCCATCTTCTATTGTGTCACCTTTTTTTCTGCATCTCACAGGAAAGGTGGCATCTGAATCTGTCTCCCTGGAGCTCCCAGTGGACATTGTTCCTGACTCGACCAAGGCTTATGTTACGGTTCTGGGTAAGCAGTTAGAGATTCTTGACTCAGAAAGGAAAAGGCGAATGGAGGCTGCAAAGGTGTGGAGTGGGGCGGGACATACGGACCTATCCGGAGAGTGTAACTAATAACAAGTGATGAAGGAAAAAGAGCGTATTTTATATAGGAGGGAAATACAGTGTAGGCAACAGTACAGATGGGATTAGACTTGTACTCTAGTTAAAAATGGAAGAGAGTCAGGGTAGGAAGAAGGTAAGGTCGCTGATGCTTGATTTTAGGTTTAGACAGTCTATAAATTGGGTGAAGGGAAAACAGAATATTTGCAGCAACCATTTTCAAAACTGAGGAATTTGGGTATAGTTTAGGGAAGATACAACCATATTTACAATAGGCAGCACACTTACTGTTTGGGGCAAGGGAGGAAGTGGGTTGAAAAGCATGAACGTAGAAATCATATCTAACCTGTCATTTAATAGCCATGTGACCCTGAACAAGTTAGTGAACAGTTCTGGGCCTTCTTTCCTCTTCTGTAAAACAGTGATAATAACCTACCTCTCAGACTGGTGTAAAGATTAAATGCAATATAAAGTCCCCAGCACAATATCTAGCATGTAGTAGGAGCCCTATGAATGTTAGGCTCTTTCTTTACTCCCTCACCCTCTATTGAGATCCTTTGCAGTCACAGTGTCTCTGTTTTGTCTATTTTATTCGTAAGTCTGACATAGCACTTATCTTATTGTATTAGAGTTCACTGTCTATATCTGTCTTCCACACTGTGTTGGGGGCTCCTGAAGAGGAAGGGCCACATCTTTTTCTTTTGTGTTCCTAGTACAGTTCCTGCAACATAGTTGACATTCAGGACACATTTATAGATTGAATTGAGCTTGTTGGCTACAATGCAGATGTTAATGAGTCACTTATGTCAGGTTCACTGGCTTGGGAAGTATATGAAGGGGTCAGTGACAACTTGGAAAAGAGTGTCAGAACTGTGTTTTAGAGAAACTTGGTGATTTGGAGGGTGAGGAACGTACATGCAGTGGTAGAGGAGCTTAAGAGATTGATCCTAAGTGTTATAAGTTTTGTCACATCACTCATCAGCTCAGTGACATGTCTTCTTAAAAGCCCTGAACTCTCTTAGATAGCTTATGTGCCTCTCCGTGTCCCCTAGCACCTCGTACATATCCAGTATGACATTGTAGTACTGTATTAAAATTGTTTATAATGAATAAAAATTGTAATGTGTTGTAATGGTTTGCTCCTCTGTGAGTTTTTTTGAGGGTAGAGACCGAGTTTGATTTACTGTGGTCTTCCCAGGACACACAGTAGGTACTTTTTTTTTTTTTTTTTTTGTATTTTTAGTAGAGACAGGGTTTGTCCATGTTGGTCAGGCTGGTCTCGAACTCCTGACCTCAGGTGATCCACCCTCCTCGGCCTCCCATACTGCTGGAATTACAGGCGTGAGCCACCACGCCCGGCCCATAGTAGGTACTTATTAAATGATAGCTAATACGTGTTTGTTCAGTGAATGATGATAACTCTTAGAGGGTCCCTTCTTCTCTGTACCCCTACCTTCTCTCTCTCCTTTTGGATCCCAGGAGACATTATGGGCACAGCCCTGCAGAACCTGGATGGTCTGGTGCAGATGCCCAGTGGCTGTGGCGAGCAGAACATGGTCTTGTTTGCTCCCATCATCTATGTCTTGCAGTACCTGGAGAAGGCAGGGCTGCTGACGGAGGAGATCAGGTCTCGGGCAGTGGGTTTCCTGGAAATAGGTAAGTTGGTTCAGTCTTTCTTTCTTGAACACTCTCCTCCACTAGGCCCTATGACAGATTGATGATACAGGGAATTCCAGCCCCTCAAGTGTCCCATATCCTTGAACGGCATGGGGGTGTTTTCTGAAGTTGTCGCTGTGATCTAAAACCACATTTGGCTTCCCAGGGTACCAGAAGGAGCTGATGTACAAACACAGCAATGGCTCATACAGTGCCTTTGGGGAGCGAGATGGAAATGGAAACACATGGTAATATCACCCAATTCCCAATGAGTTCTGTACTCCAGAGCATAATTCCTGAGCCCTCTGGAACTATTCCACTACCTCTCCCCTTAACCCCTTTCCTTCTTGCACTCAGTCTTCTACCTCTTTAATACTGTTTATTTCACCCTCATGGATGGTCAAGTCCCTCGATCTTCCTGAGCTTGTGCCTCCCCTGTTCTTGTCCTCATTGGTGCCCATTAATGCCTCTCTTTTCTAGGCCTGCTATGGCATATGTTCCCTCAGCTCCCCTTCTGGAAGTATACACCCAAATAAATGAAGAAATGATTGCACCCTCACCTGGAAATTCCTCTTCATGCCATATTTTCCTCTTTACCCATGTAGGCTGACAGCGTTTGTCACAAAATGCTTTGGCCAAGCTCAGAAATTCATCTTCATTGATCCCAAGAACATCCAGGATGCTCTCAAGTGGATGGCAGGAAACCAGCTCCCCAGTGGCTGCTATGCCAACGTGGGAAATCTCCTTCACACAGCTATGAAGGTGCGGATCTGTCCAGGAGCCTGCAGCCAACCACTGTCTCGAAGGACCCCACACCTCTGACCGAGTAGAAGCAAAAGAGCACTGGCCTGGGAATCAGTTTTCTCCTGATCTCCACTGTGGCTCTGGGTGACCGTGATCAAAATGCTTAGCTGGTCTGGGCCTCAGTTTTCATGTCTGTAGAATGAGAATACAGATGAAGCCTGGGTGCAGTGGCTCATGCCTGTAATCCCAGCACTTTGGGAGGCCGAGGCGGGCAGATCGTTTGGGCCCAGGAGTTTGAGACCACCCTGGGCAACATGGTGAAACCCCATCTCTACAAAAAAAATATGAAAAATTAATCAGGCTTGTTAGTGCATGCCTGTAGTCCCAGCTACTTGGGTGGTTGAGGTTGGAGGATCACTTGAACCCAGGAGGTCAAGCCTGCAGTGAGCCGTGATTGCACCACTGCACCCCAACCTGGGTGACCGAGTGAGACCCTGCCTCAAAAAGAAAAAGAGAATGTGGACTGGAACATGGTTCTCAAAGCATAGTTCCCAGATCAGGAGCATTGGCATCACATGGGAACTTGTTGGAAACGCAGATTCTGACTCCCAGCCCACACCTACTGAATGAGAAACTCTGGGAGGGTGGGCCAGAAATTTGTGTTTTGACAAGCCCTCCTGATTATTCTGATACACACTGAAATTTGATACTACTGGACTAAAAGATCTCTGGGCCTCTTACTGTGTCACCAAATCCATCTGGGAAAGCCATTTCCTGTGGTGAGGACTAGTAGGCAGCCCAACGTCTTTTGTAAGAAGTTTACTCTATTGGGCACTATTCTAGGCACGTGGTTTATTTGATATTATTTCATGTTTACAACAAATCAATGAGCTAGGTATTGGTATGCCATTATTAATCCCATTTTACAGATGAAGAAACTAAGCCATGGAGACTAAGTAAATTGCCCAAGGTGCATGCTAATAAGTGGCAGGACTGAGATTTGAACCAGGCAGTTGCACTCCAGAGGCACTGCTTTCTTCTGTTCACTACCTTGTCTGTACCTGTCCCAAGCAGAGGGCGAGGCGTAGATCCTGCAGGATAACTTGTTCAATTCAGGACACACTCAGTGCAAGAAAGACTTGTATAAACTTTTCTAGAGAGATCACTTACATTGCTATTCCAGGGCAAGGATTAAAAATCTTGAGTGTTAAAAAAAAAATCTATTTATAGGATTCATTAGTCTTCCTCTGCAGGATCTTATTAGTCTCCCCTAAGTTTTTGTCTTCTTCTTCTCTTATACACTGTATGAAATATGCGTGGGGGCCAGGCGCAGTGGCTCATGCTTGTAATCCCAGCATTCTGGGAGGCTGAGGCGAGTGGATCATGAGGTCAGGAATTAGAGACCAGTCTGAAACCCTGTCTCTACTAAGATAAAGGACTTGACTAGAGCAAGATCTCAGAGGTATTCTTCCTTCTTTCCCTTTTTTTTCTTTTCTTTTTTTCTTGAGACAAGAGTCTTACTCTGTTGTACAGGCTGGAGTGTAGTTGCGCAATCCCAGCTCACTGCAACCTCTACCTCCTGGGTTCAAGTGATCTCAGCCTCCTGAGCAGCTGGGACTACAGGCATGTGCCACCATGCCTGGCTACTTTTTGTATTTTTAGTAGAGATGGGGTTTCACCATGTTTGGCCAGGCTGGTCTTGAACTCCTGGCCTCAAGTGATCCACCCGCCTTGACCTCCCAAAGTGCTGGGATTACAAGCGTGACCTATGCGTGCCCAGCCTCTTCCTACTTTCTTTTGAGAGCAGGCCAGTCCATTGAGAAATCCATCCTCTGTGTAGCCAAGGTTAGTGGTGTGGCACATGAGCTCCAGAGTTAAATGTCCTGGGTTCAAATTCCAGTCCTGCTGCAGATGAGCCATGTAACCGTGAGCAAGCTATTTAATCTTTTTATTTATTTACTTATTCATTTTTTTGAGACAGGGTCTCACTCTGTCACCCAGGCTGAAGTGCAGTGGCACGATCATGGCTCACTGCAGCCTTGACCTCCCCGGGCTCAGATGATCCTCCTACTTTAGCTTCCTGAATAGCTGGGACCACGGATCCACGTGCCACTACACCTGGCTAATTTTTGCAGGTTTTGTAGAGTTGGGGTTTTACCGTGTTGCCCAGGCTGGCCTCAAACTCCTGAGCTCAAGCGATCCTCCCCACCGACTTGGCCTCAAGCTGGGATAATAGGCATAAACCACTGTGCGTGACCACAAGCTATTTAATCTTGTTAAGTGTTTGTTTTCTTATTTATAGAATGAGGATAATAATTTGAGTAGATATTTTTAAAAATTTGCTTAGCTCTTTCTGGGAAAGGCGATAAGCAGGGAAGGTCTCACCTAATCTCTGCTGGAGAAGGGCTGGGTATTGTGCTGCTTGAGGGGAGCTGCATGTGAGGAGGCTCAGATGCGGTGATGCGGCAGATTCTCTCCTTATTCCTCCCTTCTTTAAAGCTCTTACCCTTCCTAACTCCTTCTCTTGGGTTTCTTAAATACCCACTCAGCTGAAGTCCACATGCTGCCTCCTGCAGGCTGTTTAAGGCTGTGCAGTTATGAAGTCCAAACTGTTCCCTCTTTGTGTGTCCTGGAGGCTTGGAGCTGCAGAAAGCCTGTGGAAAAAAGAGCTTTCTTTTCTTTTTTCTTTTTAAAAATTATTCATCTATTCAGAGGGGAGGCTGTTTTGCAATCTGCACATAATTCTTGCAGCTGCTGCCTGCTGCCCTGACTCACTGCCTCCCTGTTTGCCTCTAGGGTGGTGTTGATGATGAGGTCTCCTTGACTGCGTATGTCACAGCTGCATTGCTGGAGATGGGAAAGGATGTAGATGTAAGTTCTCCTGGCTCCTGCTCTTGATACCCTCCTTCTCATGCGTATTCCTAGAGACATTCACCCATCTTTGTCTCTAGTCACCCTTTTAAGGTCAAGAAGGATAAGATGATTTCCTGATTACTTGCCATTTTTAAAGGAATGCCTTATAAGTTATAGTCTTCATCTTCACTTTTTAGGACCCAATGGTGAGTCAGGGTCTACGGTGTCTCAAGAATTCGGCCACCTCCACGACCAACCTCTACACACAGGCCCTGTTGGCTTACATTTTCTCCCTGGCTGGGGAAATGGACATCAGAAACATTCTCCTTAAACAGTTAGATCAACAGGCTATCATCTCAGGTATGTTGGTCCTGTTGAGAGTTCTTTGAAATTGTGAACATAAGCTGTGAGTTATCTATAATCTCCCTAGTAACCTCTGTCCCACACATGTACTCTAGGATTCATTTTAGTAACAGTTATTAAGTCATCAAATTATTGTTGGGAGGTTTGTGAGAAACACACGCAAGTGCTCAAAGGGCATTTTTATACTTTTTTTTCTTTTCTTTTTGAGACGGAGTCTTGCTCTGTTGCCCAGGCTGGAGTGCAGTGGCGTGATCTCGGCTCACTCCAAGTTCCGCCTCCCGGGTTCACGCCATTCTCCTGCCTCAGCCTCCCCAGTAGCTGGGACTACAGGCGCCCACCACCACGCCCGGCGAATTTTTTGTATTTTTAGTAGAGACGGGGTTTCACCGTGTTAGCCAGGATGGTCTCGATCTCCTGACCTCATGATCCACCCGCCTCGGCCTCCCAAAGTGCTGGTATTACAGGCATGAGCCACCACGCCCGAGTTTCTCTCTTCTTGCCCAAGCTGGAGTGCAATGGCGTGATCTCAGCTCACTGCAACCTCTGCCTCCCAGGATCAAGCAACTCTCCTGCCTCAGCCTCCCGAGTAGATGGGATTACAGGTGTGTGCCATCATGCACAGCTAATTTTTGTATTTTTAGTAGAGAAGGGGTTTCGCCCTGTTGACCAGGGTGGTCTCGAATTCTTGACCTCAGGTGATCCACCTGCCTCGGCCTCCCAAAGTGCTGGGATTACAGGCGTGAGCCACCATGCCTGGCCACATTTTTATACTTTTAATGTGAAGAGAAACTACATTGAAGAAGCTAGTCGGAAAATATATTGGCATTGTGGAATCACCCTTTTGGAGATCTTTGAAAGTGCTTTGATGTAGGACCACTTTAAATATTTTTTAAATTTTTTATTTTACTTTTTATTTTTTTGAGACGGTGTCTTGCTCTGTCACCCAGGCTGGAGTGCAGTGGTGCAATCTTGGCTCACTGCAACCTTTGCCTCCTGGGTTCAAGTGATTCTCCTGCCTCAGCCTCCCGAGTAGCTGGGATTACAGGTGCCCGCCACCACACTGGCTAATCTTTGTATTTTTAGTAGAGAGGGGGTTTCACCATGTTGGCCAGGCTGGTCTCAGAATCCTGACCTCAAGTGATCCGCCCCTCTTGGTCTTCCAAAGTGCTGAATTACAAGCGTGAGCCATTGCACCTGGCCTGGACCACTTTAAATATATTTAGAATACTATTTGAAGTATGACAGATCTTGTAAATAAAATTTTAATGCATTTCATTTATCTGGCTGTGTATTTAAAATTATTCTTCCAGGCAGAAGTGCAGTCTCAGCCTTCATTTATATGAGCGTCATGGCTGAGCTGTCCTCTCACAGGGGGTCAGGTAGTTTTTTCTCTTGTGTCTAAGCAACTCCAGTCATGAAATGTGTGTCCGAGACAATGGGTTAAATACACCTGTTCCACCGTGTATTGGTTTATTGTGATGATCTCTTTTCCATTATCTTGTATTGCAAGCTCACGTTTCCTGTTACGTTCTTCCAATTAGATTGCCCTTCTGTGGTTACTTATTATCTCTAAAATTCTGTTTAATTAGTCTTCTAACGTACAGTCTTCTCATTTCTTATTTATTTTTCTTCAAGTTATCCATTATCTGTCATCTTGGCTGTCACAGAGGTTTCTTTTGGTCTCATTCTATTGGACTGCCTTCTAAGCATGTTTCATATAGTTGGCCTCATTAGCATTTCTTCATGGTTTCTCAGAATTCTTTCATATACTCTGCCATTTTTATTCTACTTAAAATGTTAAATCTTTTTTTTTTTTTTGAGACTGGGTTTCGCTCTTGTTTTGTTGCCCAGGTTGGAGTGCATTGGCGTGATCTCAGTTCACCGCAACCTCCACCTCCCGGGTTCAAATGATTCTCCTGCCTCAGCCTCCCAAGTAGCTGGGATTAGAGGCACGCGCCACCACGCCTGGCTAATTTTGTATTTTTAGTAGAGTTAGGGTTTCTCCATGTTGGTCAGGCTGGTCTCAAACTCCCGACCTCAGGTGATCCACCCGCCTCGGCCTCCCAAAGTGCTGGATTACAGGTGTGAGCCACCGCACCCGGCCTAAATCTTTGATTAAATGAAATAAATGCTGAAAAATTCATAAAACTGTAAGCAAACAAAAATTGCCCCCAAACACAGAGATTCTTATAAGAAGCTTCTATTTACCTATTTCCATTAGCATCAAAACTGATAAATTAACAAGGGTGGTTTTCATGTAATTGCTGGAGGCAGGAACATTTATCGATGCTTCTAGCTTTACACACAGGCACGCACATGCATCCTTGCATTTACATCAAGGTCAATTAATCAGCTAAATCTAAGAAATTTTTTTTCTACTCTGTTTAATTCTCAGTTGGTACTTACTCTGCTCTAAGATGCTGCATTTACAAAGTGAATGTGGGAAAGCCAGTTCCTTCTAAGGACATCCTAGTTATGTTTCTTTTTCCATAGGAGAATCCATTTACTGGAGCCAGAAACCTACTCCATCATCGAACGCCAGCCCTTGGTCTGAGCCTGCGGCTGTAGATGTGGAACTCACAGCATATGCATTGTTGGCCCAGCTTACCAAGCCCAGCCTGACTCAAAAGGAGATAGCGAAGGCCACTAGCATAGTGGCTTGGTTGGCCAAGCAACACAATGCATATGGGGGCTTCTCTTCTACTCAGGTAAACAGCCTGTTCTCCCACTGCCACTTATCAGGTAGAATTAGATCTTGTGTGGAGATAGAGGAAAACATATTGTCCTTGCCTTCTCGGTCCAGGGGCTTAGAGAGAGGAAAAGCCTGTGAACAATATATGGAAGTATTCATAAAATGGGTTATAAGAGCACATTAATAGTACCAGATGTATTTAATTTTCTTTTTTTTTTTGTTGAATGTGAAACATTGGGGCCGGGCATGGTGGCTCATGCCTGTCATCGCAGCACTTTGAGAGGCCGAGGCAGGCGGATCACCTGAGGTCAGGAGTTCGAGACCAGTCTGGCCAACATGATGAAACCCCATCTCTACTAAAAATACAAAAATTAGCCAGGTGCGATGGCAGGTGCCTGTAATCCCAGCTACTTAGGAGGCTGAGACAGGAGAATCGCTTGAACCCAGGAGGCAGAGGTTGCAGTGAGCTGAGATCATGCCATTGCACTCCAGTCTGGGTGACAAGAGTGAAACTCTGTCTCCAAAAAAAAAAAAAAAAAAAAAGCAACATCATGAGGTCCATGTTTTACATGCAAGTAGGATATATATAATTATGGCTAAATGTACATATTAATAAACTAGGAAGACCATTATGGGGTCTGTAAAGATAACACCAAGATTCATGGGCACATATCCTTCTATCCTTCTTCTGCTATTGCAGGTATTAGAAAGCTAATAAGATATAGTCTGAACTCTAAAAAGTTTACAGTCTAGAAGAAAAGCGAGGACAAAGTCTATGTATTACAAAGAGGATCTGGTTTATAATATAAGAAACATGCAAAAGGTACAACATATCGAATTTCAAAATGGGAGAGAAAGCTCATATCAGCTTGAGGGATAAGAAAAGTCTTAGCCGGGCACAGTGACTCACGCCTATAATCCCAGCACTTTGGCAGCCTGAGGCGGTTGGATCACTGGAGGTCAGGAGTTCAAGATCAGCCTGGTCAACATGGTGAAACCCCATCTCTACTAAAATACAAAAATTAGCTGGATGTGGCCCCATCTCTACTAAAGATACAAAAATTAGCTGGATGTGGTGACATGTTCCTGTAGTCCCAGCTACTCGGGAGGCTGAGGCAGAAGAATTGCTTGAACCCGGAAGGCAGAGGTTGCAGTGAGCTGAGATCGTGCCACTGCACTCCAGCCTGAGTGACAAAGCAGCACTCTGTGTCAACAACAACAATAAACAAAAACAAACAAAAACAACAACAAACAAAAATTTTTTAGGCTGGACACAGCAGCTCATGCCTGTAATCCCAGTGCTTTGGGAGGCCGAGGCAGGCGGATCACCTGAGGTCGGGAGTTCGAGACCAGCCTGACCAACATGGAGAAACCCCATCTCTACTAAAAATACAAAATTAGCCAGGCGTGGTGGCGGGTGCCTGTAATCCCAGCTACCTGGGAGGCTGAGGCAGGAGAATCGCTTGAACCCGGGAGGCAGAGGTTGCGGTGAGCCGAGATGGCGCCATTGCACTCCAGCCTGGGCAACAAGAGTTAAAACTCCGTCTCAACAACAACAACACAACAACAACAACAACAATTTTAACTTTGTTTCAGAAAGATTAATCAGCCACTTGGTGTGTGAGATAATTTAGAGAGGAGAAACATTGGACTTGAAGAGATCAGGAGACTGTTTCCTTTATCTAGGTTAGGGGTAAGGGGAAATTGGGAAATTGAATGAGTGGTGTGGCAGTATGGAAAAAACAGAGGGGTAGAATTGTATGATAAACTCAAATCATAAAAAATTATTTTAGATTATAATGAAGAGAGTAGTCATTAATCTATGTATTCTGAAAATATTAAATATCTACCATGTCCAAATCACTTTGATGAGGCTACAGAAATAACTAAGAAAATATATTTCTTGTTCTCATGAAGATTATATTCTGATTTGTTGAAATTAGCCAATTTCACTGAAGATATAACATGTAAATCAGACCTGAAAGAATGAACATCTTTTAATAGGTTGCATGTTTGGTAAAAATGTTAAAAGCACCAAGTTTAGGCCAGGTGTGGTGGCTCACGCCTGTAATCCCAGCACTTTGGGAGGCCGAGGCAGGTGGATCACGAGGTCAGGAGATCGAGACCACGGTGAAACCCCATCTCTACTAAAAATACAAAAAATTAGCCGGGCACAGTGGTGGGCGCCTGTAGTCCCAGCTACTCGGGAGGCTGAGGCAGGAGAATGGCGTGAACCCAGGAGGCAGAGCTTGCAGTGAGCCAAGATCGCGCCACTGCACTCCAGCCTGGGAGACAGAGCAAGACTCCATCTCAAAAAAAAAAAAAAAAAAAAAAAAAAAGCACCAAGTTTAAATATGGTAATGACTTAATTGAAACTTAAAAAAATTATATGGTACTATGCCTCCCTGTTTCAGGGAAATTCTTGGCCAAAGATCACAAAATACTCCTTCTTGCTCGGTCCTGAATAATTATAATATATAATAATATTTTTGGAAAGCAGTGGGTGAAATGTTTACAACTCTCAGTGACAGGTATATGTCAGAATCCTTTTTCAATGAAATCCTTGGCTATCACAAGAAGTCATATATCATATATTACCCACACTGGTTTTTCAGCTGACAGTGAGGTCCCTTTCTTTGAATTGTCTCCATATGTTCAAGCAGTAAAAAACCTCCCTGGCTCCAGTCCACAAAAGGTAAACAAAAATTGTTTGTAGATGGTGAAGCTGCACAGATAGAACTTCTTCACAGCTTCACCAGGGTGGGTGACCTGTCTTCCTGTTTTGTAGGACAGTGATAATGTCGAAATAAGAATGTATTTTTCATTTGTGAGATGAAGAAATCGGGTTTTTTTTTGTAATAGATATTTTTTGTAATAGATATTTTACACGAGTGAGATATAACAATTTTGTTGAACACTTCATTCATTTTTCTTTCCCCTTGTAATTTATATGAATTATGTTTTCAGAATGAAACAGTTCAAATATCACTGTACCATGCTCACTTAGTGACAGTTTATCTGTCTTATTCCCAGAGAAATAAAAGATTGTCACATGGTATAATGGCTAAGAAGCCAGCCTGCAGGGAAGGACTTTCCTAGGGTCCCTTATACTCCTTCCAACTGTCATGTAGAAGATCATTACACAGTTAAATGACTTCATAGACTGCAATTTCTAGGGCTATCAAGTTACTACTGTTTCTCCCCCAAATAAGGAAGCTGTAAAATATATACTGAACAATTATCCACTTGCTTCTAGCAATAACTCATTCTGAAACTGTTGGTTTCTGAACATGAATTGATTAGGTTAACCAAGTAATCTGTGGATGTTCAGTAGTACCTTGTTGATGGTGATTTTCTATAAAAGCATGCTACTGGCTGGGTATGGTGGCTCATGCCTGTCATCCCAGCATTTTGGGAGGCCAAGGCAGCCGGACCACCTGAGGTTGGGAGTTCAAGACTAGCCTGACCAACATGGAGAAACCCCTTCTCTACTAAAAATACAAAATTAGCCGGATGTGGTGGCACACGCCTGTAATCCCAGCTACTTGGGAGGCTTAGGGAGGAGAATCACTTGAACCCAGGAAGCGGAGGTTGCAATGAGCTGAGATCGTGCCATTGCACTCCAGCCTGGGCAACAAAAGCAAAACTCCATCTGAAAAAAAAAAAAAGCAAGCTACTGTGATTTCTAGGCCAGCTTCTCCAGAGGAGGTGGGTATAGTTCTCTAAATACTTAAAGAAGTCATCATCCAAGCCAACTAACAACAACCAGATGTGTGGGTTATAGAGTTGTTCAAGGTTAATTCCAATGGCTCACAAAATGGTAAGTATACGTTTGGTTGTTTCCCTCAGGATACTGTAGTTGCTCTCCAAGCTCTTGCCAAATATGCCACTACCGCCTACATGCCATCTGAGGAGATCAACCTGGTTGTAAAATCCACTGAGAATTTCCAGCGCACATTCAACATACAGTCAGTTAACAGATTGGTATTTCAGCAGGATACCCTGCCCAATGTCCCTGGAATGTACACGTTGGAGGCCTCAGGCCAGGGCTGTGTCTATGTGCAGGTAAGTAGAGATCCATGAGAATGAGCGGACATTGGGAAGGAGAGTCGGAGAGCATCTTCCCCTTAGGCCTTCTCTCTCTCTTTCTTTCTCACTTGTAAGAAAAGTAGTTTGAACTGTACAATCTTTAAAGTTCTTTCCAAGTCTGATTTGGCTACCTATTTCTTCCTACCAGACGGTGTTGAGATACAATATTCTCCCTCCCACAAATATGAAGACCTTTAGTCTTAGTGTGGAAATAGGAAAAGCTAGATGTGAGCAACCGACTTCACCTCGATCCTTGACTCTCACTATTCACACCAGGTGATTAAAGCTGGGGTGCTGGTGGCCGGCAGAGCACCTGGTCATAGGAGCTGAGCTGGGACACTTGTGTGTGTGTGTGTCTGTGTATGTGTGTGTGTACGTGTGTGTGTGTGTGTGTTGGGGATGCAGAGTGCACTGAAGTAATAGGCTCACATGTGTTTTCTTCTTCCTGCTCTCAGTTATGTGGGGAGCCGTAGCTCTTCCAATATGGCTATTGTGGAAGTGAAGATGCTATCTGGGTTCAGTCCCATGGAGGGCACCAATCAGTTAGTAAGTTACTTCTGTTTTCTTCATTTATCTAGCTGTGAGGGGACCTAACGTTATAATTTAAAAAACTGGTAAAATGGGCATCATGGCGTGTATACACACACACACACAAGGCATGTATATACATACATATATATGTATGTATATGTATGTACACTTGTAAGAAAAGTAGTTTTCATATATATATATGGCATCCATATACACAGTATGTGATTATATATATGTGTGTGTATACATATGTAGGTATATATACATGTATATATGTGCATGTATGTACATATATGTGTGCATATATGTATATATTCATACACACAAACTCATGATTGGATTATTTAAATGGGCTGCAAGGTTGTAGCAGATATATGACATGCAACTTGTAATAGTCTTGGTTCCCTTTTCCTACCTTTTCCACAGTATATATTGTTTCCTTGATCATGGCAGAGCTTTGGAAGACTACCCCAGGGAAGGCTCTGGCTCTTAGTATCTTTTTTTTCTCCCTCTCTTATTCAGCTTCTCCAGCAACCCCTGGTGAAGAAGGTTGAATTTGGAACTGACACACTTAACATTTACTTGGATGAGGTAGGTATTCAGGAACCAGATCAAAGAGCTGGATTGCTTACGGATCTTCATGACTTCCCTTCTAATCTGTATATACGGGTGTCACACACATGGGGATGAGGGGCCTGGGAGTGAGTCCACACCATGCCATGAGTTCTGCCTCCATGCTGGTATACCGTAAAACACCCCATTGTGCCTCTAGAGGAGCCCTGTCCAACAGACCTATAATGTGAGCCGTTTACGACATTTGAAGATTTCTGGTAGACACATTTAAAAAGTATAGAAACAGATGAAATTAAGTTTAACGGTATATTTTATGCAAGCTTATACACCCCAAATATTTCCATTTTACCATACAATTAATATACAGACGTATTAATGAGATATCTACATTCTTTTTTTTTTTCTGTACCACATCTTTGAAATCCAGTATGTACTTTACACTGTCAGTGCATCTCAATTCTGACTGACCTCATTTCAAGTGCTCAATAGCCACAAGTGACATTGCAACTCTAGAGTATGTTATAGTGGTTAATAGCAGAAGCTCTGAAGCCAGACTGCCTGGGCTGTGATCTTGGTTCTAGCATTGACTGAGTAACTGGACAAGCTGTTGAAAGTTAGCTGTAAAATGTGTGTGGGTAGGGGTCAAAATAGTTCTTTTAGAGTTATAGAAAAAACTAAATTATTTAAGACATGTAAAAATATTTAGAACTGTACCTGGTATAGAGTAAGCCCTCATCACTTTATAGCTATTCCTATCATTTTAACATAATGTTAATATTACTTAATATTAATCAGACATTGTATGTAACCTTTCATTTTAACAAAACAAGAAGTTCTCAAGGACTAACAATGTTCTAAAGATTGTTACAATGTTCCTTTTCATGATATTCCATTCCACACAAGGAACAAAGTTATCCTTATTGAATATAACCAAAAGACAAGAATATCCCAAATCAAAACATACTGTTGTTAGTAACATCCATTTCCAACCCCCTGCCCACCCACCAACCCCATCATCTAACTGTGTTTCCTGTCTTCCAGGGAGCCAGGGTTTTTTATGTTGTGTGAGCCGTGTATAGTTTCTTTTTTCTTTTTTTTTTGAGACGCAGTCTCGCTCTGTCACCCAGGCTGGAGTGCAGTGGCACAATCTCAGCTCACTGTAAGCTCTGCCTCCCGGGTTCATGCCATTCTCCTGCCTCAGCCTCCCGAGTAGCTGGGACCACATGCGCCCGCCACCATGCCCGGCTAATTTTTTGTATTTTTACTAGAGACAGGGTTTCACCGTGTTAGCCAGGATGGTCTCGATCTCCTGACCTCGTGATCCACCCACCTCGGCCTCCCAAAGTGTTAGGATTACAGGCGTAAGCCACCGCACCCAGCCGAGTTGTGTATAGTTTCTTTTGAGACAGCTCGGGTTAGCTTATCTGGCACTACCCTGTAATCATGATGTTGCTGTTTAAAACTTTGCCAAGTTTATGATGCTTTCATACATGACTTATTCAAGTCTTACAGCCACCCTCCTTAGACATAAGGAGACAGAGTTGGAGAGAGAGAGTGGGTTGTCCAAGTCATACCATCTGTCAGTGTCTAGGGTGGGAGCAGAACCTGGGGAGTCTGATTTCCATGACACCATGCCTGAGACTGCAATGAACTGCTCCTCAGTGTGTCCTGCCAAATCTGCCAGTTGGCTTCTAATTTGAGTTAACAGGCCTAATGATCTAAAAGCCAGTGCTAATCATTGTATCTGTGGTTATTTCCTCTTTTCTGTGTGTCTTCTCCCTTGTGTTCTTGATCAATTTCACCAGAGGATGACCTTATTCACATATATAGTCTTCCTTATTTTTTGATGAACTTACACTATAAGCGTCCCTCTAGGTACATGCCATCCCTCTCCCACAATCTCAGACAAGCAATGTTTTTACTGTCATTCAGTTCTAACTATTTCTTAATTTGTTGGGAAACACATGGAATTTTTAAAGCCATCCTTTTGTTCCTGATGTCTAATTTTGTTGCATTATGGTCTGAGAATACAGTCTTCATGATCCTGATTGCCTGGAATGTGCTGAAGTTTCTTCCATGACCTAATCCATGATCTGTTTTTGCAGGTGTTCAGTGTGCACTCCAAAAGAACATCTATTTCTTTTCTCTTGGGCTTGGATTCTGATCTAGAAGTCTGAGATCATTATTTCTGTTGTTCATGTGTTTGATAACTCTGCTTATTTTTCTGCTTGATTTAACAATTTCTGAAAAGCATGTGTTAAAATATCCAATTATGATGGTTTTTGTTTGTTTGTTTAGTATTTTTTTGGTAGAGACAGCGTTTCACCATGTTGGCCAGGCTGGTCTTGAACTTCTGACCTCAAGTGATCTGCCTGCCTAGGCCTCCCAAAGTGCTGGAGTTATAGGTGTGAGCCACCACGCCTGGCCTCTAATTATGATATTTGATTTATCCATTTATCCATACATTTCTGCCAATTGTTTCCTGATATATTTGAGACTACATAATTAGATATATATGTTATGAACATATCTTCTTATTAAATTTTCCTTATATTAGTACATACTATCCTTTCCCCATTACTATATATGTGTATATATTTATATCATTTACTTTTGCCTTAGATTCTTACACTCCCCCACCGCCACACACACACACACAATTTTTTTCCCTTGCCTTGGGTGCCATTTAGTCAGATATTAAAACTGCTACCTGGCCGGGCGCAGTGGCTCATGCCTGTAATCCCAGCACTTTGGGAGGCTGAGACGGGCAGATCATGAGGTCAGGAGATCAAGACCATCCTGGCTAACACAGTGAAACCCCGTCTGTACTAAAGGTACAAAAAGTTAGCTGGGCGTGGTGGCAGGAGCCTGTAGTCCCAGCTACTCAGGTGGCTGAGGCACAAGAATGGCGTGAACCTGGGAGGCAGAGCTTGCAGTGAGCCGAGATTGCGCCACTGCACTCCAGCCTGGGCAACGGTGCAAGACTCCATCTCAGAAAAAAGAAAAAAAAAAAAAAACTGCTACCCCAGCTTTCTTTTGGTTCATATTAGTCATTTGCTTTAATTCATTATGGTGACCAAATGATAGAAAAGAACAGTGGTTCTAAAAATTCTTTGTTTCAGTGTCCCTTTATACTCTTAATTTACTGAGGACCTCAAACAGCTTTCGGTGAAGTGGGTTTTAACTATTGGTCTTTATCATATTAGAAATTAAAACTGAGACAATCTTAAAATATTTATTAATTAATTTAAAAATGATAATAAACTCACTACATCTTAATATAAATAAAATTTTTGTGAAAATAACTATTTTCTGGCCAGGCGTGGTGGCTCATGCCTGTAATCCCAGCACTTTGGGAGGCCGAGGCGGGTGGATCACGAGATCAGGAGTTCGAGATCAACCTGGCCAATATGGTGAAACCCCATCCATCTCTACTGAAAACACAAAAATTAGCTGGGCATGGTTGTGCGTGCCGGTAGTCCCAGCTACTTGAGAGGCTGAGGCAGAAGAATCGCCTGAACCTGGCAGGCAGAGGTTGCGGTGAGCCGAGATCATGCCACTATACTCTAGCCTGGGCAACAGAGTGAGACTCCATCTCAAAAAAAAAAAAAAAGAAAAAGAAAAAGAAAATAACTATTTTCCAAAACAAAAAAATAAGAATGGTGACATTGTTTTGCATTTTTGCTTTAATATCTGGCTTAATCAAAGAGAATGAAATTTTCCTATTTACTCCTACATTCAAACCGTTGCAATATTACACATAAAGTAGCCTCTGATAACTCTCCTGTATACTTGTTTTGTTTTTTATTTTTTTAAATCACTTTCCCCAGAAGGAAACAATCTCCTGTATATTTGTAAGAGAATGAGAGTGGAAAAAAAAAGTCTTAATATCATTCTAAAAATAATTCTGACCTCTCAGATATTCTGATGCAATCTCGGGGATCCCTGGAGTAGGGGAGGTCCCTCGACCACACTTTGAGAAGCACTATACCTGAAGAACTTTGGAAATCCCTTCCAATTAGGCGTTAATAGCGCTATATCTAAATTTATAATACGATTTTTTTTTTTTTTTGAGACAGGGTCTCACTCTGTTGCCCAGGCTGGACTTCAGTGGCCCGATCTTGGCTCACTATAATCTCCACCTCCTGGGTTCAAATGATCCTTCCACCTCAGCTTCCCAAGTAGCTAGGATTTATTTTTTTATATTAAAGTAACTTATACAATTGCCTTAGATTCTCCATTTGCTAATTTATTCAACAAATATTTACTGAACAACCAACATATGCCAGTCACTTTTCTAAGTGATGGAGACGTAGCAATGAAAACAATAGATATGATACCTGGCCTAAGAGTGCTGATATTCTAGTGGAGAGACAACAATATTCAGGTTTTTAAAAATTACATGTATATGTGTATACACACACATTTTTTTTCAGTAGTAATAAGTGCTATGCAGCATAAGGGGATAAAGAGTGCTGGTGGGGCAGGCCAGGGATGTGACTCTTTTTAAATAAGGTGTTCAAGGAAAGCCTCTTTGAGGAGGTATCATTTGCTCAGGGACCAGATTGAAGAAAGCAAACCAGTAAGGGGCATAGAACTGTTGGAGTAAAATGCAAGCCTCTGTTTCTCTGGCCACTTTGACTAATTTAGTGGAGAAGCCATGGGTCAGGGTGGACCATGAACAAAGGGAACCAGTTCACAAGAGGGCCAGAGAGCTGTAAGATCCTAAGAAGAAAGAGCCAGGAAGTCAGCAGGAGGCAATGTCTTTAAGACTCATAGGGCAGTAGCGGTACATAGAGGGTTTCAGAGAATCTTTTTTTAATTAAAAAAAAAATTTTTTTTTAATTTGAGATGGAGTCTCGCTCTGTCGCCCAGGCTGGAGTGCAGTGGCGCCATCTCGGCTCACTGCAACATCTGCCTCCCAGGTTCAAGCGATTCTTCTGCCTCAGCCTCCTGAGTAGCTGGGATTACAGGTGCCAGCCACCATGCCCGACTAATTTTTGTATTTTTAGTAGAGATGGGGTTTCACCATGTTGGCCAGGCTGGTCTGGAACTCCTGACCTCTGGTGATTCACCCACTTCGGCCTCCCAAAGTGCTGGGATTAGAGGCATGAGCCACCGTGCCTGGCGGGGCTTCAGAAAATCTACATGAAGACAGCAAGGGTCTTTTATTCCACATTGCATACAGTGTAATTTTCATTTTACTTCTAAGGTACTGTTTCATCTGTCTTCCCCACAGCTCATTAAGAACACTCAGACTTACACCTTCACCATCAGCCAAAGTGTGCTGGTCACCAACTTGAAACCAGCAACCATCAAGGTCTATGACTACTACCTACCAGGTGAGAGGGCTGAGCTGAAATGAGATCTGAGATCTTACCTGCATCTCCCAACTTACTTCTGCCTCATTCTTCATGGCTTCTCTCTTAATTTTACAAATACTCCTTCCCAAGCCAAGTAGCACATAATTAAATTATCTAATCTCCTAAAATATTTTAATTCAGTTGTGTGCCATTTTTAAGTTGCGTACACTAGAGACATTTTATGTGATCGGAGAACAATGTGAACCATTGTTCTCAAAGGGCTATTTCTATTATTTTTGGTATGATTAATAGTTTGTCACAATGTACAAATATTAGTGATTGAAACTTTCTTGTAATTCTGAATATGCTCATAACCTGTAGAGATTCTCTGGAAGGGGCTCAAGCAGTAGCTTTTCTGAAGCATTTTCCCTCTGAATATAGGAGGCCCTCAAAGTAATAATATGACTTATTTCATTTCACAGATGAACAGGCAACAATTCAGTATTCTGATCCCTGTGAATGAGGTAAGTCCAGCGGAGAAATGGGTGGAGTTATGGGTTAGGGTGGCAGAAGTTAAGAGGAGCCTCTTTTCGAGTTACTGTCATTGTCTTTTTTTGAGATAGAGTCTCGCGGTGTTGCCCAGGCTGGAGGGCAGTGGCGGAGGTTGAGTGGCTCACTTCCCAGCTTCAAGCGATTCTCCTGCCTCAGCCTCCTGAGTTGCTGGGATTATAGGCGCCCACCATGATGCCTGGCTAATTTTTGTATTTTTAGTAGAGACAGAGTTTCACCATGTTGACCAGGCTGGTCTCGAACTCCTGACTTCAGGTGATCTGCCCACCTCGGCCTCCCAAAGTGCTGAGATTACAAGCATGAGCCACCACACTCAGCCCTGTTATTGTCTTTTGGAAGCTATTGTTGATAGAAAGTGAGCTTTCCTTTTTTGTCTTAAACTTTTTTTTTTTTTTTAAACAGGATCTGGCTCTGTTGCCCAGGCTGCAGTGCAGTGGCGTGATCTCAGCTCACTGCAGCCTCTGCCTCCCAAGTTCAAGCGATTCTTGTGCCTCAGCCTCCTGAGTAGCTGGGATGACAGGCACGTGCCATCACGCCCAGCTAATTTTTTTTGTATTTTTAATAGAGATGGGGTTTCGCCATGTTGGTCAGGCTGGTCTCAAACTCCTGGCCTCAGGTGATCCGCCTACTTCAGCCTCCCAAAGTGCTGGGATTACAGGTGTAAGCCACTGTGCCCGGCCTGTCCTAAACTCTTGAAAATAGTTTACAGAAGAAAAAGCTAATGCTTGGTATTAAAACAATACTTTTTTCTATCAGATTGAAAATGGATTGATTTTTCCTGATATTTTTACATGATACATCTTTGTTATATGAAAATACTAAGACAAAAGTAAAGGTTACCTGATTCTACACCTGTGAGATAACACTATTAATAATCCAACTGTGCATTTGTGAGATTTTTTTGTATATATATAGAGAGGTCAAGTATCCTCTATGTATGTAATGAGCTTCTGAGTATCACAGTGTCTTCTATTTTTTGTTTGATTGTTCGCTTTTCAGGATAGGAGCTGGAAACTCAATTAGTCCTCTGTGACATTTACTGGAGGGTGGAACATTCTTCTGTCGCTTGAAGCAGAACTCATTCAATCAAATAATTTAATTTCTCTGACTAGTATATGGGTAACAAATGAATATGTCTGAACCTCAGCTATAATACTTTCTACTACCTTTGCAAGGAGATGGGATAGGAACAATCACTCAGAGGAGGCGTTGCATGGGCAGGGTCATAGGGGGAAGAAAGGTGGTTTAGCTGTTTTATTTAGCCATTCAGGGGGCTCTCCAGAGAGGAGACGGTGGTAGAGGGTGAACTAGAGAAGATAAGAATGTCTTCCTAGGCCGGATGCGGTGGCTCACGCCTGTAATCCCAGCACTTTGGGATTGCGAGGTGGGCGGATCACTTGAGGTCAGGAGTTCAAGACCAGCCTGGCCAACATGGTAAAACCCGTCTCTACTAACAATACAAAGATTAGCCTGGTGTGGTGGCACGGGCCTGTAATCGCAGCCCCTTGGAAGGCCAAGGCAGGAGAATCGCCTCAACACTGGAGGTGGAGGTTGCAGTGAGCTGAGATTGTGCCACTGCACTCCAGCCTGGGCAATGAGGCAAGACCCTGTCTCAAAAAATAATAAATAATAATAATAATAATGTTTTTCTAGAGTTTCAGTCTAAGGGAAAATGTGATTTAGGGCTTTGGAAATTGGCTAAAAAAATAAAAATGGAAAAGAAAATCTGTGCATTTAGTTCTATGCATATTTCTTTGGAAACCAAAAGTTCTTTTAAAGGTGATGATCATCCTTTCCCCCAAAACTCACAGTTTGGTTTCTTCCTTAAACCTTTTAACCCAGACTTCTCAAAGAATCATCTTAAAGATGTGAGGACAGGTTAGAATAGAGAATTTTAATTATGGGGCTCTGCTCAACCAGCCCGCTACTGCAGGGCAAACAGTGATGGATTACAAGAAAAGTGGCTGGCCAGAATGCCGTTTCCATCTCTCTCGGTTTCTCTTCTGCATGATTCTCCCAACCTCTCCCCACATGGGCTATCTATCACCTATCACCGTGCAAGCACTTCCTCAGAGGAATGCTTTTGTTTTGGAAACAGGTTTGGAGGCAAAGGGATAAGGGAAGTAAGATGAATGATATTTAACAGAAAAGATTCTCTAGGCAATTACACCCTTTTATCCTGGGTATCCACTGGATCCATTATGCTCCCCTTGATTGCAAATTCTGACTGAAAAGTCAGGGAAAATAAGTACATTCTACAAAAATAAAAAATGACAGATGGGACCTACTTAAACTAAAGAGCTTCTGCACAGCAAAAGAAACTATCAACAGAGTAAACAGACAGCCTAAAGAATAGGAGAAAATATTAACAAACTGCCTCCAGCAAAGAACTAATATCCAGAATCTATAAGGAACTTAAACAAATCAACAAGAAAAAAACAAATAATCCCATTAAAACGTGGGCAAGGGGCATGAGCAGACACTTCTCAAAAGAAGAGTACAAGTGGCCAATAAACATATGAAAAAATGCTAACCATCACTAATCATCAGAGAAATGCAAAATCAAAACCACAATGAGATACCATCCACACTAGTTAGAATGGCTATTATTAAAGTCAGAAAATAAGAGATGTTGGCGAGGTAGCAGAGAAAAGGGAATGCTAACACACTGTTGGTGGGAAGGTAAATTAGTTCAGCCACTGTGGAAAGCAGTTTGGAGTTTTCTCAAAGAATTAAAAATAGAATTAACATTCAACCCAGCAATCTCACTACTGGGTATATACACAAAGGAAATACATCTTTCTACCAAAAGGACACATGCACCTGTATGTTTTTCGCAGCACTATTCACAATAGCAAAGACATGGAATCAGCCTAGATGTTCATCAATGGTAGAGTGGATAAAGAAAATGTGGTCCATGTATACCATGGAATGCTATGTAGCCATAAAAAAGAATGCAATCGGCCCAGTGCGGTGGCTCATACCTGTAAACCCAGCACTTTGGGAGGCCGAGGTGGGTGGATCACCTGAGGTCAGGACTTCAAGACCAACCTGGCCAACATGGCAAAACCCATCTCTACTAAAAATACAAAAACCTAGCAGGGTGTGGTGGCAGGTGCCTATAATCCCAGCTACTGGGGAGGCTGAGGCAGGAGAATTGCTTGAACCTGGGAGGTGGAGGTTGCAATGAGCCGAGATCATGCCATCGCACTTCAGCCTGGGCGACAAGAGCAAAACTCCGTATCTAAATAAATAAATAAATAAATAGAATGTAATCATGTCCTTTGCAGCAGCATGGATGCAGCTGGAGGCCATTATCCTAAGTGAATTAATGCAGAAACAGAAAACCAAATACTGCATGTTCTAACTTTTAAGTGGGAGCTAAACCTGTTGTACACATAGACACAAAGATAGAAACAATAAACACTGGAGATTCCAAAAGGGAGAAGGGAGGAAAGAGGGCAAGAGTTGAAACCTACATTCAGGTACTATGTTCACTATTTGGGTAACGGGATCACTAACTCAAACCACAGCATCACGCAATATACCCATGTAACAAAACCTGCATATTTACCCCCTGAATCTAAAC
The DNA here is from genome assembly GCF_000001405.40 of Homo sapiens. Lineage (NCBI taxonomy): Eukaryota > Metazoa > Chordata > Mammalia > Primates > Hominidae > Homo > Homo sapiens. The sequence goes on from NC_000012.12 coordinate 8,878,648, forward strand.
CTGCATATGTATCTCCTGAATTTAAAATTGAAAAGGCCAGGCATGGTGGCTCACTCCTGTAATCCCAGCACTTTGGTAGTCCAAGGTGGGTGGATCGCTTGAGCTCTGAGTTCGAGATCAACCTAGGCAACATGGCAAAACTCCATCTCTACCAAAAATACAAAAATTAGCCAGGCATGGTGGCGTGTTCCTGTAGTCCCAGCTACTCCGGAGGCTGAGGTGGGAGAATCGCTTGAACCCAGGAGGAGGAGGTTGCAGTGAGCCTAGTTTGCACCACTGCACTCCAACCTGGGTGATAGGGTGAGACCTTGTCTCAAAAAAATAGAATAAAATAAAATAAATAAAAGCGTATACTGAAGAGAATATTCCCCCAAGCCCAGGGTCACAGTTGCATTAATTGTTCTGTACCTTTCTCCTCCATCCTTGTGTCTGTCCTGGTCCTTCTAGGAGTTCCTATAGTGAGGGCAGATGGGGGAAGATATGCAAAGGAGGTCATTCCCAAGCTTGCCTCTTGGGTATCAAAGGAAGAGAGCAGAGGGAACTCTAAAGAAAAGAAGGTAGTTGTCAGGTGCAGCAGCTCACACCTGTAATCCCAGCAGTTTTGGAGGCTTAGGCGGGCGGATCACTAGAGATCGGGCATTCAAGATCAGCCTGGCTAACATGGTGAAACCCTGTCCCTACTAAATATACAAAATTAGCTGGGCGTGGTGGCATGCGCCTGTAATCCCAGCTACTCGGGAGGCTGAGGCAGGAGAATTGCTTGAACCCGGGAGGCGGAGGTTGCAGTGAGCTGGGATTGCACCACTGCACTCCAGCCTGGGGGACAGAGTGAGACTTGGTGTCCAAAAAAAAAAAGAAGGTAGTCATGATCATGAAAGCCCCTTCCACTCACTAAAAGCTCCATCCCATGTACATTTTGGGTCTGCAGCACTTACCAGAGCATCCCCTCTTTTGGAACGAAAGGAAATGGTGATCCTCAAGACTTAAGAGGTTATGCGGGCAGAATACATCTTAAATGATTAGGAAAACTCTTTATTCTTGTATCTTTGGGATTTCAGATAGGATAAAAAGAATATTCTTATGCTTAAATTATCAACTACGCTGAATAAAAGGATGTTAATGAGAACATGTACATTGTCCAACTCATTGAAATATAAATATTTGTGCATATTTGAGAAGGTGATTGTGAGGATTAGGTGGCATTTAGCATTCAAGTGACACTTGGTATTACAGTACTTACAGTAAATACTGATACATACATTTATTATATGTCAGGTATTACACCAGGCCTGGGAATACAAAGATAAATAAAATGAAGTTTCTCTTCTCAAAAAGCTCACAGACTAGTGGAGGGAGGAAGGAAACAAACAAATTAACAGTTATAATACAGTGTGACCAAAAAAATGATAGAAGAAAGCACAAAAAGCTACGGAAGGCCAGGTGTGGTGGCTCATGCCTGTAATCCCAGCACCTTGGGAGGCCGAGGCAGGCAGATCACCTGAGATCAGGAGTTCGAGACCAGCCTGGCCAATATGGTGAAACCTCGTCTGTAGTAAAAATACAAAAAAATCAGCCGAGTGTGGTGGCAGGTGCCTATAATCCCAGCTAATTGGGAGGCTGAGGCATGAGAATTGCTTGCATCTGAGAGGTGGAGGTTGCAGTGAGCGGAGATTGTAGCACTGCACTCCAGGAGCCTGGGCAACAGAGCAAGACTGTCTAAAAAAAAGAGGTGGGGAGAAAGCACGGTATTTCACCCAAGTAATTCAGTGTACTCATGGATTATGTGTGTGTATGTGTGGGGCGGGGTGGGGGCGTGGGTAGTGTCTCCTCAAAGTTAGACTGGGAAACAGAGATTGGATAATGACTTGCTTTTCAGAAAGATCATTCTAGCAGTAATGTGAAGAATGGGGTGGAGAAGAAGAAAGCCGAAGTCCTTGAAACCATTTAGGAGACTGCTACAGTTATCCAGGTAAAAGCTGGTGAACGGGGAGTGGGAGGGGGAGGAGGGGACACTCAGCAGCTACTCAGCTTAGCTGATAGAATCAGGAAGACTTACTGACATCAAAGACAAAACGTACCAGACAATTACACAGGTGGTTTTATTCGGGCCATTGCAATCAAGAACACATGTTCATTAATTAATAACATCTCAGAGAAAAGGAAGGGGACCTGAGGTTTCATAGAGGCAGCAAACAAAAGAGTCATACATGGATCTTATGGGAGCCATAATGAAGGATGGAGATGAGGCTTTTTATGGAATATGTGTGAGCAGAGTGATTCTTTGCAGTTAGCTTTTTTGTTGGAACACAAAAGGTTGGAGGGTTTTGGAAAACAACACGATGGGTAAATTTCTTAACTGACCTGTTTTACAGAAGCACAGGGTTCAGGTGGTTCACCAGTGTCAGAGACTAAGTGAATGCAAGAAAGGAGAGTAAGGGAAGAGGCTGGGAAGACTGCCAGAATTCTAGACTGTGGATTACATACAGGAGAAAAACCTTTTCCTCTACCTGTTAGGTTTAGTATACGGGGCCTGCAAATGAAACCGAGAAAAGACAGATGAAAGGGAAAGGCTTATTTCACAAGCATGTGACAACTTCACAGGGAAGAAGTGAAAATAAGAGAAGCAATGAGGAATGGGGGCTTATATGCCATTTTAACAAAGGACAAGTTGTGGAAACATTAACAAGACCAAGGAAGTGAGATCTGGGCATTTGGGGCAGTAAGTTATGGGAAGGTAAATATATCGGAGGCACTAATGGAAGATAATGACCATTTTAGTAAGATTTGTTTACGCAGATTCAAGTTGGTGCTGACTTTCTGTCTCTTGTCATATAAGTTATTCTCCTTCTCCTGATATGGGAGAGGGGGAGAGAGACACTTTCCTTCATAAGGGGAAATTTATATCCTGCTTTTAAGTGTTTCTTAATTGCCTTCCAGCACAAAATCCTACTTATGCCAAAGTGGCACAATTTGGACTGGCATATTTTGATCCCTTTTAACTGGGTGGATGGTGCCATCCATGCAGGTACAGATATAGAAAGAGAGAAAATAGTGTGTTCAGTTTACTACATTAAGTTTGAGTGGCTGGGTGTGGTGGCTCACACCTGTAATCACAGCACTTTGGGAGGCCGAGGCGGGTGGATCACGAGGTCAGGAGATCGAGACCATCCTGGCTAACACGGTGAAACCCCGTCTGTACTAAAAATACAAAAAATTAGCTGGGTGTGGTGGTGGGTGCCTGTAGTCCCAGCTACTCGGGAGGCTGAGGCAGGAGAATGGCGTGAACCTGGGAGGTGGAGCTTGCAGTGAGCCGAGATTGCGCCACTGCACTCCAGCCTGGGCGACAGAGCGAGACTCTGTCTCAAAAAAAAAAAAGAAAAAAGTTTGAGAATGTGTAAGTCCTGATGGTGAAGATGTTGAGATAGTGGGATATAAAGGGTCATGTCAACCATTAAAGAAAGAAATCTGAAGATAAAGACTGGCAGTTAGCAGCAAATAAGTAGTGAGAAGCCAAGAGTGTTGAGGACTAGCTAGGGAACAGGAAATGAGAAGAGGAGAGACTGAAAGGGAGTGCCAACATTTCAACAGCAAAGGAAGAGAAGGGACTTCAGAACCCAGGATCTCACCAATATTTCTTCCCATAACAATGGCCTCTTGAAGGCTTTCCCTTCTCCTACCTCCCCCTTGAATCCCCGCCTTCATCAAGGATTTGGTAGGAAGTGGAAAGGAACCAGTATCAGAAAAGAATCCTACTTTTTTTTCTTTCTAAGAATCCTACCTTAATAAGCAAAATATGTCACATTTGGAGCACAGAGAACTTTCTATCCTTCTTCCTGTAGCCCTGTTGAAATATTTATCATATCTCATCCAGACTGTTGCAAAAACCCAGTTGCTGCCCCTTCTATGTCAGAACATTCCTCCACCCCTATGTCTATTATTTTATTTTACATATTCTCTATACACAAGGCTGCCTCTATTCAACTAACCCTTAGAATTGTGTCAGGTGATGTACTGCCAGCTATTTAAAATCTGGGCCAGGTGCAGTGGCTCCCACCTGTAGTCCCAGCACTTTGGGAAGTTGAGGAAGGAGGATCACTTGAGCCCAGAAGTTCAAGACCAGCCTGGACAACATAGCAAGACCCAATCTCATTCTTTTTAAAAAATAAAATCCTAATCTGATTATGACATTCATTTGCTTAAAACCCTTCAGGGGCTGTTAGGGGTAAAGTTCTATTCCTGTTCATGGCATAGCAGACTTTCATGACTATTTTCTTCCTGCCCCCTCCCCGCCAGCTCCATCTTCGGCCTTTGACCCTCACACTTCAGGAACACGGAACATTTGGTTCCCAATTTCCACTAAAATCTCCGATAACTTTCAAAGATGCTTTCTATCATGCTTGAAAAGCTTTTCTCTCTTCTGCTTGGAGGACTTCCACTGGTCCTTCAAGGAATGGCCTCCAAGGTGTGTTTCCTACTCTGGCAAGGCTTCCTTAAGAGCTCTTTGCTCCTACAGCACCTGTGATTCCAGCGGAGGATTTACCAAGCTGGGTTCCTGTTTTCTGTTGACCCTCCCATCTCCCCCATCAGAGTGTAAGATCTCTGGAAAGCTGGACCCTGTGCTGGGTGCTTCCAACTCCCCACCACCACACCCCATTATCTATTCTCTTTATCACTGACAAAAAGTACAATTTTATTTGGAGCAGCCACGTGCCCAACTAAAATCGTCACCTTCTCAGAATCGCTTGCAGTTAGGTTTGGCCATGTGGCAGAATTCCAGCCTACAAAAAGTAACCGGAAGTCCCTGGAAAGTATTTCCTTCTTCTTCTTCTCTCTCTCTCTTTTTTTTTGAGATGGAGTTTCACTCTTGTTGCCCAGGCTGGAGTGCAATGGCACGATCTTGGCTCACTGCAACCTCCACCTCCCAGGTTCAAGAGATTCTCCTGCCTCAGCCTCCCAAGTAGCTGGGATTACAGGTGCCCACCACCACGCCTGGCTAATTTTTGTATTTTTACTAGAGACGGTGTTTCACCATGTTGGTCAGGCTGGTCTCAAACTCCTGACCTCAGGTGATCTGCCCACCTCGGCCTCCCAAAGTGCTGGGATTATAGGTTGAGCCACCATACCTGGCCTGTTTTTTATTTTTATTTTTAATTTTTGAGACAGAGTCTCATTCTGTCACCCAGGCTGGAGTGCAGTGGCACGATCTTGGCTCACTGCAACCTCTGCCTCCCAGGTTCAAGCGATTCTCCCGCCTCAGCCTCCCCAGTAGCTGAGACTACAGGCGCCCGCCAACACGCCTGGCTAATTTTTGTATGTTTAGTAGAGGCAGGGTTTCGCCATGTTAATCAGGCTGGTCTTGAACTCCTGGCCTCAAGTTATCTGCCTGCCTTGGCCTCCCAAAGTGCTGGGATTACAGGCGTGACCCACCACACCTGGCCCTGTTTTTTGAATTCTAGCCATCTTAGTGTGTGTGAAGTGGTATCTCATTGTGGTTGGATATCCTCTGATGAAAAAGGATCTGTTCAAGGCTTTTGTTTATGATTCTGGATTGACTTTCTTTTGAAATTCTTTTTTTTATTTTTTGTTTTTTTTTGTTTTGTTTTTTTTTAACTATTTTCCTTTTTTTTAACTTTTATTTGAGGTTTGGGGCTACCTGTGCAGGTTTGTTACATAGGTAAACACGTGTCGCGGGGGTTGGTTGTACAGATTATTTCATCACCTAGGTATTAAGCCCAGTACCCAATAGTTATCTTTTCTGCTCCTCTCCCTCCTCCTACTATCCTCCGTCGAGTAGACTCCAGTGTCTGTTTTTCCCTTCTTTGTGTTCATAAGTTCTTACCATTTAGCTCCCACTTATAAATGAGAATGTGTGGGAATTGGTTTTCTTTTTCTTTTTTTTCTTTTTTTAAGACGAAGTCTCACTCTGTTGCCCAAGCTGGAGTGTAGTAGCGCGATCTTGGCTCACTGCAACCTCCACTTCTTGGGTTCAAGTGATTCTCCTGTCTCAGGCTGCCAAGTAGCTGGGACAACAGGCATGTGCCACCGTGCCCATGCACCACCATGCCTGGCTAATTTTTGTATTTTTAGTAGAGACGAGGTTTCACTATGTTGGCCAGGCTGGTGGGATTTGGTTTTCTGTTTCTGCATTAGTTTGCTGAGTATAATGGCCTCCAGCTTCATCCATGTTCCCATGAAAAACATGGTCTCATTCCTTTTTATGGCTGCATAGTATTCCGTGGTTTATATGTACCACATTTTCTTTATCCAATCTCTCATTGATGGACATTTAGGTTGATTCCATATCTTTGCTATTGTGAATAGTGCTGCAATGAACATTTGCATGCATGTGTCTTTATGGTAGAATGATTTATATTCCTCTGGGTATATATCCAGTAATGGGATTGCTGGCTTGTGAAATTCTTTATATGTCTAGATCAGAGGACTTTGTGAGATTTTCAGACTTGCAAAAAGTTCAGAATAAACTTCAGTACCGCAAATATCTTCTTCAGTCTATGGGTTGCCTTCTCACTCTTTCAATAATGTCTTTTGGTGAACAAAAGTTCTTAATTTTAATATAGTTCAAGTGAGTGATTTTATTATTCTATTTAAGAATCTTGCCTGGGTGTGGTGGCTCACATCTGTATTCCTAGCACTTTGGGAGGTTGAGGTGGGAGGATTACTTGAGGCCAGGAGTTTGAAGGCAGCTGTCTCTACAAAATCAAAATCAAAATAAAGAGAAAGAAATCTTTACTTCAGGGTCAAAAAATGCTTTCCTTATGTTTTCAAATAAAAGCTTTTTATTTTATTTTATTTTTTTTAGAAAACAGGGTCTCACTCTCTCACTCTGTCACCCAGGTTGGAGTACAGTGGTGCAATCTCAGCTCATTGCAACTTCTGCTTCCCGGGCTCAAGCAATCCTCCCACCTCAGCCTCCTGAATAGCTGGGACCACAGGAGGCACATGCCACCACACCCCGCTAATTTTTTGTATTGTTTTGATAGAGTTGGGGTTTCAGCATGTTGCCCAGACTGGTCTCGAACTCCTGAGCTCAAGCAATCTGCCTGCCTCGGCCTCCCAAAGGGTTGACATTACAGGCGTGAGCCACTGCACCCAGCTAAAAGCTGTTTTTGTTTTAATTTTATCTGAAATTGCTTTTTGCGCATGGTATGAGCTAGGTCAAGAGACTTTGTTTTCCTACATGGATATTTAATATGGCTCAGATCATCTATTGAAAGACCATCCTTTTCCCACTACATTACAGCATGTTGCTTTTATCATAAATAAGGTAGCCATACATGGGAGAGTTTATTCCTGGATTCTGTTTTGTCTCATTGTTTACTTCGCCTATCCTTCAACAATATCTCACACACACACACACACACACACACACACACACACTATAGTTTTATTATAGTTCTTGATTTTGGGTAGTATAATCCTCTAGATTTTGTGATTCTTCTTCAAGATAGCCCTAGCTATTCTTGGCATTTTGAATTTCCATATAAATTTAAATCAGTTTGTTAATTTCCTCAAAAAACCTGCTGGGAATTTGGGAGGATTGCTTTGGAGCTATAGAGTTGAAGATGACTGACATCTTTATAATATTAAGTTTCTAATTTATGAACATGCTCTATCCCTTAAGTATTAAGTCCATCCTCAATTTCTCTCAGCAGTGTTTTGTAGTTTTCAGTGTAGTGGGTGTTGCACATCTTATATTAAATTAATTCCTAGGCAGTTGGTTCTTTTGATGTTATGTAAACAATTTCAGTAATAACATCTAATTTCCTATTTATTTTGTATTTGGACCTTGAATCCAGCAACCTTGCTAAATTTGCTTATTGTCTTGGTTTTTTCCTTAGGTTCTTTTAAATTATCTCAGTACACAATTGTGTGGTCCATGAACAATGACAGCATAGTGGACTCTGTGGCACGGCACCCAGAACCACCCCCTTTCAAGACAGAAGCATTTATTCCTTCACTTCCTGGGAGTGTTAACAACTGATAGCTACCAGTTGTGCCCGCTCTGGACTTTTGCCCATAGTGGCCTATCCTCTGTGATTATGCATTTGTAACTGTGTTCTTCCTCTTCTGAAGACATCAGTCACATTGGATTAGCCACCCTTATGGCTGCATTTCACCTTGATTACCACTTTAAAGGCCCTGTCTCCAAATACAGTCACATTGGGGGTTATGGCTCCAACATACTCATTTGGAAGCCAGGTGTGGTGGCTCATGCCTGTAATCCCAGCACTTTCGGAGGCCAAGGCAGGAGGATTGCTTGAGCCCAGGAGCTAGAGATCAGCCTGGGCAACACAGGGAGACTCATCTCTACAAAAAAATATAAATAAATAAACAAAAAAATTTAACTGGGTGTGGTGGTGCATACCTGTAGTCTCAGAAACTTGGGGGCTGAAGTGGGAGGATCACTTAAGCCCAGGAGGTCGAGCCAAGATCACGCCACTGCAGCACTCAAGCCTGGGCAACAGAGCAAGACCCTGTCTCAAACAAAACAAAACGAAACAAAAAAAACAAAAAAACCCATATAAATTTTGGGGAACACATTTCAGTTCATAATAAAGTGGAAAAATTAAAAGAAATTAAATTTACAGTTTAAAGTTATGCTAGAATAGACATGAAGTAGCCCCCCTGAAATAAGAGTTAAGAAAGAATATTAACTGCTCCTCTGTAAGGTCTGTGAAGCATTAACCATATCTCTCCCCCACATATTTTGTAAGTTCTGTAAGCTCCTGTTTTTCTTGCTGTGCAGCTGCAAAGTCACAAGATAGATAAGCATGAGTCGCAAGACATGTTTTCCCAAGATGTAAGCTGAGTCCTAAGAATGTCACCTGATAATTAACTGCTTTGTTCTCGCTTTTGTAAACCAGCTTCCTGCATCATATAATTCCCACCTCAAAGTGCATAAAAGACATTCATTTTCTTTGTTTGCTGCTCAGACTTTCAAGATGCATGTCCGCTGAGCTAGTGTACACTTAAAATATTCCCTCCTGAACTCCGCTTAGTCTCTCCAGTCTCTGATTTCCCACTACAATAACACATCCCTGAAGAGATTTTGGTTTGACCAATCAAAAATAATAATTGTGTTTTCTGTGACGCAAACATAAGGAAACCTATAGACTCAAACATTTTTTATTGCCTACCTCCTAAAATAATTTTTTAAAATAATTTTTAAAAAGCATACATTCTTTTGCATATTTTTGGTCAACATTTAATTTTTTTTTTTTTAAGACAGTGTCTCTGTCACCCACGCTGGAGTGCAATGGTGCAATCATGGCTCAGTGTAGCCTCAACATCCCAGGCTCAAGCTATCCTCCTGCCTCAGACTCCCGAGTACTTGAAACTACAGGTGTTTGCCACCACACCAGGCTAATTTTTGCATTTTTTGTAGAGACAAGGTTTCACCATGTTGCCCAGGCTGGTCTCAAACTCCTGGGCTCAAGCAATCATCCCATGTCAGCCTCCCAAAGTGCTGGAATTACTGGTGTGAGCCACCATGCCTAGCCTTCATCCACTTTTATCAGAGAATTTTATTTAATATGTTTTTATGCTTAAAAGTTTTATTGATCATCTTATCAGAGTTTCTGCCATAAAAATATGTCTATAACTTCAGATATCAAAACATTTTTATTTTATAAGGCTCAAATATATTCAAGGCTTCTTGTGGATTGAGTTAACATCACAATTAGACATATTGGATCAAAACAGCACACATTTTTAAAATAAGAAGTTAAAAAATATCACTTCTTTTGTTTTGAGACGGAGTCTTGCTCTGTTGCCCAGGTTGGAGTGCAGTGGTGTAATCTCGGCTCACTGCAATCTCCGCCTCCGGGGTTCAAGCAATTATCCTGCCTCAGCCTCTCTAGTAGTTGGGATTACAGGTGCGTGCCACCACACCCAGTTAATTTTTGTATTTTTAGCAGAGAGGGGGTTTCACTACATTGGCCAGGCTGGTCTCAAACTCCTGACCTCAAGTGATCCTCCCGCCTTGCCTTCCAAAATGCTGGGATTACAGGCATGAGCCACTGCACCTGGCCAAAAAATATTACACATAATAAAAAGTAAAAACTAGAAGCACATTTTCTAATGACATGAATGTGGTTGGGATTTTTTTCAATTATCCAATAATATATTAGTGCATACATTCACAGATGATTATTGCTTATTTCTTTTTTTCTTTTTTTGACATGGAGTCTCACTCTGTCCCCCAGGCTGGAGTGCAGTGGCACAATCTCAGCTCACTGCCACCTCCACCTCCTGGGTTCAAGTGATTCTCCTGCCTCTGCCTCCTGAGTAGCTGGGACTACAGGCGCCTGCCACCACGCCTGGCTAATTTTTGTATTTTTAATAGAGATGGGGTTTCACCATGTTGGCCAGGCTGGTCTCGAACTCCTGACCTCAAGTGATCTGCCCACCAAAGTGCCGGGATTACAGGTGTGGGCCACCATGCCTGGCCCATAATTTGCTTATTTCTAGAATGAGACAAGAATCAAGATTAATTGTATTCCAATTTTTAATTTCTTCAGGTATATTATTTGAGAAATCTCACTCATATAAATAAGAGTAGAAGGCATTTAGCTTTAGCAATGCCAGTGAATTTTGTGAACTCTTTCAAGTTATATACCAAAACCTTATAATAATCTTTCATCAAAAACTGATTTATCAGCACTCAACTTGATTAGATGCTCCTTTAATTTGGTTGAAAGAATTATAAATCTTGACTTCCAAAAAGATTTTTCATGAAAGTACTTTATCTACACAAAGTGACAATATTTCAAATTATCTTTGGTGGTCAAGAGGGGGTATGTGTGTGTGTGTGTGTATGTGTGTGCCCTAGAACAGCATACCATGGAAGGAATGAGAGTTGCAGTAACCTTTTGTAAAGTGAGCAGGGAGAGGGGAAAGAAGATGCTTTGACACGTAGAGAACATTCTTGGTGAAGTGTCAAGATGGAGACTGCATCTGGAAGTCAAAATCTGGAAATTTCAGCCCTGTCCATGTTGGAAAGGCTTTGTACACCCCAGAGATACATGTACTCCAGTTTGAAAATTGCTGATGTAGTGTGTATCTAGTGTCAATCAGCCTGTGTTCAAATAACAGCTCTACATCTTGCTAGCTGAATGACTTTGGGCAATTTATTTAGCCTAACTATACCTCAGTTTCCTCCTTGGTAAAATGGGAGTGATAATACCTCAAAGAGTGGTAGTGAAGATAAAATTATCTACGTAAAGTACTTAAAACTGATAGGGAGGAAGGGAGGGATTGCAAATTAGCACAAGAAAGCTTTGGGGGTGATATGTTCCATTATCTTGATTATGGTGATAGTTTCATGGTTGAATACATGTTAATATTCATCAGATTGTACACTAAATATGTGCTGTTATTGTATACCAATTTTACCTTAGGAATGCTGTATTAAACCTGGGCACAGTGGCTCACGCCTGTAATCCCAGCACTTTGGGAGGCTGATGCAGGTGGATCACTTTGAGCTCAGGAGTTCGAGACCAGTCTGGCCAACATGATGAAACCCCATCTCTACTAAAAATATAAAAATTAGCCTGGAGTGGTGGTGCACACCTGTAATCTCAGCTACTTGGGAGGCAGGAGATTTGCTTGAACCTGGGAGGCGGGGGTTGCAGTGAGCTGAGATCACGCCACTGCACTCCAGCCTAGGTAAAAAAGCAAGACTCCGTCTCAAAAAAAAAAAAAAAAGAAAAGAAAAAAAGAAGAATGCTGTTTTAAAATCTTTCATTTTTTATTTTTAAAAAATAGGGACAGGGTTTCACCGTGTTGCCCAGGCTTTTCTCAAACTCCTAGACTTAAGCTGTCCACTGGCTGCAGCCTTCCAAAGTCCTCGGATTACAGGCTTGAGACTCTGTGCCCGGCCTGTTTTAAAAATCTTAATTGGCATTTAATATATATTCAATAAATATTAGCTATTATTGTGAAGAGAGATTCTGGACCTTTCTTGCCAGGAGGTAAAATTTCCACTCTCAATGTAGGCCCCTGTTGTTTCACTGGGACCTTTCTCCCCTCTCTACAGCTTTCCCCTTCCCCAGCCCCAGGAAAGGTGGAGGCGCCACCTTCTGGTCAGAAAGGAGATTACACAATGGTGTCCTGCTTTTAAACTTTTTGTTTTGTTTTAGCATTTATTTTCGAATAGACAATACACGCCCACGTAAAAATTCAAAGGTCCTAAGAGACACCTTCCACATTTCTTCTCTCAGTTCCCTCCTCGGATGTAACCTATACTATTACTTTTGCCAAATGTCAGCGCCCTGAAATACACCACCCGAAATCTCACAGATAGGCAAAGCTGGAGTTTATTCATGTCTTAGCAAGGGAGCACACCGCCTTGCGGAAACTTGAGCAGCATCTGGGAGGGGAGGGCAAAGGGAGGATATTTATGAGGTTCTAGGTTGGATTAAGGTGGGTCTTTCAGTGAAGGGCTCTGATTAAGTTTGGGTACGGATCATGATTTAGCAAGGTGAGGGCTTAAAAAAGTTTTGGAGCATGAATAATCATTTGATAACTGTACTGGAAAGCTAAGCAATTTAAAATACGTTGTCTGGATATTCCTGAAATGAACAATAACATTATTTAAAAGTTTTATTTTAAAAAGTTTTTTCAGTTAAAAAAAATTAAAGGCATAAGTATGATACAAAGGACTTTGGGGACTTGGGCGGAAAGGGTGGGAAGGGAGAGAGGAATAAAAAACTACAAATTGGGTTCAGTGTATACTGCTCGGGTGATGGGTGCACCAAAATCTCACAAATCACCACTAAAGAACTTACTCATGTAACCAAATACCACCTGTGCCCCAATAACCTATGGAAATAAAAAGTTTTTAAAAATTTCATTTTGTGAGTGCAGAGTAGGTATATGGGATACATGAGATGTTTTGATACAGGCGTGTGATGTGTAATAATCACATCCGGGTAAATGGGATATCTATGACCTCAAGCATTTATCCTTTGTGTTACAAACAATACAATTAGGCCAGGTACAGTGGCTCACGCCTGTAATCCCAGGACTTTTGGGAGGCTGAAGTGGGTAGATCACTTGAGGTCAGGAGTTGGAGACCAGCCTGGCCAACATGGCAAAACCCCATCTCTGCTGAACATACAAAAAGTAGGCGGGCGTGGTGGCGGGCGCCTGTAATTCCAGCTACTCAGGAGGCTGAGGCAGGAGAATTGCTTGAACCTGGGAGGCAGAGGTTGCAGTGAGCCAAGACTGAGCCACTGCACTCCAGCCTGGGTGACAGAGTGAGACTCTGTTTCAAGAAAAAATAATAATACAATTGTACTTTTAGTTATTTTAAAATGCACACTAAATTATTATTGATTAGAGTCACTCTGTTGTGCTATCAAATACTACATTTTATTCATTCTATTTTTTTGTACCCATTACCCATTCCCATTACAGCTTTTATTTTTGGGGCAAGGGCTTCCTGAAATACTAAAGTCTTGTTGGTAAAGACAGTAGAATAGCAAAGTCAAGCTAATGTAGGCAGTAAAGTGTGTGGGTGGGGCTTGGCTAATTCTCAGTTTCTGGTATATCTTTTCAGAGATATTCTGTGCTTATTCAACTATACATGTATAAATTTCTTTTATTATTATTTTTATCTTTTTATTTTTTTTTGAGACAGAGTCTTGCTCTGTCACCCAGGCTGGAGTGCAGTGGCACGATCTCGGCTCAGTGCAACCTCCGCCTCCCAGGTTCAAGTGATTCTTCTATCTCAGCCTCCCAAGTAGTTGGGATTATAGGCTCCCACCACCAAGCCCAGACAACTTTTTTGTATTTTTAGTAGAGACAGGGTTTCACCATGTTGGCCAGGCTGGTCTCACACTCCTGACCTCAAGTGATCCTCCCCTCTCGGCCTCCCAAAGTGCTGGGATTACAGGTGTGAGCCACCGTGCCCAGCCTATACATGTATAAATTTAAGAAATGTGATATTTTCCCCTTTACCAGTTGTTGCAGAAATCCAGAAACTGAGTATGAGATATTCCTTAAATAATGGCGATCCAACAGCGTTTGCTCTGTGGTGATATGTGATGTACTTTCCCAAAGTACGTATATTTACGTATTTTGTGTTGAATGGAATTACCGTTTGAGGTATTCTAGTGTTTTCCCTCTCAGCAATTTATCTAACAGATTATGGTTTTGGCAAAATCTGTGGGGCACATTTTCTTATTCCTGGTTTCCTCTTTTCCATCACAAAGCAGAGTACAGGGCTGAGTGGCAGGGGACAGAAATAATTATTCCATAAGCACTGAAATCTGAAGGCCAGCAGAGGGGCCTTCATTAAGTGCGAATCTGTTGGGCACCCACTGAGTAGTGAACAGGATGAATGTGACAACCACACTCCCTGCCCTTCCCAGGCTTGCAGCTTAGTGAGGGAGAGCAACACTGCCTGCCCTTCATTAGGGGGATGAATGTGACAAAGCACAGTCAGGTTGTGGGAACCTAACCTAATCTTTGGGCTGAATTAAGAATTCCCAGAAGTGACACTCAAGTTGCAAGATGAAGAATAAGCAGGAATGAGACAGGTGAGGGGTGCGGTGTGGGAGGATTGTTCTTGTAAGGGGAGATAGCCTATGCCTTCTCTGGAACCGAGATTACTTTTCTCCGTGTTTCTGGTTTCTGTGTTCCGCCATTTGTTCTGTACATCTTGTGGTCTGCTTTCCAGATTTTTTTTTTTTTTTTTTTTTTTGAGACGGAGTCTCACTCTGTCCCCCAGTCTGGGGTGCAGGGGCGCAATATCGGCTCACTGCAAGCTCCGCCTCCTGGGTTCACGCCATTCTCCTGCCTCAGCCTCCCAAGTAGCTGGGACTACAGTCACCCGCCACCACGCCCGGCTAATTTTTTGTATTTTTAGTAGAGATGGGGTTTCACCGTGGTCTCGATCTCCTGACCTCATGATCCGCCCGCCTCGGCCTCCCAAAGTGCTGGGATTACAAGCGTGAGCCACTGCGCCCAGCTTTCCAGATATTTTGAATAGGAATGTACACATAGACTTTCCAAGTGAGGAAGTCACCATCCTAAATGCATAAGAATCCATCCTATGACTAAAGTCCCTCATCAGCGAGAGCCTCTCATGTTAGTGGTCCTAGGGAGACAAGACCCTGTACCTTTTTTAGTTCTCAGGAGATGGAGTGAAGACTATTTTCTGCACTCTTGATAAAGTTCAAGAAATGCCCATCATTGGCAGAAAATAGAATTAGAATTTCTTAGAATTGGAAATGTCTTTAGAAATCATGCAATCAGGTCTCTTCAACTGAAAAATGAGGAAAATAAGACCCAAAGTGCAGAATTCCTTTCTAAAAATTTTAATTATTTTAAAATTATTATTACTTTATTTATTTATTTATTTATTGAGATGGAGTTTCACTCTTGTTGCCCAGGCTGGAGTACAATGGTGTGATCTCAGCTCATCAGCTCACTGCAACCTCCACCTCCCGGGTTCAGGAGATTCTCCTGCCTCAGCCTCCTGAGTAGCTGGGATTACAGGCGCACACCACCACGCCCAGCTAATTTTTTTGTATTTTTAGTAGAGACAGGGTTCCACCATGTTAGCCAGGATGGTCTCGATCTCCTGACCTCCTGATCCGCCTGCCTCGGCCTCCCAAAGTGCTGGGATTACAGGCGTGAGCCACTGTGCCCAGCTTATGATGTCAAATTTTAGATGTCAACTTAAAAATATATCAGGGGCACATTTAAAGTATTTTATTTTGATATACACTTTAATATTAAAAAATTAATTTTGCAAATGGTGATTCTCTGAATTCTCATGTTAACTCTTAAAATTTTATTTCCTTTAGGGGAAATACATTACAAACCACAAAGCTTCATCTTAAAACATAGAGATGCTATAGAAATGGATGACATTTACTTAGCTCTCTCTCTTTCCCATTGTGACCACAAAAATGTCAACAAATAGACAAGAGACCTACACAAATGTCTATGCTAAGCAGCAGATTTATCACTCACAGCCACAATTTCTAACTCTGGCTTTCCTTGCTGGGAAGTTTTTTGTTGTTTTGGGTTTTTTAGATTACTTTAGAAAACCATTTATTAAAGGAAGAGTGTTTAAACATTAATTTAGGTTAATATAAAGAGTGTAGCCACTCCCTAGATCTAGAAATAGATTGCCAGCAACCCAGAGCTCATACGTACCAATTCCCAATCAAACCCCCTTCCCAGCCCCCAGAGGAAACTACTACATTGACATTAAAAGTAATAACTTCTTTGCTTTACTTTCTGGTTATAATACCCATGTATGCCTTTCCAAACATCGAAGTTTAGTTCTGTCTGGCTTTGAACTTGATATAAATGAACAAGTATTTCAGACAGCATGTATTCTTTTGTCTGGGCTTCCATTACTTAATAATTAGGTTTTTGAGATTCATATATATTGTTGCCTATAGCTATACTTCATTTATTTTCACTATAGTGTCGAATTTTTAGCATTGTATGAACAGATGACAATGTAGCCATTTTATTGCTGATAAACAGTTGCTGCTGGGAACATCCTTGTACATGACTCCAAGTGGACACAAGCACACATTCATAAGAGTGAGATGACTGGGTCACAAATAGTTGAATCTTAAATTTTACTAGATAATGTCAAATGCTTTTAACTCTTGGCACTATCACATTTTAAAATTTCAGCTAATTTGGAACATGTGTAATGGTATTATATTTCATTATGTTTTTATTTGCACTTCTACCTAATTTGATTACTAATGAGGTTGAGGGATTTTTCTACATTTTTGACTATTTGGATATCATATTTTGCTTGAGTCCTTTGCCCATTTTTCTTTTGGGTTCTCTGATTTTTTTTCTTTTCTTTCTTTCTTTTCTTTTTTTTTTTTTTTTTTTTTTTTTTTGAGAGAGAGTCTGACTCTGTCACCCAGGCTGGAGTGCAGTGGTACAATCTCAGCTCACTGCAACCTCTGCCTCCCGGGTTCAAGCAATTCTCATGCCTCAGCCTGTAGCTGGTATTACAGGCATGCGCCACCACACCCGGCTAATTTTTGTGTTTTTAGTAGAGATGGGGTTTCCCTGTGTTGGCCAGGCTGGTCCCAAACTCCCAACCTCAGGTGATCTGCCCACCTTGGCATCCCAAAATGCTGGGTTTACAGGCGTGAGCCATTGCACCTGGCCTAGGAGTTCTTATATATTCTAGATATGAGCTTCTTTGGGTTACATGACTTACACAAATTTTTTTTTTTCTACTTTGTGGCTTGCCACAAAGCAAAACTCAAAATGTTTTCCACAGCCATTCTTCCATTTTAAATTCCTACCAGCAGTATATAACAGTCCTGATTAATCCACATCCTCACCAACACTTGTTATTGTTTTTCTTTTTGATTCTAGACATCCTCGTTGGTGTAAGGAGGAATCTCATTGTGGTTTTGATTGACATTTGTAGCTTGCCTTTTAATGGTGCCTTAATAAATAAATATTTTCAACTTTAATGCTCAAAACAACAATCTTTTCCCTTATTGTTAGTATATTTTATGACTTGCTTAAGAACTCCTTCCTTACTGCAAGGTCATGAAGATAGTTTTCTGTATTATCTTTCAGAGGTTTTATTTATATATTTAGACAGACTCTTGTTCTGTCATCCAGGCTGGAGTCTAGTGGCACAATCTTGGCTCACAGCAACCTCTGCCTCCTGAGTTCAAGTGAATCTTGTGCCTCAGCCTCCCGAGTAGCTGGGACTACAGGTGCAGGCCACCACGCCCAGCTAATTTTTTTTTGAATTTTTAGTAGAGACGAGGTTTCACCACGTTGACCAGGCTGGTCTTGAACTCCTGAACTCAATTGATCCACCCACCTTGGCCTCCCAAAGTGCTGGGATTATAGGCGTGAGCCACCATGCCCAGCCCACTTTTATCTATTTATCACCATACATATTAGTTTCTCTCTCCTTTACATATGCAAAATACCCCACAAAGAGAGACAACCCTCAAGTCCTGTCCAGTTACAGCATTAAGCTCAAAGTTCAGAATCTCTAGGTGATATGTGATAGCCCCTATATTTGGGAATGATGTGAGGCAGTGCTTGCACCACGTTCAGACGTGGCCGTTTTGATCTGGAGACGTACGAACTAAAAAGACAAGATATCTGTGCCTCGTCTCCCACCAATGTACAATGGTGGAATGGGGCCAGGAAAACCCTCCCATTAGGAAAGGGAAATACAAAGCATTCTGTAGAAATTCTAGACAAATGAGCAAAGGGTTTCTTACCCTAGGGATGAGGAATTTCCTAATCAGGTCCCAGTTTGTCCCCCAGGAAGGGTTCACCAGTTGGTGTTCTCTGTGCCTATCACTCCACCCTCTGGAAGATCTTCCTTGGTCATATCTAAAGAGGGTTGCTGAGGAGGAAAAAGGTTTTTCCTCTCCTCTCCTAGGGTTTTGCTGTGTTGGCCTAACTCCTGACCTCAGGTGATCCATCCGCCTCGGCCTCCCAAAGAGCTGGGATTACAGATGTGAGCCACCATGCCCGGCCCCAGGTTTTATTTTATAAGTTTAATGTGGCAAAACGTGGGGGTGATCCACAGAGAAGAGAAACTCCCCGAAGAGGCAGCGAGGCTTGGGGGTTTTTATGCCATTTAGAGGAAGGACAACAAATTTATAGAGAAGTAACAAGGCAAAGGAAGGGGGTTTCTAACTTTCTAGTTCTAGGAGGTAGTAAATTGTGGGGAGGTAAATATATGGGAAATACTAATGGGAGATTAGGGCTAGTTAGTAAGGTTTATTCATGTAGACACTTACGTCATCTCTCTCTTGCCATTTCCATCTCTGGTAATAAGGGCTGTTCTTCCCTTCCTGATATGGGAAAGGGGGCGGTCGCCTGCACAAGGAGAATATATGCCCTCTTTTCATATAGGGAGGGTAGGGAGCTTGTCCTGTGTTTGGTTTTTCTGAATTGCTTTCAGCTCAAAATAATTCTTATGCCAGAGTGGCATATACTTTCCTGCAGGAAACTGAACTACTGAGCAGGTTTGACAACTTGCTCATTGCCTGTAGTAGACTAAGTGCTTAGAAGTCGTTTTTCAGTCTCAAGTAGTCATACACAGTTAAGCTATAAACTAAGTTCCTCCCAAAGTTAGCTCAACCTACACCCAGAGATTAAGAAGGGCAGCTTGGAGGTTAGAACCAAGATGGAGACCAGGCGGTGGCTCACATCTGTAATCCCAGCACTTTGGGAGGCCAGCCTGGGAAGATCCCTTGAGCCCAGGAGTTCAAGACCAGCCTGGGCAACATAGTGAAACCCTATCCCTACAAAAAATAAAAAAAGATTAGCCAGGTGTGGTGGTGCATGCCTGTACCCCAACTACTAGGGATGCTGAGGTGGGAGGATTGCTTGAACTTGGGAGGTAGAGGCTGCAGTGAGCCGAGATCACGCCCTGGACAATAGGGCGAGACCCTGTCTCAAAAAAAAAAAAAAACCAAACGAATTTTTTAAAAATAAGAATTTTAAAAGAAAAAGACAACTATAAAAATTTTAAGGGTTACACAATAAGTCATCTAACACTGGCCAGGCGCAGTGGCTCGTGCCTGTAATCCTAGCACTTTGGGAGGCCATATGCCTCCTATTCTACTACTGAGGTCAGGAGTTTGAGACCAGCCTGGCCAACATGGTGAAACCCTGTCTCTACTAAAAATACAAAATTAGTCGGGCATGGTGGCTAGCACGTGCCTGTAATCCCAGCTACTCAGGAGATGGAGGCAGTGGAATTGCTTGAACCCAGGAGGCAGAGGTTGCAGTGAGCCGAGATCATGCCACGGCATTCCAGCCTGGGTGACAGAGTAAGACTCCGCCTCGCCGGGCGCGGTGGCTCACACCTGTAATCCCAGCACTTTGGGAAACCAAGGTGGGCAGATGACCAGGTCAAGAGATTGAGACCATCCTGGCCAACATGGTGAAACCCTGTCTCTCCTAAAAATACAAAATTAGCCAGGCGTGGTGGTGCATGCCCATAATCCCAGCTACTCAGGAGTCTGAGGCAGGAGAATCGCTTGAACCTGGGAGGCGGGAGTTGTGGTGAGCCGAGATTGCGCCATTGCACTCCAGCCTGGGCGACAAGAGTGAAATTCCATCTCAAAAAAAAAAAAAAAATGATAGCTCTAGATATCCTCTTATAGGATAATCTCTAAAGTTTATTCTTAGGCCAAAAACTTTGGAGGTACCCTGTTTTTTCTCTTTTTCTCACATCCCACATGCACCGTGTCTCCAAATCCTGTTGACTCGCTTCAAAATATATTCCGAATCCAACTACTTCTCACCACTTCTATTGTTACTCCTCTGGTCTACTGCAACAGCCTCCTAACATTTACTTGCTTCCATCCTTGTCTCTCAGGCCTATTCTTAACACAGCAGCCACAGTGATGATGTTAAAATGTAAGTCAAACCACATTACTGCTCTATTCAAATCCTTCCAACAGTTCCCAGTCGCAATAAAAGCTGTAAGGGTAAAAAAGTGTGATATATTTCCTCACCCATCATAAGGGTTGTGGCTGGCACTCCTATAATAAAAGACAGGTTAATAAGAGAAAAGCATAACAAATGTACTTCATCAAAGTTTTAGGTGACACCAGTGTCTTCAGAAATGAAGACCAAAAGACCCAGAGAACACTGTGTCTCTGTGCTTAGGTCTGATGAAGAATGGGCAGCGGTGTAGGAATGTGATTGGACAAAAGGGTATGATCTAATGGTAATGGACTAAGCGGGGAAACCCAGCAAGGTCTCTCTGTTCAGATCCTTCTTGGCCTCTCTGTGCAGCATTCTTTCCTCCTGGGTTTGGGGCAGGACCCTTCTGGAGTGAGGGTCTTCAATGGACAACAGAGAAAGTGACCTTTCTAGGTTTTATGGCTTGTTTGTGGGGAGAGAAGTTCTAGTTTCTCTGACCAACCTTGGGGAAGAGGAATTATGGTTTCTGTGACTCCTCAGGGGAGAAAGAGAGGTGAGAGACAGGAGGGCAGGAGAAGGTCAGAGACTTTGCTTCTGAGGCTTTTTAGTCTCTAAAGTACTCAGCATGCCAAAGCGCCATACTTTGGGGTATCATTTTCTGAGCTCCAACAAAGCTAAAGTCAGTTTTTATAATTGTTATTTGCTCTCTTCCTCCCCGTTCTCCTCTCCCCTGGCACTCCCACACTTTGTTATAACTCTGACCTTACTTCCAGCTCCTCTATTCCTAGCTCACTGTATTCGCCCATTTTCATGCTGCCGACAAAGACATACCTGAGACTGGGAAGAAAAAAGAGGTTTAAATGGACTTACAGTTCCACATGGCCGGGGAGGCCTCAGAATCATGACGAGAGGCAAAAGGCACTTCCTACATGGCAGTGGAAGAGAAAAATGAGGAAGAAGCAAAAGCAGAACCCCTTGATAAACCTATCAGATCTCACGAGACTTATTCACCATCATCAGAATATCATGGGAAAGATGGGCCCCCATGATTCAATGACCTCCCCCTGGGTCCCTCCCACAACACGTGGGAATTCTGGGAGATACAATTCAGGTTGATATTTGGGTGGGGACACAGCAAAACCCCATATCATCCTGCCCCTGGCCCCTCCAAATCTCATGTCCTCACATTTCAAAACCAATCATGCCTTCCCAACAGTCCCTCAAAGCCTTAACTCATTTCAGCATTTCTTTTTTTTTTCGAGATGGAGTTTCACTCTTATTGCCCAAGCTGGAGTGCAATGGCGCGATCTCGGCTCACTGCAACCTCCGCCTCCCAGGTTCAAGCAATTCTCCTGCCTCAGCCTCCCTAGCAGCTGGGATTACAGGCATGTGCCACCATGCCTGGCTAATTTTGTATTTTTAGTAGAGCCGGGGTTTCTCCACGTTGGTCAGGCTGGTCTCGAACTCCCGACCTCAGGTGATCCGCCCGCCTCGGCCTCCCAAAGTGCTGGGATTACAGGCATGAGCCACCGCGCCCGGCCCTCATTTCAGCATTAACCCCAAAGTCCACAGTCCAAAGTGTCATCCAAGACAAGGCAAGTCCCTTCTGCCTATGAGCCTGTAAAATCAAAAGCAAACTAGTTACATTCTAGATACAACTGGTATACAGGTATTGGGTAAATACAGCCATTCCAAATGGGAGAAATTGGCCAAAACAAAGGAGTTACAGGGCCCATGCAAGTCCGAAATCCAGTAGAGCAGTCAAATTTTAAAGCTCCCAAATGATCTCCTTTGACTCCAGGTCTCATATCCAGGTCATGCTGATGCAAGAGGTGGGTTCTCACGGTCTTGGGCAGCTCTACTCCTGTGGCTTTGCAGGGTACAGCCTCCCTCCTGGCTGCTTTCACGAGCTGGCATTGAGTGTCTGCAACTTTTCCATGTGCCTGGTGCAAGCTGTCAGTGGAACTACCATTCTGGGGTCTGGAGGACGGTGGCCCACTTCTCATAGCTCCATTAGGTGGTGTCCCAGTAAGGACTGTGTGGAGGCTCCAACCCCACATTTCCCTTCTGCACTGCCCTAGCAGAGGTTCTTCATGAGGGCCCCACCCCTGCAGCAAACTTTTGCCTGGGCATCCAGGCATTTCCATACATCTTCTGAAATCTAGGCGGAGGTTCCTAAACCTCAATTCTTTTTTTTTTTTTTTCGAGATGGAGAGTCGCTGTATCACCCAGGCTGGAGTGCAGTGGCGCGATCTCAGCTCACTGCAACCTCCGCCTCCCAGGTTCAAGCGATTCTTCTGTCTCAGCCTCCTGAGTAGCTGGGACTACAGGCATGTGCCACCACGCCCAGCTAATTTTTGTATTTGTAGTAGAGACAGGGTTTCACCATATTGGCCAGGCTGGTCTCGAACTCCTGACCTCATGATCTGCCTGCCTCGGCCTCCCAAAGCACTGGGATTACAGGCGTGAGCCACTGTGCCCGGCCCCCAAACCTCAATTCTTGACTTCTGTGCACCTGCAGGCTCAACACCACATGGAAGCTGCCAAGGCTTGGGGGTTCCACCCTCTGAAGCCACAGCCTGAGCTGTACGTTGGCCCCTTTCAGCCATGGCTGGAGTGGCTGGGACACAGTGCACCAAGTCCCTAGACTGCACACAGCATGGGGACCCTGCACCTGGCCCACGAAACCACTTTTTCCTCCTGGGCCTCTGGACCTGTGATGGGAGGGACTTCCGTGAAGGTCTCTGACATGGCCTGGAGACATTTTCCCCATGGTCTTGGGGATTAACATTAGGCTTCTTGCTACTTATGCAAGTTTCTGCAGCTGGCTTGGGTTTTTCTTTTCTATCACATAGTCAGGCTGCAAATTTTCCAAACTTTTATGCTCTGCTTCCCTTATAAAATTGAATGCCTTTAAGTGCACCCAAGTCACCTCTTGGATGCTTTGCTGTTTAGAAATTTCTTCTGTCAGATACCCTAAATCATCTCTCTGAAGTTCAAAATTCCACAGATCTCTAGGGCAGGGGCAAAATGCTGCCCATCTCTTTGCTAAAACATAACAAGAATCACCTTTGCTCCAGTTCCCAAAAAGTTCCTCATCTCCATCTGAGACGACTTCAGCATGGATTTTTTTTTTGTTTTTTGTTTTTTGAGATGGAGTTTCACTCTTGTTGCCCAGGCTGGAGTGAAATGGCACGATCTTGGCTCACCGCAACCTCCGCCTCCTGGATTCAAGTGATTCTCCTGCCTCAGCCTCCCAAGTAGCTGGGATTACAGGCATGTGCCACCACGCCCAGCTAATTTTGTATTTTTAGTAGAGACGGGGTTTCTTCATGTTGGTCAGGCTGGTCTTGAACTCCCGACCTCAGTGATCTGTCCACCTGGGCCTCCCGAAGTGCTGGGATTACAGGCGTGAGCCACTGCATCCGGCCTCAGCCTGGATTTTATTGCCTATATCGCTATCAGCATTTTGGGCAAAGCCGTTCAAGTCTCTAGGAAGTTCCAAACTTTCCCACATTTTCTTGTCTTCTCCTGAGCCCTTCAAACTGTTCCAATCTCTGCTTGTTACCCAGTTCCTAAGTCACTTCCAAATTTTCAGGTATCTTTTTCAGCAATGCCCCATTCTATTGGTATCAATTTACTGTATTAGTCTGTTTTCATGCTGCTGATAAACACATACCTGAGACTGGGAAGAAAAGGAAGTTTAATTGGACTTACAGTTTCACATGGCTGGGGAGGCCACAGAATCATGACCAGAGGCAAAAGGCACTCCTTATATGGCAGTGGAAGAGAAAATGAGGAAGAAGCAAAAGCGGAAACCCTTTATAAACCCATCAGATCTTGTGAGACTTATTCACTATCACGAGAATATCATGGGAAAGACGGGCCCCCGTGATTCAATTACTTCCCCTTGTGTCCCTCCCACAACAAGTGGGAATTCTGTTTTTTTTTTTTTGAAACGGAGTTTTGCTCTTGTTGCCCAGGCTGGAGCAATCTTGGTTCACTGCAACCTCCACCTCCTGGGTTCAAGCAATTCCCCTTCCTCAGCCTCCCGAGTAGCTGGAATTACAGGCACCTGTCACCACGCCCTGCTAATTTTTTTTTTTTTTTTTTTTTTTTGGTATTTTTAGTAGAGATGGGGTTTCCCCATGTTGGCTGGGCTGGTCTCAAACTCCTGACCTCAGTTGATCCACCCACTTTGGCCTCCCAAAGTGTTGGGATTACAGGTTTGAGCCACCACGCCCAGCCCACACGTGGGAATTCTGGAAGATACAATGCAAGTTGAGATTTGGGTGGGGACACAGCTAAACCATCTCACTCACTCTGGTCCAGGCACACTCTGCTTGCTGTTCTAACACACCGGGCACACAATCCTCCACCTGGAGCAGATACACACATGCCCCCTCTCTTGTTCCCTTTACATCTCTTCATAAATGCCACTTTCTCTGTGAAGTCTTCCCTGACCACTCTGTTAAAATTCTAAGCCCCATCTTCCAATTCTCCTGACATTTTTCCATTAAAAAAATGTTCCCATAGCAGTTCTCATCATGCGAATTCCCATGGATTTTAGATTTTACTGATTTGTTTGTTTTCTCCCCCACTACAATGTGAACTCCATGAGGGTAAACATTTTGTCTGTTTTGTCTACTGATGGCCACCCATGACAGAAAAAAAAGTGACTGTCTTAGGGGAGGCCCTCAATGTATTTTTGTTGAATATTGAATAAATGGATGACTCAGATGTAGGGGGTGATCTAAAGAGAAGAGTCAAGAATGACTTCAACGTTTTTTGCTTGGGCAATTGGGATTGCCACTTTCCAAATCAGGGAAGTCTAAGGGAGGAGCAGGTTTGCTGAAGGTGTGATGACTGGCTATCTCCAGTGTCGTCAAGAAAAAGAACTGAGGCAGAGTGCACTGATGGGGTGATCCATTTTCTCGGACTCTGGCAACTCTAACAGTTTCCTTAGTCAGATTTACAGTTGCCACAGATATCCTCTGAAAGTTGGAAAAGGAAGAGGTTACCAGGTGTTCTTTCAGTTCAATACTGGGCTTGTGTCTTTGATTGATTCCCATCAATTCAGTCACTTCACAAGTCAGAAGAGGCAGAGATTAACTCATAGCTGCAACTGGCTGCTGTCTGGTGGTGGAAAGGATAATCCTGAAGGTTATGTTTCATGGTCCTATAGGACATTAACCACTTTTGTATCCAATACAGCAATCTCACTAACATTCCTTTGTTAAATTGCCTAGAAACACCCATGCTTCTCAAACGCACTTTGAACTGATTTTGATATCTTATAGATTCTTTCATTAATTAATAAGTTGTATAAAATCTTTGACGTGTTCGTTTTATATTTGCATGAGTTATGATTCTAGCTTTTTGAAAATTATATTTTAATATCACTTTTACAGAACTAAAATGCTGCCACTCAAAATGATACCTGAGTACTTACCCATTGATTAGTCCAACCCTGTGACAACATGAATTTCCCTGTTGCCAGCGCACTAATACAGTTGGCAACCGGCTAAACTTCAGGCAGCAGAGAACGTTCAGCTGCTTGCTGCTTTTTGAAAAATAAATAAAGGGCTTCAGATTATGCCACCCCAAAATATGTTGTTTTGGCATATTCATTTGAGCTGAAGACACTGGAGAAACAGCTGATGCAGGAAAAGCTCTCTGATTCTCCCTTTCTACCTGAAAGCAGGTCATACAATTTTCCATGAGAAACATGCCCTCTGTGTACAAGGAAGAGAACATTCTTATCACCATAGAAAGGGAACTGACACTGAAATAGATCTATGCAAATAGTCTTACTAAAATAACCTTTAACTTCCACTGGTTCCCCCTTTATATTTCCTAGTCACTGTCCCACAATTTACTGCCATTACACCAAGCCCCTTTGTTTTGTCACATCCCCATAATTTATAATTCTTTGTGTAAAAAGGTATACAGTAGTTCCTTGGTATCCACAGGGTATTGGTTCTAGTTGCCACCCCCTGCATATACAAAAATCTGAGGATGTTCTTATATAAAATGACATAGTATTTGCATACAAGTTATGCACATCTTCCTGTATACATTTTTTTTATCTTATTTTTTTTTGAGAGAGGGTCTTGCTGTCACCCAGGCTGGGTTGCAGTGGAGTGATCTTGGCTCACTGCAACTTCTGTTTCCTGGGTTCCCGTGATTCTTGTGCCTCAGCCTGTAGCTGGGATTGCAGGCGTGCATTATCACACCTGGCTAATTTTTGTATTTTTAGTAGAGGCGGGGTTTCACCAGTTGGCTAGGCTGGTCTTGAACTCCTGGCCTTAAGCAATCCACCTGCCTTGGCCTCCCAAAGTGCTGGGATTATAGGCATGAGTCACTGCACCTGGCCCTCCTGTATACTTCAAATCATCTCTAGATCACTTATACCTAATATAATGTAAATGCTGTGTAAGTTGTTGTTATAGTGAATTGGTTTTTTATAAATTTGTATTTTTTTCTTTCTTTCTTTCTTTCTTTTTTTTTTTTTTGAGACGGAGTTTCACTCTTGTTGCCCAGGCTGCAGTGCAATGGCACGATCTCACTCACCGCAACCTCTGCCTCACCGCAACCTCTGCCTCCCAGGTTCAAGCAATTGCCTCTTTGGGTCTTTTCTTTTTTTCTTGAGACAGTCTCTCTCCGTCATCCAGGCTGGAATGCAGTGGCGCTGTTAACGGTGGAAGGTATGCGGACAATTCTGAAGGCATTTCTATTTTTATTCTGCCAATAATTTTAAAGCTAGCTTGTTAAGTTACACTTTAAGTCACGTGAACTTGAAAATTGCTTAGACTTATTTACTTGATTTATGAGCGCACTTTTACTTATAAGCCAATTTGGTAGACACAACATATAACAGTAGGTGTACAAACAAATAAACACATCTAGACATGTATACACATACATCAACGAAGATCCAATACCTTGGAACCTTAGCCACGAGATAGCAATACAAGCTTGCGGTTTTACTTCAACCTAATAGAAAATACAAGGACGGCTCTGAACCAAAATTTCAGGTAAAGCAGCCTCCATGGCAGTTCGATATTGAAGGGCTAAAGCCTCCCAGCCTCCCTAGACTTCAAGGAGCACCGGGGCCAAACAGTACCAAAGGAGGGTGTCACATGTTAACCAGGCCCCCTGCTTAGAACAGCAGCACAAAAGCCTGGATACATGCAACGCCATCCCACTTTCTGATTAGACAGTAAATTTCAGATTCTAAACAATTTTGGGGCCAAGCAGCATCACAACTGTGAAAAAATTTTTTTTTTCTTTTCTGAGACCGAATTTGGCTCAGTCACCCAGGCTGGAGTGCAGTGGTGTGATCTCGGCTCACTGCAACCTCCGCCTACCAGGTTTGAGCGATTCTCTTGCCTCTGTCTCTTGAGTAGCTGGGACTACAGGCATGCGCCACTACGCCTGGCTGAATTTTTTGTATTTTTAGTAGAGACAGGGTTTCACTATGTTGGTCAGTCTGGTCTCAAACTCCTGACCTCAAATGATCCGCCTGCCTTGGGCTCTTAAAGTGCTGGGATTACAGGCATGAGCCACTGTGCCCGGTCTGCAAGAGAAAATTCTAAGGAGGGTTTAATACTAGACCTCAGAACCTCTGCCAACAGCTTCCTCTTTGGAGAGTTTGAGGTCCGCAGAACCCACAGAGCATCCTCCTGTGGAATCCAATCTTAGAGTTCCAGACATCACTGGCCTTAGGTGGGTGCATCAAATGCAGGTTTTCCTTCCAAAGCATACTATGAGATTTATAAGAATAGCCAAGAACTGTAATGAGAACTGGATGCCGGGTGAGACTTTTGTTCCTTAGCCAGTAGAGTACGACCTGGGAAGAATTTAGCATATGAAAAGGAGGTTTAAGTTGCCTGAAATATGTGCAAGTTTGCTCTGAGCCGCACAGCAGGTAGAGATCATGGACCATGCGTGGAAAATATTTTTTTTAAAAAGTCCTTCCCACTTTGGGGCAGGGGTAATTATTCCCATTCGCTCCTCGGCCTTCAGGCAGTACCAGGGAGTGACCCCAGACAATTGCCCTCAATTTCAAGGAGCTACTAAGAAACAGCCACTGTAAGACTGAAAGAGAAGAAAAAAACATAAATAAAGACCCAGATTCCTTAAGTGATCTGGGCAGTGGCGGTTAGGCTTCTCCACATGGAAACCCCTTAGTTTCACTGGCCACGGCCAGAAACCTGCAGTTGCTTCCATGTTTAGGCACGGTCCACCAAGCATCCCAAGTTGGAAAGTCCCAAGGTCTGCTCCATGGATGGAGCAGGAAGGAAAGGGAAAATGAATCCCAAACTTTGGGCTTACTTCTCCCTCCTGGCTGGCTTGCCAAAATATGTTAATGGTGGAGGATATCTAAGTTCTTGGCATCTTGAACAAAGAATTGGACAAAATGCACAAACAAAGCAAGGAAGGAATGAAAGATTTTATTGAAAATGAAAGTACACTCCACAGTATGGGAAAGGGCCTGAGCAGAGGGACTCAGGCACTGTTACAGAGTTTTTCTGAGTTTAAATACCCTCTACTCAGGGTATGTCCTATGTAAATGAAGAGGATAAAGTTACAAAGTCATTTATGGCAAACGCCAGATGGAGAGGCTATTTCCTGTTTTAGCTTAAGTGTGAATTGGCCTTATGCTCCCTGCCTCCAGACCCTATTTTCCTGCCTCAGCACAATCTCAGCTCACTGTAACCATCTCCCAGGTTCAGGTGATTCTCCTGCCTCAGCCTCCCGAGTAACTGGGATCACAGGCATGAACAACCACGCCCAGCTAATTTTTGTATTTTTAGTAGAGATGGGGTTTCACCATGTTGGCCAGGTTGGTCTCGAACTCTTGACCTCAGGTGATCCACCCACCTTGGCCTCCCAAAATGCCAGGATTATAGGTGTGAGCCACTGCTCTGGCCTCTTTGGGTCTTACATTTTCCTTCTGAAGTCTCCCACGTACATGTAAATATATTAAATGCATTTATATCCTTTTTTCTTCTTAATCTGTTATTTTGTTTAGTATTATTATTATTTTGAGACGGGGTCTTGCTCTGTGCCCAGGCTGGAGTACAATGGCGCGATCTCAGCTCACTGCAACCTCCACCTCCGGGGCTAAAGTGATTCTCCTGCCTCAGCCTCCCAAGCAGCTGGGATTAGAGGTGCCTGCAACCATGCCCGGCTAATTTTTGTATTTTTACTAGAGATGGGGTTTCACCATGTTGGCCAGGCTGGTCTCGAACTCCTGATCTCGTGATCCACCCACCTCAGCCTCCCAAAGTGTTGTGACTACAGGCGTGAGCCACCGTGCCCGGCCTGTTTTTTTCTTTTCTGTGTGTGTGACGGAGTCTCACTGCCCAGGCTGGAGTGCAGTGACACAATCTAGGCTCGCTGCAACCTCTGCCTCCCTGGTTCAAGAGATTCTCCTGCTTCAGCCTCCCGAGTAGCTGGAACTACAGGCACGCGCCACCGCGCCCAGCTAATTTTTGTATTTTTAGTGGAGACAGGGTTTCACCATGTTGCCCAGGCTGGTCTTGAACTCCTGACCTCAGGTGATCCACCCGCCTCGGCTTCCCAATGTGCTGGGATTACAGACATGACCCACTGTGCCCGGCCTTAATCTATTTTATCATGATTCTGGTTCACTGCAACCGCCGCACCTCTTGGGTTCTCAGCCTCCCTAGTAGCTGGGATTAGCTAATTTGTCAGTTTAATTCTTAAACCAGCTGCAGAACCTAAGAGAGTAGAAGGAAGTTTTCCTCGCCTACACTAGGTTGTATGTTAGTTTTCTGTTGCCACTGGTAATGATTTGGGACACAACAATAAGCCACAAATTTAGTGGCTTAAAACAACACAAATGTATTATTTCACAGTTCTGTAGGTCAGAAGTCTGACATGTGGCGGTGGCTAACGCCTCCCAAATCCCAACACTTTGGGAGGCAGAGGAGGGCAGATCACCTGAGGTCAGGATTTTGAGACCAGTCTGACCAACATGGAGAAACCCCGTTTCTACTAAAAATACAAAATTAGCTGGGCCTGGTGGTGCATGCCTGTAATCCCAGCTACTCGGGCGACTGAGGCAGGAGAATCGCTTGAACCCGGGAGGCGGAGGTTGCGGTGAGCCGAGATCGTGCCATTGCACTCCAGCCTGGGCAACAAGAGGGAAACTCTGTCTCAAAAAAAAAAAAAAAAGAAAAGAAAGAAAAAGAAAAAGAAAAAAGGCCAGGCGTGGTGGCTCAGGCCTGCAATTGTAACACTTTGGGAGGCCAAGGCGGGCGGATTGTCTGAGCTCTGGAGGCTGAGGCAGGAGAATCTCTTGAACCTGGGAGGTGGAGGTTGCAGTGAGCCGAGATCGTGCCACTGCACTCCAGCCTGGGCAACAGAGTGAGACTCCGTCTCAAAAAAAAAAACAAAAAAACAAAAAAACAAAAACCCTGTCTCTACTAAAAATACAAAAATAGGCTGGGCGGGGCATGGTGGCAGGCGCCTGTAATCCCAGCTACTTGGGAAACTGAGGCATGAGAATTGCTTGAACCTGGGAGGTCAAGGCTGCAGTGAGCTAAGGTCACGCCACTGCACTCCAGCCTGGGTGACAGAGTGAGACTCAAAAAGAGTCTCAAAAAGAACATAATAAAAATTAAAATAAATAAATAAATAACATAAGAAAAAAAGAAAGAAGTCTGACATGCGTCTCACTGGGTGAAAATCAAGGTGTCAGCAGGGCTGTCTGTGTTCTTTTCTGGAAGCTCTGGGGAGGATCCATTTCCTTGCTTTTTCTGGCTTCTGAAGGCTTCCCACCTTACGTGGCTTGTGGCCCCCTTCCAGTGTCAAAGACAGAAATGACAGGTTAAATACTTCTCATGTCACATCACTGAACCTGTCTTTCCTGCCTCCCTCGTCCACTTTTAAGGACGCTTGTGATTACACTGGGTTGCCAAGGTAATCCATGATAATCTCCCTATTTTAAGGTCAACTGATTAACAACCTTAATTCCAATTGCAACTTTAATTTCTTTTTGCCATGGAGCATAACGTATTCACAGATTTCACAGATGGGGACATCCTTGGTGGGGGGGCATTGTTCTGCTTACCACAGTTTATCAGTAGACAAGAGAGAAAACAGCCAATTTAGGGAAATAATATATATATCTCTATTTTCTGCTGAGACATCTCCACAGTGTCTTTACAGACTGATAACTAGAGCTATTTCTCTAGTTAACAAAGGCAGAGTGGCCTTCCATTGCAGGTATTTACCATGGCAAATGCCAAGCTTCTTTGTGCAAATGTTTATGTGTGTGCTAAGCATTTTAAATAGATCTTTTGCATCACTCTATTTTCACACTGTGAAGGATATAATGTAGTTATGAGCTTTGAAGATGGACAGACCTGAATTTAAATTCTGACTCCATTACTTATTACACCTATGAACCTTGAGCAATTTACCTAATCTTCCAGAGCTTTAATTTCCTCATCTATAAATTAAGGATTAAAAACAGCTAGCAGAAAAGGTTATTGAGTTGAATGCAATAATGCATGTGAGGCCATGAGCAGAGGCTCTAAGTATATTTTGAATTGTTTTTCCCTTTAGATGTTTTCCCAGGTACCTGGTTCTCTGGGCCTAGGACACATAATCCCAGAGGGTATAAATCTAGTGCTTGGTCCCAACATGGTTTTGCTCCCTAAATACTGAAATAGTAGACAAGACGACACACCTGAAGCCCGAAAGAGGTAAATTTAGTATACAAGGAAGGGAATACTCTTTGTTATATAAAATAATAGTAAGTTCACTAAACTAATTAATGCATAAACTCAACTAAATTGTGAGTTAATAAGGTTGTGATGTAAACTGAATAAAACATAAAGAATGGTTTAGTTCTATTTGGTGATCACAAAAATATATTAGTTACTAAGGAAAATTAATAATAGCCTGTGCTATGTGTCAGGTCCCAATGTGAAGTGCTTTACAAACATCTCACTTATTTCCACCAACTACCAGGTGTTACCCCTGTTTTACTGAAAGCAAACCAAAGTTAAGGAAAGGTGCATAACTTGCCATCATTATAACTGTCAATACTGATGAAGAGTATGTTATCGTCAGTCTTATGCTCCTTAAGGATGTAGGGGTACTTCTATATCTTTTGCGGGCAATGATGGATGGAATATTGGGCTGAACCAATTAGTATGTTAATTTTAAACTTCTGCTTGAAGAAAGGATCTATGGTAGGTATTAGTAGCGAGAGATGAGAGGTATCCTTTATATCTTTTAATTTCATATTCTTTTCCTATGAGAGAAGGGCAAGAATCTAGGAAATTAATTCAGTTAACTAATATTTATTGGACATTTTCTATTTTCCAGGGATTACGAAATATCCCTCTTCTACATTTATCATTTAGACTTCAATTGTCTTCACTGAAAACTGAGGGGCTTAGTTTTAAAGTTCTTTTTTTTTCCTTTAAATATCTAAGAGCCTATAAATCCACTCAATCTTCATTTTCTCCCAACTAGACCTTAAAGTGGCATGCAGAATTATAGTGAGACACAGGTGGGCTGTGTATGGTGGTTCACAGCCACAGTTGGTGGTGGGGAGAGTAAAGGTTATGATTTCCTTTTTTCTCTACTTCTTCCTATCCATATTTGCATAAAAACATGGTCACACATTCTTACTTGATTACTTGTAGAAAGACACATTCCAAAGATACTAACACCTTTAGGGTAAAGGACATCTCTTCCTTCACAATTTATTGCAGAATGCTAGGTTTACAGGAGAAGCTTGAGGAATGCTTAAGCAATGTTCAGTTGATATGAAAAGTTCTATTAGCTTAACTTCTAGTCTATTTGCTTCAGTTGCTGCCAAACATCGACAGCCTTTCAAACCAGGATCCTTCCTTATTTAGAGAAGTTTGCAGGAGGGCTTCCATTTCCATACACCGGATTAAATGCTTTTCCTTCTCACCTGTTTAGGCTAATGGCCTTCAGTGTTATGCAGAGTAAAGACATTCTGTAGCCTCCATTCAGAAGAACCATTTTGTTTGAAAAAGAAAAGTCTAATTCAAGCAGAGTCATTAAATGAAAATGAGAAACTTTAGAAAAATTAAGAAAAAAAAGTTGAGTATTCTCTAGGGAACACAGATTGTTTTGCTGTTTAGACCGAGATAAGTTCTTCAATGCCTGCTCTCAAGCTGATTTAGTCTATGAAAATGATTTTCTTATGGATGGAGGCTTTCCTATAACTTTACTTTGCTGTTGATATATTTCTTTTTTATACTAAATCTTTTTTGGTGGGAACTGTTTAGACCTATGACCTTAGAACACTGGCCTGACTTGGAGAAAAATGAACTTGAAAAGAATCCTGTGATATATGGAGCACACACCTTTACATATAAAAATTAAACTACTGGCCCATAATCAGTATAGCTCGCCTCATGATAGATTATTCTCAGGCTAAATTTATAACAGGCACTCAACAAAAGTATTCATCGCTTATCCCCTAACATTATCTAGTAGCTATAGGAGCCGGTGACCTAGTAAATAAAAAAAAAAAATCTTTAGGGGTGGAATGTAACTATATGCAGTAGCGGTAATTCTGCTCCATTTGTAAGGAGGGTGAAATGCGATATGGTCATGTACCCTCTTGGTACACAAGTTCCATAGGCTATAGAAAAACAAGTCCATACCCTCTGATATCTGCATTCCTTATTCTTGTTATAGCTTACAAATCTTCTTTAGACACTTAACAGTGATAATTCTCCCAGGGAAACTAAGGAAGCACATGAGTCATGTTTCTTAACTTTAATGTTGTATAATCTGAAAATTATCTATAGATGCTTTTTTTTTCCATTGGTGCTAGAAAATTCCGCCTAGGCTCAATCGATATCCATTTCTAAACTTCTGCAAGAAAGCTTTAACTGCTTTGACATGCCAAAAATCCAGGTGTGAATTAAACAACGAATGCTTTACCTCGTTTTCACCACTAGTTCTACCAGTCAGAATCTTTTCAAATCATCCTCAGCCAGTGCCTGTCATCCACGGCCTGGTAACACACCCTTTCACCTCCTCATACCCCGTGTCTTCGCTTTTCCAGTCCTTTGGCTGCCCTCCGGTTTCTTCCCTCACATACCTGTCTGACTAGTTCCTAGAAGCCTGGCAGAAATTGTTCTCCGATTTTAATCTGGCTGCCACAAATGAAAGACCTTGGAGTCCAAATACTCCTCTCTCA
This sequence comes from Homo sapiens, assembly GCF_000001405.40. Classification (NCBI taxonomy): domain Eukaryota; kingdom Metazoa; phylum Chordata; class Mammalia; order Primates; family Hominidae; genus Homo; species Homo sapiens. The sequence goes on from NC_000012.12 coordinate 8,913,314, forward strand.
AAGCAAAATCTAAATGGATATAATTTATAAGCAAAGATAACACTTCTGTTTTTTTCTCTATAAACAAACCATGCATGGGCTTTTAAAGGAGAAAAGGAAGAGTGGATTGACAGAGAAAATAACTGTTTAGGATAGAGGTTAGGAAAAGACTGAGAGCAAGAGAAAAGGCATCAATCCCAGTTGTTAATCCACGAGGCATCCCCCAGACCCTTCTGTAAAGGTTAATGAAGGCAGTAAGGCAGTTATCTTTGTTTCGTGCACTGATGCAATCCAAGCTTCCACGGTTTAGCACATAGTAGACGCTCTATAAATATTTATTGAATGTTGAACGATGAGAGAGTAATTAAAAACCGGTAAGTTGATATCATAAATACAACGACAACGGCTCCCCTATCAAATGTTTAGTGTTCCCAGAGACAGCCCCATTGTTCTACATCTCGTTATACTCTGGCCTTTTCCCGTTTTTGTCATTCGAACTCATATACATATTGAAATCGAAGCACACACAAATCCCTGAAATGACAAACTTAAATGCTATCCAAAGGAAGTTACATTAGGTTGCTGCTTTGAAAATGAAGTCAACTCCTAATGGGTTAGCTGTTTCTGCAGCATTCTTTCCCGCCTTCTTGGAGTTGAGGTGAGGGATTAAACAATCAACCTTCTCTCTCCTTTCTCTCATTCTCAAAGTTTTTCTCGCCTTTTCCTTCCTTTCCTTTGCTTCATTTCTTTTCCCAGTCTATCGTTTCTCTAGGGGTCGTTGCTTTGCTCTTTCTCCCTCTCTGTCTGTTGGTCCCTTTGATCCTTTCTTTCTACCCCTTATTCCCAGCAGCTCCAGAAAATACCTTCTTTCTCCCCGTCTCACGTCACTTCCCTCCCTTCTCCCATCTCCCTCTCCTCTCCGAGAGGTGCGTTCCCCACTAGAGGCCAGCACTTTCTTAGTTTCGTCCTTCCAACCGGCGAGCAGAACTCGGAGAGAAAGAAGGGGGTAAAAAAGAGGAGAAAGAGAGCAAGAGAGGAAAAAACCCCTGGGCCTGGAGCGCAGAGGCCCGGGAGCTGCGTCGCCATGGCAACGGGCGCCGGCAGGAAACGAGGGACGCGCGGGAGGGAGGGGGCGGAGGGCGCCGAGGGGAGGCGGAGGGACGGCGGGGGGGGGGTCCGGCTGCCCCGGAAGCACCTCCCCGCAGCCCCCTCCTCCAGCCCGGCCCGCAGCCCCTGGCCTGCGGCCCCCACCTTCTCGGCCGGGCAGGAAGTGACAGGCCCGGAGCGAGCCCCGGAGGCCTGGCTGAGCCGCGGCCGGGCCCGCACCCGGAGCGGCGGGAGGGGCGGGGAGCCGCGGTCGCGCCGGGCGCCTCCCACCCCGCCCTCGGCGCCCCCGCCCCTCCAGGAAGGGGAGGAGGCGAGGGGAGCCCGCCGCGGAGGCCGAGCGAGCCCCCAGCCCAGCCTGGCGACTGGGGACCCCGGCACATGAGGTGGACGCCCCCGGGGAAGACTTGGGTGCACAGCCAGGCGAGAAGGTAACCGGGCGACCGAGGGCCGGGGAGGGGCAGGACCTCTGGGGGCTTGGCTGCGCGGGGATGTATCCTCAGCCACCTCCATCTGTGTAACGCCCCAGGTACCTCCCCCAGTTGCTTTCCCTGCCTACCTCCGGCGCTGAGCTCTGCGGTCCTTCGGCTCTGCCTGTCCGAGTCTTCTGGCTATTCATTCTGCTGCGCTTCATGCTGTCTGTCCGTCACCCTAGCTGCCTCTGACTGCTCATTTTCTTATTCATTTTTCCTTCTCTGACTTTGGTCCTTCCAGCCGAGCATGCTGTCTAGTTATCTCCCTGCTTTCGTGGTCCGCTGGGTTCCTCAGCCTCCAGTTCCTTGACTTCTGCCTCTGCTCTCTGTATGCACATGTCCCAGCTCACTTGGGTCAGTTCATTCCCGGCGCACCACTGGATCCACCCCCTTCCCCCAGTGTATTTGATTTCTCTTTGAAACATCATTTTCATCAAGGTTCTATATAGAACGAGGACCCTTGGGCGTCTACTCCCTGTTCTCTTGATTATTACCGTGTCTTTGGCACAGTCTTCCCTGAACCACCCCCTTCTCCCGTCCCCCTTCCTATGTCCCATCCTTTCTGCATGATAAGAGTTTCGTGCTTAGGGATATTGACTTTCTCCAACTCTCGGCCCAATGCTAAGTCCACCTCAATGTCCCATTCTAACTCCCTTCGGTAGGTCTGTGCGCCTACCCAACCCCATGTATGCCCACATGCTACCTTTTAAGATGACCATGGCTTAGCTACTCTGGGGGCATCTGTGGATCAGCTTCTCACTGTCTTCCAGTTTAATTTGGAAAATTTTGATACCTGGTGCTGCCCAAACTGTTTGTTGTCTCCATTTTTTATATTTAATCTTGTAGTCATAATGTTGATCACAAATGAATACATTTATGTGCCCGGGATCCAGGAATCCTGGTTTTGGTGGCAGTTTCCCTTGATTTTATTGAGACTTTTAAGTTGGTCCCTTTACATTTTTATTTCTAGTTCACAATCCAAAAAAAATTATTAATCAGAATTCAGGTTTGGGAAGACGAGGGGTCATACGGTTTGTATTTTCACATGTGAATGTAGGAATTATGTTCTCTATACCTAGCAAAGGGGTCTCGTGTCTCTGAGTCCAGTGAACTAAATCCAGTAATCTATAAAACTGTGCCGTGCTGCCTCTAATCCTTACCCACTTTTTTTCTTCACATGCTGATAATGAGGATTCATGGGTCTGTATCTGTTTAGTGCTTTGATATTTTGGCAAAAGATGTGGGGAGAAGGTAGACTAGTTGAAGCTGATATGATTTTTCCTATGTACTTTTTGGGTAATATACATGTTTGCAGTGACATTTGCTAGTCCTAAATGAAACTAAAGACTGGGGGGGGATAATAGTGTGATTGGATGATACTGGGAATGAGATAATAAGAAATATCCTCAGCTTTATTGCCAAGGCCAAGCAGTTTGATACTTTGCTTGTTTGTTTGTTTTGGATGCAATCCCTAAGACCAGTCCATTCACCCTAATGAAACTGTTGACAACACTTAGCAGAAATTCTGGTTTGATGTTTATATTCTTAAGCCAGATAATATTTTGGTGACCTGATATTTCTAGTGGCCCAGTGCCTCAGAAGTAGAGAAAATAGTGTGTAGCTTAACAAAAGAGAAAAACAAAAAAAAAGAATGAGTAAAAACCTTATTGTCATTTAGTGCTGCTTTGGAAGAATATTTCTTCTTCTCATCTCCTGCCTCTTTGCTTGGTTCTTAGCAGTGTTTTCATATGTGTCTTTTTGCAAATGTAAGTGTAGTCCCCAGTGGGTAAATTCTGACATGTTAGTAGATTATAAAGTTGCATCTTACTTTCTTGAAGATTTTCATTGTGTGTATTTCTATGTTTCATACTCCGGAGTCATTTCTTAAAATGATATATTACATTCAGTATGAAGCCTCCTTTGCAGTGAGGAAACAGGTATAAGGAAGGAAAGCAACATGCCTGAGGTGTTATTAGTAGCCTGAGCTGGAACCAGGCAGCTATTTGGGCTATGTGGGCTGTAGGTGAGCTCTTCTGCTTCCTAGTTTTATGACCTTCCATGACCCACTGAATGTGTCTGTATCTTAAGGTCCTCCTCCATAAAATGAGGATAACTACTCACTATCATAGTGAATGACACTGCCTTAATTACAGTTTGGTTTGAAGAAGCATGTGTTAGTCCAAAGACTTGATACTTACTAGGGCAACTTCTTTAACCTCAGAAAACCTTATGTCTCAAATTGTAGAATGAGGATAACAGTGTTGACTTTACAGCACTACTATGAGAGAGATACAGCATAGGTGAAGTGCCTAGCCCAGTGAAAGGAGGCAACTAGTGGCTCTCCAGTATATGGTGACTCATTTGGATGATAACGATGCAGATGGAGACAAAAATGAGATAACCAAAACTTTTAAGTGGAAAGATTTTAAACTGTTAAAAAATGCTATGGGAATGTAAGGTAACTTTGGTATTGTAAGGTGCCATCTCACATTCTGGCCGTTTTATTTAATGACAGCCATGAGGGAATACGTAAAGGTTGTTTCTTTTGAGACTGCATAGCTTCAAAAGATGGTAGTATTGGGAAGACATGGTTGCAAGAGTGTATTGAAGATTTGGGAGTTTTAAGATGAGAAATCATGGCTTATGGAAGAGGAGGAAGATTCTTAGATACTTATGGATTTCCTGTGTTTTTGAATAATAACATGAGATAACAGCTTGGGATCAAGATATAAATTTTAACCTTTTACTGCTTCCCTCTAGGTCTTGAGTCAGACAGAGCACCAGCCTTGGGGACCCTGGACCACTATCATGGAGACTGAGAGCGAGCAGAACTCCAATTCCACCAATGGGAGTTCTAGCTCAGGGGGCAGCTCTCGGCCCCAGATAGCTCAAATGTCACTTTATGAACGACAAGCAGTGCAGGTGAGACTCAGCTCTGAGGGGCCATGGTCTGTGAGTCTTGGCTTGTGGTAGGCAGTGATGCTGGAAAATAATTGTACTCAGTTCTTTTTCAACAAACTGGGGAGAGTTGGGTTAGATGATGACTAAGCTGTCTTCCAGCTCTGAGAATCTTAGGAGTTTACAAATGTTTAGGCAAGCAAACAGTGAAATCTGGTCTTTCAAATAAGGATTTAAAAAACACATTCAGTCCATCTAGCTAGATTCTAACTAACCCTTTCTCATACTGGATTGCCAGGTTTTTAATCTTTGGCCATTCTTGTAAATCCCCTTGAGTAATAGAAGTATCATGGAACTCTTTAGAGATTTATTTTTAAACAAACAGCAAATTCCATGTTTTTATTAATTCTGTTAGGAAATGAGGTCTTTTAGCAAATATTTTGGTTACTAGAATAACTATACATATCATAAAAATAGTTCTAATTATTAAAGAATAAGAATACAGTAAAGTCCAGTTAGCACTAAAACCAAACTACTATTTTCATTTCATAAATCTGTATTAGCATACTGATATGTAAAAATGCCAATTAGTTGAATTCGTTGAAAATTTTACGTGAAGGAATCTTTAGAAGCCACTATTTATTTTTTCATTATTTCCAACCCATTAGGGCTGTATTACCTTTACTGTATACCTAAAATATACTTTTACATTTTCTTCTTTTTTTTTTGAGACAAGGTCTAGCTCTGTTGCCCTGGCTGGAGTGCAGTGGTGCGATCAGTGCTCACTGCAGCCTCAGACTCCCAGTTCTCCTATCTTATCCTCCTGACTAGCTGGGACTATAGGCACACTCCACCATGCCCAGCTTTTTTTCTTATTTTCTTTACATTAATCGGCATTTTGTTTATTTTCACCCGATCTAGTCTTTGCTATGGCATGTATTTCCAGCTCCCAATTGGAGAAACAAGTTTGTATAAATTGCACTGCTTTACTTTTCTTAACATCCTATGGAGAATAAACCATAGAATTACATTCACGCGTCACTTAATGACAGGAACGCGTTTTGAGAAATGTATTGTTGGACGATTTTGTAATTGCGTGACTGTCATAGAGCGCACTTACACACACCCAGATTATGTAGCCTACTCCGTACCTAGGTTATACAGTATAGGCTGTTACTCTGACCACTCCTGTGTATGTAGTCTGCCATTGACCAAACAGTGGATATGTGGTGCATGGCTGTAATTGTTTCTTCCGGTTTTTAAAGGACTATATAGACTTACTGAGGCAGAAGGATCTCTCTGTTTTTTTGAGATGGAGTTTCGCTCCTGTTGCCCAGGCTGCAGTGCAATGGCGCAATCTCATCTCACTGCAACCTCTGCCTCCCAGGTTCAAGCAATTCTCCTACCTCAGCCTCCCTAGTAGTTGGGATTACAGGCGCCCACCACCACGCCCAGCTAATTTTTTGTATTTTTAGTAGAGGCGGAGTTTCACCATGTTGGCCAGGCTGGTCTTGAACTCCCGACCTCAGGTGATCTGCCCTCCTAGGCCTCCCAAAGTGCTGGGATTACAGGCAGGAGCCACCACGCCTGGCTCAGAAAGATCTCTTGAGGCCAGGAGTTCAAGACCAGCCTGGGTAACATAGCAAGACCCCATCTCTAAAAATAAAAAAAATTAGCTGGACATGGTGGTGCATACCTATAGTCCTAGCTACTTGGGAGGTTGAGGCAGTCAGGAGGATTATTTGAGCCTAGGAGTTTGAGGTTACAGTAAACTATGATCACGCCACTGTGCTCCAGCCTGGTGATAGAGCAGGTTGACTTTGCTCTAAAAAAATGAAGGAAAATCAGCCGTTGACGATTTAGCCCAAACTCCCATCTCCTCTGGTTTCTGTCCTTCCCATGGCCCCCTTTCACACAAATACAGTGATTTACATAGAATAGGAGCTAGGAGTGGTCCATTCTAAATGTTTTATCCTCTCTTTTCCTAGGCTCTGCAAGCACTGCAGCGGCAGCCCAATGCAGCTCAGTATTTCCACCAGTTCATGCTCCAGCAGCAGCTCAGTAATGCCCAGCTGCATAGCCTGGCTGCCGTCCAGCAGGTGAGAGGTCAGCAGCCAGCTGGCCCGAGAGGGAGGGGACAGGCACTACAGGTGGGTAGGGGAGATTTTTTGGGCATATAGCATCCTATACTAAGCCAGGCTGCAGACAGCCTCCTCCGCCTCCTGTCCTTCTGTGGGAGGATGGATGCATCTTAGCTTCTGGGGTTGCAGTAAGAACCGTAAAATCACTTTTTAGGTATAGAGTGGCTGTGTTATAGACCTGCATTGTCTAATAACGTAGTCACTAGCCACATATCGCTATTGAGTGCTTGAAATGTGGCTAGTCTAAATGGAGACGTCCTATAAGATTTTAGAGTTAGACTACTTAGTACAAAAAAAGGTAAAATATCAGTAATTTAAAAATATTAATTACATGTGAAGTGATATTTTATATTGGGCTAAATAAAATAAATTATGAAAGTTAACTTTTCCTGTTTTACTTTTTAAAACTTTGCATAGTAGAAAATTATAAATGTGGTTCATATTATATTTATATTGGATACCTCTGGACTAGACTTTTACTGACTCATGATATGACCTGACCAAAAGATCTTTTTCTAGCTGGGCGTGGTGGCTTACGCCTGTAATGCCAGCACTTTGGGAGGCTGAGGCAGGTGGATCACTTGAGGTCAGGAGTTCAAGACCAGCCTGGCCTATATGGTGAAACTCATTCTTTACTAAAAATACAAAAATTAGCTGGGCGTGGTGGTGTGCACCTGTGATCCTAGCTACTCTGGAGGCTGAGGCAGGAGAATCGCTCAAACCTGGGAGGCGGAGGTTGCAGTGAGCGGAGATCATGCCACTGCACTCCAGCCTGGGTGAAAGAGCGAGACTCCTTCTCAAAAAAAATACCATCTTTTTCCACCTAAAAGAGAGTGGGAGCTGGAGGACAAGTTGCCTCTCTGCCCCAGGAGGGTTATGTGGGGCTAATTGGTTAGCATATGTGGTAATGTGAGGATCACTGGACTAGTGAATATACTTTTCTTTACCCTAAAGTGGAATCTCCCTGTTTATAATGTGAAATCTCTATGTTTTGTGCTTGTGATTTATTACTAGAAGACTGAGAGCTTTTTCCTTCACTGTCTTTGCTATTTCTTGTTTCCCTTCCCCTTTAATAGGCCACAATTGCTGCCAGTCGGCAGGCCAGCTCCCCAAACACCAGCACTACACAGCAGCAGACTACCACCACCCAGGCCTCGGTGAGTACGCCCTCTCCCACTGAGAGGCTTCTCTACCTGGGTCTTTGTCTCTGGGTTAAATTACTTTGTGCCGCTGATCTGAGAGTGTTTATTGAGCCGTCAGTGGATAGTTACTGCTTTTAAGTAGAGAATAGTAGTACAAGGGGAAAGTAACCAACATTAATCTATATTGGAGTCTCTAAAGAGGAAGTCTAAGGAAGAGAGGAAAGAAAATCCTGGGGAAGAAGAGGAGATAACAAAGAAGGGGACTAATCCCTGGACTCTTCAATGAGAAGTAAAATCTGTTCTGTTTCAATCTTTTGTCTTCTCAACTGTTAACACTAGTGGTTAGAGACTGTTGGTTTTTTTTCACTTTGGTAATACCCTAAAGTAGCCAGGATGACAGTTTTGGATATGAAGACATTATTTATTTCCCCCGGCTCCATGAAAGTGAAATACTCTGTTCTTGACTGTGTGACTCTGAATTTGTCAGTCACGTACCTTTCCTTTTACTTCTCCCAAATCCTTAGTCCTGGTTCCTTTCTGTACCACACAGATCAATCTGGCCACCACATCGGCCGCCCAGCTCATCAGCCGATCCCAGAGTGTGAGCTCTCCCAGTGCTACCACCTTGACCCAATCTGTGCTACTGGGGAACACCACCTCCCCACCCCTCAACCAGTCTCAGGCCCAGATGTATCTACGGGTAAGCCACAGATGCAGTCACCATTGCCCCAGAGGCATAATTGTCTGGCCCTGGCAAAGACTTGAGTGAAAGCTTTTTTTTGAGACAGAATCTCGCTATGTCACCCAGGCTGGAGTGCAGTGGCACAATAATGGCTCACTGCAGCCTCTGCCTCCCAGGTTCCAGCGATTCTCCTGCCTCAGCCTCCCAGGTAGCTGGGATTACAGGCATGCACCACTATACCTGGCTAATTTTTGTATTTTTAGTAGAGACGGGGTTTCACCATGTTGGCCAGGCTGGTCTGGAACTCCTGACCTCAGGTGATCCACCCGCCTCGGCCTCCCAAAGTGCTAGGATTACAGGCGTGAACCACCGCGCCCGGCCAAAAGCCATTTTTTTAAACCATGGTAACCCTGATGTTTTGAGAGAAGCTGGGACCTACTTCCCATACTTTACTTAACCTGGAAGTGATGTTCTGTGTTCACAGGTAGCCTATAGATTAAATTGAGATATTATGCTAGAAAATACTGGCTTAACATTTGACTAAATTAGTGTTAGATATAGTCGACCTTTAAACCTGTGGCTCAAGTATACAAATTCTGTGTTATCGCTCAGCCTACCTACTTTCTATATATAAGTACTTGTTCTAAAATCCTAATTTTCTCTATTTCTTTGACGTGTGACTCTTGGACATCAATCTGTAGTTTTCTATGCATTCTAGGTTTTCTTCTGGATGGTTCATTACATGTGGAGAATATGAGGCTCCTGGGTTGGTGTGGAAGAGGCAGGGCTCAGCTGTTTAATATCTTCTGTTTATTTTGTCTTGTGGTCCTTCCTTTCCATCTCTTCTGTCTCTTCTTTCCCTCTTGTCCTCTTTGCTCTTCCTCTTCCTCTCCTTGCCAGCCACAGCTGGGAAACCTATTGCAGGTAAACCGAACCCTGGGTCGGAATGTGCCTCTAGCCTCCCAACTCATCCTGATGCCTAATGGGGCGGTGGCTGCAGTCCAGCAGGAGGTGCCATCTGCTCAGTCTCCTGGAGTTCATGCAGATGCAGATCAGGTTAGTGGCGATGACTTTACCTGTGGGTGGGCACTGGGCAGGATGAAGGGAATGACCACGGACCTGGGTCCACCCTTCTGCCCCATTACACTTTTCAGAATTCTTACTTTTTGTGTTTTGTTTTTCCTTCCCTTAATCACCATAGAACTTGAATCCCATATAACCTTTGAGTTAATCTGAGTTAGAAAGACAAGGAGATTTGCCTGAAAATAGTCTTGTGGATCTGGGAAGTCTTATTTTCAAGATAGGGTAAATTTCCTCACCATCCTTCTAGTCCTCTGTGGGTTTGTTTTATTCGGAGAGTCTTAATTCTCTCATAGTACTGTCAGAAGAGAAGAGATTGTTGAGAGAATTCTTCTGTTAGTTAGATGTAAAGCTGACCTGGCTGAGTTACTGGAGGAATGTTTGGTTGCTTCTGTTTGTGAGTTACTCTAGTTCTCAACTTTCAGTCTTCTCTTCCTGTTCACTGTTTTTTCCCAGTAAAGGTCTTCCTCACCATTACTTCTCATGACTTATTCCCAAAATACATGTATTTTTGAGCCTGGAATTTTAGCTTCTTATAGATGGGACACAACCTAGGATCTTACGATAATTATTTCATCCTTTTAGTTTATTTATCAGTAAGCTGGTAAATGTTGAGTTCTTCCTTCATGTACTTTTGGCCCTCCCTGTTTATGGGTTTCATACCTGTAGGTTCTGCATCTCTGGCTTCCACATCTGCAGATACAACCAACTGCAGATTGAAAATATTTGGGAAAGGCCGGGCGCGGTGGCTCACGCCTGTAATCCCAGCACTTTGGGAGGCCGAGGCGGGTGGATCACGAGGTCAGGAGATCGAGACCATCCTGGCTAACATGGTGAAACCCCGTCTCTACTAAAAAAATACAAAAAATTAGCCAGGCGTGGTGGTGGGTGCTTGTAGTCCCAACTACCTGGGAGGCTGAGGCCCGAGAATGGCATGAACCCGGGAGGCGGAGCTTGCAGTAAGCCGAGATCATGCCACTGTGCCCCAGCCTGGGCGACAGAGCGAGACTCCGTCTCAAAAAAAAAAAAAAAAAGAAAATATTTGGGCAAAAAAACAATTAAAAATAACAATACAAGAACAAAAAATAATACAAAAATACAGCATCGTGTAACCATTTACATAGTACTTACATTGTATTAGATATTATAAGTAATAGAGGTGATTTAAAGTGTATGGGAAGATGTGCTATGTGCACAGATGATGTGCAAACACTGCTCTGTTTTATAAAAGGGACTTGAGTGTCTGCAGACTTTGATGTCCATGAGCCTGGAACTAATCCCCTGTGGATACCAAGGAACAATTGTATTAGAAATTTTGCAGGATTAAAAAATAAATGTGAGTCAGGTCTTCAAAGAGCTTAGACAATGAAAGTGCTAAATTAGGCTGGGCATGGTGGCTCACTCTTGTAATCTCAGCACTTTGGGAGGCTGAGGAGGGTGGATCACCTGAGGTCAGGAGTTCAAGACCAGCCTGACCAATATGGTGAAACCCTGTCTCTACTAAAAATACAAAAATTAGCCGGGCATGGTGGTGTGTGCCTGTAGTTCCACCTACAGGGAGGTTGAGACAGAAGAATTGCTTGAATCTGGGAGGTGGAGGTTGCAGTGAGCTGAGATCGTGCCACTACACTCCAGCCTGGGCGACAGAGTGAGACTCCGTCTCCAAAACAAAAAGAAAGTGCTAAACTAAATGGTGCTAACTTTGAGTGACACATGAGTTTGGAAAAGAATTGGTTACATTACTTTGCAATGCCTTATTGGGATACTTGAGCAGAGTCTTGGACGAGTGGATTTGATTTGGAGTGAGAAGAAAACTAGAGAGAGAACAGCAAGCGTAAGAGTATAGTCATATATTTAAATACGAGTATGTGTGGTAGGCGTTGGAGATGAGGGGATAAATAAAATAGAATCAACAGGCATGATGATAGAAGAGGTCATTGCTGGGGTAGAGCATATAAAGGAGGTTGTAGTTAACTTCATAGGTCACAGGGATCATTGCTAGCTATTGAACAGCAGATTAACAAGATGAGGAAAGTACTTAGGAAGAACTATAGGGAGAATAACTGTTCTAACAGTTCCTGGAGAAGAGAAGTTAGGGAACTTGCTAAGAAACTCTTGTGGTCATCTAGCTGTAAGGCAAGTCTTTGTTTTAGACTCTGGTGATAGCAATGGGAGCCACGAGTGAGGTTGGTTCCATTTCCATATCCAGTTCTTTGATTTATCCGCTCATTCATTCATCAGATATTTGAGTGTCAATATGTGGAGGAACAGAGGGCAGTAGTTAAAAATACGCATCTGATGGGTCAGATTCCAGCTCCACTACTTACTGTGTGACCCTGTGCAAATGATCTGACATCTTTCTGTTATCGTTTTTTTCATCTGTAAAATAGGTATTGTAATATACCTACCTCAGGATGTGTTGTGAGGACTAAGTGAGTTGCTGCGTTTGACTGCTTGAAGAATGCCTGGACGTAGTGAGTGTTTAGGAGAAACTACTGCTATTAATATATCAAACATTCCTTAGCGTTGGATGCCCAAGAAAGTCACGATCACTGCATTTGTGGAGCTCACAGACCATTGAAACACCAGACATTAAACTGATAGTCACCTGAATGGGGAAATAATTGAGAAAGTACCGAGTGTTCTGAGAATTTAGAAAGGGACCTAACTTAGCTTTGGCATGGGGTGTAAAAGTCAAGGAGGTGACATTTAACTTGGGGTGTGTAGAAGTTAGCCAGATAAGAATGTGGAAGGAGAGTGTTGGAGGCAGGAGAACAGTGTGTCCAAAGGTCCTGAGGAGGGCAGGAACTTGATTTGTTAGAGGAATTAAAAGTCTTGTATTCTTGGAGTTTGGCATAGTGGGGCTAGACGGGTAGGAGGAACCTTATCTTTCAGGGCTTTGGGGGCTGTGTTTAGGATTTTGGGCTTTTTATAAAAAGCAATTGGAAGCTATAGAAGGATTTTAAATATGGAAGTGTCATAGAGAGATTTGGATGTATTTTTGTTTTGTTTTGCTTTTTAAATACCATGTTGATTTCCTCTTTGGAGACTAAACGGATATGGTGTGAGTGTGACTGTAGGGAGAATAACTGTTCTAACAGTTTAAGGGACAGACGATGTTCATACTGGGGGTAGCAATGGAGATGGACAGAAATGCATAGATTTGAGGATAACTTAGAAGAATCATTGAAGAGGGTGAACTAATTTAGTAGATGGGGGAATTAAAGGAGATGCCAGATAGGAAATCTGTGGGGTGGCTGGTGGTGCTGTTTATGAGACGAAGAATGTAGGAGTGTATTTAGAGTGACGTTCAGTTTTGGACATGCAGACCTAATTAGAAGTGTTTGTGAGCCATCCATGAGGAGATACTGAGACTGCAGTTTTATTATGTGGTTCTTGAGCTCAGAGGAGAGGTCTGGGTTGGAGATAAACATTTGAGAGTAGTAGGCATATAGATGATAATTGAAGTCCCCCATCTACTAAATTAGTTTACTCTCCTCAGTCTTTAAAATTGCCTGGAGAGGCCGGGCACAGTGGCTCATGCCTATAATCCCAGCACTTTGGGAGGCCGAGGCGGGCGGATCACCTGAGATCAGGAGTTTGAGACCAACCTGGGCAGCGTAGTCAAACTCTGTCTCTACTAAACATACAAAAAAAATTAGCCGGGTGTGGTGGTGCATGCCCATAGCCCCAGTTAACTTGGGAGGCTGAGGAAGGAGAATCACTTGAACCTGGGAGGTGGAGGTTGCAGTGAGCCAAGATCGTGCCACTGCACTCCAGCCTGGTCAACAGAGGAGACTCCATCTTAAAAAAAAAGGCCAGCGCTGTGGCTCATGCCTGTAATCCCAGCACTTTGGGAGGCTGAGGCGGGTGGATCACCCGAGGTCAGGAGTTCGAGACCATCCAGCCTGATCAACATGGTGAAACCCCGTCTCTACTAAAAATAACAAACATTAGCTGGGCGTGGTGGCACATCCCTGTAATCCCAGTTACTTGGGAGGCTGAGGCAGGAGAATCACTTGAACCTGGGAGGCGGAGGTTGCAGTGAGCCGAGATCGCGCCGTTGTACTCCAGCCTGGGCAACGAGGGCGAAACTCCATCTTAAAAAAAAAAATGTTTGGGGAGATAGTACAGGTTGAGGAGAGGAACGTTTAATATGGGGCCCTGAGGTAGGATGAACCCCCACTTTGGAAAAGCAGTTCAAGGTCGACAGAGGGTCGTGGGCTGACAGAGGCGAATGGGAAAGAGCAGCAGATAGGAAAATCTGGACTGTAGTGTCACGAAGGCAAGGGAACCAAATGTTACAAGATGTGCATGTGTGCATGCGCGCATGCGTGGGCAGGGGGCATCTCTTTCTAATGTAGAGAGAGAAAGAAAGATGGTTTTATTAACAGGGAGGGAGAGTTGTTTCAGTTGTTTGGGGGGTGGTGAATCCAAAGTAGTATGAGTTTGAGGGGTGTGAATGGCTGGTGGGAATGAATACAGTGACTGTAAACAGCTATTAAGAGTTTAGCAGCACCAGGAAAGGAAGGTGGAACTGGGGAGGGGAATGTGCAGTTCCTACATGGTGATGAGGGAGCCAGTGGAGAAGAAGTGGAAGAGGAGGCAGTGGATATTATATGCTGCTTGAGATGGCAGGAGGAGGTGGAATATAGAGTGCAGAGAAGGACTGATTGCCTTTTGATAGGAAGAGGAGAGAAGGGGGAAATGATGGGTGTGTATGCAGATAAATGTATAGATTCGGTGGTGGAACTGATGAAGCAATGCTCATATAATGGTTTTTGTTTTCTCTGAAGAGGTGAAGAGTAGGAGGAGAAAGAGAAGGTAGTCTGAGGTATAGGGAGAGAGTGGGAAAGTTTGAAATAGCCATTATGGAAATGAAGCTGATTGGAAAAACTGTATATTAATAATTGCCAGATAATATTATGTGCTCTAGCACCCAATCCTGATGATTCTTGTCAATATCTCTCAAAAGCCATCAACTCTTTACTGCTCCTGCCTGAATTCAGGTTTTTATTATTTTAACCTGTACTGTACTAGTTTTCTTTCTTTCTTTCTTTCTTTCTTTCTTTCTTTCTTTCTTTCTTTCTTTCTTTCTTTCTTTTTTTTTTTTTTTGAGACAGAGTCTCTGTTGCTCAGGCTGGAGTGCTGTGGTGTGATCTCGGCTCACTGCAACTTCTGCCTTCTGGGTTCAAGCGATTCTTGTACCTCAGCCTCCTGAGTAGCTTGATTACAGGCGCGTGCCACTATGCCCAGCTAATGTTTTGTATTTTTAGTAGAAGACGGGGTTTCTCCATGTTGCTCCTGCTGGTCTGGAACTCCTGAGCTCAGGCAGTCTGCCCACCTTGGTCTCCCAAAGTGCTAGGATTATAGGCGTGAGCCACTGCACCGGCCTATTGTACTAGATTTCTACATGGTCTTCTTCACTTCAGTCTTAACCTACTTGTAGTTCTTTTCCACATTACTATCAGGAAACTTTTACTATGTTTTTTTAAATAAGAAAATATATGTTGTTACTACTAATTTTTTAATCGTACTTCTGGTACACAGAATTTGATAAAATTGTAATCCTTGGATCATGACACTCTCTCACTGTTGGTCTCGTCATAACCTGTTAAAATTTATTTACTCTGTAATTTTTAATAATGTAATAAGCAGTGTGCAGTTCCGTCTACTGCCTTCCATTACCCACAGTAACGAGCCTTCTGATTTCTAAGTCCATTCTTCCCTCGGGTCCTTTTTTATATGGTTTTATTGCATCTCTCTATGTTTCTAAAATGCCCTTTTTATTATAGAAAATTTTAAAGGTACACAAAAACAGAAAAAGTATGAATTCCTGTGTACTTACCATCCAGCTTCAACAATTATCGACACATGACCAATGCATTCAGGCCCTTCTCTGCCTGTGGAATATTTTGAAGCAAACCCCAGACACCATGTATATATTTTAATTGTATTGAAATGTGTAAGGTACTCGTGCTGTATGTACACTTTTGGAGAGTGCTTTCTTAATAACATTGTCACGATCCATTTGTTTTGTTGCAGTCATTGGAGTTTATTAATTGTAGTTTCTATATACTATTCCATTGTATGAATATACTATAGTTTATTCATCTTCTCTTCTGTAGATGGCCCTTTGAGTTGATTCCAGGTCGTGGTTGCTAATGAATAATGCCACCATGAACATTCCTACACATGCCTCCTGTGGTACATGGCAAGAGTTTGTCTTGTGGAATTCCTGGGTTAGAGGGTGTGTGAATGTTCAACTTTAGGATATGATAACAAATATTTTCTAAAATAGGAAGTGTATTGATTTATACTTCAATCAGAAATGTATAAATGTATAAGTGAATGTTTATTTTGATTAATAAGCTTTATTGGCTTCCTATAATCAGTTAAGCAGACATCATTCTTTCCCTTTATCCATATTTTGGAGTACTGACTATGTGCCGGAACTGTGAAGGTGCTAGCAATATAACAATGAATAAGACAGATAAACTTGCTGTTCCCAAACTAAAGTTCAGATTCCTTGTTTCAATACACCAGGCCCTTACTGGCCCAGCACCTTCCTACCTCCTTATCCACAGCCTGCCTTCCTTGCTTTATTTCTTTCCATTCCTTGTAACTCTCCCCAAACATAATGAAATATTTATAATTTCTAAAAATACAGTCTTTTTAGAAATTATACATTTTTTTTAATAATATTTTAAAATAATGTCTTTTTTTTTTTTTCTGGACAGGGTCTCACTCTGTTACCCAGGCTGGAGTGCAGTGGCGTGATCTCAGCTCACTGCAGTCTCTGCCTCCCAGGCTCAAGTGATCCTTTCACCTTGGCCTCCTGAGTAGCTGGGACTACAGGTGTTTGCCACCATACCTGGCTAATTTTCTGTATTTTTTTGTAGAGGCAGTGTTGCCCAGGCTGTTCTCGAACTCCTGAACTCAAGCAGTCTGTCCGTCTTGGCCTCCCAAAGTGTTGGGATTACAGGCATGAGTCATAGCGCCCAGCCTAAATAATAATCCTTTTTTGGTTCTGGCCTTGCAAATGCTGTTATCAATATCTTTAAACCCCCACCTTCACCATTACCTACTGAGTGTCACATCAGTATCACTTGTTTTAGGAAGCCCTTCCTTGATCTCCCTAGTCTTAGTTGATATTCCTTCTCTGTACTCCTATGGTACTGGGTGCATATCTATACATCTTATTATGTCATAAGTGATAATTTTCTTGTCTTCTGTAGTAGAAAGTAATCATTAAGAGCAGAGACTGTGTCTTTCCTCTGCATTTCCAGTATCCAGTGTAGTACCTGAAGCATAGTAGGTTTTTGGGAGGTGCTGAATGATTGAATGGCGAGGAAAGGGATAATTGAAGAGATATTTTGAAGGAATAAAAGACCACACTTGATGATAAACTTGCTAGTGAGTGAAGATGGCTGAAGAATCAGATACAGAGCCAGAGTTCCTCCTTAGGAGGTAGGAAGGCCTTAAAGTATATGGTAAAGGCAGAGATACGAGCTGAGGTATTCTGTGGAATACGACACAATAGCAGTCCTGGCTGCTTTTGAATCTTTAACCTTAATGCCTCCAGTCCTCCTTTTCTCAATCTGTTTTTTCGTATCTTTCAGGTTCAGAACTTGGCAGTAAGGAATCAACAGGCCTCAGCTCAAGGACCTCAGATGCAAGGCTCCACTCAGAAGGCCATTCCTCCAGGAGCCTCCCCTGTCTCTAGCCTCTCCCAGGCCTCTAGCCAGGCCCTAGCGGTGGCACAGGCTTCCTCTGGGGCCACAAACCAGTCCCTCAACCTTAGTCAAGCTGGTGGAGGCAGTGGGAATAGCATCCCAGGGTCCATGGGTCCAGGTGGAGGTGGGCAGGCACATGGTGGTTTGGGTCAGTTGCCTTCCTCAGGAATGGGTGGTGGGAGCTGTCCCAGAAAGGGTACAGGAGTGGTGCAGCCCTTGCCTGCAGCCCAAACAGTGACTGTGAGCCAGGGCAGCCAGACAGAGGCAGAAAGTGCAGCAGCCAAGAAGGCAGAAGCAGATGGGAGTGGCCAGCAGAATGTGGGCATGAACCTGACACGGACAGCCACACCTGCGCCCAGCCAGACACTTATTAGCTCAGGTAAATTGTCATTCCTCATGTCATTATTCTCTCAGAATTCATGTGAAATTTTCCTTTTTTTCTTTTTTTGCCTTTTTTTCTTTGCCTTTTTGTTTTTTCCCCGCTTCTGTTGGTCCTTGAATAGTGGAAGGAATGGGAATAATATCAGCCTTGAACATATTAGTTCAGGGTCAGGAGGACAAGTGACAGATACAGATTTTATCTGTTTCTACCAGGCAGTAGTCAGCTTACAAGTTCCCCTGTCCGCTTTCTTAGGCTGTGAGTTCTTCAGTTTTATCACTCTGTCTATTCATTCATCACATCTTACTGAATTGCTTACTGTTTTCTAGGAATTACTGGGGATACATTTTTGAAAAGTAGATTCCCTGTCTTCATGTAACTTAGCATTTACTATAAGGGATGAATTCTCACCTCACTGTTTAATGTGGTTACTTGATCCAGTGTATAGCAGATACAGTACAATGCCTTAGAGCACTTAAGACTAATGGAGAGGCGGGGTGCGGTGGCTCAGTCCTGTAATCCCAGCACTTTGGAAGGCCAAGGCAGGTGGATCACTTGAGGTCAGAGTTTGAGACTAGCCTGGCCATCATGGTGAAACCCCGTCTCTACTAAAAATACAAAAATTAGCCGGGCGTAGTGGTTTACACCTGTAGTCCCAGCTGCTCGGGAGGCTGAAGCAGGAGAGTAGCTTGAACCCGGTTGGCAGAGGTTGCAGTGAGCTGGGATCACACCACTGCACTCCAGCCTGGGTGACAGGGCAAGACTCTGATAGTTTATACTTGCTTTCAGACTGCGGGTAAGATGTAGTTAGATGTGTGTATCTTATTTGGTCATGTTGATTTTTGCCTTTTTTTGTTTCTAGTACCTTAGTTGTTGATGTATTTAGATAATTTACTCACAAAAAAATTAAGAGTTAGTTATTACTATACTTGGTATTTATATACTCTAGCAGTTCTATTTCTAAATTGCTTTATCATCACATGCTTTGATCTCTGGACAATCTGGTACAATATGGAGAAGTAGAGTTTGTCACTCCCAGTTTACAGTGGAGGAAACTGAGTTAGGTCAGAGCTGACAGGTGCTGACTCTCAAGACTCAGATGGTGGTCTAAGCTGATGATTTGTAAAATCCAAGTCATTTGTGGGAAGACGTTGACATCTTTAACTCTGTGGGTATCTCTTCTTTCAGTGAATATTAAGTGCTTCTGCAGTGTCAGGCCCTGGGCTGTGTTTTAGGGATGTGAAAATGAATAAAACATGGATTCAGCCTTTGAGAAACTCCAAGTCTAATGGAGGAGGGGCTAACCATTCTTCTTTGCTGAGTACAGAGTAAAAGAATACAATATTTAAGTATGGCAAAGATAAGAGACACAAGAAATTACTCAGGATCTGAAATGACTGAGCAAGGGAGTTCTTTCTCTGAGATCTTTAAGACTAGTAGTAGTTGGTAATGTCTGATTGAGTGGGAAGAGTATGGACGAAGTGATGTCCAAGTTTCATACTGACTAGATTTCTTTTCACCGCATAATTCCAAAACTAGGTTATACCTTGGAAAAATGAATTTACTTTTAATTTAGAATGATTATTATTCTCTGCTCTTTTTTCTCTCTGTTGTATTCTGGGATTGTTCCTATAGCCACCTACACACAGATCCAGCCCCATTCACTGATTCAGCAACAGCAACAGATCCACCTCCAGCAGAAACAGGTGGTGATCCAGCAGCAGATTGCCATCCACCACCAGCAGCAGTTCCAGCACCGGCAGTCCCAGCTCCTTCACACAGCTACACACCTCCAGTTGGCGCAGCAGCAGCAGCAGCAACAACAGCAACAGCAGCAACAGCAGCAGCCGCAAGCCACCACCCTCACTGCCCCTCAGCCACCACAGGTCCCACCTACTCAGCAGGTCCCACCTTCCCAGTCCCAGCAGCAAGCCCAAACCCTGGTCGTTCAGCCCATGCTTCAGTCTTCACCCTTGTCTCTTCCACCTGATGCAGCCCCTAAGCCACCAATTCCCATCCAATCCAAACCACCTGTAGCACCTATCAAGCCGCCTCAGTTAGGGGCCGCTAAGATGTCAGCTGCCCAGCAACCACCACCCCATATCCCTGTGCAAGTTGTAGGCACTCGACAGCCAGGTACAGCCCAGGCACAGGCTTTGGGGTTGGCACAGCTGGCAGCTGCTGTACCTACTTCCCGGGGGATGCCAGGTACAGTGCAGTCTGGTCAGGCCCATTTGGCCTCCTCGCCACCTTCATCCCAGGCTCCTGGTGCACTGCAGGAGTGCCCTCCCACATTGGCCCCTGGGATGACCCTTGCTCCTGTGCAGGGGACAGCACATGTGGTAAAGGGTGGGGCTACCACCTCCTCACCTGTTGTAGCCCAGGTCCCTGCTGCCTTCTATATGCAGTCTGTGCACTTGCCGGTGAGTGATGTCTGATGGTTTTGAGGGCACTATTATGCATGAGAGTGGACCTGGGCTAAGTGGAAATAGAGCTTAATTGAATAGGGGAATAAAGAGTTAAGAGGGTTAATATTGGTATTTATCTGCTTCTTCTGTAAGAGAGTGACACATTATATAATATCTGAACTTTATACTCCTAAATTTGTTGCTGATACTATTCTGGGTTTTTGGGTATGTAATAAGTTAGATCAAGATAGCCTTAACCAAATCAGTCTTTGAAAAAACAACAGTTCTTGGTTGGTCTACGTGAATACAGGGTCTCAAGACCTAGGTCAGGACTAAATCATGTTACATTTTCTTTTGTCCTGATGGAAAGTTACTAGGAATGACCAGGAATTTTAGTGTACCATGGGAAGTAGATAAATTGGGAAATCTGGAACTAAGAAAATTTTCTTTGAACATATGGTAATAATTGTGGTTCCTTATTATCCTTCATTTGTACATCTTTGTTTCTTTCCTATTCTTTACGGTATAGGGTAAACCCCAGACATTGGCTGTCAAACGCAAGGCTGACTCTGAGGAGGAGAGAGATGATGTCTCCACATTGGGTTCAATGCTTCCTGCCAAGGCATCTCCAGTAGCAGAAAGCCCAAAAGTCATGGACGAGAAGAGCAGTCTTGGAGGTGAGTAACTGACTTCTAATGCTGTTGGAGAGCACACAGAGTAGAGGAATGTTCTGAGTGAGCTAAAAGATAAAACTGGTTGAGTAGAAAATGGGCCAGAAGTTGGTGGACAAATGAATAGATCCAAAAACAGGGAATCCAGGTGAATTGTCAAGGGTGGACATAGATTATTATGGAAGATCATGCTGGCTCAACTAATAGATGGATCAATATGTCATCTCATGTCTGTTGCTTAATCTGTGTTTGTTTTCCAGAAAAAGCTGAATCAGTGGCTAATGTGAATGCTAATACTCCAAGCAGTGAACTAGTAGCCTTGACCCCCGCCCCTTCAGTACCGCCTCCTACACTAGCCATGGTGTCTAGACAAATGGGTGACTCAAAACCCCCACAGGCCATCGTGAAGCCCCAGATTCTCACCCACATCATTGAAGGCTTTGTTATCCAGGAAGGAGCAGAACCTTTCCCGGTGAGGGCAGGGCCATAAGGTGGGACTTTGAAGTGGGGACTTGGTCTGATTGTTGTCTTTTCAAACTCCAGTAAAAGTAAAAGGCACAGAACTATTTAATGAAAGAATGGTTCAATTACGCTATTTATTTAATTATAAAGAAGGAAAGGGAAAAGAGTGTGTGGACCATAAAATGAAAATGTTAGGAAGAGGAGAAAAAAAGGAAGAAAGTAACCTTTAAAACTGTAATGTTTAGTTAGATAAACTAGTTTGTTTTATAATGAATAAAATTATAGTAATGAAGTTAAGGAGCTTTCCTAGGGTTTGCAGAACCAGGACTAGAACTGAGGTGTCTTGACTCCTAGTGCATTCTCAGCACCATAGGAAGGAAGAGGACAAAATAGGGAGCCAGCGTAGGAACCTGTTCTCCAATGGCTTATCTGGAAAAAAAGCCAGTTACTATTTTTTTTTTCTCATTTCCAAACATTGTATAGAGACCAGTTACTACTCTTGATTACCGTATTGAAAGTGATTCTCTCTGAACCAGACTTGGTCATTAACTCAGAGATCCAAGCAGAGACATAATTGATGGGGAAATGTTGGGGAAAGCTATAGAGAAGCAGAAGGGGATCAGGCTAACTTAACTCTCAATGTTTTCTGGGACAGGTGGGTTGTTCTCAGTTACTGAAGGAGTCTGAGAAGCCACTACAGACTGGCCTTCCGACAGGGCTGACTGAGAATCAGTCAGGTGGCCCTTTGGGAGTGGACAGCCCATCTGCTGGTGAGCATTTATTTAGAGACTCATTTGGGGGAAGGAGACTCGTGGAGATGTGTTTGAGGACTCGGTGTAAAATAGTAGTTACCTATTTATTTAAAGTAGAAATGAGGCCTGGCACAGTGGCTCATGCCTGTAATCCCAGCACTTTGGGAGGCCAAGGCAGGCATATCACCTGAGGTCAGGAGTTTGAGACCAGTCTGGCCAACATAGTGAAACCCTGTCTCTACTACAAATACAAAAATTAGCCTGGTGTGGCAGCATGCGTCTATAGTCCCAGCTACTCGGGAGGCTGAGGCGGGAGAACCACTTGAACCTGGGAGGCGGAGGTTGCAGTGAAGTGAGCTGCACGCCACCGCACTCCAGCCTGGGCGACAGAGCGAGACTCTGTCTCAAAAAAAAGTAGGAATAAAATGAAGTCTGTCTACATATAGAAACCATATTATATATCAGAGTATGTAGAATCACGGAAAAGGAATTACATAAGGTGAGGGGAATTTATCCAGCTAAAGTAATCTTTTGAATTATTATTATTATTTTTTTTTGAGACGGAGTTTCGCTCTTGTTGCCCAGGCTGGAGTGCAATGGTGGGATCTTGGCTCACCGCAACCAGTGCCTCCTGGGTTCAAGCGATTCTCCTGCCTCAGCCTCCCGAGTAACTGGGATTACAGGCATGCGCCACCACGCCTGGCTAATTTTTGTATTTTTAGTAGAGACGGGGTTTCTGCATGTTGGTCAGGCTAGTAGTCGCCAACTCCCGACCTCAGGTGATCCGCCCGCCTTGGCCTCCCAAAGTGCTGGGATTACAGGCGTGAGCCACCACGCCTGGCCCTTGAATTATTCTTTACTCTATAGATGTATTTTTTGGCCGAGTGTGATGACTCTCACCTATAATTCCAGTACTTTGGGAGGCCAAGGCCGGTGGATTTCTTGAGCTCAGGAGTTTGAGACCAGCCTGAGCAACATAGTGAAACCTTGTCTCTACAAAAAAATATAAAAATTAACTGGGCATTGTGGCACATGCTTGTAGTCCCAGCTACTTGGGAGGCCAAAGTGGGAGGATCGCTTGAGCCCGGGAGGTGGAGGTTGCAGCGATCCAAGATAGCACCACGGCACTCCAGCCCGGGTGACAGAGTGAGACTGTCTCAAAAAAATTTTTTTTTCCAAAAGATGATCTAAAATAGGACATTTATATCTTTAATTTCCAGTTCTCCTTATTCTAGATTTTATAATCTATCTTAAGGACTCTTACTGATTTTCCCACTGCTTTTGGAAATCTTTGTGGTAGAAGGATCTTATATCTTTCTAGGCATTAGTAGTTCCTCTCTCCTCAGAAATTGAATCATATCTGAAATCTAAGAGTATGAATTAGGATAAAATTAGTAAGACATCTAAAATGGAGAGAGTTCGGCTTAAGGTTAGGAAGACGTCATAAAGTTCTCAAGGGACAAGTCTTCGTGATTTTAGGTTTTGAACTTTGCGTTTTAGGGATTCTCAACTAGGTTGTGTAGGTTTTTGGGGGTGAACCCTGAGAATAATTTTAGAATCCAGCTCTGAGCCTAATGATTGCCTGAGGGGCAGCAGAAACCCATGGTGACTGTCCAGCAATACCTTGTTTTTTAGAGTTAGATAAGAAGGCGAATCTCCTGAAGTGCGAGTACTGTGGGAAGTACGCCCCCGCAGAGCAGTTTCGTGGCTCTAAGAGGTTCTGCTCCATGACTTGCGCTAAGAGGTACTCTGGGCACCCTCCTCCTTGCCCTCAGCACTGGTATCTCCATCTAATGTTACACCCCTTCCCCAGGATCGTCTCATAGCTGATATTTTATGTCTCCCTCCTTGCTTTTATTCCCTTCCCCAAATCAGCTCATAAGCAGAAATTCACATTTAGAGCAGGGTGGTCTTCTGTGGCACTATTGACATCCTATATATGCCCTGTCCTGTAGGTACAATGTGAGCTGTAGCCATCAGTTCCGGCTGAAGAGGAAAAAAATGAAAGAGTTTCAAGAAGCCAACTATGCTCGCGTTCGCAGGCGTGGACCCCGCCGCAGCTCCTCTGACATTGCCCGTGCCAAGATTCAGGGCAAGTGCCACCGGGTGAGCTGCTTG
Organism: Homo sapiens; assembly: GCF_000001405.40. NCBI lineage: Eukaryota > Metazoa > Chordata > Mammalia > Primates > Hominidae > Homo > Homo sapiens. The sequence continues at coordinate 8,937,339 of NC_000012.12, forward strand.
TTGTAGAGCCAGATGCCTTTAAACTGGGTCTTTTTTTCTTTCCCTGCAGGGCAATTCATTTGCCCAGGTAAGAGGGTGTGAGATGAGAACTCTGGTTTCACATTGATTGCATTACTACAAATTCCAAGAGATCCTGACCCCCTTTGTCTCCGGACCTCTTACCCAACTACTGGTTCATGTTTCCATTAATCCTTACACTGTACTTGAGTACAATTGTTAATTGTACTCAATTGTACTCAATTTCTCTCAATTGTACTTGAGAGAAAATCTAGATCAATTGTTAGGTCATGGGGAGAATCAAGGAAGTGATACAGTTTCTATTTGAAAGACTTTGAGAGTAGATTTTGGGAATTTGCAAATAAAGTGCTGCTTATTTCACATATGATAAGATGAGTTTTTCTTCTACGCCCAACCCAGGGTGGTTTGGGAAGAAAGAGAGAGGAATAAACCTTTGACACTGACCTCATTGGTTTGCTCTTTTCCCCTATAGGGTCAAGAAGACTCTAGCCGGGGTTCAGATAATTCCAGTTATGATGAAGCACTCTCTCCAACATCTCCTGGGCCTTTATCAGTAAGAGCTGGGCATGGAGAACGTGACCTGGGGAATCCCAATACAGCTCCACCTACACCGGAATTACATGGCATCAACCCTGTGTTCCTGTCCAGTAATCCCAGCCGTTGGAGTGTAGAGGAGGTGTACGAGTTTATTGCTTCTCTCCAAGGTACTGACCCTCTCTTCAACAGAACCCAGGTTGTTTTCCTTAACATCATCCCACAGGGGCCTTGATAAGAGGGAAAGTAATTGACTTTTAAGCAGTAGGAGCTTGAATGCTAATATAGAGGCTCTACTCCTAATATTCAAGTTGACTTCCTAATTTTTTTCTGGGTTGACATTATCTTCTGTAATGTCAGCAATTTTACAGTGTTTGATTCTCATCTTATGATGTAGCTGCATTTCTCACTAAATTTTTGGATAAAATGTTTTTGTGTAATTAACTATGATACCTCCCATGGGGAAAAAATTTTTTTTTTCAGTGGAGCAGGGTATTAGAAACTAAGTGGCCATTGTTGCCCCACTCTTCAAAGAGGGCTTGTTTGCTAGTCTTCTTTTTTTTTTTTTTTAAACAGAGACAGGGATTCCCTATGTTGCCCAGGCTGGTCTTGGAGTCCTGGGCTCAAGAGATCCTTCTGCCTTGGCTTCCCAAAGTGCTGGGATTATAGGTGTGAGCCACTGCACTCAGCCTATATGCAATTTTGACAAAGAGTTTTTTTCGGAAATGAAAATCACCCTACCCTTCTTGCTATTTGTCTGAATTCTGGGCCCTTAAACAAAAATATCACAAAGAATCTTTTTGCCAGTATAAAAGAAAACATGCTTTTATTTCTGTTCTCTCCCTTTCCCCTGTCTCTAAGCTATTTGAATGAAGTTATTTCTGTGGTTGAACAATTTAGTTGCTTTTCCTTTCTTGGTCTTGGACTTTGGTTTTGTTGTTGTTGTTGTTTTGAGACAGAGTCTTACTCTGTTGCCCAGGCTGGAGTGCTGTGGCATGAATTTTGGCACACTGCAACCTCCGCATCCTGGGCTCAAATGATCCTCCTGCCTCAGCTTCCCGAGTAGCTGGGACTATAGGCATGCATCACCATGCCCAGCTGATTTTTGTATGTTTTGTAGAGTCAAGGTTTTGCCATGTTGCCCAGGATGGTCTTGAACTCCTGAGCTCAAGTGATCTGCCTGCCCTGGTCTCCTAAAATGCTGGGATTATAGGCGTGAGCCTCTGCACCTGGCCATTTTTTAAATACCAGTTGCTTTCTAATTTCATTTTGCTTTTAAAGCTTGCCATCTGACTTCATATTACTGAATTTAGGACAGGTACTTTGGAATTAATCATTGCTAGACCTCAGTTTCATTTAGCTTCCCTTCTCCTATCATCTGGCATTACCTACATGTTCTCACCATTTCTTCTAGGCTGCCAAGAGATTGCAGAGGAATTTCGCTCACAGGAGATTGATGGACAGGCCCTTTTATTACTTAAAGAAGAACATCTTATGAGTGCCATGAACATCAAGCTGGGCCCTGCCCTCAAGATCTGCGCCAAGATAAATGTCCTCAAGGAGACCTAAGGTGGCCCTCTTGCACAAACCAGCCTAAGGCAGACACTCTCCACTGTCCAGGTTATAACCTGGTACCAGCAGACTTTGCAGGGAAGAAAGAGTTGTTCCAATCATGTAACCTTCTGTAGGGGATTACTGAGACAGGGAAGAGAAGTGCAAGAATTGGTTGCTGGTGCTACATGGCGGCAGCTTTGACATTTTCTCTGGGTTCTACTTTATTTTTTAAAATCTTTACAGTTCTCACCATTTCACGTACCTTAATCCAATCTTTATAAAAGAGGCAGTCTAGAGAACTAGGACTGCTCAGCCTTATCCTGGAGTGGAGCATTTAGCCCAGGTCTTAATTCTCCAAGAGGAGGAATACATAGTATGGTAAGGCAAGGAACTGGGTGGAATGTCAGGTTGCCTGCCCAATGGGAGAGGTAGGGTTTTTCTAGCTTGTGTGACAGAAGTAGCAAAATCTGGTCCTCCCCCCTCCCAGTGTAGCTGTGGCTCAGAGTTTTTTCTTTTTGTTGTCACTTACTCCCTTGTGATTGAATTTTTTCTCCTGCATCCATGGCAGGATCCCCAGCCAGTATAGAGACTTGGTTGGCATCTTCTGCTGCAGGGACTAAAAGTATTTGACTGGGGCACATGTGGCTGTTGTCATTCTTTCTGCATCCCACTGTTCCCCTCCAATTTATGTTATTTTCTACCCTGTTTTTCAGTTCCATCTCTGCTCTGTCCTATAGCTTTATAAAACCAGAGTGTGTGGGGCTGAGGTCAGGAGTATAAGTACCTGCCTTAGGCACTATTCCTTATATAACAAAAATATTAAATATTTTTTTCCTCAGTAAAAGGATGAAAATTGGTTTCAGTTGTCTTACTCTATTCCAGTCTTTGCCCACTTTCACACAAATGACAAGGCCAATATGTTTTGTTTGTTTTTTAATCATTAAGAGTTTTTGTACAAAAGGTGATGGTTTTTTTTCTTCATTTTAAAACACCAGGGTGTGGGGGAGGGATGCAAACAAATAACAAAAAAGATGCTTTTGTAACATTATTTTCCCTGTTTAGAAAGAAAAAAATCACTCCAATAGTATTGAAAAGTCCAAAGATGAAATAGTTTCATTTTCTTTTCCTAAGGCTTATAAAAGGCCCCCTGCCTGTTGATTCCATCCCTCTTTTGTGTCCAGTGGAGCCATGTTACTCTTCAGTGGCCCAGGGGTTCACTATTAAAGAAAGATCAGTCCAGGTTTCTGGGCACATGGCCTAAACAGGAAGATGGAAGCATCAGAGGATTAAAAACCTTTCCCCACAGAAATGTGGGCAAGAAGACACTTCCCTGAGCCAGCAGAAGGGACAGGTGCAGCAGCATTCCACACCCAGCGCAGAGGACAGCAGAGCCCTCGATGTCCCACTTCTGCTTCCGTTCCCTTTCTAGAAGATTGAAAAAAAGGTCAAAACCACATGCCTGTGGAGAAAGTGCGACATGTTTAGAAATACTGGTAGGGAACCAGGAGTAAGAAAAGCTTTACCAGCTTTTACTACAAATGGATGAAAGACATCAGGATCCCACCACCGCAAGGTAAAGTGACTTCCCTTTTCTGGAACCCCTGTGGCACAGGAGTACCAATTTTCCTTTCCAACGAACTGGATTTCTGGATAGGCATTTTGGCTGTATGTGGACAGATAAGACCACAGTCCTTAGCCCAATCCCAGCTATACAGTCACCCCAATTTCCACAAATGATGTGATGGTACCGTATAATCCTGTAATTGGGAAATTTCACATTTTTCCTGTCCTAATCTCAGAGGTGGGAGAAGCAAGTCTAGAACATCTCCAGGCTCAGACTAAACGAGAGTACTTGGACTGCAACCAAGTAATCACTGCAAAGTAGTTCCAAGCAGCAAGAAATACCAGATTCTCATGGAGGCTACTATAGGGTACAGAATAACAACATGAAAGCAATCAACCCTGTATAAATAATGTTTCTTGGCATTTTTTTTTTAATTAAAGAAATCCAGTGTCTCAAAAACTTGTGAAAATGTGTTTAAAAAACAAACGGCCAGTGAGCCTGCTACACCATTTTGCCCATATGCCTATTGTAACTTCTGATGTCAAGAGACAATGCAAAAGCCTCTGTTTTCACAGGCCCTATTATATTAACTCTGACTTACAACTGTACCTCTCTAGAGAAAAAACAGAAAATAAGGAACAAAGGGAAGGCAGTTTTACTAGTGAGAAGATGCAAATCAAAAGCAAACTGGAAAGCAAGAGCAATAGTAAGGGTGAGATGAGGGACTGGAGTTGAGACTGCTTGAGAAATCTGGCTGTGTAGCTTTGGTTTGGGGGACTGAGGAAGAGGCTGGACATATAAAGTGCAATCTACATTGGTAATAAATGGTCATCCCTTTCTTCTGACTCCTCCCCCAGCTGGTCATCCCCCACACCACGATATGCTGCAGGCACATTTCGAGGTTTAGAACGGCAGACAAAGTCACAGCCATCCTGTAGGGGGAAAAAAAAGAAGGAAATAATTCGCAGCATCTAACTTTAGGATATGAGAAAGTGTACTTATGGTCTAGGAATGTGGCAAGAATTGGTTTTCTATAGGGATAATGAGAAAACCTAAAAGATCTGACAATCAGCCTAAATTCAATTTGGGGCAACAGGAGAAAAAGTTTCTTCTTATTAGGCCTCACCTTCTTCCCACCCAGGCCCTCTTAAAAGCTAAATCAGATTTAGAAGAGCCCATCTGGTCAACAGTGTTGCTCTTTCAGCAATGTCTTACCAAGGCCAGAAATGGATGCTGTGCCACTTACTACTCTGTACTAGGGCAACTGTCTTGTTTGCTGGGACTTTTGTGGTTTTAGCACTCAATGTCCTGTGTCCCAGGAACCCCCTCAGTGTGAACAAACGAGGATGGTTGGTCACCCAACCTTGTTTGCAGGCTACAAATTCAACCAGCTGCCCTGTTACTTACTGCTACCAGGTTGCCAAGATCCTGCCAGAAGGCTAAGTGGGGAAACTGCTCCATTCCTTTGGCTCCCACTACCAGTCGCTGGTATAGGAACCCCCCAACAACATAAACAGCAACCAGTGATGCAAACCTGTAGAGAGAGAAAGACATCTATACTTAAGAACTGGGAAATAGTAAAAACTCAGATAGGATAACCTCTGCATTTATTGTCAGCTGTTTCCTAAGATACATTCCCTGAAAAGGAAAAATGAGTAGTGATACTAAATGAAAAAGGGGGCTGGTAACTCTTAGAAAACCAGTTAGAGTGCTGTCAGTCCAAGAGAAGCAAAGGCCCAGACAAAATGTGACAGCGTGTGATTCTATGGCCAAGAATAATCACCATTAAGTATATGATTCCATTTCTCTAGAAGTTCTCATAATCTAATGAAATAATATAAAAATTGCCTAGTCCTGCAGTAGGGGAAAAAAGCACCTCCAAATGCAAATCTATACCGGCAACTAAACATTAAATCTCATTTTTCAAAAACTTGCAGTCAGAATTTTTTTTTTTTTTTTTTTTAGACGGAGTTTTGCCCTTGTTGCCCAGGCTGGAGTGCAGTGGTGCGACCTCAGCTCACTGCAACCTCCACCTCCCAGGTTCAAGTGATTCTACTGCCTCAGCCTCCCAAGTAGCTGGGATTACAGGCATGTGCCACTGTGCTGGCTAATTTTGTATTTTTAGTAGAGACGGAGTTTCATCATGTTGGTCAGGTTGGTCTCAAACTCCTGACCTTAGGTGATCCATCTGCCTTGGCTTCCCAAAGTGCTGGGATTACAGGCGTGAGCCCTGTGTCCTGGCAGAATTATTTTATAGCCAGAGGATTTAAAAAGTTATCCCCATCAATTACAGCATAATGTACACATACAATTTGTGCTTATGTACCACCATATAGTTACTGACCTTAAAAACAAAAGGAAGGAAGGTCTGTTCTGATAAAGGAAGGCATACTCACGTGACAAGTAAGATGGAACCCACACTGAGGTGGGAGATCTCTGGTGAACAGGCCAGGCTGCTATCCATCTCAAAGAGGTAGAAACAATCTTGGACTTTGCCACGCTCCTCAGACACAGGGTTAAAATTGTCCTGATGATGAGATGGCATAACACATTCAGGTGGTTAAGTGTTTTGACTCCTGTCCAACAAAATAAAAAACCCAAAAAACATCTGCTCCTTCCTGGTTCAGCAGCCTATTTTCCATGGAAGATGCGTGTCTGACACAGAGAGAAACTGAGCTCCTAGTTTTCTAATGTCCATCCCAACGTATCGTGTCCCCTCTGGATATTCTCCCCAACCTCAGGTCAGTCCTTTCAGTCTCCTCCCTCGGCTTATACAACACAGGGTGCCTCACCGCTAGGGTGTGTCGATTGCAGGAGATCATCACCACTGCACGACGCTGCTCCTTGCCACAGTGGTTGTCATATTCATCACCCCCTTTATAGATCAGCATGATCCAATTACCTGAGGAGGGACAAGGAAAATGGAGCTATGGGGTGGGGGAAAAGCAGAGGCAGATCTGGGTGGTATGGCAGAGTGGAATTGCGTAATTCATTGCAATTGGTTATAACTAAACAACCCTCATCAGTACGAACTTGGTATACCAGAAATGCCAAGCTAAACTTGTTTGCTTACAAAGACTTGTGTTCCCTTAAGACAAGAATCAGATATTCATTTAAGAATAATCTTAATTTTTAACATTAAAGGTAGGCAACTGACAATGCAAAACCAATTATGATCCATACCTTAACACTGATTCATTTTCTGAATACCTTCTAAAAGCAAAAAAAGAGGTTCCATACAATTGCTGAGCAGCAGGGGTAAGCCCATCTAAGATTTCAACTTAGCCCCAGATAAATTCAGAGTGGATATCTAAGATTGGAATGCATATCTCTTCTTTAGTATTTACTGTGTTCAGTTCTTTTGCAAAATATCATTTGATTCAGTAATTGTGAGGTGAATAAGGTAAAGATTCTGCTCCTAGTTTTGCATATGAGAAAACAAGGTCAAAAGGTGATACGACTTTCCAGTCACAGGATTAGGAAACAGGAGGAGAACCTGGTCACATGATCCCCAGCCCCAAACCCTTTTGTTACTTTTTTATTGTATTATTTACCAGGAGTAAATAGCTACCTTGTATAACTTATTTATCTGTATGGGAGGGAATTGGACCATAGGTGCTTACATGGTCCTCTCCAGCAATATGACTTTTAAGAAATATCACCACCATAGCACAAAAATCAGTGGGTAAAGTTTTGCAGACTGAGTAGTTTGCAAAAAAAAGTTTGAGCTCTTAAAATTTAACTGGTAAACTTTGATTAATTTGATGAAAAGTGGTGGTGGTGGTTGGTATTTGTAAGTCTAGTGTGAAACTCATTAAAAGTATTTGGGTGAATAAAAGGACTCTAGGCTACAGAATTCTGGCTAGAGTTGGCTGGGCGCGGTGGTTCATGCCTGTAATCCCAGCACCTTGGGAGGCCAAGGTGGGCAGATCACGAGGTCAAAGATCAAGACCATCATGGCCAACATTGTGAAACCCTGTCTCTGCTAAAAATACAAAAATTAGCTGGGCATGATGGCACACACCTGTAGTCCCAGCTACTCAGGAGGCTGAGGCTGGAGAATCGCTTGAACCCAAGAGGCTGAGGTTGCAGTGAGCCGAGATTGTGCCACTGCACTCCAGGCTGGGTGACAGAGAGAGACTCCGTCTCAAAACAAAACAAAACAATTCTGGCTAGAGTCTTCATTTTGCATAAGTTTTTCACTGATTTTAATGCACAACTGTCCTGAGCTGTGGCTTACAGAGGAGCTGTGGAATTAGGCATCCTGTGGTATATTACAGTCTCAGGTGTGCCGAACCACACGTATGATATGCTGAAGACACTAGAAACGGCCAAGACATACAGGATTGTCAGAGGGATTGACTTGGGATCAGTTAGTCAATCGATGGTAGGAAGGGGAGTTTTCTTACTTCCGTTGAAGATGTGAGTCTCGTTGAGTCTCCCTACCACTGTCTCCTTCCCATTACTTTTGTTGATTTGCACCAGGCCTGCCCCAGAAGTGTGGTTGCCAGCTTCCCGGCACACCCTGAAGATGTAGATGTATGTGTCTGAACCCTGGCCCACAGTGCTCTCAAAGCTGTAAAGAGAAGTGGGAAGAAAGAAGAGGAGAGTTACTAGCTATCAGCCTCAGGAATAACAGCATCCCTTTCCTTAATTAAAACAAAACAAACAACATGCTCGATTTATTTATTTGAGGTCATGGCTGAGTGAATATTTGTTTAATTTTAAGATATTCATAACCTTGACAGACCATCCTTATTGCTGATGATGAATTATTAAAACACACTTGAGCTATCTTGATAGCTCAATATTCTAGTTATTTTTAGAATGCCTGTTAGTAACCATGTTCCAATGAATAAGGGCCCATGTTCATCGGATAGTCTCGTTTCTTAGGGACCAACTTCAGATTTATATATCTGAAGGTTCCTGACACTTATAATGACATGTGTCGGCCTAAATATGTTTATCTGATATTTCTAAAGTCCTATTATATGTAGGTGTCAAATAATCCTTAAATTTCTACAAGCTGGTCTCTTGGATCCAGTCTTGGAAATAGCTACACTTCTGTGAAAGATGAGAAAACTGCACACAGCAACTAAAAACTGGGCTGAGAATTTGCTCTATGTCATAAAAGAGAGCACATTATGAAATAAAATCAGTAAGAAGAAAAGACTTTAACATAAATATTTTCTCAAGCTCTTTAAGGTTCTTCTCATTTACCTTTTATTAAACAGTGGTTTCAGCCTCTTCACTAGAGCCAACTCTTTCTCTGACTCTTTACCCTTTTCTCCTACCAAGTCGCAAGTTTTTTCTTCTGTCTGCCAGGATTCTCTCACTGCCACAGCCAGGAGTAGTAGTAGCAGTCCAGTCCTCCAGCAGCTGTAGAAAGGGAACATCCTTTGGGAGAGAGTGTGTGTTGGGGAGGGCAGGTAGGATCAGGAGAGAGAGGAAAGAGATAAAGCGTATGAATGTGTAATAAATCGATGGTATTTTAATTATCCAGAAAGTACAAGATTCTCTGGCATATGCAACACATAGTACATTTTAATATCTCTGTAACAAGAGCATCTGCAGCAGAAAATTCATTTATATGTAACTTGTAGTCTAATGTATAGGTGAGTCTTTCAGAACAAACTACAAAGTTGGGAAGAGGGAAATGAAAGAACTTAAAAAAGAATGATGACAGCTTGGGTGGAGCCATCCTTGCCTCTTTACTGTTTGATGGCTTGATGTAGTCTTCTGAAACCTCTTTGGCCTCTACAGGTCACAAATCTCAAGGGTTTCTAGACTTCCCATAAGTACAGTTGTCTTTTACACTACAAATCAATGACAACAAATTGGGGATCACCAAGCCACTTTACAATTGAGTAAATTCAATGCACCTGCTGCTTGTACTGCTCTAGGAATGAAAACACACAGACAGCTCTCTTTCCCAAACTTACTAGACTGGTGCAAAGGTCATTGTGGTTTTGGCAAAAAAACCCCACCAAAACCTAACATTTTCTTTTCTCTTATCCATCTTCATACCCAGGACAGACTGACTTACCCTTGCAAAACACTTTACTCTGGTATCTGTTAATGATCCCTCAGGCCATTGCTACTTGTTTATTCCAAGAGTATCACGGACAATTTCCTGATTTAACTCTTCTAAACTTTTCTCACTTACAAAAAACGCTGCAAGTCTGGACTTTGGTTTGAATATTCTTTAAAGTTCTCTAGTTCTTTTTCATGCGGGTCCACTTACTCCACCTCATTTTTAAAATATAAAACTTGAAACAGGCAGAATTTTCATGGGTACTAATGAGTTTGAAGATGGGAAAATGGAAGCTCCAACCTTGGCCGTGAATGCACTTTCCCCATTCCCCTAAACAACCTAACATCTGACCTTCCACTTCCCACACCCCACTAAAGCAAAAAATCCCGGGAAATTGTCTACCTGACTTCCTGTACCCCAAACATCAATTCTCTACTGTAATATTATGGTAGTTTCCATAGAATAATCATAGCTAACCAAGAGGTCCAAGGCCCTCATAACACATTTAATGCACTGAAACCACACAACAGCAGGAAACAACAGACTACTGCCTTGGGCCAGGTGCTGTTCAAAGCACTTAACATATATTAATTAACTAATTAATCCTCACAACCTTATGAGTAAATACAATTATTGTTGCTATTTTACCAGTAAGAAAACTGAGACACAGCTAGTGGAGTGAGCCAGAGAGTCTAGCTCCAGAGCTCATGGTCTGTGTTGAACAACTACATGTATATTTCCACTATGTGCATAACAATTTTTTGGAGATGAGAGTAGACAGCCAAAACTGTGGGTTTTTTTTTTTTTCTACTAAGAAGTGAAGGGGAAGTGATTCCTCACACAGTTGACTGAATAGGAGGTGAAATAAAGAACTCAGACCTCCAACTCCCACCTTCCCTAAGTTAACCCACTGCTCAACACACAACTTGACCAGCTGACTCACTAAAAAGAAATAGGAGACTCCTTCTTCTAGACTGACTTAGCCTGCCATTTTCCTTTCCAGTCTCTCAGGACCTAATTAAAAACTGACAGTTGATTTCTTTTCCTAAATTAGAACAAGGAATCTCACAAAATTAGGAAGGGATGAAAGGTTAAACACCTCAGCCATTAGCTGAGTTGAACTATCTTTCATTTGCTTATTATTCAAAAAGTTAGGATAATAAATTTATACTGTATTCTTCTTTCCTGCTTAAGGCTTGTCTTTAAATTTAAGCTGCTTCTCTTTAATTCAGTGGCATATGCGCTAAATGTTTTCCCTAGATTATGTTCATTCATCTTCACAACCCAGAAAATAGGTATAATTTTTCATACTTCACAGATGAGAAAACTGATGCTTTACAGAATTACTTGTTAAATTACTTGCTGTACATTACACAGATATTAAATGTGTGTGAAGTTACTGGGGCAATTTAGACGATTCGTGGCATAAAGATAACTGCTGGAAAACTTATAAACATAGGGGTGCAACAATCAGGAAGAGAATGAAATGGAAGGGCCCAGTAGCCCCCTTTTAATATGCTACAATTAGATTCTCAAGGTACAAGAGTTTGTCTATATACTTTGGAAATAAGGAGCAGGATTTTATGATCTTGAAAAATCTTTCAGTTTTCTTATTCTCTAACGACAGATCTATTTTATTTGGCAATGCTAAAAATTATCCTTTATTAGGGTGGCCAATGACTAAGCCAGCAACTGGGAAGCAGCTTACACCACTGGGCCTCTGTAGCACTCACTTCCCCATCTGTTAAGACAGCCATGGCCATTTACCAGTGGAATTTCTACTGTCTTCCCGCTGGCTCCTTTCTGATGTAGCAGTCCTTATCCCTTTTTCTCCAGCAGCCTACATGTTTAGAAAAGCAGCCTCAATTGGCTAAAAGGCCTAATGCTGAAAGAACTCAAGAGAGAAGGAGCCTCAGACAAGTAGCGGCTATGTCCCAAGAGCGGAAGCTCCCCACAACGAGGAACACAAGATAATCCGTCCATCAGCCATTCTTATCCACACCACAGTCGCATCCCCCTCAAAGCTCTCCCAGGGTGCCAGAAATTCTCGCTCTGTCTAGTGTCCCGACTTTCCAAGCGCTTGTAGCCATACCCTCTCCAAATGATGCCACTTGACCTCCCACCGTGATGCAGGCCAAAATTCCTCCTACAAATAAATCCACCAACACCTCCAACGGACTCCATACTTGGGGTATTTTCCTTTCCCTGCTTTCTAAATATCGTAAATCCCCTCTCTGGTCTTGGAAGTCCTTTCTCCCTCACACCTTTCGGAACTCCGTGACTCTCCGCTCTCATGCCTCCGCCTCCATTCTACCCTTAGGGCTCCTCAGCCAGATCTTTGGCTAGAACCATGGTCAAGGGAGAATGCGATTCCGGCTCCTGTCACAGACGCTTAAGTGTGAGCGCAACCCAGCCCGCCTCCTCCTCCACGCCCCTCACACTCACGTGTCGTGGGAAACTGGAGTAGCCAAAGCTCAGAATCCCCAGTGAATACCCTTCTGGGGATGGGAGACGGGGCCAGCTAGGGGCCGGCCGCAGACCCCGGTCCCAGAGCTAGTTTCAGAGGCCAGCGTTCCCCCTAGCGCCTCGCTGTGCCCCACTCTGGGAACCGGAAACAGGAAGCGCCAAGAGGCCGCTGGGCAACCGCTCCTCCCACCAGACCCCGCGGCATGTGACCATAGAACCATTTCGCCCCTTTCCCCTTCCCGGGCTCCCTGATAATCTTAAACTCTGATTGGCCAGTATTCTGGGACTTTAGCTCCGCCCTCGTTCCATCAGCTCCAATCACTATCGAGGTTGTCGTTTCGCCTTTTCTGGTTGCCTTTCTTTCAATGGGGTCCCAGAGTCCCGCTTCCAGGGCCTCTCGGCTCGCGCACCCCGGTCACGCGGGGTCACGCGCCTGACCGCTCCCGGGTAGGGTTCGAGTGAAGAGGGTGAGAGGGGCAGGTGGCGGAAGCGGAAGTTACGCAGGCAGCTCGCCCTCGGGCTCCGCGGGAGTTGTAGTTCTCACGCTAGGTCTCCTCCGGGCGCTTCCCTAGCCCGTTCGCCGCCTGAGAGGGACGCTGTTCCGCCGCGTGGAAGCTTCGAGTCTCGACTCCACTGTTGACCCCTAGACGAGAGTAGTGCAGCGACGGGGCCGTGATGTGCGTCCTGGCTTTCTTAACGACACCTCTCCTCTGTATTTCCTTTTTCCAGTTGAGTACCTTGGGGTGAATTATTATTGTTACTGTTATCTCTGTCGTTCCTTACTGCTTCGTGGTATTTTGCTTGATAAGCATGCTCTGCAACCACCTCTGTTCGCCAGAGGTTACTTCTGCAAAGTAGGAAGAAACGAGCAATACGATGGTAATCTTTGCGCCTTTGCTAAGATCTTTTGTAGGTTCCTTATGTCTTACTAGCCACTTGTTGAAGTCCTGCTCATTCTTAAACTCTGTTCAGATGTTATTTTTCCTGTAACTTCGTGCATTCACTCTCTTCAGAATTAACAATTTCTTCCTGTGGACCCTCGCTTGTGGCTTGTACCTGGCTTTAGCATGTTTTCATTCCGCTTCCACTCTTACGTTGCTTCTATGTGTGCCTCTCTGGCTCTATGCAGGTGCCTGGATTTTTGATTCTTACCCCTCTCATTAGAACTACTACAGTGTTTTGAGTCTAATAATAATAAAAGCTAACGGATGCATATCTCGGTGGTGCCCGGCACTTTTGTAAGTGCTTTAAACGATAGTTAATTCACTTGGTCTTCACACCAACCTTATGAGGAAGTATCTTATCCCAAGTTTACAGATGAGTAAATTAAAGCAGATAGAAGCTAAGTAACACCGTGGGTCCCAAGCTATTAAGTTATGGAGCCAGTATTTAAATAGTCTCCATAATCCATGCTCTCAAGCACTACGCTTTACCGACTGTATGCCATTCTGCATTTCTTTGTTTATTAGTAATACATTCAGTTCAGGCTAGGTAGTAATCATATCTGGGTTGGATGTTGCCCCAATAAAAAAAAAAATTAAATTTTTTTCTTCCTGAAAATGAAAGTAATTTGTGATCAGATAACACAGAAAACAACAAAACAAAAATCATACATAAACTCACCAGGAGGGTGTGTATTTCCTTCATGAATATATGTTGTTTCCTTTTTTCAAAAATGTATCAGTCCCACACTGTGGCTCATGCCCGTAATCCCAGCACTTTGGGATTCCGGGGCAGAAGGATCACTTGAGGTCAGGAATTCAAGACTAGCCTGGGCAACATAGTGAGACCCCTTCTTTCAAAAAAAAAAATCAGCTGGGCTTGGTGGTGCACACCTGTAGTCCCAGCTGCTTGGGAGCCTGAGGCTGGAAGATTGCTTGAGCCTGGGAGTTGGAGGCTGCAGTGAGCTATGGTCTTGCCACTACCCTCCAGCCTTGGTGATAGAGTGAGAACCTATCTCAAAAAGATATGTATGTATCAAATATTTTTCCATATCCTTGACTTTACAAATAAACTTTTTAATAGCATAATATTTAGTTCTATGCATTGCTACTTAACCAATGACATTAATGTTGAGCATTTAAGTTATTTCTACTGACTTATTTTTTATCAAGTAACTCAACACAGCTTTACTGAGCAATTACTATGTGCCAAAACCACAGAATATATAATATAGATCTTGGGGATACAGCAGAGAAAAAAGACAAAAATCCCTGTTACAATCCGTTCTAGAATTGATGTTCCTTTGTTGGTTAATTCAAGTTTTGATTTCAGAAATCTTACCTCTTGGTGACTGCCTAGAGTGGCATTGGGCTGGAGGGGAGGAACTGTTCATGTTGGAAATGGGGAATGGGCCAAAAATGCAATTGAGTAGGTTGATTAACTTGTCTGCTGTCAGAGTGGAAGCAGGGGTAGTTTCCCTTTCCGACCAGAGGCAAACAACCTGGGTCACTTCCTTGCTTCTCAGACCTCAGTGCCCTTTCTGGGTGCTTTCTGTGTTAGAATTCTCACCTCTGAGAACTGAGCTCAAGGTTCTTGCTGGGGCAAAAATTGAAATGAGCAGAATTTTTTTTTGTTTGTTTGTTTGCATTTCTGGCCTGCCTCCTTTCTTAGCCTCATTATTAACAAGCACACTCCCCACAATAAACCTACACCCACACTGCCTTCTCTCACACAAGGTAAATTGTTCACCTTGTTTAGAAAGCAGTTCTAGGATTGTTGGTCTGAAATCAAATGGGAAGGATGCCTCCTGTTCTGTATAATCATAAGAGAGGAAGGTAATTAACAGTCCTAGAACCTCAGCTTCCCAAGTAGCTGGGACCACAGGCGCAAGCCACCATGCCCAGCTAATCTTTGTATTTTTTGTAGAGACAGGGTCTCACATTTTTGCCCAGGCTTGTCTTGAACTCCTAAACTCAAATAATCTGCCTGCCTCAGCCTCCCAAAATGCTGGGATTACAGGTGTGAGCCACTGAGCCCGGCTCAGATGCTTTTCAAAATGATCATGTTTTCCATATTTCAAGGACTAAATATAGTTTTTGGTAACTTTCAATTTTAATATATTTATCATTTATAGAGAAGATGCAAGGATAATACAAAGAACTCTGGTACACATTTTACCTAAATTCATCTTTTTCCCCTCCATATACATTAGTTTATTTTGAACAGGTTGAGAGTAAACTTCCATTACCATTAAATATATCAGTGTGTATTTCCTAGAAACAAGGACATCCTCTCATCAAAATCAGGAACTACAGTATTAATACAATATTACCAAATCCATAGTCTGTATTCAAAATTTTATCACGTTTCAATAGATGCTATGTATAGTTACTTCCGATTTCCCAACAATCACAGGAGCCAAGCCAGAGTCACACATTGTAATTAGTTGTCATTGATCTTACTTGACTTTGAAATTTTGATAGGTACTGGCCACTTGTTTTGTAGAATGTCTTTCATTTTGGTTTTGTTTGATATATCTGATGTAGGATTTTTCTCGGTCACTTTGCCAACCAGGGACCCGTCCATAGCTAGTGACACCCCCCCCCCGCAAAACCCCCAGGCCTCACTTGACCTGCTGCCTGTGTTATAGTTTGTATCTGCATTCGGTGGTTCCTGAACTCTTGTCCCACATCCAAGAAGAATGAGGATATGCTGACAATTTGAAGGATGAGAAGGATGGAGAAGAATTTTATTGAGCGATGGAACAGCTCTCAGCGGAGAGGGGATGTGGTAGGTGGAGGTGGTCCCCCACCCCTGCAGTCAGGTGGTTTCTCACCCAATGTGGCTAGGTCTGGGCATTTATGGATTCAGAATGGAAAGTGTGTGCTGATTGGTTTGTGAGTATGCAAAAACAGTTAAAGTGAAGACACCACTCAAAGGTGGGCACGACAGTGTAGAAAACCAATTAGGAAAGGGTAGGTGTATATAAAATGGGTGAAAGGTGGGGATCAATCAAAGAAAAATGTGCCAAATGGGAAGACAGGTTTTTAATCCGGTCCATGGATTTGACTTGTAGCTTGGCTTTCAGGCTTTAAACTGTCTTCAGCTTGGAGATGGGGTTTCACTGGGGATCTGCCTAGGCATTTGTCTGCCTCCTGCGGCTATCATTTCCTCATGATTATATTTAAGTTTGCATTTTTTTTGGATAGAAATGCAAGGGAAGTGATACGTTTTTATATCAATCAGGGTCCATTCAGAAACAGATATCATATTGGCGATTTTAACAGGAAAAATTTAAAGAATTATTTTCTAGTAAAAGATGATCAGTTACTAAAAGAGGACTCTATGATACAGAAGAAGCAGCTACGAAAAGGAGCTGTTACTTCTAGGGCTGAAGAAGAGTTAATAAAGGAGTTACTTAAGTTAAAGGAAATGCTCCCTTCCCCACCTGCAAGATTAGAGATTCAGATCTCTGAGGGGAGGGTGTGTTTCCTACCACAGGAACATGCAGTCCACCCACTGATGAGGCCGAGAAGTTGCGGGAGGGTGTGGGCCTCTGTTGAGCAGCCAGTGGGAGCCTTTTAGTGGTGCCTCCTTTATCCTTTTGACATGTCCATATGATTTTTTGAGGAATTCTTTACTTTCAGGCACATAAGATGTTCCGATTTTATCTTGTAGCATTCAGCATGAATGGACCTGGAGGACATCATGCTGAGTGAAATAAGACACACACAGAAAGAAAAATATGATATGATATCGGTTGTATGTGGAGTCTTGAAAAAAATCACCATAGAAACAGTGTAGGAAGATGGTTACCAGGGGCGGGGTAGGGGAAATGGGAAGATGTAGGTCAAAAGGTACGAAGTTGCGGTTAGATTCTAATGTTCTAGTGTGTAACATAAGGACTATAGTTAATATTGTATTGTATACTGGTACTTTGCCAGGAGAGTAGATTTTAGGTACTCTTACCACCAAAAAAAAAATAACTACATGAGATGATGAATATGTTAATTTGCTTGACTGAAGTAATCACTTCACTATGTATATGTGTATCAATCAAAATATCTTGTATGCCTCAAATGTATATTTTTAAAAAGTTTTGTGGTTCTCTTACCCTTATCCTAGAATCAGTCATTTCACCAAGGGGTCTTGGTTCTTTTAGTGGAAAATGGTATTGAAAAACCAAGATGTGATTACGAGTTGTGTTTGTTGCTACTTGTGTGTCACTGCTTCAGTGTCAGCAGACAGAGCTAGGAAATTGTTTATTTCCAAGAGTGAACCAAGTTCCCATTATATTCATTGTATGTATACATTTATTCACATATAAGAAAACACAGGAAGTGATTTTTTAACTGATAAGCCATACGATGTGTGAAGCAAGCCTACTAGTAAGAGTTCCATATTTGTTTAAAGTTCTGGTTTCTCTTGTTAAGGCAAAATATATAAGTCATGAAATGTACAACTCTTTTTTTTCTTTTTTTTTTGAGGCGGAGTCTCGATCTCTTGCCCAGGCTGGAGTGCAATGGTGCGATCTTGGCTCACTGCAACCTCTGCCTTCTGGGTTCAAGCTATTCTTCTGCCTCAGCCTCCCGAGTAGCTGGAACTACAGGCGCCTGCCATCATGTCTGGCTAATTTTTATATTTTTAGTAGAGATGGGGTTTCACCATGTTGGCCAGGCTGGTCTCGAACTCCTGACCTTGTGCCGCCCACCTCGGCCTCCCAAAGTGCTGGGATTACAGGCGTGAGCCACTGCACCTGGCCGAAATATACAACTCTTAAGGATACAATTCAATTTATTTTGACAAATGCATCATAACTGTTATCTGTAATCAAAAAATTTAGAAGATTTTCATCATCCAAGAAAATTTCCTCATGCTCCTATCCAGTCATCTTCTCCTAGTCCTAGAGGCAACTATTGCTCTGATTTTTTTTTTTTTTTTTTTTTTTTTTTTTTTTTTTTTGAGATAGAGTCTCTATCACTCAGGCTGGAGTGCGATGGTGCAAACATGGCTCACTGCAGCTTCGACCTCCCAGGCTCAAATGATCCTCCCAGCTAGCCTGTGGAGTAGGTGGGACCACAGGAGTGTGCTACCATGCTAGGATAATTTTTTTTTATTTTTTGTAGAGATGAGGTTTCCTTATTTTCCCCGAGCTGGTCTTGAATTCCTGGGTTTGAGTAATCTTTCCACCTCAGCCTCCCGAAGTGCTGAGATTACAGGCATGAGCCATCAAGCCTGGTCTTTTGAATTTTTCTTTTTTTTAAATTATAGATTAATTTTGCCTATTTTAGAACTTAGTATAAATGGACAGATACTGATAGTGGTGGGAAGCAGACAAATTCCTAGGTAGATACGGGCGGGTCCCTGGTGAAAACCAACCTTCGAGTCAAAGACCGCCGGAAGCCTGAAAACTCACCTGCCAGTTCTGGGTAGAATCTAAGACCCAAGTGAGAACTCCCGCAATGCCTTTTAGCCAATCAAATGGTGCTTTTTCCAGGCTGCCTATGGACCAATCAGCACACACTCCCCCATTCTGAGCCCATAAAAACTCCCGGACTCAGCTACACAGTGGGACTACCACCTTTGGGTCCCCTCTCTGCTGGGAGCTGTTCTGTTGCTGAATAAACGTCCTCTCTGCCTTGGTTACTCTGCAATTGTCAGTGTAACCTCATTCTTCTTGGACGCAGGACAAGAACTCGGGACCTGCCGAACAGCGGGTGCAAAAGAACAGCAGGTGAAAGGCTGTAGCCCTCCTGCCCTCTCCTGGCACCAGGCGGCCACCCCACGTTATGGGAAGTGGTGGTGGCGCCAGGCCAGCCCAGGAGCCGTGGGCTGGTGGGACTGAACAAGTTGGGACATGCCCCCGTTCGGCAAAGCTTGTGGACAGCAGGAATGAATGAACTGTAACACAAACGAGCTGAGACTCTTCGGGGTGCAGACCTCGGGATTCCCCAAGCCAGAGCTGTAACATGCTGTAACACCCCCCACCGCATTTTTTTTTCTTTTTCTTTTGAGACAGAGTCTCACTCTATCACCCAGACTGGAGTGCAGTGGTGTGATCTTGGCTCACTGCAACTTACTGCCTCCCAGGTTCAAGTGATTCTCCTGCCTCAGCCTCCTGAGTAACTGAGATTACAGGTGCCTGCCACGACTTCCGGCTAATTTGTTGTATTTTTAGTAGAGATGGGGTTTCGCCACGTTGGCCCGGCTGGTCTCGAACTCCTGACCTCACGTAATTCTCCCACCTCAGGCTCCCAAAGTGTGGGGATTACCGGCATGAGCCACTGCACCTGACCTTTGAAGTTCCGCAGTTGCTGGTGTCTTTTGAGTTTTTTGGACGCCACTGCGTTCCCTTCGTTCATATGCCAGTGCCCAAGGCAGAAGCTGCTTGCAGTATACCTGATCCAGCCACAGCTTCACATGAAGCTGGTGCCTGGAGGTGATGCCCTGCTGTAGCAGCTAGCATACCTGGCTTGCCCTTGGTGGGTGTGAGATCTGGGCCAGTACCGCTAGCCAAGAGCCAAGCACAGCCTGCCAAGCCCAGTGGGTGGAGCCAGCCCAGTGGTCACGAGTGAATCTTGATCTTGAGCAGGGCCCCCCCGGCCGTGGAGGTCTCTGGCTGTGGAACACCACCAAAAAATCCTGTGTCAATAGCATGTTCCTTTTGCATTTGTTTGATTTCTTTCACTGTAATATCTGTGAACTTGTATGTATCAGTAGTAGGTTTTGTTTTGTGTTTTGGTGGGGTAGTATTACATTTTATGAATACAGTAGCCCTCCCTTCTCCTCAGGGGACATGTTCCAAGGCCCCTGCTGTAGACAGCATCTAACCCAGTTGCCTTCAATGAGAATATGTTTCTGTTCATATCTTCCACCCACAAATTTAATGCCTTTTCTGTCTTAACGAAGCACTTACCGTGGCCCATGGCAGTAACTTCTGCAGTTTGAGTTGCAACAGCAAAACTAGCACACATTCTTTTCCCTTCTTCACAATTTAACAGATAGAGGATTTATTCTTACCATAGATGTTAGCAACCTCGGAATACTTGTTTTGTTTTTTGTTTGTTTGTTTGTTTTGTTTTGTTTTTTTGTTTTTTGTTTTTTTTTAGTAAGTCAAGAACCTTCACCTTTTTATTTAAAGGAAGCACTTTACACTTCTCTTTGGCATGTCTGCATAGCCAGCATTACTACTCTTGCGCTTTGTGGCCATTATTAAGTAAAATAAGAGTTACTTGCACTGCAGTACTGTGGCAGTCAATCTGATAACTGAGAGGGACACTAACGGGCAGGGAGTGTCCCCAGCGTGTTTCCACTGGATGAAGGGGTGATTTATGTCCCAGGTGGGATGGAGCAGGACAGTGCAAGATTTTATCACAGTACTCAGAACAGCATGCAATGTAAAACTTATGAGTAGTTTATTTCTGGAATTTTTCATCTGATATTTTCAGACCTCGGTTGACTACTGGTAACTGAAATTGTAGAAAGCACACCTGCAGATAAGGGTGGGGAACTATCGTATTTCTCATCTTATTCATTCCCTTTTGATGGGCGTTTGGGTTCTATCTGTATTTTCTTCTAAGAAGCCTTATAGTTTTATGTTTATGTCTGTAATTTATTTTTAAATTTTTTTAGAGACAGGCTCTTGCTATAGTACCCAGGCTGGTCTCAAACTCCTGGCCTCAAGCTCTTCTCCCAACATGGCCTCCCAAAGTGTTGGGATTACAAGCATGAACCAGTGTGCCCGGTCTGTGATCTATTTTGAGTTAATTTTTGTGTATAGTTGAGGTAGCACTGAGGTTCCTTTTTTTCCCCATATGGATATATAATGACTTCCTATAACATTGTTTGACTATTTTTCCTCTCTTAATTGCGTCAGAGCTTTGTTGAGAATCAGTTGATTGTATAAATGTAGTTCTGTTTCTGGACTTAATTCTGTTTAGTTGATATCTTTATTATTAAGCTAATAACACACTCCTGATTCTTCTAGTTTTATATTAAGTCTTGAAGAAAGGTATTATAAGTCTTTCTTCTCTTTTCAAGATTGTTTTGGCTATTCTAGGTCCTTTGCATTTCCATATACACTTTAAAAGCAACCTGTCAATTTCTGTTAAAAAATCCTGCTGGGGCAAGGCATAGTGGCTCACGTGTGTAATCTCAGCACTTTGGGAGGCTGAGATGGGAGGATCACTTGGGCTCAGGATTTCAAACCAGCTTGGGCAACATGGTGAGACTCTGTCTCTACAAAAAAACCTAAGAATTAGCTGAGCGTGGTGGCTTGTGCCTATGGTCCCAGCTACTTGGGAGGCTAAAGTGGGAGGATCGCTTGAGCCCAGGAGGTCAAGGCTTCAGAGAGCCGTGGTTGCACCACTGCACTCCAGCCTGGACAACAGAGTGATACCCTGTATCAAAAAAAAAAAAAAATCCTGCTGGGGTTACAATTGGGGTTGATATGAATCTGTAGATAAATTTGGGGAAAATTGACATCTTAATGTTGAGTCTTATAATTCATGAATATGAAACCACCTTTGCAGAACTATAAGTAATGAGAGAAGTCTAATATGGTTGACTCCATCTTGCTTCCAACCTCTCAAGTTAAATTGTTTTTTTGTCCATTCTAATGTGGGGGCCAAGATAACTATAAGAGGAATTTAGTTTACAGTTAAAACCACATTCATAAAACAAAGTTAAAATTATGGTAGGGGCTTGAACTTTGCTGAAGAATAGACATAGTTGAACAATGACCCGCCATTACTTAGCTTGTTTTTGTTATATAAGTTGCTTACTGCCCCAGAGTCTTGTATCTGGGGTCGCAAGATTTAGAGCTTCTCCAACTTCTCCTGTAGGTAATATTACTATTGTAAAACCTGAAGAACTGGTCTTTGAGACATTTTTCAGATTTAGCATTTCAGGAGACCAAGAGATGCCACTTCGTCCTGAGACCGCTTCCCAGGAAATGACCTGGCTGTGTGAAAATGGTTTTAGACACCCCTGCAATTTCATCCCCAGCCAATCCGTTGTTTCAGTTCTCCAGCCCCCTGCCTGCCAAAGTAGTAGTTAAAAAACTCTAGCCTCTGAACTCTTGGGGGGATGAGTTTGAAAAGTGTCTGTCGTTCTCCTCACTTGGCTGGCCCTGCAATTATTAAACTCTTTGCTGCAACACCTGCTGTTCTCATTGTTTTTTTCAGGGCAGCAGGCAAGAA